>NC_000005.10:138154701-138803680 GCF_000001405.40 Homo sapiens | reverse complement strand
ACAAAGGAATCACAGGAATAATGTGGCTATCTGGAGGAAGAGCATTCCAGGTAGAGGGAACACCAAGTCAAAGATCTAAAAAGATTATGGAAGGCCAAGGAAGCCAATGTGGCTAGCACAAGACAACGAAGAAGACAAGTGGCTTTCTGGGAGTTGCACACACCAGATTTCAAGGGTAATAAAGTAAGTTATAAATAAGACTGCTCTTTCAAGAATTTGGCCTGAGACCAGACACGGTGGCTCACATCTGTGATCTCAGCACTTTGAAAAGTCCAGGCAGGAGGACCACTTGAGACAAGGAGTTCAAGACCAGCCTACGTAACATTGTGAGACCTCATCTCTACAAATAATAAAGAAAAATTAGCCAGGCATGGTGGCATTCACCTATAGTCTTAGCTACTTGGGAGGCTAAGATGGGATGATCGCTTGAGCCCAGGAAGCCAAGGTTGCAGTGAGCCACGATCATGCCACTGCACTCCAGCGCATGGGTGACAGACCCCATCTCCCAAAAAAAAAAAAAAATTTGGCCCATTACCAGGAGGAAAAGCAAGGGCTACTAAAGGAATTATTTTCTACTTTATTTTCAATTTTATGTAGCACCTATAATCCCAGCACTCTGGGAAGCTGAGGCAGGAGGATCACTTGAGCCCAGGGAGTTTGAGACCAGTTTGGGCAACATAGTGAGAACCTGTCTCTATTTAAAAAAAAAAAATTAATTAGCTAAGTGTGGCGGTGCATGCCTGTAATCCCAGCTACTCAGGAGGCTGAAGTGGGAGGATCACTTAAGCACACGAGGTCAAGGCTACAGTGAGCTGGGACTGCACCACTGCACTCCAGACCACTCCAGCGCAAGACCCTGTCTCAGAATATAAAAATCTTGTGTAGGGGTAACCAGTATAATAGAGAATAAGATCATAAACTCAGAAGTCAAAAAACAAAAACCACAGCTTCACCACTTAATAGTCTCAGGTTCCACAGTTGTAAAACAGAGATAACAATACTGATCATCTTCACTTTGCACAGTAGCACAGGACTGTAAAAATGACCATACAAGCTGAAACAGTGCAACCTGATCTTAATCAGAGATTAATCACAGAGAATTATGATTCTCCCGTAACCTTTAAAAATTTTTGGCAGTTTCCAACATCATATTTGGAGAAAAGAAAAAAATAAATTTTTAAAAAATAAGACCCCCCAAAATTTTGTCAGCCAGGCATGTGAGCTCACAACTGTAATCCCTGCACTTTGGGAGGTCAAGGTAGGAGAATCGATTGAGCCCAGGAGTTTCCTGAGATCACCCTGGCCAACAAAGTGAGACCCCATCTCTACAAAATAAAAATTAAAAATAAATACTTTTGTCTATGCATTAAAAATTCCTTTATTGTCTATTATAAATGTATAGGGATATGATATAGTCAACTAATATTTGCTTAATGTACTAAATTAAAACATTATAAACACTGAGACAAAATATTTTATTTCCTTGTGAAAAAAAATTTTCAAAAGTAGTTTGAACAATGCTTCCCTGCCTTCTTCTTGTCATTTACATTAGGGTGCAGAATGAGCATCTTTTTAATCCCTTGGCGAATCATCATATTTCTTTCTAAGTTTGGACCCATTTCCAACATTTTATCCAATATCTACGCTTATTTGTCATGAATATCTTCAAGAGTTCCTTTAATGTGTCGTTTTTAATGACATCACACATTCTCTTGGACATCACAACCACATTCCTCATTTAAGTCGAGAAGTTTGCCTTCACTAAGTAGTTCTAGCTGCATAGCTAGAGTTTTAAATAGCAGCAGGGTCAACATTTCCACAATCAGCTATTTCTTCCCTTTATATTCTAATCAAATTTCAATTCCAGGTCTATCACTTTTCATTTCTTTGTTGCACATTCATCTTTGTTGTGTTGAATAATCTTTCAATTATTCAATTCTGTCAAGTAGTTCATGTGGGTTTATCACTAGGAGAAAAGGAAGCAACACAACTACACACTTTGCATAAACTGAACAGATTTGCAGGGAACTATCACCAACAGACTTTGAAAGAAGTGACATGACTGGTCATGATGCACATCGGTTATTTATGCAGCTATTTGTACACTTAAAAGCTAGCAGCGAAGTTTGTACAGCCACCCTTGAACAACACAGTTTGGGTTTGAATTGCATGGGTTTATTTATACGTGGATTTTGTTCAATAAGCATATTGAAAATTGTTTCAGAGATTTGCAACAATTTGAAAAAAACTCATCATGTAATCCAGAAGTACCAAAAAATTAAGAGAAAGTTAGGTATATCATGAATGCATAAAATATCTGTAGATACTAGCCTATTTTATCATGTACTACCATAAATATACACAAACCTATCACAGAAAGTTAACCAATCAAAACTTATGCACACAAACACAGGCCGTACATGGTGCCATTCGCAGTCAAGGGAAATATAATCAAACATAAAATTAATTGTAGTACACACTGTACTACTGTAATAATTTTGTAGCCATCTCCTATTGCTATTGCAGTATGGTCAAGTATTGTGAATATCCACTTAAAATGCCATATGATGCATCTGCATGCGATGCTAATCATCTCCACCTGAGCAGTTCACAGCCAGTAAATTGCATGACAGTGAAAAGTGATCATTCGTAGTTCTCATTCATCATGTTTAGTACAACACTCAAAACATTGAGAAACACCATGAAGCTAATACAAAGTGCCACTAGTGATGCTGGAAGTACTACCAAGAGGTAAAGAAAAGTCATGACATTGTAAGAAAAAGCCGAACTGCCTGATACATACTGTGAATTGAAGTCTGCAGCTGTGGTTGCAGGCATGAGCCACCGTGCCCACCCTTCTGTTGCACTTTTTTTTTTTAGACGGAGTTTTGCTCTTGTTGCCCAGGCTGGAATGCAGTGGCGCGATCTCAGCTCACTGCAACCTCCGTCTCCCAGGTTCAAGTGATTCTCCTGCCTCAGCCTCCCGAATAGCTCGGATTACAGGCATGCGCCACCATGCCTGGCTAATTTTTCTATTCTTTTTTTTTCAATAGAGACAGGGTTTCTCCATGTTGGTCAGGCTGGTCTCGAACTCCTGACCTCAGGTGATCTGCCTGCCTTGGCCTCCCAAAGTGCTGGGATTACAGGTGTGAGCCACTGCACCTGGCCTTCTGCTGCACTTTTTAATGGCATTTGGGAACCCTTCTCTTGGTCAGCAGAAGCTGCTTCCCCTGTTATCTTGACATTTTTAAAGCCACATCTCTCTTAAAGTATCAAACCATCCCTTGCTGGCATTAAATTCTTCAACTCTAGATCTTTCACCTCCCTTTTGCTTTAAATTGTCATATAATGACTTTGCTTTTTCTCGAATCTTACTAGTCTATAGGTATGCCTTTCTTATAGCAGCCCTGCACCCACACAGAAGCTGCATTTTATCTTGTGTTGACAAGATAAAATTATTTTCATAAAAAGTGCAGGGGTTTTCATGCTTGCTGCTGTAGCAGCTACAGCTTCATGGATTTTCTTTTTTTACAGTGGTCTGCTGAATTCATTTATCAGGAGTTCAAAACCAGCCTGGCCAACATGGCAAAACCCCGTCTCTACTAAAAATACTAAATTTAGCTGGGTGTGGTGGCGAGCACTTGTAATCCCAGCTACTGGAGAGGCTGAGACACGAGAATCGATTGAACCCAGGAGGCAGAGGTTGCAGTGAGCCGAGATGGCACCACTGCACTCCAGACTGGGCGACAGAGCAAGACTCTGTCTCTAAATACACACATACACACACACATACATACATACATACATACATACATACATACATCTACATCTACTCTAATTTATTTTAGCTCACAGCCCTAATGACAAATCCTTAATTTCATGGCTAACATAAAGTATTAGTAATGAAAAAATACATCAGAAACACACTGTATAATGGGTTAAAATATTCACACTTTCTCCATCAGCAAAACTATAAACAAGTATATAAATAAGCCCCCAGCTAAAAATGAGGTCCTCAAACTTCTGAATGGTCATCCTTACAAAAAAAAAAAAAATGACACTAAGACTAACTTGAGATGTTTAATAAGTTTCATTTCAAAATTAAATGTAAAAAGAACCCATGCTCAAAACCTTGCTTAAAAAAATTGTAAAAAGGAATCAACAACTTTTTTTTCCTCCATCTCTCATGTCTCTTAAAAGAACTCTAAAAATAAAAAAAGATGGCCAGGTATGGTGGTCACGCCTGTAATCCCAGCACTTTGGAAGGCCGAGGTGGGTGGATCACCTGAAGTCAGGAGTTCGAGACCAGTCTGACCAACATGGCAAAACCCCATCTCTACTAAAAGTACAAAATTAGCCAGGCGTGGTGGCACATGCCTGTAATCCCACCTACTCAGGAGGCAGAGGCAGGAGAATTGCCTGAACCCGGAAGGCAGAGGTTGCAGTGAACCGAGGTCACGCCATTGCACTCCAGCCTGGGCAACAAGAGCGAAACTCTGTCTAAAAAAACAAAATGTGGCAGAAGGCTGGGCACGATGGCTCAGCACTTTGGGAGGCTGAGGGTAGGGGATTACTTGAGATCAGAGGTTCAAGACCAGAACTACTAAAAAATAATAATACAAAAATTAGCCAGGCACAGTGGCCTGGGTGACAGAGTAAGACTCCATCTCAAAAAAAATTTTTTTTAATAAAAAAAATTAAAAATTTAAAAAGATACCTGTTAGTTTAAATTTATAAGATATCAAAAGTGCTCTCTGCACACAAAAGGGCAAACTGGGGAAACTGAGGTAGACAGGAACTATATCCAAGATCGCACGGTTGTAAAACCTGACTTTGTCCCAGCTGTTTCCAGTCAACTACACTACATCTACTAACAAAGGAGATGAAACTTAAGAGAGCTCAATACTACTGTACCATCTGCCATGAAATAAAATCTGTCATCCCCTGATGTTCTCTCCTGAGCTGGGAATAAAATAAGTTCCTCTGGAGTTTAAAACAAAGACAATGGGCAATTATAAAGTAAACAAACAAACAAAAAAACCCACAATTCTTTATTAGGAGAAGACAAAATCAAGAAGTTTTTGAAGCATCAAATATCATGAGTAAATTCCCCTGAAAGCAACCAAACTTTATAAAGTTACGGGGAAAGGATAGGCTTGGAAAATATTTGGGTGATGGATAAAAAAAACAAAAGGCTTGTTTGTTTTAACCTGAACCTGTTACATTGCTCCTTTAAAACAAAGAATGCTATGAAGTAATGTTAATGAATATAACTACTTCTCTCCCAGAACACTACTTGGTGTAGATGAAATAAGGTATTGGAACTGGGTCTAAATCCAGCTTCGATATTTGGCAGCTGTGTTACTTTGGGTTGTTTTATCTCTAGCTGTTTTCTTTTCTGTAAAATGAGTACACATCTCCCATACCTTACTCAGTTGTTTTGAAAATTAAATGAAATAATATATGCAAAGCTCAACAAATACTTCTGTGCCCCCTTCTATTTTTCCATCTACTTTTTCCAGTTTTTAAACCTATTTAGAACATGTCATTATCCACACACCAGCTGTTTCTTACCTTTTTAGAAATAAAGTCATGATACCAAGTTTCCTAAAGGACAGAGGAAATGTTAGCTTTTAATTTTAAATGCTGAAGCTGTAAAGGATGAGGGGAGCTTCCTTCACTCCACTGTCTATAGTGCAGAAAGTAGTAATAATTGTTCCTTTTGTGCTAATAGCTACAACCAAAGCTTGCTGTGCCTTACGTTTTTCCAACTGCTTTTTTTAAATTTTTTTTTTAGCAGTTTTTTTGTTTTGTTTTGTTTCATTTTGTTTTAAAGAAGTTCTCAAGTCAAGCTGGGATTCCTTCCAGTTCTCAGGAACTGGTCATCTTCCTCATCTATCCCATTTACAGTGTCACATCCCAAAATTCTACAGTATACTACAAAAGAAAGGTTCCCAACCACAACGTAATGGCTCAGAAATCCAGCTATGGAAACATCTCTACTGCCTGTAAAAGTCCTCCAAAAACCTCAATAAATAGGGCAAAGTTATATCTCCTTCCCCAAAATAATACTAAGGATACTTTTAAATAGCTTCTTCACCAGAACCTTTCTACCTTTAAGGTCCAGAAAAAATATTTTTGCCAGCCCAGTAGAGAAACACAGCTTATCTTCGATAAATTATACAATCTGCCCCCACCCAGGTATCTTCATTAATGGAAATGATTTTCATTTCCACTTTAAATAGCAGATATATAACAATCTGTACTGCACAGTGAGAATGGAGATCACAATGTGTTTATGTCCTGGGAAAGGGATGGGATGGTAAACACTACAACCAACACATACCAAAATATCGACAGAGCTTAATCATAAGGTGGTACAGCCTGATGGGTGATTGTTTATTGTTTATTTTTACTTTCTATAGTGAATATACTTTTATATAAAAAAAGTTTTTAAATGATAAAAATGCCAATATCTTTAGTTTGTGTGTATGATAATAAAACTCAGGCTTCAAATTTTCTTTTTTCTGAAGTATAAAAATCCCATGGCTGCTAGTTCATGCAAAAATGAAAAAGTAAAACTTGCACATATTACAAAATCTTTCTGTAAAAGCTTATAAAGTCAGCTAACTAGAGGGGTTTTATCCAAAATAAGAGTAAGCCAAGTGGTAAAATAAATGGGTATCTGTAGCCCCAATCTCATTTTTAAAATTTTCTGTAGAGTTGCTGCAGGGAAGAAGATTCAATGGTTACACAGACCTTAGGTAGGCATTTCTTAAACAGAACATTTTACAGGAGCATATTGTTTGTTATCAACTGCCAAATCCAAAAGAGAAAAGAGATTTTAAAGACATCCACCTGAATATGCTTCTGCAAACCAGCAAAAACAGCCCTGCGCTAAAATGACAAAAGCTTCCAGGAGAAGAGTTAGACACCATCAACTATCTTAAACATGTTCAAATTACTCATTTCAGGATCAGTTTCATGAGCATACTTGGAATTCCAACTCTCCCTTCTCCCACTGATTTCCCAGATAACCTTGCTCAAGTAACTTTGTTCTCTTTATCTCAAAATGATTTTAACTATCTAAAACCTTTTATTTCTTCTCAGATACCTACTACTTTTTTTTTTTTTTTTGAGACGGAGTCTCGCTCAGTCGCTCAGGCTGGAGTGCAGTGGCGCGATCTAGGCTCACTGCAAGCTCCACCTCCCGGGTTCACGCCATTCTCCTGCCTTAGCCTCCCCAGTAGCTGGGACTACAGGTGCCCGCCACCGCGCCTGGCTAATTTTTTGTATTTTTAGTAGAGATGGGGTTTCACCGTGGTCTCGATCTCCTGACCTCATTATCCGCCTGCCTTGGCCTCCCAAAGTGCTGGGATTACAGGCATGAGCCACCGCACCCAGCCGATACATACTTCTTAACAATAGGAGCCTTCAGTCTTTAAAGTAAAAAACTAGGATTGTAACTATTTATTAATACTATACTCCTTTGAAAATGTGAAAAGTGAATAAAACTCTTGACATAACAGTATTAAAGAGAAGTCTTTAGTTTGCTGGTATAAAATAATGTTCTTAAATCATATTACTCTCTAGAGGATAGTGTTCAGCCATTAAAAATTATGTTGTAGAAGAATACTTAATATTACAGAAAGATGTTCAGGATCCATTAAATGAAAAAAAGCAAATGACATAATCAAACCCAACATATCTCTACCCACGTGAGCATATTCACAGAAGACAAACTGGAAAGCATTTAGGACAAAAATGTTAACCATTAGTTTCATCTCTAGGATACAAAATTGTAAGTTTTCATTTTTTTTCTTTTTGCTCTTACTATCAAAACACATGTTCACTGCAGAAAATTAACGCTCATTTTAAAACCGTTTTTAATTCTACCCAGGGAGTAGAACTAGAGGAAGAAAAAAAAAAGAGAGAAAGTAACCAACATCACAGGCAAGCCTATAATAAAACTGCCCTGTACTTAACAGCTTGGCATCTTTTTACACAGTGTTTTACAGAGTAAAAAACATCCAGCCCTGGATTTAATGAATGCCCAAAACTTCCCTACCATGAGATTCCTAACTCTTGAAAGTTACTTTTTGGTGCTTTAGCTCCAAAACCTACTGATAAACCTACTTTATACCAAATTCTCTTAAATACATCTGATTTGATTAAGGGATCTCACCAACAAGTGATAGCTTTTTTCTTTTTTCTTTTTTTTTTCTGAGACAGAGTCTCGCTGTCGCCCAGGCTGGAGTGCCGTGGCACAATCTCGGCTCACTGCAATCTCCGCCTCCTGAGTTCAAGCAATTCTCCTGCCTCAGCCTCCAGAGTAGCTGGGATTACAGATGTGCGCCAACACGCCCAGCTAATTTTTATATTTTTAGTAGACGGGGTCTCACCATGTTGGTCAGGCTGGTCTCAAACCCCTGACCTCGTGATCCACCCACCTCGGCCTCCCAAAGTGCTGGGATTACAGGCATGAGCCACCATGACTGGCCAGCTCTTTTTTTTTTTTTTTTTTTTTTTGAGAGTCTCACTCCTTCACCTAGGGTGGTGGTGGTGTGCAGTGGCGCAACCTTGGCTTATTGCAAGCTTCACCTCCCGAGTTCAAGTGATTCTCCCACCTCAGCCACTTGAGTAGATGGGGCTACAGGTGAGTGCTACCACATCTGGCTAATTTTTGTATTTTCAGTAGAGACAGAGTTTCACCATGTTGGTCAGGCTGGTCTCGAACTCCTGACCTCAGGTGATCTACCTGCCTCAGCCTCCCAAAGTGCTGGAATTACAGGCGTGGGCCTGATAACTATTTTCATCTGTTATTCCACCAACTTTCATTTTACAACATAATAAAATAACAGGACCAAGACTTCACAAAATTATCTCCTAACTTCAAGATAATCCAAAGTTAATATATGTTTCCTACCCCATCCCATCTCCATGTCCCACCACTCCCACCCAGCCAAATTTTAATTCATTTTCTATGATCTGGTAATAAAATGTTTTCCACACTTGTCAATATAGATGCAAATTGGCAATACAGATGCAAAGAATAATAGACTTCATAACACAGCCCTTATAAGAAGGAACCAAATGGTAGTATATATTTGGCATAACCCACGTGCCCTATGACATGAGGATGATCCTGAATAACACACTTTAATCTTCTCAATCAAGCCTTCCATTTATCAAGGAGGGATATTTGGTAAAAACAGACCCCTAGATGATATCCCTGTAAGTACAGATAAACTGAGAATAACTCAAAGAATCCCTGACAGATGCCTTAAGAGAACTTTCTGGGATGCAGTTGTTTTTTTGTTTTTTTTTTAAATCCACACAACTGTTTATCTTTTGAAAGAAAAGAGGCCAGGCCCAGTGGCTCATGCCTGTAATCCCAGCACTTTGGGAGGCCAAGGCAGGCCGATCACCTGAGGTCAGGAGTTCAAGACCAGCCTGGCCAACATGCCAAAACCCTGTCTCTACTAAAAATACAAAATTAGCCAGGCATGGTGGCGGGTGCTGGCAATCCCAGCTACTTGGGAGGCTGAGGCAGGAGAATCACTTGAACCCGGGAGGCGGAGGTTGCAGTGAGCCGAGATTGCACCACTGCACTTCAGCCTGGGCGACAGAGCAAGACTCCGTCTTAAAAAAAAAAAAAAAAAAAAAAATCAACCCAGGAAATAAACATTTAATATGAAGTTATTTAAATACTATAAGCCCATCTGAATCAGAGCAAGCCTAGAAAACCTCTTAACTTCCCCCCCTTCCCCATCCCCTGAGGGTAAGGAAAGAAGCTTTGAAATTTCTTTTTCCAGTTGACAGACAGAATGGATTTAAAAAAAAGTTAAAATAAAGTAACACACATATTCATGTTCTCATTTTCCTTACTAATTCAAGTGTGCCCTGCTGCTATTCAGAAACACTCCAAAGAGAGGCACTTACTTCCTGATTACACATTCAAATAAATGCATAACATGCATTTCAACTTGGAATCACTTTCTTAAGAAATTAACTAGTAGAAATCATGTTACTGCAACATCATGGTTGAAGTCATGCCAAAACTAAAATTTTAATACCTAAAATAACTTCCTCAGCTACACTGACTGTACAAATATATTAAGGCAGTAATATTACCCACTGTAACTCATAAATATTATTATCCTGGTTAGTGTTATTTATTTTTGTGAGCTTAACAGGACAGACTTTTTAATAAAAGGGGAAAAAATGAACCACTTCAAAATGACATTAGAATGTAATAACTTCACTCTTCTTTCCTCAATTCCAAGCTGGCTACAGCAGAACACAAGTCTCTGCAAAGCAGCATATGCTCACACAAGGGTAGTGATCCAGAAGCAGACAGCATCCTTGAAACATCCCAAGTCAAAGAAAATATAGCCTCTGCCCTAAAGACTTATAGTTTAAGTCAGGCAGACAACTTTAAGACATAAAATTCCCAGATGACAACCAGCTAATGATTTTTCAGAATTTATATTTTGCTTTTCCTGCTCAAGTTAAATGAAGAACAAGAAAAAATGGATTAAATGGTGAGACTGAAGGAATGGGGTCAATAACAATTTTTAAATTAATTACAGTCTTCAGGAACATCTGAAAGGTATGAATTGGAGTGGGAGCACTTCTAACAAAAGACCAAGCCACAATGGGATCACATGAAAAGAGACATCCACAAAAATAAGAGGAGAAAACAGGATGAAAATTCTAAGACAACAAGGGGAAAAGGTAAGATAACAAATGAGAAGCCAGAACTCAAAGGAAGACTATGAGAAAAAAATCAGCTGATTTCTTGCTAGTTTTAATAAAGTTATTGTACTAATCTGAAAAGCTAATTAACTTAACTTTAATCTTTTTCAAAATGTTGAATGTTTCCCAGCTACTGCTCTTCCAGAGCATCATTAACACTTTTTGAAATCCATACTCAACATTCCAAAGTAGGAACACTTGTCATTTTTCTCTTGTGAAAAATTAAAGAGCCCATATGTGAGATCAAGCTCATGATCTCAACCCGATTAAAACCACACTAACCAGATCAGACAAATTAAAATGCAATCTCTCTCACACACACCCACACAATGCTCTTCAAAGCTATGTTTTAAGTCTTCACATCATGAACCCAGCAAACCCAGATTCCATTCTGCCTCCTGTCTACGTCTCAAACTCTACTTAAAACAGTCACTGATACGTGCTTTGTCCTAATCACAGCTGTCTTTTAACATCTATCTTCCAGGCTGCCTATAGTAGATGTGGGTACATCAGTCTGAAGCTGTCAACATCTGCACTGGACAGGAGACCAATTTTCGCCTCCTTCAATCTTGACTCTAGTCAGTTGCCAGGGAGAAAATCATGCCTCAAGAGCCTGACAGCTTGTGCTCAATAACCTTTTGTCAGGGATGAAATACATTATTTTTCTGAAAATTGCCTTGCCAAGATTCACAGTGAACTATGTATATATACACATACACATACATGTGTGTACACATTTTTTCTCCCTATATACAAATTATTCAAGCTGTACCAAGGAAGATGGCATCTATGTCCTTAGCTTCACTACACAGTTATACACAATTACTGAGATAAATAAAAGAATGTCTCTCCATTAACATCAATTAAGAACTCTCATTTTCCATCCTTTCTTTATAACAATGCCCTAAGAGACCCTCAGTTTTATATGACTGGGTAATTTCATGCTTTAAAGATTTAAAAAAAGCTGAGAATGAGTGCAGCACACCAACATAGTACACGTATACATATGTAACAAACCTGCATGCTGTGCACATGTACCCTAGAACTTAAAGTATAATAAAAAATAAAAATTTAAAAAAACAAGAACAGCTACAATGAACAGTAATTGCCTCTCTAAAAAAAAAAAAAAAAAAAAGCTGAGAAAACAAGTACCATTAGAGTATGCTCACAAATCAACTATAGGTACTAAGATTACCCAGATGCTTGCAAACTCACAGATGTTAACTATTGTGTTAGCAGACAATAAATACTCCTTTCTTGTTCTAAAACTAACAAGACCCTTTTTTTTTTTTTTTTTTTTTTTTTTTGAGACGGAGTCTTGCTCTGTCTCCAGACTGGAGCACAGCGGTGCAATCTCAGCTCACTGCAACCTCTGCCTTCCGGGCTCAAGCAATTCCCCTGCCTCAGCCTCCCAAGTAGCTGGGACTACAGGCACGTGCCACCACGCCTGGCTAATTTTTTGTATTTTAGTAGAGACGGGGTTTCACCATGTTGGCCAGGAGGGTCTTCATCTCCTGACCTCGTGATCTGCCCGCCTCGGCCTCCCAAAGTGCTGGGATTACAGACATGAGCCACCGCACCCGGCCGACATTTTTTACATAAAAGATGATTTATGTAATGATTGAGATTTAGTACTTAACAACACTGACTGCTTTCAGTAAGTTGAGATCTTCTACTCAAGGAAAATGCATTCGCAGTATCAAAGTTTGCCTGAAATGGAATGACCTGAAAGCCAAAACCTAAAAAGAAACGTTTCAAAGAAATCTTAAGACAAATCTGTCTAAACATAAATAGATATGAAAGGGGAAAAAACTGTAAGCCAAACATTAAGATGTCTGCTTTTTATTTATGGACAGGAATATTTAGTAAAAGAACTTACTCTATCTTCACCTTCTGGCCATCTGGGGGACAAAGGATGTATAGTTGTCACTATAAAATGTTTTTTCAGCACTGAAGAAGAGGCTGCAGTGAATTACCCAGAGGTTTTCACAGTGTTTGCCATGAGAATAACAACACATACATGAGAGGTGACTGGCTGTGGTTAGTGGTACGATAGTCACAAAATGAAGGTCAAACCAAATGGCAGGCAGTAAGTCACTAGACTTAGCTACAATCAATCCTTGCTCTGTTCAGCAGCACTCAATCACCTTTTCCCAGACTACCATAATCTTGTCCTACCATTAAAACCAAAATTGCAGACACACACAATCATTTCTTGATTTTCTACTCCAAGGTAATTTAACCTCTGCTATGCCATTAGATTAGTAAAGAGAAATCTAAAAGATCAGCATCTCCAGCCCAATGAGCCATGTCTCAATTTTTGAAAACTTGGTGGAATTCCAATTAAAAAGAAAAATAACAGGGCTTCAACAAATCAACAGAGAAAGGAGCACTAATGTTTACCAATACTTATCATTGCCATAGGAACTCACACAAATAACATGTTTCAGATGTATTAATAAACATTAATACGTGTGATTAATGAACACAAAATAAGGTTTGACATCCATTACAAGCAAATAATGCAAACATTTTAAAAGGCAGCATTTTACACCTGTAAGAACACAGGTTCTTAGCAGCACATGCTGCCTCAACACCACCCTAAATGCCTCAAGTCACAGGAAAATAAATTACTACAACTTTTCACATACCAGGTCCCTTAGTTTTACCTACTGAAAAGATCAGCTACTTGCACAGGCCCTGCTGGCAGTTAACATGCATGACAACTGGCCAATTCTCTCTTTCCATCAATTCTGTTATAGCAGTCCCTTCCTGCACAGCTCCATTTCACTCCCCACTACTATGGTCATCTCCAGACTCTAGGTCCTACCTCTGGGCTGTCTACCAGTCACTTTAACCCTTCCTGCACACAGCTAACACTAATCTCCCTGCAAAAACTCCACTTTTCCTCATATTCTGTATTGCCCAGATGGTGGAACTTCTTAAAACAGGAAGAAAATTCAAGAGACAAATTTCAGTTTCTAAGGGGAAAAAAAAGCTTTTAAAATAAACACAAACCAATACTGGAAAGAGCTCCCCCTTGAGGTAGTGAGTGAGTCCTGTGTCACTTGATACATTCAAGCATATGGGACCTGAACCATGTAATGCCACATGGCATTCCAAGCCACCCTCTAAATATGCTCCAAACTATATTAAACCTCTCCTGCAGCCGGGTGCGGTGGCTCACGCCTGTAATCCTAACACTTTAGGAGGCCGAGGTGGGTGAATCACGAGGTCAGGAGTTTGAGACCAGCCTGGCCAATATGGTAAAACCCCACCTCTACTAAAAATACAAAAATTAGCCAGGTGTGGTGGCACATGCCTGTAGTCCCAGCTACTCAGGAGGCTGAGGCAGGAGAATTGCTTGAACCCAGGAGGCGAAGGTTGCAGCGAGCCAAGATACCACCACTGCATTCCGGCCTGGACGACAGAGCAAGACTCCAACTCAAAAAACAAAACAAAACAAAAACCTCTCCTGCCAGCAGTGCTCAACATGACTAGCACCCACCTCCAGCCAGGGACCTCACTGTTTCTCATGCCCATCTTGCACAGTCTATTTTTCTTACCTGGATGAGTTTCCTCCTGCTCCCTTTTTCTACCTTTCAAGATCCAGTGCAAGCTCAAATACCTTTAGTTAACTTTCCCAATCCCATGCTTATCCTCCCATTCCTCTGCCACTCATGCTATTAATTATTTTTCGTATTCATGTATCATTATAAGCTCTGGGGGGGGGGAAAAACAGGAAAAACAGCCTCCTATGTGCTAGAATACCATCTCCCCCTCAGGGACCACACACTATCAACCAGCCCATTCCTCACTCATATTTCCCTGACACAAGCTTCTTCCTAGGAAATCTACTGTTGCTCAGTGCACGAATAATCTATTTGGCCCCTTTACTGAGCAAATATGATTAGAAGCAGTGCAGGAATACAAAAAGGTGGATTTCAGTTTCTTTGGGTCTTCTCCCCCTTCACTGACCCAGAAATGCCCATGAGCTATAGGGAAGAAGCTACAGAAGTAGCAATAATACTGATCCTGGCCTTTGAGATCCAAGTATAAATTGTGGCTAATGGATTATAAAACACTGTTCTAGTAAGAAGCTGTTCCTCATCACTCCACTTCAAATTTAACATTAATGGGCCTCTGTTCATAATATCTCTCCTTTTTCAAAAAAGCTTCATTTAGGTCTTCTCATCTCTGTCCCCTGAAAGTCCCCTATCCGGCTTAAGAGGCTTCTTTTTCTGGTCAGAGCCCTATTCAAGGATTCATAAAATACATTTATGTACCACAAGGCAGCTGCTACTCTTTATCTACTGTTAAAATGTACATGTATGGGGAATGTCTGCTAATGAGTATGAGGTTTCTTTTGGGGGATGATAAAAATGTCCTGGAATTAGATCATGGTGATAGCTGTACAACTCTGAATACCCTAAAAAACACTGCATTGTATACTTTAAATGGGTGATTTTTATGGTATGTGAAATTATATCTCAATTTTTTAAAAAAAACATAAGATTCTCCACCCCTACCCATGCATTTACATTTGGCACTGGAAAGGAAAACACACTTTAAATTTCGAGAAAAAAGCATTTTCTCTTACTGTACTTCTCGGAGAATAATCAATTATCTTACTCAAACATTTAAGTGCCTATCACGGACCAGGTACTATCATAGATACAAACAGAATGGTCACCAGACCAGCACAGAACCTGCACTGCTGGAGCGTAGAGAGGAAAAGGCAACCAACTTAAATTACCACTGTGATAAGCGCTAAGACAAAAAAGAACAAAGGTAAGATTGATCTGATAAGGATGGGGGGATACGGGAGGTAAACAGGATCCTAAAATAAGAAAAGAGCACATCTAAGAGGCATATGTACACCTCTGCCTATATAAGGTAGCTACTCAAAAACGAAGCAGATTAGTAGTACAATTAAACTCTTAGATCACAGAGATTTGGAAGCCATGCAATTGGTGACTGGCTCCTATCCACCACATGTGGCTCACCTGACCATTTCATTAGCCTTGAAGTCAAATGATCCTGTTTTTATGTACGTGAATTTTTTTAACATCACTTACAGCATTATGGTGAAATTTTAGTATACTCACAAATGTGCATATTCATTATTTATGTAATCAGGGTCTAACACAAAAAGAAAGTTACACATCAAAAACTGTGTACATTCCAACTTTTGGTTATTATGATTGCACGGGAAGCAATGGACATGTACAAACCCAAAGATACAGAAGGTCTAATTTTTGGCTCAAAAGTATAATAAATAAACACATAAATAACTACCTTTTTGAAGACAGTAAGCTCATATCTTTAACAGCCTGGGAAAACCCTATATCAGGGTTAGCAAACTATAGCCTGTAATTTTTCTAAATGTTATTAGAACACAGCCATCCCCCATGACCATTTCTTTATATCTTGTCTATAGCTGCTTCCCAAATCAACAGCAGAGCTGAATATTAATAGTTTCAACAGAGACCTTTTTTTTTTTTGGAGACGGAGTCTCGCTCTGTCACCCAGGCTGGAGTGCAGTGGCACGGTCTCGGCTCACTGCCAGCTCCGCCTCCCAGGTTCACGCCATTCTCCTGCCTCAGCTGGGTATACAGGTGCCCACCAACACGCCCGGCTAATTTTTTGTATTTTTAGTAGAGACGGGGTTTCACCGTGTTAGCCAGGATAGTTTTCATCTCCTGACCTCGTGATCCGCCCAACTGGGCCTCCCAAAGTGCTGGGATTACAGGCGTGAGCCATCGCACCCAGCCCAGAGCCCTTATGATCAGAAAAGCCAAAAATACTTATTACCTGGCCTTCTAGAAGAAATTTACCAACCCCCATCCTAAACAACGTCAACAGTGATTCAGAACAAAGACATCTTAAAAATCCTTTAAAAATTAAGTGTTTCAGTGGATGGCATATTTTTATTTATCAGAAAAATTCAGAAAAGTTAGGTCAGGGTTTTACGTAAATGCTCAGGACCACTGAAGCCAGGGCAGGGAAAAGTGTTTGTATAAATTTTCTTTTGCTGCCTAAGAAATTCCAAGAGGTGGCAGCTTAAAACAATTATTAACTCCCAGAGTTTTCTATGGGTCAGGGATTTGGGGTTGGTCAGGACTGATGTTGTCTGAAACTTGACTGGAGGTGGAGGATCTGCTTCCTAGGTGGTTCACTCACATGCTTGACAAATGTGTGCTGACTGATGGTTGGAGACTTCAGTTCTTCTCCACAGGACCTCCTGAGTGCACTCAAGACATAGCAGCCAGCTTCCCCCAGACAGAATAATCCATGAGAAAAAGTGGAGTGGATACGGCCCCATTTTTATAACTTTGCTCCCAAAGTAAATAGCACCACTTCTACCACATTCTAGTCATTGTAGGAATCACTAAGTTCAACCCATGTTCAAGGGTTAGGCTCTATTTTTTTTTAAGGGAGGGGTGTCCAAAGAATCTGCAGACCTATTAACACCACTACAGGGTTTCAAACGATGAGTAAATGGCTTCAACGACATAGCCAACAAGTCTCAGTTGATTAAGCAATCTGTGCTTCATATTTTTGTAATATGTATTTTGTTCTATTTATGATAGAAAAGAGATCTTATCACCATTTGTTAAGATTCTCCAAAGAAAAAAGTAAGCCAAGAGAAAAAAGTAAGGCATTTCAGCTTTTCATATCTGATGCAATAATGATGATGGGAGGAAGTTATATTTTGGTTTTGGCTCTTTTTTTCCAAAGAGAAGGCAAATTATGGTGGACAGGTCATGATAATAAATAATTGCAAAAGTGGACTAGGACAGAAAAGTCCTTATGATTCAGAACCACATAAAAGATTATCATATACAAACAAAAATAACAAAAGCAATTCAGATATGCATTCAAAATTGTGGGGGGTTTGGGGAGCAGGGAATGTATATTATACCATGATTGCTACATATTTGCACTGGAGAAACTTCTGAAATAAGAAACATATAAAGTCAAATTAAAATTACCTACAACAATTAAATGCATTTTAAAAATAAATGTGGCCAGGCGCACTGGCTCATGCCTGTAATCCCAGCACTTCGGGAGGCCAAGGCGAGCAGATCACTTGAGGTCAGGAGTTCGAGACGAGCCTGCCAACAAGGCAATACTATACTATACTATACTACACTACACTACACTACACTATACTATACTAAAAATACAAAAATTAGCTGGGTGTGGTGGCATATGCCTGTAATCCCAGCTACTTGGGAAGCTGAGGCAGAAGAATCGCTTGAACCCAGGAGGTGGAGGTTGCGGTGAGCCAAGATCGCACCACTGCATCCCAGCCTGGGAGACAGAGCAAGACTCCAACTCAAAAAAAGAAAGAAAAGAAAAGAAACGTCAGTCACTAGAGCCAGCAAACACTGCCCAAACTCATCTGTTAATATGATTGTGAGTTTCGTTATAGAAGACAAGAAGGGCTGGGGAGGAGAATGTACCACAGAATACAATTAAGTAATAGCCTGATTTCCTCAACAGCAAGCTCAAAAACTGTCCTGAACTGGACCATTAAACTACTTTAAAATAAATTAGGCCGGGCGCGATGGCTCACGCCTGTAATCCCAGCACTTTGGGAGGCCGAGGCGGGCGGATCACGAGGTCAGGAGATCGAGACCATCCCGGCTAAAACAGTGAAACCCCGTCTCTACTAAAAATACAAAAAATTAGCCGGGCGTAGTGGCGGGCGCCTGTAGTCCCAGCTACTTGGGAGGCTGAGGCAGGAGAATGGCGTGAACCCGGGAGGCGGAGCTTGAAGTGAGCCGAGATCCCGCCACTGCACTCCAGCCTGGGCGACAGAGCGAGACTCCGTCTCAAAAAAAAAAAAAAATTAATTAATTAATTCAAAACTCACTGTACTGGGTTGAATAGCATTGCCCAAAAATTCATGTCCACCTGGAACCTGTGAATGCAACTTTATTTGGAAACAGGGTCTTTGCAGATGATATCAAGTTACGATGAGGTTATACTGGATTAAGGTGGGCCCTAATTCAATGGTTGATGTCCTTATAAGAAGAGGGAAACTTGGACACAGAGACACAAAAAAAGAAAAGTATATGATAACAAAGGCAGAGACTGGAGTAACATGTCTGCAAGCCAAGGAATGCTAAGAATTGCTGGCAACCACCAGAAGCTAGGAAAGAGGCATCCACAGATTCTTCCTAAGTCCCAACAAGGAATCAAGCCTGCCAACACCTTGATTTCAGATTTCTGGCCTTCAGAATGATGAGAGAATAAATTTCTATTATTCTAAGCCACCAAGCTTGTAATAATTTATGTTATAGAAGCCCTAGGAAACTAATATACCTGCCTAATTAGTACTGTGGAATTCTAATAATTTCATCATTTTCAGTATTAGAAATATTTATCTTCAGCCTGAAAACTGAAAAAATATTTACCATTGAAGGTTATTTGTTCACAAATTCAGAAAACAATTGGAGATGTTATCTCCATCTAAGGCACTGCCCATTTATGGGTACTGCCACAGGGATGAATTTGACATAAGACTCTGGACTATGCAATCTACCATCAGGCACGAAAGATCTATGAAGTTCTCCCAAGGGTTAGTAAAGCACCTGTAAATAGCAGGGCTCGATTTACCTTAGCTGATATCCAATAACCTAAAAAACCTACATCATTGTTGAAATTCTCCGACTGGAAAAGAAACCTAACACACAACTACAGGTTTCAAGGCCGGGCACTGTGGCTCATGCCTGCAATCCCAGCACTCTGGCAGGCCGAGGCAGGCGGATTGTTTGAGCTTGGGAGTTTGAGACCAGCCTGGGCAACTAGTGAAACCCCATCTCTACTAAAAATAAAAACTGCAGGTTTCAAGAAGTTTATCTTCCGTATTTAAAGTCTTCCTTCCACATTTGTAACATAATAAGGACAATTTTTCTAGCATTAATTATTAGTAAACTGTGGATTACCATTTTACTTTTTATCAATTCTGAATTTCCCAAAACATGATTCCTTTATACCCAGATTTATGTCAAGCTCCAACCAGTTCAAATATGCATGGCTGATTTAACATACTATTCTGACACAATAGGACAATTTCTAGAGTATTTTCAGAGTAGGTAGATATTTTTCCATTTTATCACACCCATCTCTTCAGCATGAACTAAAAAGAAGTATTACACAGGATGAAAAGTAAACTTCGGTCCCATTTCTTTCCTATCAATTTGTGTTACAACATTTCTAAGACTTAACTATTACTTGAAATACCCAAGAGAAGTGGATTCAGATTCTCCAGATGTCCCTCTGCAAGCATCTCTCATGATTAAAATGAGCCAGTCCAACTTAATACATCTCCAATAACTAAGTTACTGAGCAACTGGCAAGCATAAGAATGAGAATTAAAATATGAGCCAGTCCAACTTAATACATCTCCAATAACTAAGTAAGTTACTGAGCAATTGGCAAGCATAAGAATGAGAATACTGACCACAAAAAAAATCTTCAAACACTGATTTTCTAGAAAGGCCTGCCTCTCTTTACCTAAAAAGCAGTAATGACCTACCTTGTTTTCGAACATCTTCTACAGCAGCCACAAGCTCCTCCTTGAGAAACTGGCTCTCCTTCGCAATTTTATCCCCCTTCTCCAAGAAATTCTCAGTTGCTTGTTCAACAGATGCAGCCAAAACATGGGCCTTCTTAGAACGACCTCTCTTCTTATTAGAGGGCCCTTTACTATTGGTGTTTACAAGGGTTGTAACCTAAAAGTTTCATTTTTAACATTAAACTGGAGTCAATTAAAATGACAAACTAATATCTTTAAAGACAGCAAGATTAAGTTATTCTTTTAAAAAATCACATGAGATTCCACTGAACATTAACATACAATTCCCCATATTTAAGATATACAGCAATGATGCTATATTTAATTTCCAAAATAATTCAGCTTTCTTAATGTGTACAGAGAATTATTTAACACATATTTTAATTTCTCAAATATGATCATTAGGTTTTTAGTTTGATTTTACAAATTAAAAAATGATTAGAGACAAGTTAGATGTCTCTACTATATGTCACCAAGATGTTCCAGAAAGAGGTTAACAATGAACTTAGCTTTATCTGGAGATCACACTGCCACTGTTTTCAAACTTTGCAAAACATTTTAAGATAATTTGCTTCTGAAGTCTTTTGACAGTTTATTCACACAAATCTCAGCAATTAGTAAAGGTCCCAATAAACGAATGATTGCCCAAAGAAGCCTACAGTGATGACGCTTTATGTCTTAGAACATTACCATCATTAATACACATAATACCAGATTATCTCTAGGTTAAAGATGATGAATATATGTTATAGTGTAAATTTGCCAAACAAGACTCATTTTCTCTCTCTCTCTCTGAATCTCTCACATACAAACAATAGACATACTATTGTAAAACACTAAAAGTACACAGCTAGTTGCTAACAGTTTATGAACTACCCTAACATTGTGACATTTGTAGCATACCAAACCTAAACCCTCAAGTTGAATTACCTGCTAATTAATCCCACACAATGAAAGGTGTGTTAAGCAGAGTGAGAGACCTTAACAATCAAGGATCCAGACTCCACCTTTCTTGGGTTTCCCCTCTGAAGAAAGGTGAAGTATCTGCAAAGCACAAACATTTGCAAAGTTGCACTACATACCATGGACCCGTTACTAGCAATAAGACTGAAGAAAACGACAGCAGCAGCGTTCTCAAGGGTTAACTAAACCCATGCATCAATATTCAAATCATCTAAGAACTGTCACCTAAACTCAAGTACTGGAATTAAGGCTTTGAACTAAATAACCTTGCTCTTATGGTTGTTACCCAGGCCTGTGCTATAGAACCATGTTACAATGTATTTGTGTTTTCAGATTCTTACCTGTGTAACAAGAGGCTCCAACAGTCTCTCAACTGCCAGAGTCCTGATCTCTAGACTTTTAGGATCCCACTTGAAGTTTATGTTGCCTGCATGGACAGCAGTCATTTCTAAATAAGAAACAAAAAGTCAGTCAGGCAAACATCAAACACAAACATGAAATATGTAACAAATCTTCTCCTACTTTGGGACTTTTGCATCAGGAAAGCTATATTCACTATAGATGAAAAAATTCTAACTAGCCTACACATGAAGACCCAGTAAACCTTACAACCTCTTAATATTTAATGATTTCAGGCTTACAAATAGGAGGGGTACTACAAGAGGGCATTCCCAAACACACAGAATGTTTCCCTTTGGGCTTCTCTAGCACCAAGACTTCCTACCTCAGTTCCTACTCACTTTATCTGCCCCACCTTTAGAAACAAGATGAAAAGCTAAAGTGAATGAAAGCTACTTTCTTTTTTTTTTTTTTTTTGAGACAGAGTCTTGCTCTTTCGCCCAGGCTGGAGGGCAGTGGTGGATCTCAGCTCACTGCAAGCTCCGCCTCCTGGGTTCACGCCATTCTCTGGCCTCAGCCTCCCAAGTGGCTGTGACTACAGGGGCCCGCCACCACGCCCGGCTAATTTTTTTGCATTTTTAGTAGAGACGGGGTTTCACCGTGTTAGCCAGGATATGATGGTCTCGATCTCCTGACCTCATGATCCACCTGCCTCGGCCTCCCAAAGTGCTGGGATTATAGGCGTGAGCCACCGCACCCGGCCAAAAGCTACTTTCAAAGACACTGCTTCAAAAACGAATACAGAAGATCCTGATTTTTCCTACTCCACAACATTCATGGTACAGTAGTATCTAAAAGGTATGCTTCACTTCATTTTTTGATGGATTCCTAGAGAAGGACTTGTCTTATTCTATTAAAACATAATGTTTAAATCAGCTGCCCTCTGCACCCACAGCTATTATCACTCATAGCCAGAAGAAATTTCAAATCACACTTAGTCAAATATCACTGTATCAGTGTCAAGAGAAACTTCTGTCAGACAGCGGCTTTAAGAATAGGGAGAAAACATCAACGAAAATAACAGTTAGTCTTTTCTTCTAAAAGTAGTGCCTTCAATTATTAAAGAAAAAAAGAAAAGAAAAGGCATGAAGCTGAGGTAAACACTAATATAAACTTTCTAGACAACAAACTGCTGGTAGACATTTAAAAGCTTAAAGGCTGGGCGTGGTGGCTCACTCCTGTAATCCCAGCACTTTGGGAAGCCAAGGCGGGCAGATCACCTGAGGTCGGGAGTTCGACACCAGCCTGACCAACAAGGATAAACCCTGTCTCTACTAAAAATACAAAATTAGCCAGGCTGGTGGTGCACGCCTGTAATCCCAGCTACTCGGGAGGCTGAGGCAGAAGAATCGCTTGAACCCGGGAGGCAGAGGCTGCAGTGAGCCGAGATTGTGCCATTGCACTCCAGCCTGGGCAACAAGAAAAAAACTCCATCTTAAAAAATAATAATAATAATAAAAATTAAAAAAATAAAATCTTGGCCAGGCGCAGTGGCTCACGCCTGTAATCCCAGCACTTTGGGAGGCTGAGGCGGGCAGATCATGAGGTCAGGAGATTGAGACCATCCTGCCTAACACGGTGAAACCCAGTCTCTACTAAAAATACAAAAAAAAAATTAGCCAGGCGCAGTGGCGGGCACCTGTAGTCCCAGCTACTCGGGAGGCTGAGGCAGGAAAATGGCGTGAACCCCAGAGACGGAGCTTGCAGTAGCAGAGATAGCGCCACTGCAGTCCGGCCTGGGCGAAAGAGCAAGACTCCGTCTCAAAAAAATAAAAAATAAAATAAATAAATAAAATAAAATCTTTAAAAAGTACATTTGTATGACCCAGAAAATCTACTGCTAAAATCTTATTCTAAAGTTAAGGAACATGTAAAAACTGGGATACAATGATGTTCACAACACTGCTTTATATAAACATTAAAAGTTATAAATTACCTAAATTTCAAACAACAGATCACTCAATAAATTATGTAACAATGACACAACGGGCTACAATGTTACTCTTAAAAACAATGTTGGCAAATTAAAAAACAAAACAACCAGCCTGGCCAACATAGTGAAACCCCGTCTCTATTAAAACTACAAAAATTAGTCCAGTGTGGTGGTACACGCCCGTAATCCCAGCTGCTCAGGAGGCTGAGGCAGGAAAACCACTTGAACCTGGGAGGTGGAGGTTGCAGTGAGCCAAGATCGCACCACTGCACTCCAGCCTGGGCAACAGAGCAAGCTCTTGTCTCAAAAAAAAAACAAAAACAAAAAAAAACCAGTGTTATCAGTGCCCAAGTATTTATTTCTATTAAATACCATTTGCATGGTGGTTCATGCCTGTGATACCAGCACTTTGGAAGGCCAAGGCAGGAGGATCACTTAAGCCCAGGAGTTTGAGACCAGCCTGGGCCACACAGAGAGATCCCATTTCTACTTATTTTTTTTTTAAAAAACGGACCATTTCCCATTAATAGAAACCAAAGTTCCAGGTCTGAAGCACTGTATTGTGCGGAAAGGGGACAAGACTAACAAGATCATATCAAAAGACACAGGAAGCAAGGGCTCCCATCAGCCAAATTTAGGACAACTATCAAAGAGAATAATGACTGTAACTGTCTGTAACTAAATAATTAAATAAATATCCTTAAGACCATAGGGATCCTCAAAAGAAAGGGTATGGGGAGGGAATTTCTTTACCATGAATCTAGAATAGAATTAGAAAATGACCATCTTGCAACCCCCACTGGTAAAAACTGATCCAGCCAAGGATTAGCAATGAATGTCAAAACTACTGGGTGAAAACTGGCCAGGCATGGTGGTTCATGCTTGTAATTCCAGCACTTAGGGAGGCCAAAGTGGGTGGATCACCTGAGGTCAGGAGTTCGAGACCAGCCTGGCCAATGTGGTGAAACCCTCTCTCTACTAAAAATACAAAAATTAGCCAGGCGTAGTGGCGGTTGCTTGTGATCGCAGCTACTCATGAGGCTGAGCCAGGAGAATCGCTGGAACCTGGGAGGCAGAGGTTGCAATGAGCCGAGATCATGCCACTGCACTCCAGCCTAGGCAACAGAGCAAGATTCCATCTCAAAAAAAAAACGTAACTTTGAACTAGATCCCTCATAAAAGACTACCAACCACTGCCTTCTTCAGAGAGCTTTAGTGGAGATTAGATAGAACAAAGTATGATCCATTGACTAATGCATGAGTCCATGCTAATATGAATAAAGAAGGAAAAGTTCTTCCAAACAATAGGAAACAAACTAATAAATGTAGAAAGAACAATGTATTTAGAAAAATCAGCATTCAGGAACCATAATATTAATTGCCTCAGGCAAGAATCAAAGAATGCTAACCAAGTAGATTAGCATTCAGTTTCTCAGTAGCGTGATCTAGTGTCATAGTAACTCCCAACAGATTATTTATTTATGACAGATGGGGGAAATAGTAACTTCACAGTCCAGAAACCTGAGATGCCACCTTAACCAAGTAATCAAAATTACTGTCCCTAATAAGGACACAAACCCACATCACGTATCTCCTAACACGATGCACTGAGAAGGATACAACATCACCTCTGTGTTATTTCGCCTGAAAATTACATAACCTCAACTAGTCATGAGGCAACATCAAATTCAAAGCGTGAGACGATCTACAAAATAACTGGCTGTAGTCTTGAAAAATGTCAAAGCAGCCGGGCGCGGAGGCTCACGTCTGTAATCCCAGCACTTTGGGAGGCCAAGGCGGGTGGATCACGAGTTCAGGAGATCGAAACCATCCTGGTCAACACTGTGAAACCCCGTCTCTACTAAAAATACCAAAAAATTAGCCGGGCGTGGTGGCGGTCGCCTGTAGTCCCAGCTACTCGGGAGGCTGAGGCAGGAGAATGGCATGAACCTGGGGGAGCAGAACTTGCAGTGAGTGGAGATGGTGCCACTGCACTCCTGCCTGGGCCACAGAGCAAGACTCTGTTTAAAAAAAAAAAAAAAAAAAAAAAGACAGATTAAGAAACATTTCCCCTCCCCCTCTCCCTCCTCCCCCTCTCCCTCCTCCCCCTCTCCCTCCTCCCCCTCTCCCTCCTCTCCCTCTCCCTCCTCTCCCTCTCCCTCTCCCCACGGTCTCCCTCTCCCTCTCTTTCCACGGTCTCCCACTGATGCCGAGCTGAAGCTGGACTGTACTGCTGCCATCTCAGCTCGCTGCAGCCTCCCTGCCTGATTCTCCTGCCTCAGCCTGCCGAGTGCCTGTGATTGCAGGCGCGCACCGCCATGCCTGACTGGTTTTTGTATTTTTTTGGTGGAGACGGGGTTTCACTGTGTTAGCCGGGCTGGTCTCCAGCTCCTAACCGCGAGTGATCCGCCAGCCTCGGCCTCCAGAGGTGCCGGGATTGCAGACGGAGTCTGGTTCACTCAGTGCTCAATGGTGCCCAGGCTGGAGTGCAGTGGCGTGATCTCGGCTCGCTACAACCTCCACCTCCCAGCCGCCTGCCTTGGCCTCCCAAAGTGCCGAGATTGCAGCCTCTGCCCGGCCGCCACCCCGTCTGGGAAGTGAGGAGCGTCTCTGCCTGGCCGCCCATCGTCTGGGACGTGAGGAGCCCCTCTGCCTGGCTGCCCAGTCTGGAAAGTGAGGAGCGTCTCTGCCCGGCCGCCATCCCATCTAGGAAGTGAGGAGCGCCTCTTCCCGGCCGCCATCCCATCTAGGAAGTGAGGAGCGTCTCTGCCCGGCCGCCCATCGTCTGAGATGTGGGGAGCGCCTCTGCCCCGCCGCCCCGTCTGGGATGTGAGGAGCGCCTCTACCCGGCCGCGACCCCGTCTGGGAGGTGAGGAGCGTCTCTGCCCAGCCGCCCCGTCTGAGAAGTGAGGAGACCCTCCGCCTGGCAACCGCCCCATATGAGAAGTGAGGAGCCCCTCCGCCCGGCAGCCACCCCGTCTGGGAAGTGAGGAGCGTCTCTGCCCGGCAGCCACCCCATCCGGGAGGGAGGTGGGGGGTCAGCCCCCGCCAGGCCAGCCGCCCCGTCCGGGAGGGAGGTGGGGGAGTCAGCCCCCCGCCCGGCCAGCCGCCCCGTCCGGGAGGGAGGTGGGGGGGTCAGCCCCCTGCCCGGCCAGCCGCCCCGCCCGGGAGGGAGGTGGGGGAGTCAGCCCCCCCGCCCGGCCAGCCGCCCCGTCCGGGAGGGAGGTGGGGGGGTCAGCCCCCCGCCTGGCCAGCCGCCCCGTCCGGGAGGTGAGGGGCGCTTCTGCCCGGCCGCCCCTACTGGGAAGTGAGGAGCCCCTCTGCCCGGCCAGCCGCCCCGTCCGGGAGGGAGGTGGGGGGGTCAGCCCCCCGCCCGGCCAGCCGCCCCGTCCGGGAGGTGAGGGGCGCCTCTGCCCGGCCGCTCCTACTGGGAAGTGAGGAACCCCTCTGCTCGGCCACCACCCCGTCTGGGAGGTGTGCCCAGCAGCTCATTGAGAACGGGCCATGATGACGATGGCGGTTTTGTGGAATAGAAAAGGGGGGAAAGGCGGGCAAAGGATTGATAAATCGGATGGTTGCCGTGTCTGTGTAGAAAGAGGCAGACACGGGAGACTTTTCATTTTGTTCTGTACTAAGAAAAATTATTCTGCCTTGTGATCCTGTTGATCGGTGACCTTACCCCCAACCCTGTGCTCTCTGAAACATGTGGTGTGTCCACTCAGGGTTGAATGGATTGAGGTGGTGCAAGATGTGCTTTGTTGAACAGATGCTTGAAGGCAGCATGCTCGTTAAGAGTCATCACCACTCCCTAATCTCAAGTACCCAGGGACACAAACACTGCGGAAGGCCGCAGGGTCCTCTGCATAGGAAAACCAGAGACCTTTGTTCACTTGTTTATCTGCTGACCCTCCCTCCACTGTTGTCCTGTGACCCTGCCAAATCCCCCTCTGTGAGAAACACCCAAGAATGATCAATAAAAAAAAAAAAAAAAAAAAAAAAGAAACATTTCCAGAGGCCGGGCATGGTGGCTCACACCTGTAATCCCAGCACTTTGGAAGGCCAAGGCAGGTGGATCATGAGGTCAGGAGATCGAGACCATCCTGCCTAACACGGTGAAACCCCGTCTCTACTAAAAATACAAAAAAAAAATTAGCCAGGTGTGGTGGCAGGTGCCTGTAGTCCCAGCTACTTAGAAGGCTAAAACAAGAGAATGGCATGAACCTGGGAGGCGGAGGTTGCAGTGAACCGAGATCGCGCCACTGCACTCCAGCCTGGGCGGACAGAGCAAGACTCCGACTCAAAAAAAAAAAAAAAAAAAAAAAAAGAAATATTTCCAGATTAAAGGAGGCTAAAGAGACTTAAACACAGTGATTCTGGACTGAAATTGTGTTGAGAAAGGGAAAAACATTGAGACAATTGACAAAATTTGACTATGGGTACTGAATTAAACAGTAGCATTGTATCAATGTTAAATTTCTGAATTTTCATCATTATACTGTCATTATACTGTCATCAAATCTAGAATCACTAGAGATAGGGGTGCCAAAAGGAACCTGCATTTGCCTAATCTGGTAACACAGAATGCCTGTGTCCCAGTCATCTGTTTCATTGAAGGTAGATGAATTTGCTGTCTACATTCATGTGACGTCAGGCCTACACTTTGGTTTTTAAAGGTTATTTGTCCACTCAACTGATCAACCCAAGTCAGTGAACCTTAGGAAATGGAATGCTCTAGATTGCTAAAGGTTTGACAACAGCTCAACCAAATGTCATCAAATGTCACAGATAAGACATTTCAGAAGAACTATTTGCCCTATGGATCCTACATATCCTAGCATTCCAGAGATACTGCATTAACACAAACAAAACACAGAACCTTCCAGGGTTGCAAAGGGAGAGAGCCAAGAGGAAAGTTAAGTGAAGCTAGCTGCAAGCAGACATTTAGGTATATGTGGTCACATTTGTGTTTAATTATTAAACAGGTACAACACATAACTATTTCACTTTCTCAAAAAAAGACTTTCATTTTTTTCTTGAACAAAAAACATTCTTGGTCTTTTGTTTTCCTAATTTTGATACTTTGGAGTACAAATAATTTCACTTACTTCTTAACTTAAAAAAGGTGGCACAGGACGGGCGCGGTGGCTCATGCCTGTAATCCCAGCACTTTGGGAGGCCGAGGTGGGCGGATCACGAGGTCAGGAGATCAAGACCACGGTGAAACCCCGTCTCTACTAAAAATACAAAAAATTAGCTGGGTGCGGTGGTGGGCGCCTGTAGTCCCAGCTACTCAGGAGGCTGAGGCAGGAGAATGGCGTGAACCCGGGAGGCAGAGCTTGCAGTGAGCCGAGATCGCGCCACTGCACTCCAGCCTGGGCGACAGAGCGAGACTCCGCCTCAAAAAAAAAAAGGTGGCACAACAGCACAATATGCACAACAGCACAATAATGAATTGCAAATGACACCTGGCCTCTCCAGGCTGGGGACAGGGACCACTAGGAGGAGCCAGGACTTCAAAATCAGAAAGCTTGTGCCCACTTGTTCATCAACTCCAGGCAATCTTTACCACATAAATCCAGGGTTTCCAGACCATCTGACTTTTCAAGAGAGGCCAGGGATGCAGATTTTTACATGGAATCTCCCAACTTTAACGTTAGTGACAACTTCCAAGAAGTCTTACTGTGCAAAAATAAATTATTTAATATTAGAAAAAAAGCCAGGTGTGGTGGCTCCCACCTGTAATCCCAGCACTTTGGGAGGCCACGATGGGAAAATCACTTGAGCCCTGGAGTTCAAGACCAGCCTGGGCAACATAGCGAGACCTCATCTCTACAAATAATTTAAAAATAAAAAACAGGCCAGGCGCAGTAGCTCATGCCTGAAATCCCAGCACTTTGGTAGGCTGAGGTGGGCAGATCACCTGAGGTCGGGATCTCAAGACCAGCCTGGCCAACATGGTGAAACCCTGTCTCTACTAAAAATACAAAATTAGCCGGGCATGGTGGCACATGCCTGTGATCCTAGCTACTCGGGAGGCTGAGGCATGAGAATCGCTTGAACCCAAGAGGCAGAGATTGCAGTGAGATGAGATCACGCCACTGCACTCCAGCCAGGGCGACAGAGTGAGACTTTGTCTCAGAAACAAAACAAAAACAAAACAATCAGCCAGGTGTAGTGGTGTGCATCCATAGTCCAGCTATTCAGGAGGCTGAGGCAGGAGGATCGCTTCAGCCAAAGAAGGTGGAGGCTGCAATGAGCCATGATCTTGCCACTGTACTCCAGCCTGGGCAACAGAGTGAGACTCTGTCTAAAAAAAAAAAAAAAATTAATTCACCAGACTCAGCCTCCCTAATCCTGCTTCTAAACGAGTTAAGGCAAAGGACTCTAATCACTCACTTACATTAAGAAACTTAAAATACACTAACACTTGAAAATTGAGAACTCAGTGTATTTTCAAGACTTTCAATAACCATAATGCAAGCAGACTGCCCTGTATAGCACCTTTAATCAAAAGTGCCAAGGAGCTTGTTTTTGTTTTTTCCTTCACTTGATCACTTACTTCTTGCCCTGTTCTAGTCACACTGGCCTTCTCTTTCTGTAAGTCCCTGAAGACACTGCCTCATCTGTGTTCCCTCTGCCTGGAATGCTCTCTTCCCTCAGAAGACCAGTTCTTTCCTAACTTTCAGATTTCAGCTCAAATGCCGTCATGACAGAAAGGCACTCTAAAGATCCTACTAATTCCATTACTTATTACCCTGCTTAATTTTATTTTAGCTCGTATCGTCTTCTTTGTTTACTTATTTATGCCATTATTACAGTGTAAGTTTCATGAGCGCAGGGTCCTGCCAAGAATGACGCTGAACATCATGAAATGATGCTACAGAGCCAAGGCATGTTTTTAGTGATCCCAATCCTAAAAGGATTTCAAAAAATAAAAGTATCTTAAAATCTAAAGAGAACATGTTCTACTTGAAACATCAGCTTCTGGAACCAGCACTGTCACTTATCCTCTGACTTTTGATTAAGTCACTTCACCTTTCTGGATCCTTGGTTTTATCATCTATAAAATGAAAGAAGTTGAATTCTATACTCCAAATCCTTCTAGTCCTGAAATTCTGGTGCTCTTTTCATCTATCTATAAAATGAAAGAAGTTGAATTCTATACTCCAAATCCTTCTAGTCCTGAAATTCTGGTGCTCTTTTCATCTATCTATAAAATGAAAGAAGTTGAATTCTATACTCCAAATCCCTCTAGTCCTGAAATTCTGGTGCTCTTTTCATTTATGTTGTCACTCAACAGCCATTGAATTGTTTTATTAAACTTAATTTTCTCAGGTTTAGCATATGGTCTTCAGAGCTATATTTTAAGTGTAAGGATGATAACCATGCCTATGTTTCTTTATATCCCGTAAGTTGCTGGCTGGGAGCTTTATGCAGGGCAGATAGTATTAGTTGAGCTGAATTTATGCAACATAATTTGCAAATATTTACAAGCCTCCCAAGACAAAGCTCCTGCCTTAATCTTAGTCGTATCTTCTGGTTCTCTACAATTAATGGTATTGTTCAGAGTAACTAAACAAATAACTTTTAAACTCTTGACAGTTTCTACTTTTCCAATTAACTTACAGAGCACTCCTTCGCAAGATCTATCACAAAACCTACTAGAGCTAGCCAACCTTAATGAATTACAGCAACCTTAGGTTTTTCCAGGAGGGATCATGCTTAATGGAACTAAATAAACAGTTAAACTGTACTTATCTGGTCTTCATTACCTTATAAATGGTAATCCTGGCTATAAAGCAAAAGTTTGCTATAAATTCAGAAAGGGGCAGAGATGCAATCATTTAGCTAGCAATCTACAACAGAAAGAGAAATTGAGAAGCAATGAGGAGAAAATAAAAGCATAGTTCTATCAGAACCAAGGGGGCTGATAACTGGCAAACTGCCTCATTTGTGCAAAGAACTACGTACCTTCTCCAAAGATGTTCAGCATTCACTTATAAAAGAATGGCCAAATCATGCTTAAAATGTGTCTGCTCCTGAATTTTCATTATTATATTGTGGCAGATTTAGACTACCTTAACCATGCTACTCAATGCCAATTTTTTTTTTAACAGCAAAGTTAACTTAATGAAATGTTAGGATGGTTCGTTTAAATGCAAATCAGGAAATTTAGAAATTAAAAGTACCCGAAGCAACGTTAACTGTCACACTGCACAAGACAGAAGATTGTGGAATACTCAGTGCTGTCACAGGTATGCCAGCTTGCATCTGCATCAAGCAGAGTTAACACAGCCTTTGGAACCTCAACTCTCAAATCTCCTGGTAACTGCCAAAAAAATCAAGGTAACTTATAATTAAGACACACTCTGACTTGTTATCCCAGCACTCTGGGAGGCCAAGGTGGGAGGATCACTTGAGCTCAGGAGTTCAAGACCAGTCTGGGCAACATAGAGGCCTCGTCTCTACAAAAACAACTTTTAAAAAGAAAAAAAAAATTAGCTGGGCATGGAGGTGCACACCTGTGGTCTCAGGAGGCTGAGATGGGAGAATCACTTGAACCCAAGAGGTCAAGGCTGCAGCGAGCCATGATCATGCCACTACACTGCAGGCTGAGTGATGGGGGAGATTCTGTTTCAAAAATATACAAAAAATAAATAAATAATAATAATAAAACACTTGAATCATTTTTATTTTGCTCCTTTTCTTATTTTTCTTGAGGGCACCAAAGGCAATGGGAGCAGTTGGAACTGCTGTGCTACAAGCATCAGGAGACACTACAACAAAAGGCACTCATCAAAGGACAAAAAGTAAACAAAAAAAAAAAATTCAGCCAACCATTTAGCCTTCACTCACAAATATGAGTGCCTCCTTTGTATAGTCACTATCCCAGAAAGCAGTCAACAAGAAAAAAAGAACCCTGCCTTCATGAAGCCTTCATTGCAATAATGGCATAAATAACTAAACAAAGAAGACAGTATGAGAGCTAGGAAGAAAATTAAGCAGTGTAATGGCAATGGAATTAAGTAGGGTCCTTAGAGGTCTTTCTGTTTTTTGTTCGTTTGTTTTTGTGTTTTTTTTTTTTTTTGAGACGGAGTCTCGCTCTGTCGCCCAAGCTGGGTGCAGTGGCGCAATCTCGGCTCACTGCAAGCCCTGCCTCCCGGGTTCACGCCATTCTCCTGCCTCAGCTTCCCAAGTAGCTGGGACTACAGGCGCCCACCACCAAGCCCGGCTAATTTTTTGTATTTTTAGTAGAGACGGGGTTTCACCATGTTAGCCAGGAGGGTCTCACTCTCCTGACCTCGTGATCTGCCTGCCTCGGCCTCCCAAAGTGCTGGGATTAAAGGCATGAGCCACCGCGCCCGGCGAGGTCTTTCTGTCTTGACAACATCTGAGCGAAAATCTAATAGTCAGGAAAGAACTAATCAAGTGAGTATCTGGAGGAAGAGAGCATTCCAGGCAGAGGGAACACAGATGAGGCAGTATCTTCAAGGACTGACAGAAAGAGAAGGCCAGTGTAGCTGGAACAGGGCAAGAAGCAGTAGGAGGTCAAGTGAAGGAAAACAAAACAAGCTCCTGGGGTGAAGTGACAGTTTGCTGTATGGACTGGATATCTATGTTCATTTCCTCAGCTTCCATCGTATTATAGTTGAGAACATTAACAATGGAAGAGTGTTTAATAGAAAGCTGCATCAAGCCCTCCTAACAACTGATAATGGATACAGAGGAAGTCCCTGTTTCCATGAGACTGAATGACTAGTCTAAAAAGCAAAGAATGTGAAACAAGCACCTGGACTGGAGGCACAAGAGAAAAAAGAAAATACAGAAGACATTTTTGTTTTAGAACAATTGGACCGAACTGACTTCCTTGAACCAAAAATCATTTTTTAAAAAATAAAAGTATCACCGGGCACGATGGCTCACACCTGTAATCCCAGCACTTTGGGAAGCCAAGGCAGGCGGATCACTTGAGATCAGAGTTCGTGACTAGCCTGGCCAACATGGTGAAACCCCCTCTCTACTAAAAATTAGAAAAATCAGCCAGGCGCCTGTAATCCCAGCTACTTGGGAGGCTGAGGCAGGAGAATCGCTTGAACCCAAGAAGCAGAGGTTGCAATGAGCCGAGATCACGCCATTGCACTCCAGCCTGGACGACAAGACCGAAACTCCGTCTCAATAAATAAATAAATAATAAATAAAATAAGCGGCTGGGTGCAGTAGCTCACACCTGTAATCCCAGCACTTTGGGAGGCCGAGGCGGGCGGATCACCTGAGGTCGGGAGTTCGAGACCAGCCTGATCAACAGGGAGAAACCCTGTCTCCACTAAAAATACAAAATTAGCTGGGCGTGGTGGCGCAGGGCCTGTAATCGCAGCAACTCGGGAGGCTGAGGCAGGAGAATCGCTTGAACCCAGAAGGCGGAGGCTGCGGTGAGCCAAGATCGCACCATTGCACTCCGGCCTGGGCAACAAGAGCGAAACTCCGTCTCAAAAAAAATAAAATAAAATAATAAAATAAAAATATCGGGAGGCTGAGGCAGGAGAATCACTTGAATCCAGGAGGCGGAGGTTGCAGTGAGCCGAGATCATGCCACTGCACTCTAGCCTAGGCGACACAGTGAGACTCCATCTCAAAAAATAATAATAATAATAATAATAACCCAAAAATAATAAATAAAAATAAAAATTTAAAAACACAGTGGGACTAAGGGAGGAGAAACCTTTCACACAGCTAAGAAGCCCACAGGGAGAAGAGTGAGGTATTTTTGTTGGAAAGCCAGGCAAAAAGATGCCTGGACTTGACTAGAGTCTGAGAAGTTACCCAGACTGAGCAGGAAAACAAGAAGGAGCCAGGCTCAGTGGCTCACACCTGTAATCCCAGAACTTTGGAGGCCAAGGCGGGAGGATCACTTGAGCCCAAGAGTTCCAGACCAGCCTGGGCAACATAGGAAGACCTCATCTCTACAAAAATCAAAACAAAAAAAAGAAAGAAAACAAGAAAGAATGGCCTCTAAAACTTGTGGTATATATCCTGGATGACCTATTCAGTCATTCATTCATCAATGACTGACGAATTATCAGTTCTGGGATCCTGCTAGATGTCAGATCCTGCTAGATGCTAGATGAATTGGAAATTGCTAGCAGATCACTGTAGCAATTAATTATTAAGACCAAAAGACCATTCTGTCTTTGTAACACAGAAATCTGGAAGATGCTACTTAACCAAGTGTTTAAACTTAGCATCATCACCAGTGGAACAACCTGACCCACTGAATGCCCTAAGAAAGAAACATCATCAAGCCAGGCACAGTGACTTACACCAATAGTCCCAGCTACTGGGAAGGCTCAGGCAGAAGGACCACCTGTACCCAGGAGTTCAGGAGTTTAGCATGCCGTGATTGTGCCTGCAAACAGCCACTGCACTCCAGCCTAAGCAACACAGCAAGACTCCATCTCAAAAAAAAAAAAAAAAAAAAAAAACAGACACCGTTGTCTCATGCCTGTAATCCCAGCACTTTGGGAGGACAAGGTGGGTGGATTGCTTGAGGTTAGGAATTTGAGGCCACCCTGGCCAACATGGTGAAACCCTATCTCTACTTTAAAAAAAAAAAGCTTAGCTGGGTGTGGTGGTGTGCACCTGTAGTCCCAGTACTTGGGAAGCTGAGGCATGAGAATCACTTGAACCTGGGAGGCAGAGGTCGAGGTGAGCCGAGATCGCACCACTGCACTCTAGCCTGGGTGACAGAGCGAGACTCGATCTCAAAAACCCAACAAAAAAACATCATCACACCTATTTGACAAATCCAAAATGGAGAACATCTACAAAACTGGCCTAAACTATACAAAAATGCCACTGTCCCAAGTGGGAAAGCTGGAAGTGAAGGCTAAAGACATACGACAATCGAATGCAATATGTGATCTTTTATTGATTCCTGATTTTTAAAAAGAGAAAGAAAAACCATAAAGGGTATCACTAGAACAACTGTGAGAATCTGAATCTGAATATGGACTGCACAAAAAAATCAGTACTTCTGCGGATCTTGTTAAAACACAGATTCTGATTCAATATATCTAGGGTAAGGCCTAAGATTCTGCATTTCTCAAGAGCTCCCAGGGAGAGCCAATGCTAACCCTCAGACTGCTCTTTAAAAGGTATTACATGTTACTGTATCAATGTAAAAGGTCTTGAGTGTGACAGTAGTGTCAGGGTTATGCAGGGCCTGTTATGTTATTCTTCAGAATAACATGCTAAAGAGTGAAGTCCCATGAGGTCTGCAGTTTACTTTCAAATGACTCTGAAATAGTTTCTATCGAGTAATTGAGAAAATTTGAAAAATGTTAACAATGGTCAGCTGGTAAATCAAGCACTCACTGTACTTCAACTTTTCTGTAGGTTTGAAGATCTTCCCCAAAAAAAGTAGGGGGAAAATGCTTACAACAGTCTATACAGGAAAAGAGTTATAATACGATAGAAGGTATAATGTTCTAAGTGCTCCAGGGGCACCCAAAAGACGGTCCCCAAATAGTCAGGAAGGACTCACTGAGTATCTGACGTACTGTTTGAGGGCAGGGAGGCTGTTTCAGGTTGTGAAGGACAATGGCGCCAAAGAACACCAGCACCTTCCGGCAACCACAGTGAGTGAAAAATAGAGGATGCACAGTGAAGTGGCAGATAATAAGCTGAAAGAAAAGCTAAGAAATTCAGCCTGGCGCGGTGGCTCATGCCTGTAATCCCAGCACTTTGGGAGTCCAAGGTGGGCAGATCACAAGGTCAGGAGATCGAGACCATCCTGGCTAACACAGTGAAACCCTGTCTCTACTAAAAAATACAAAAAATTAGCCAGGCGTGATGGCGGGCGCCTGTAGTCCTAGCTACTCGGGAGGCTGAGCAGGAGAATGGCGTGAACCCGGGAGGAGGAGCTTGCAGTGAGCCAAGATCACGCCACTGCACTCCAGCCTGGACGACAGAGCGAGACTCTTGTCTCAAAAAAAAGAAAGAAAGAAAAGTTATGAAATTCAGAAGACATTGGAGGGTTCAGCTTTATTCTTCCTATCTTAAAAATATTTGGACCCACTGTATTCTTACTGTTCATAACAACTACTTGAGCAACACTGAAACAACCCCTTCCCTCTGCCCCCTAAAAAACAAAGGTAAAGGAGCAAACCCCACCTCTTCCCGTTACCACAGTGAAGGTGGGAAGTGACGAGACATGCCTTCACCAGAGCTGCATTTTCACAAGTATAGGGCTTCTCCCTGCACTTAACTGCAAAGCTGAGTTCCTCAAACTCCATGAGCCCCAAACCAAGCATCCCCTCTATACTCCACTGCATTCCCCCTGTGGCCTTCCCCTTCTCCGCTGACCAAAGTTCCACCAATCCAGGTCCCTAGAATGAGACTCTAGCCTCATTTTCTTTCTCCTCCGTACCTCAGTAAACACCTCACTCACCCTACTAACCCCCTTCCTGCTCTCAGGGCTCTGTTATCTCTGGTTGAGAATATCAAGGTGTCTTCTAATTTCCAATCATTCTCCAGGGAGCCCCAGTTATCATTATCATTGGGTCACTCCCTCTGAAAAAAAAAAAAAAACAAAACATGGTATTGCTTCCCCACCACATACAGGATGAAGCCAAAAACTCCTACAAGCCTCGCCTACTCTAGCCTGTCAGCCTTATCACCTGTCTCCACTCCAAGAAAATATTCCCCAATGCACCTGCATGCCTCCAGATCTATACACAAGACTGTTCCTCTGCCCAGAGCACCCTTCAAGTCTTCTCAAACTGGAAAGCTACAATTTTCCTTCAAGACTCAGACATCTGTCATCTCTGCCTCACAAAGAGACACAACATACCATGTTCCCCCAGCACTTGTCACATAGCACTATTATCTGTGTGTGTGTATGTGTGTCTCCCATGAAACTGAGAGCTCTTTCGAGTTTTTTGATCATGGTAACTTTCATCTAATCTAACACTCTATACATGTTTAACTGAATTAGCTCAACTGCTCTATGCACAAAGAAATAAGAAACATCTCTCATGACAGATTAGCAAAAAGTGGGTATAAACTGCCTTTTTTTTTTTTTTTTTTTTTTTTGAGACAGAGTCTCACTCTATCGCCAGGCTGGAGTGCAGTGGCGCGATCTTGGCTCACTGCAACCTCTGCCTCCCAGGTTCAAATGATTCTCCTGCCTCAGCCTCCCAAGTAGCTGGGACTACAGGCATGCACCACCATGCCCAGCTAATTTTTATATTTTTAGTAGAGATGGGGTTTCACCATGTTGGCCAGTATGGTCTCGATCTCTTGACCTCGTGATCCACCTGCCTCGGCCTCCCAAAGTGCTGGGATTACAGGCATGAGCCACCTCGCCCAGCGCCAATTCTTACCTATCAGCTATTTTACCAAACCTGATCTCCTGAGTTCATAAATTTCCTGGGGTTAGCAATGGTGGCTTACACATTAACATCCCTCCAGCACACAGCACACTGCTTTGCAAGGCAGACTTAATAAATGAACTGTATTTAAGTGAGCCTTTCCTGATGCAATTGAGATACAGCAAAATGGCCAGGCACAGTGGCTCTCACCTATAATCCCAGCACATTGGGAGGAAGAGGCTGGTGGATCACTTGAGGTCAGGAGTTCAAGACCAGCCTGGCCAACATGGTGAAACCTCGTCTCTACTAAAAATAAGAAAATTAGCTGGGGCCGGGCGCGGTGGCTCACGCCTGTAATCCTAGCACTCTGGGAGGCCGAGGCGGGCGGATCACCTGAGGTCAGGAGTTTGAGACCAGCCTGGCCAACCTGGTGAAACCCCATCTCTACTAAAAATATGAAAATTAGCTGGGCGTGGTGGTGGGTGCCTGTAATCCCAGCTATTTGGGAGGCTGAGGCAGGAGAATCACTTGAACCTGGGAGGCGGAGGTTGCAGTGAGCCGAGATCATGCCATTGCACTCCAATCTGGGGGACAGAGCAAGACTCCGTCTCAAAAAAACAAAAAGAAAACAAGCTGGGCATGGTGGCAGGCACCTGTAATCCCAGATACTCGGAAGGCTGAGGCAGAAGAATCGCTAGAATCCTGGAGCCAGAGGCTGCAGTGAAGAGAGATCGCATCACTGCACTCCCACTCCAGCATGGGCGACAGGGCGAGATCTCAAAAAAAAAAAAAAAAAAAAAAGAGAGAGATACAGCAAATTACTGCTTTAGACTAACTCAAAGCAACTAGAAAACATCACATCTTTCACTGGTCTTAAAGACCCGAAATAAATGTCATCTGGCCAGGTACAGTGGCACACACCTATAATCCCAGCACTTTGGGAGGCTGAGGTGGGCGGATCACCTGAGGTCAGGAGTTCGAGACCAGCCTGACCAACATGGAGAAACCCCGTCTCTAATAAAAATACAAAATCAGCCAGGCGTGGTGGTGCATGCCTGTAATCCCAGCTACTCGGGAGGCTAAGGCAGGAGAATCGCTTCAACCCAGGAGGCAGAGGTTGCGGTCAACTGAGATCATGCCACTGCACTCCAGCCTGGGCAACAAAAGCAAAACTCCGTCTCAAATTAAAAAAAAAGAAAAAAGTTGCCATCTTCCATTTCCACTTTTTTTTCCCTCCCAAGGGATCAAACTCACATTTCACTTAGTTACCTCTCTGCAAAATGGAAGGTTTCTTTTTTTTGTTGAGACAGAGTTTCACTCTTGTTGCCCAGGCTGGAGTGCAATGGCACGATCTCAGCTCACTGCAACCTCCGCCTTCCAGGTTCAAGGGATTCTTCTGCCTCAGCCTCCCGAGTAACTGGGATTACAGGCATGTGCCACCATGCCCGGCTAATTATTTTTTTGTTTTTTGTTTTTTGTTTTTTTGAGACAGATTCTCGCTCTGTCACCCACGCTGGAGTGCAATGGCACAATCTCAGCTCACTGCAACCTCCACCTCCCGGGTTCAAGCAATTCTCCTGCCTCAGACTCAGGAGTAGCTGGGATTACAAGTGTGAGACACCGCGCCCTGCAATTTTTTGTATTTTTAGTAGAGACGGTGTTTCTCCATGTTAGTCAGGCTAGTCTTGAACTCCTGACCTCAGGTGATCTGCCCGCCTCCCAAAGTGCTGGGATTAAAGGCGTGAGCCACCGCACCCAGCCTAAATGGCAGGTTTCTAAAGACACACTTAAAAGTCAGTCCAAAGCTTTTCTAAAAATATGATAACCCAGGTCCACAGACGCAAGAGAATGACAACAAATGAATCCCTCATGAAACCTTTTGCCAATTTAGAGATCCCCAGGAATATAAAACCCACAAACACTGTTTCATCAGTAATAGTAACATGCTTCTCCCTTTTAGCCTCTAGCTTATTCACTGCACCATCATATTTCACAAACCATGATTTAGAATTTGGATTGTAAACTCAGGCCAGGCACAGTGGCACATGCCTGTAATCCTAGCACTTTGGAGGCCAAGGTGGGCAGATCGCTTGAGTTCAGGAGTTCAAAGATCAGCCTAAGCAATATGGTGAGACCTGTCTCTACTAAAAATGTAAAAAATTAGCTGGGTGTCGTAGTACACACCTATGGTCCCAGCTATTCAGAAGGCTGAGGTGGGAGGATGGCTTGACCCTGTCTCAAAAAAAAAGCTTGGATTAATATTGAAATATTGAATCTAATGAAATATTCAACATACCATGAGAGAATGGTAACAATGCATCTTTGCCTAGAAAGAATGCATGTAACAGAGCCGCACAGGGCAAATGCACTATCAAAGGCTCAATCCTTCAATTAACTTGAAATGGGCCATAGTGAATGTGTTTTCTGAGTTATAACAGCACTTTCATTTTCAAGAACAGTCTGTATGTAGTCTAACCTAGTTAATAAATACAGGATTATGTAACTTGGTAATTAACCAGGTTTCCAACTCACATCTTCAATTCAGAATGTCAAATACTGACAAAAAAAAACATAGCAATAAGACACTTTCAAGAGAGTTGATGAGCCACTTATTTTTGACAATATTTAATAATGAAACCTCAAAACAAGAAAATGAAGGAAATTCACAGCTTGATATGATGGAATCAAATAGTCAAAACTAAGCAATCTAGGGAAAAAATTAGCCTTTAAATTAGCAATTAAGAAAGATAAATTTTTCTTCTGTTAAGCCCTTTTAGTCTAAAAAGAAAAAAAAACCTCTTAGAGACAAAAATTACATTAGCTTCCACAATATAGTTCCATCCCTCCTTTTAATAAAATGGGAACATGAAAAAAATGACAGACATTTTAAAAATCACTTCACACTACTCATACAATATTGTTCAAAATGAGCAAATGTTACAAGTATTTAGAACATCCGAAGTTGCCCTGTGAACTGTATTTACATTACATGCATTACTCCAAACTTACAGCTGGTAAAAAAAAAAAACCACAAATTAAATCCCAATCAAAAAGAGGGGTTGATCGATGACAGCCCATCAACAAGTAAGTGGAAATACATGCTAATTTCAAGCTCCATTAGAAATGGAGTTGTGGCATACTTCCACATGGAGAAAAATAAGTTTGATAGTTATAAAAAAAAACTAAAGAAAATAATGAACATTTAAGGCTCTAACAGAGAAAGGGCAATGTTGACATTTTATTTTTGAAGTGTGGTTCTTTGCACACTTGGAACTTTCAATAATGGATAATTCAGTATAGTGCTCTCACAAGTGAGCAAACAGCATGAGACAAGGCAAGTCACGCTGGACTAATTCCCCACACTGTTCAGTCCATTCAATCCAGGCCCACAACATGTGGGGGACAGGGCAGATCACCAAGCAGTACATGTAATATCTTCAAGGTCTGGAAGCAGGCATACTGGTACCCAGGCAAGTTTCAGAAAGTGCTGCTCTATGAGACTCTTCCAGATGTGTTTTAACTTTTTCCTTACAGAAAACAGAAGCTGCTAATAAGACTTAAATCCTCCAACATGCATAGAATAATAACCTAAATTTCTTTAGGACTTCAAAGTGGGCCAGGCGCAGTGGGTCACGCCTGTAATCTCAGCTCTTTGGGAGGCCAAGGCAGGTGGATCACTTGAGCTCAGGAGTTTGAGACCAGCCTGGGAAACACGGTGAAACTCTGTCTCTACAGAAAACACAAAAATTAGCCAGGCATTGTGGCAGGCGCCTGTAGTCCCAGCTCCATAGGAGGCTGCGGTGAGGGGATCACTTTCAACCCGGGAGGTCAAGGCTGCAGTGAGGTGTGATTGCACCACTGCACTCCAGCCTGGATGACTGAGTGAGACCCTGTATCAACAACAACAAAAAGACCTCAAAGTGTGTGGTTTTGGTCACTTGAGAAAAAAATGATTTGGGCAGAGAAGGTAGAAAGAATAATTGGGTTCATGTTTTTCACTACTTATTTATTATCTCCATATAGAAGGCCAAACTCACCCCCAAAATTTTTTTGAGTAAATTTTTTTACCTGTTCATTTTTCCACCTTTTATGCACAATAAAATTCACTCTCTCGTATACCAATCTAAAAACAGCTGTGTGGGCCAGGTGAGTGGCTAAAGCCCGCAATCCCAGCACTTTAGGAGGCGGACGGATCATTTGAGGTCAGGAGTTCAAAACCAGCCTGGCCAAAATGGTGAAACCCCGTCTCTACTAAAAGTACAAAAATTAAACAGGTCGTGGTGACACATGCTTGCAAATCCCAGCTACTCAGGAAGCTGAGGCAGGAGAATCATTTGAACTCAGGAAGTGGAGGTTGCAGTGAGCCGAGATCATGCCACTGCACTCCAGACTGGGCGACAGGGTGAGACTCTGTCTCAAAAAAAATAAATAACAGTTGTGTGATCACCTCCACAATCAAGATACAGAGAAGTCAAATGAATTTATTTTCACAACAGCATGTACCTACAACTAATCCACAGAATATAAGAGTACAAAATATTATTTACTTAGAACACCTGCTTCAAGAGCTAAGTGGGCATCAACTTCTGAAGAGGCTGACGAAGGACTACAGTTGACAAGGCAGATCCCTAACATCCCTGACAAGGAACGTTCCTGAACAGAAATTCAGTACCAAACCCTTTCTGGATGACATCATCACCAGCATGTGGCCTTCCAGAACTTATTATATATCCAACCAGCCCGAGAGACATCTCCTCTTCTATCCAAGTTTGTGACCTGCTATTAAAACCCCCCTTTCAGCTTCATTCAACAGTCAGCCTACAGTCACACCACTTCAAGTACTCAGACAATAGATCAAGAATGTCTAAAGTGGAAAATACCCTGATGTACCACAGGTGATGATAAAGTACATTTCTGGAGAGGAATTTGGAAAAATTTTAAGAGCTATAAAAAAGTAGCATACCTTGGAAATAATCCAAACGTCCATCAACATATGAATGGATAGGTCAGACGTGGTGGCTCACGCCTGTAATCCCAGCAGTTTTCGAGGCTGAGGCAGGTGAATCATTTGAGGTCAGGAGTTAGAGACCAGCCTGGCCAATATGGTGAAACCCCGTTTCTACTAAAAATAAAGAAATTAGCCGGGTGGTAGTGGCGCACACCTGTAATCCCAGCTACTCAGGAGGCTGAGGCAGGAGAATCGTTTTGAGCTTGGGAGGCAGAGGTTGTGGTGAGCCAAGATCGCACCACTGCACTCCAGCCTGGACAACAGAGACTCTGTCCCCTCCAAAAAAAAAAGTATGAATGGATAAACAAAATATGGCATATACATACAATAAATGGAACATTATTCAGCCTTTAAAAGGAAAGAAATCCGGCTGAGCACGGTGGCTCACTCCTGCAATCCCAGCACTTTGGTAGGCCGAGGCGGGTGGATCACCTGAGGTCAGGAGTTCAAGACCAGCCTGACCAACATGGAGAAACCCCGTCTCTACTAAAAATAACAAAATTAGCCAGGCATGGTGGCGCATGCCTGTATCCCAGCTACTCAGGAGGCTGAGGCAGGAGAATCGCTTGAACCCGGGAGGCGGAGGTTGTGGTGAGCCAAGATCGCGCCATTGCACTCCAGCCTGGGCGACAAGAGTGAAACTCCATCTCATAAAAAAAAAAAAAAAAAAAAAAAAAAAAAGGAAAGAAATTCTGGGAGAGGATTCCAGATTCTAAAACAGCAGAGTAGGAAGCACCAAGATCAGTCTCCCCACCTAGACAATTACACTGGCATAATTAGTCAGATGTAATTCTGGGGACTGTTGAAGAAAGCTTGCAACTTCCAAGGAAAGACTGGGACAGTAAATTGGGTTAATTTCAGTCAATTTCAGCCCTTAGCTGAGCAGCAGCTACCCCATTCCCTAGCCCCCAGCCACGGGCAGACAACCTACAATGCATTCCTGAAACAGCTTGCAAGCAGCTTTTGGGAACCAGGATGGGTAATAAGGACCCTGTCCTCCAAATATTAGGGATCCGTATTCTAATTGCTGATTGCTGCTTATAATCAGGGATAGGCAGACACTGAGAAGGATAGCCATTATTGCACCCCCTCCATGACTGCAAGTCCTCCCCCTCCAGCTGAAGTAGACTTCCAGGAAATTTAATGGGCCAAGGGCCCCCACCTCCCTACTTCCTTCATTTTTCTCTTTTTCCTCTTTAGGAGCTAGACTTTAAAGACTAGGATATTCAAAAGCAATCATGAGGGTGCGGGGGAGATAAGGAAAAAAGTTACCATGGTGCATGCGCCCAGGGAAAGGTGCAGGCTCAAAAAAGACCTGAGAAGTCCTTAAGTTTGTATCTCAGGCTGATCCTCAGCATAAAAACAAACTGTAACAAATAAACAAAAAAATCCAGCAAACCCTGGGAATGAGAAGAGTCCAATTTTCAGAGTTAGCACATCATTAGATTCAAATGTCCAGTTTTCAAAAAAAAATTAAAAAGTCCCAGGTCATACAAAGATACAGGAAAGTATGACCCATTAAAAGAAAAAAAAAATTAACCAATAAAAACTGTCCCAGTTGCTGGGCACGGTGGCTCATGCCTGTAATCCCAGTACTTTGGGAAGCCAAGGCTGGCTGATCACCTGAGGTCAGGAGTTCAAGACCAGCCTGACCAACATGGAGAATCCCTGTCTCTACTTAAAATACAAAATTAGCCAGGTGTGGTGGCGCATGCCTGTAATCCCAGCTACTCAAGAGGCTGAGGCAGGAGAATCGCTTAAAGCCAGGAGGCAGTGCAGTGAGCCAAGATCACGCCATTGCACTCCAGTCCGGGCAACGAGAGCAAAACTCCATCTCAAAAAAAAAACAAAAACTGTCCCAGAGAAAGACCAGATGGAAGACCTACTAGACAAAGACATTAAAACAACTGTCTTACAGATGTTCAAAAAACTAAAGGAAGGTATGGGAAAAATCAAGAAAATAATGTATTTTAAAAATAAAAATATCAGCCGGGTGTGGTGGCTCACACCTGTAATCCCAGCACCTTGGGAGGCCGAGGTGGGCAGATCACGAGGTCAAGAGATCAAGACTATCCTGGCCAACATGGTGAAATGCCATCTCTACTAAAAATACAAAAATTAGCTGGGCGTGGTGGCATGTGCCTGTAGTCCAGCTATTTGCGAGGCTGAGGCAGGAGAATCACTTGAACACGGGAGGCAGAGGTTGCAGTGAGCCAAGATCGTGCCACTGCACTCCAGCCTGGTGACAGAGCGAGACTCCGTCTCAACAACAACAACAAACAAACAAAAAAAGTTAGCCGGGTGTGGTGGCAGGCGCCTGCAGTCCCAGCTACTAGGGAGGCTGAGGCAGGAGAACGGCATGAACCCGGGAGGCGGAGGTTGCAGGGAGCCAAGATCGCACCACTGCACTCCAGCCTGGGTGACAGAGCAAGACTCCATCTCAAAAAAAAATAAAAATAAATAAAATAAATAAAATTAAAATACCAGATTAGCCAGGTGTGGTGGCACATGCCTGTAATCCCAGCTACTTGGGAGGCTGAGGCAGAAGAATCACTTGAACCCAGGAGACAGAGGTTGCAGTGAGCCGACATCACGCCATTGCACTCCAGCCTGGGCAACAAGAGCAAAACTCCATCTCAAAAAAAAAAGAAATAGGAGAAAAAAAGAATATATTACACATAAGCTGAGGACTGCATGGAGAGGATTTCATCAGTGATTAGATCTGGGTGGCAAGGAAGAAGAATGGGCTGTAGATGGTTCTCAGTTTGCCCAAATTTGTTATTGGAGGCCCTCCATAATCTGACTGTTGCCTCATCTGTTATCATTCCATCCACAAGCTAGACTCCAGGCAGAAAAGACTTTTTCCTCCTTCACTCAACAAGCATCTAATTTGCCCTCCATGCCAGGTACTAAGCACCAAGACAAGAACTAAGACTCTCAGTTCCTGCCTTCAAGGAGCTTACAAGGCTCCCTTCCTAGCAGTAAAGGCAAACAGGTACATCAATAATAACGTACAGCATAATGTAATGCACCACCCAGTGCTAAAAAATTTGCTACCAGAAACGAAAGTGCTGAGTCTTAAGATATGACTAAAAGCTCATCATGAAAGGTTATGTTGGGAGAGTAGAAGGGAATCACTGAGGAAGCAACTTTACCCTAGGCCCCCAACATCCAGTCCATTTTCTTTTTTTCTGAGTCAGGGTCTCACTGTGTTGCCCAGGCTGGAGTGCAGGGGCATGATCATAGTTCACAGCAGCCTTGAACTGTTTTTAAATACTGTATGCCTCAGCGGCATTACATATATTCACGATCCATTTCCAGAACTTTTTTCATCTTCCCAAACCGAACTCTGTACCCATAACAATAGCTCCCTATTCCCCTTCACCTGGCCCCTAACAACCACCATTCTGTTTTCTTTCTTTCTCCTTCCTTCCTCCCTCCCTTCCTCCCTTTTTTTCTTTTGTTTGAGACAGGGTCTCACTCTGTCACCCAGGCTGCAGTGTGACATGATCAGAGCTCACTGCAACCTCCACCTCCCAAGCTCAAGCAATGAATCCTACCACCTCAGCCTCCTGAGTAGCTGGGACTACAGAGCGTGTCACCATGCCTGGTTGATTTTTTTTTTTTTAGAGGCGGGGTCTCATAAAGTTGCTCAGGCTGGTCTTGAACTCCTAGCTTCAAGTGATCCTCCCAACTCAGCCTCCCAAAAAAACAGGATTATAGGCATGAGCCTCCCTGTCCAGCCCCAATCCATATTTAAGTCCTGTCTCATTTCTCCAAAATACAGCTCCCTTCATCCCTACCACCTCGTACTCCACCATCTTCCTAGCTCAACTCTCTGCTTCCACATGCACACAAACACAAGCCTTCTCCAAGCACTAGCAGGAGTCTTAAAAAGGAAATCAAATCATGAAACTCCCTACAATGGCTTCTTACACCTCTAGAATAAAACCCCAACATGGCCTCTGCCTTCTCTGGCAATCTCATGTGAGGTCTTCTCCCCACTGAAAAAGTACCCAAGCTATACAAGTCTTCTCTCAAGTCTCTAAACACACGGAGTCTTTCCTGTCTCAGGACCTCTACAAATGCAGAGGGCCCTGTTCCTTCTCTCCATATTCTCACCAGCACACAACACTACCCCCAACAATCAGGGCTGTCTGTTATGCCCCACAGTGAGTTACGTTCTCAAAGAAATCCGAAAGTGCGGTGGCTCACACCTGTAATCCCAGCACTTTAGGAGGCTGAGGCGAGTGGATCACCTGAGGTCAGGAGTTAAAGACCAGACTCACCAATATGATGAAACCCCATCTCTGCTAAAAATTAAAAAATCAGGCTGGGCACGGTGGCTGAAGCCTGCAATCCCAGCACTTTGGGAGGCCGAGGTGGATCACGAGGTCAGGAGTTTGAGACCAGCCTGGCCAACATGGTGAAACCCTCTCTATCAAAAATACAAAAAAATTAGGCAGGCATGTTGGCACACACCTGTAATCCCAGCTCCTTGAGGTTGAGGCAGGAGAGTTGCTTGAACCCAGGAGGCACGGGTTGCAGTGAGCCGCAATTATGCCACTGCACTCCAGCCTGGGAGACACAGCAAGACTATCTCAAAATAAATAAATAAATAAATAAATAAATAAGCCGGGCGTGGTAGCTTGCACTTAGTAATCCCAGCTACTCCGGAGGCTGAGACAGGAGAATCGCTTGAATCCCCAGGAGGTGGAGTTTGCAGTGAACTGAGATCACCTCACTGAACCCCAGCCTGGGCAACACAGGGAGACTCCATCAAAAAAAAAAAAAAAAAAAAAAAAAAAAAAAAAAAGAAGGAAATCCCAAAACCCGGGCAGGGCAGTTACCCTGGATCTCCACATCTGGTTCATGTCTCCAGAAGAGACAGGAGTCCCACTTTGGACACCTTGAGTTTGAGAAGCCTGGGACACCCAAAAAGCTTCCCAATGCACAGGTGACCATGTGGGTCAGGAGACACACCTGCACTCAAAGGCTTGGACTTTTAGCACATAAGGCTGATGACAGAAGAGACTGCACAGAGCAGTGATTCTCATCTTGGAGGAGGGTACCTCTCATCTCTAAGTCACTATATGAAATGAGATATCACTGATGGGAGTGAAGGTGATGCCACATCAGTGGTGTGGAGGACAAAGATACTTTGGAAAGAACCCTGGGTACGAGAGGAAAGAGTGAGGGCGAGGAAAAGAAAGAAACTGAGATGAGTCAAAAGGAAAAGAAAACCAGGAGAGTGATATCACAATTCCCCAAACTCCTATGCCCTTTTATGCTTCTCATGACTTTCTCCCTTCACTTAAAAAAAACTCGACTCATGTTTCATCCAGATCAAATGCCACCACCTCCTGAAAGCCTTTCTGGACTTACCCAAGTAAAACTTATTAGCCCCCTCTCCGTGCCTCTACAAGTTTCTTTTGTTGTTACTATTAGGTAAGATTTGACTCAGACAATAGTTTCATTAGTACTGTTAAGGCACTTACTGCAGTCCGCTCTGTACTACACCTGGGGTGTGTGTCTCCCCTATTACACTGTGAGCTCTTAGGTGGATTAAAAAATTATTCTTTCGCTGAATAAATATCCAGATGGGGTCAGGCACCCTGGCTCAGGCCTGTAATCACAACACTTTGGGAGGCTGAGGCAGGAGGACCACTTGAGCCCAGGAGTTCGAGACCAGCTTGGGCAAGACAGCGAGACACCATCTCTACCAAAAATACAAAAATTAGACGGATGTGGTGGCGCGTGCCTGTAGTCCCAACTACTTCGGAAGCCGAGGTGGGGGGATCACTTGAGCCCAGGAGACAGAAGCCGCAGTGAGTCATGATCGTGTCACTGCGCTCCAGCCCGGGCGACGGAGACCCCGTCTTTAAAAAAAATGTTTGTTCAAAAGTCCAGATTGGTAAATAATTAGGCAGAAACTATAGGTAACTCCTACACTCATTCTTCATTCTTCCTGTAAAACAAAATAACACATCCTAATTAATTCGATTTATAAATTCCGTTCCTTAAAGTAACACCCACCTGTCCAGTATTTAAAAATCACTGCTGACTAAACACAAATATTCGCTCCACAAAATGCCTATCCTGTCCCAACAATGATGTAAGCATTTCCTTCATCATAAATATAAAATGCCCCGAATTTAGTCGTAGACTTGACATATCTCGCTCTTTTCCAAATAATTGTAAATTCTGTACAAAACACACGCACCAAAAAAATGTCACCAAGATGCAAGAGGACGTAAGAGGGAGTCAACCTTGGAACTGGGCCAACCGCCGCCTGCATTACTGGGAAGCCACTGCTGCCAAGCAAAGGTCAGGCATTCATTCAGGCAACATTTTTTCCAACAAGTGCTTCACACTCGCACGCACACACACGCTCCTTTAAAAGTCAACAACAATTAAAAAAAAAAAAAAACCTCTCTAATGCCACTCCTGAAAACTAGGGCTGAAAGCTAAGTGCGTCCAACCGACAAGAAACCCAGGAAAGCTGAGTAATCCCCGAGTCCAAGTGGACGGTCACGCCAAAAGTCCACACGGGTGTGGCCCACCTACGGCGAAGCTGTATGGGAGAAGCCCGGGCTCCAGCCTCCCGGTTCGCCGAGCCCGCGTCCCCGCCGCCCCATCGGGAAGTCTCAGCGGCCGGGAAGGGGGAGGGGGCAGGAACGCCTCGGAGCCGGACGACAATCACTTCCCGGGAAAGCGGCTCCCAGACAAGCCGCCCCAGGGAAGGAAGGCGGCCGAGGGGCCCGGCGCGGGGCTGCCGCGCGCGCCGAGGCCGCGGTAACAAAGTTTGGAAACCGCGAGAAAACTTTTCCAAGAGGAAACGCGGCGGCGGCGCTGGGCCTATAGTTTCTCCTCCCCAGCCCAGGCGGCCCCCCGACTTCCCGAGCGCTGGGAAGCGCCGGCCGTGCCCGCCCGGGCCCCATACTCGGGCCCTGCGGGGGAAGGGACCGCCGGCCCGACGCGGGTCCCACGCCCGCCCGGGGCCCAATTCCCGGCGACGTCGCCAAAGAAACCGCGCCCCGCCCGCTCGCCCGCCCGCGGCTCGCGGGGCCCAGCTTGGGACGGCCCGGCCCAAGGACCCTCTCGGCCTGGCCCGAGAGACCGCGCCCGCGAGGAGGGAGGTACGAAGTTACCTGCGGCTAGCTGGGCGAGCGCTAAATTCCAGAGGCCCGAAGCAGACGGGCGCTGCTTTGTCTCCCTCCAGTCCGGCTAGGAGGAGGAAATGGGCCGCCCCACGCCCCCGCCCCCGGCCCGCCCCCCGCCCGCGGCCCCCGCCCCTGTCCCGGCCCCGCCCGCCCTTCCTGGCACCTCCCTCCGACTCGCTCTTCCCGGCGCCTCCCGCCGCCGCCCCGCCCGCTCCTCCCGGCCGTTCCGGCCTCCGCTTTTGGGGAAAGGGAAGGCCCCCACCGCGAAGAGAGTCTGGCAACGCCGGACCGGGACCCCCGAGGGACCTCTTCCTCCCCGCCGCCCACCTCAGAATTCCTTCCTCCCCGGCCCCTAGTGGGAGCTTAGGCCGGGAGTGACCCCTGAGAGGGAGGAGGAGCGGTGACTCCTGGAACAGCCCGCGGGCGGAGAGGGCTGCGCGAGGGCAGGTGAGTCACCGCTCCGCGCACAGGTGAGGCTCAGGGGCGGCCTCGCGCGGGCCCCCACCCCGGCGGAATCCCAGAGACGCGACCAGGGGTACTGGGCACGCTCCCCTCAAGAGTGTCACAGGTGTCCCGGAGTCACAGTCTTCTGGAAAAGTGATCTAGGCCAACTACCTGGCTTTACAGAAGGAGAAGCGGAGGCTAAGGAAAGGCCCCACAGCTTCGGGACACAGTGGAACTAGAATCTGACTCTCAGGACCTTTCATAATGTGAGGTGGAAGCGCCCCTAGAATTCACCTAACCCGTCCCCTCACTCCACAGATGGAAACACCCGAAGCCCTCTTGATCAAGGACTTTTTTTTTTTTTTAAGACGGGGTCTCCCTCTGTCGCCCAGGCTGGGGTGGAGTGTCGCGATCACGGCCCACTGCAGCCTCAAATCCCTGGACAACCGACCCTCCCACCTCAGCCTCCGGAGTAGCTGGAACTACAGACACAGAGTCTCACTATGTTGCCAGGCTGGTCTCAAACTCATGGGCTCAAGAAATCCTCCTCAGCCTCCCAAAGTGCTGGGATTACAGGCTAGAGCCACCTTGCGGGGAGGACATTTACAAACACAAAAGAGGCACCGCAGCAGCTGTCCCTTTTTGGGCTTGTTCCCGCCCCGCCCCCAGCACGTCCCCCCTCCCAGCTTGTCCCCCTCCTCCAACAAATTTGAGGGACCTGACTTCTATCTCTATTCCTCTGGTCATTTGGGGCATTTTATTCTTACCCTTTCTTATCTTCATAGTGAATACTCCAAAAACAAAAGAAAACAAAATTACAAAGCAAACAAACAACACAAAAAAACAAAAACTACTACATGCTCACTATCATCCTGGTATAGAAAACCCTAATGATGTTTCCCCTGCTCACGGGATGATGAATAAGATAGATTTCAGTATTGGCCTATAAACCTGAATAATGCAAGACGACGATGTCCACTGCTGGCCTTGTGCTGAATAGAGAGCAGGGTGCTAGGGAGACCTGCCCTTACCGTGTTTACCCTCTACTCCTCACATCTCCCTCTCCCCCAAGGGAATATAAACTTCTGGAAAGCAGGAGCTGTATCTCCTGCAGCACCCAGCACATTGCCCATCCCCTAGGGAGTGCCTAGTGAACATCTGTGGGTGAATGTGCCCACTGTAATTCAAAGTACTGTGGGCCTGTGCTAGTTAACAGATGCTGACAAAGGGCAATAGGACCATGAAGTGGGGAGAGAACAACCTTTAAGAAAAAGAGGATGGGCACAGTGGCTCACACAAGTAATCCCAGCACTTTGGGAGGCCAAGATGGGTGGATCACATGAGCTCAGGAGACCAGCCTGGGCAAAATGATAGAACCCTTGTCTACAAAAAAATACAAAAACATAGCTGGGTGTAGTGGCACCTACCTGTAGTCCCAGCTACTTGGGAGGCTGAGGTGGGAGGATCGCTTGAGCCTGGGAGTTCAAGGCTGCAGTGAACCATGACTGCACCACTGCACTCCAGCCTGGGCAACACAGTGAGACTCTGTCTCAAAAAGAAAAAGAAAAAGGCAAACCCTGACAAGGTCATTCTTGTCCAACTACCCCTGTCCTGTTTCTGGCTGCAGGGTCTTTGCTCCTGTAGTCTCCTCTGCCTAGAGTGGCTTTGGCGTCCCTCTACTTCACCTGGCTAACTCAGAACATAATTCATATATTTTGGATATTTGTCCCTGCCCAAATCTCACATTGAAATGTAATCCCCAGTGTTGGAGGTGGGGCTGGTGGGAGGCATTTGGGTAATAGAGGAGGATCCCTCATGGCTTGGTGCTGTCCTCCAGGTACTAAGGGAATTCTCATGAAATGTAGTCGTTTTAAAGTGTAGCACCGGCCAGGCACAGTGGCTCACACCTGTAATCCCAACACTTTTGAGAAGCCAAGGTGGGCGGATAGCTTGAGCCCAGGAGTTCGAGACCAGCCTGGGCAACATGGTAAAAACCCATCTCTACAAAAAAATACAAAAAAATTAGCCAAGCAGGCTGGGCACCGTGGCTCACGCCTATAGTCCCAGCACTTCAGGAGGCCAAAGCGGGCAGATCATCTGAGGTCAGGAGTTCAAGACCAGCCTGGGGCAACATGGTGAAACCCCATCTCTACTAAAAGTACAAAATTAGCAGGGCATGGTGGCATGTGCCTGTAATCCCAGCTACTCGGGACGCTGAGGCAGGAGAATCATTTGAACCTGGGAGGCAGAGGTGGAGCCGAGATCACGCCATTACACTCCAACCTTGGCAACAAAAGCAAAAGTCTGTCTCAAAAAAAAAAAAAAAGCCAGGCATGGTGGTGTGTGCCTGTAGTCCCAGCTACCTGGGGGGCTCAGGTGGGAAGATCACCTGAGCCTGGGGAGATTGAGGCTGCAGTGAGCCATGATTGTGCCACTACACTCCAGCCTGGGCAACGGAGTGAGACCCTGTCTCAAAAACAAAAAGATGTGGCACCTCAGCCCCCTCCTGCTCCTGCTTTCAGCATGTAATGTGCCTGCTCCAGCTTCACCTTCCACCATGAGTAAAAGTTCCCTGAGGCCTCTCCAGAAAGTAGAGCAGATGCCCAGGCCTTGCTTATACAGCCTGCAGAACCATGAGCCAATTAAACGTTTTTTCTTTTTTCTTTTCTTTTTTTTTTTTTTTTGTGTGTGTGTGTCTGTGTGTGACGGAGTTTCACTTTTGTCACCCAGACTGCAACCTCTACCTCCTGGATTCAAACGATTCTCCTGCCTCAGCTTACCAAGTAGCTGGGATTACAGGTGCACACCACCACGCCCGGCTAATTTTTGTATTTTCAGTAGAGACGGAGTTTTACCGTGTTGGCCAGGCTGGTCTCGAACTCTTGACCTCAGGTGATCCGCCTGCCTCAGCCTCCCAAAGTGCTGGGATACAGGCATAAGCCACCGCACCCGGCCTGTTTTTTCTTTATAAATTACACAGTCTCAGGTATTTCTTTTTAGCAGTGCAAGAACAGCCTAACACAATAGTAATCAGTCAATAAAGTATTTGGATAAAGTAACAAGAGACAGAGTTAAAGGATTATGCTCCATAACTTTGTATATTCATCATTTCACTCGGGACAAGATTCTTAATTTTAAGGCCCCTTGTTCAAAAACTATTAACCATTTTAAGACAGCAACAGCAGAGTATTAAACCAAGCATGGGCTCTTTCTTTATTATTATTATTTTTTTATTTTTATTTATTTATTTATTTATTTTTGAGACGGAGTCTTGCTCTGTCACCAGGCTGGAGTGCAGTGGTGTGATCTCGGTTCACTACAACCTCCGCCTCCTGGGTTCAAGCGATTCTCCTGCCTCAGCCTCCCAAGTAGCTGGGACTACAGGCGCCTGCCACCACGCCCAACTAATTTTTGTATTTTTAGTAGAGATGGGGTTTCAGCATGTTGGCCAGGATGGTCTCAATCTCTTGACCTTGTGATCTGCCTGCCTCAGCCTCCCAAAGTGCTGGGATTACAGGTGTGAGCCACTGCGCCCAGCCAGCATGGGATCTCTCTAAGCATGGGACCCTGAAGATGAAATTACAGGGTTTGTTTTGGGAAAAGAAGGGTAAGGTGACAGGAAGATATGAGAGATTTGCAGTGTGCCTAAAGAGAGTCAGTTTCCTACTCCTGAGAAATCGTGAAAAGCTTACCAGGGAAGGCTGGAGCATTCTCTATATCCCAGGCACTTGCTGTGTGCTGAGGAAGTGAATAAAAACTGAGACTGACTTGATCCCTGTTTTCACACCACTTAAAGGTAATGATGAAGACAGATACTAAAACAGGTAAACTGACTGGGCACGGTGGCTCATGCCGGTAATTCCAGCATTCTGGGAGGCTGAGGCGGAGGATCGTTTGCGTTCAGGAGTTGGAGACCAGCCTGCACAACATGGCAAAACCCTGTCTTTACAAAGGATACAAAAATTAGCTGGGTGTGGTGGCATGCACCTGTAGTCCCAGCTATGTGGAGAGGGCTGAGGTGGGAGGATCACTTGAGCCAGGGAGGTGGAGTTTGATGTGAGGCGAGATTGCACCACTGCACTCCAGCCTGAGCAACAGATTGAGACCCTGTGTCAATACACACACACACACACACACACACACACACACAGGCACACACGTAAACCAGGAAAAAAGAAAGGCAAGTGTGAAGATAGGGGAGAGATACATGTAGGTTTGTGGGTAAATTAACTACCCTGGGATTCGGAGACCTGAGAAGTGACCTTTATGTGGTGACTCATCTCCAGTCTGGCTTTAGCATTCGCCTTTCCACCAAAACTGCTTTTATGAAGGTCCCTGATGGCCTCCACGTTGCAAAATCCAATGGTCCGTCCTTCCTCAGTTGACTTGTACAATCAGCAGCATTTGGTCACTCTCCTCCTTGAAACACTTTCTTCATTGGGCCTCCAGGGCACCAGGCTTTCCTGATTTCCATCCAGCCTTCCTGGCTAAGCTTCTTAGTCTCCATTGATGATGACTTCTAATTCCTCCTAACCTCTAAATGTTAGAGCAGGGATTCTCAAAGTATAGTCTGGACATCACTGATAACTTTTCAGGGAGTAATGTGGTAAAAACTATTTTCACAATAATTCTAAAATATCATTTGCTTTTTTATGCTCATTTTCTCCCGGGTGTACAGTAGAGTATTCCACAGGCTAAATGATGTATGATGTGGCATCACATGCAATGTGAAAGCACATATGAGAATCCAGCTATCTTTTATTAAGTCAGATAGAGATTTGTAAAAATGCAAAACAACAACAGTTCTCCCTGAATTTTTCTTTTGTTTTAGAAAACATGGTTATTTTTCTTTTCAAAAATGTTATTTATTGATAAGATGTAATGGACTTGCTATTGTTATTTTTTAATGAATTAATAAATATTTTGAAATTGTTTATTTTAATTTCTAATACAGGGTCTTGCTCTGTTGCCCAGGCTGGAGTGCAGTGGTGCTATCATAGCTCAGTGTAGCCTTGATCTCCCAGGTGCAAGCAATCCTTCCACCTCAGCCTCCCCAGTAGCTGGGACTACAGATGCACACCACCACGTGTGGTTAATTTTTAAATTTTTCTTTTGTAGAAACAGGGGTCTCACTCTGTTGACCAAGCTGGTTTTGAACTCCAAGCCTCAGTGATCCTGCTGCCTCAGCCTCCCAAAGTGTTGAGATTACAGGTGTGAGCCACCCTGCCAGGCCTATAGTAAATATTGATAGATAAAACTTTCATAAGCAAGAGTTCTTTGAGATCTTCAAATTTTTTATAGTGTAAAGGAGTCTTGAGATCAAAAAAAGTTAAAAACTTTGGCTGGGTGCGGTGGCTCACACCTGTAATCCCAGCACTTTGGGAGGCCGAGGCGGGTGGATCACCCAAGGTTGGGAGTTCGAGACCAGCCTGAACAACATGGTGAAACCCCATCTCTACTAAAAATACAAAAATTATGGCCAGGCGTGGTGGCTCATGCCTGTAATCCCAGCACTTTGGGAGGCAGAGGTGTGCAGATTACCTGAGGTCAGGAGTTCGAGACCAGACATGGTGAAACCCCATCTCCTTAAAAATACAAAGTTAGCTGGGCATAGTGGTACATGCCTGTAGTCCCAGCTACTTGGGAGGCTGAGGCAGGAAAATCGCTTGAACCTGGTAGGCAGAGGTTTCAGTGAGCCAAGATCACACCATTGCACCCCAGCCTGGGCGACAAGAGCAAAACTCTGTCTCAAAAAAAAAAAAAAAAAAAAATTAGCTGGGTGTGGTGGCACATGCCTATAATCCCAGCTACTCCAGAGGCTGAGGTAGGAGAATCACTTGAACCCGAGAGGCGGAGTTTGCAGTGCACTCCAGCCTGAAGTTATAAATTTCTGTTAAAGTGTCCCAGGGCTCTGTCCTTGGACTTCTTTTTCTACTAATAGCTGTCATTAACCCATTGATGCCAGTCTTTTGACTTGAAATATGCTGACAACTCCAGGTATATATCCCTAACCTGAACCTTTCCCCTGAATTTGCAGCTCACTTATCCAGCTCCCTACTTGATGTTTCCACTTAGATAGCCAATAGGCATCTAGGCATCTCAAACTTTATCTTATTTTTGAGCCAGGGTCTCACTCCATCACCTAGGTTGGAATACAGTGGTTTGATCATAGCTCAATGAAGCCTTGATCTCCCAGACTCAAATGATCCTCAGCCTCCCAAGTAGCTGGGACTACAGGTATGTGCTGCCACGCACAGCTTTTTTTTTTTTTTTTTTTTTTTTTAGTAGAGATGAGGTCTTGCTATCTTCCCCAGGCAGGTCTCAAACTCCGAGCTCAAGTGATCCTCCTGCCTTGGCCTCCCAAAGGATTACAGAAATTAAATGGCATGAGCCACCATGCCCAGCCCATCTCAAACTTTATATGTCTGTATGTCCAAAACTGATTTCCTAATACCACTGTCCAAACCTACTTATCCCATAGTTTTCTTAATTTCCTTAGATGGCAACTCCATCCTCTCATTTTGGCCATGGCTGAGGCCAAAAACCTTGGCGTTATCCTTGGCTATTTTATTTCTTGCATGCATTTCAAATCTGATTCCTTAGACCCTGTACTTCTGCCTTCGAAATAGAGTCAGAACCCACTAACTTTTTTTTTTTTTTTTTTGAGACGGAGTCTCACTCTGTCACCCAGGCTGGAGTGCAGTGGCGCAATCTCGGCTCACTGCAACCTCCACCTCCCAGGTTCAAGCAGTTCTCCTGCCTCAACCTCCCGATTAGCTGGGATTACAGGTGCCCGCCACCACACCCAGCAATTTTTGTATTTTTTTCAGTAGAGACGGGGTTTCGCTGTGTTGGCCAGGCTGGTCTCGAACTCCTAACCTCAAGCAATCCACCCACCTCGGCCTCCCAAAGTGCGGGGATTACAGGCATGAGCCAACGCACCAGGCCCAGAAGCCACTAACTTTTTACTATCACCATTGTTACCATCCTGAATCAAGCCACCATCATCTCTTAGCCTCAATTTTGCCAGGGGAGCCCAACTGGTCTCCCTACTTCTGCACTTGCCTCCCTCAGTCTAGTTTAAGTTCAGCAGCCTGAGTGATCTTGTTAGAAAGTAAGTCCAAGTGGCCAGGCACAGTGGCTCATGCCTGTAATCCTAGCACTTTGGAAGGCTGAGGCGGGCGGATCACGAGGTCAGGAGATGGAGACCATCCTGGCTAACACGGTGAAACCCCGTCTCTACTAAAATACAAAAAATTAGCCAGGCGTGGTGGCGGGCACCTGTAGTCCCAGCTACTTGGGAGGCTGAGGCAGGAAAATGGCGTGAACCAGGGAGGCAGATCTTGCAGTGAGCCCAGATCGCACCACTGCACTCCAGCCTGGGCGACAGAGCGAGACTCCGTCTAAAAAAAAAAAAAAAGTCCAAGCATGTCACTCCTGCTCCACCCAGACCCTCCAGTGGCTCCCATCTCACTCAAAGTACAGAGAAGTGAGGGCCTTATAAGGGCCTCACTTGCCCCGATACTCTTCTCTGACACAGTGTCCTCTTTGCTATCAAGTAGGCTCTTGCCTTAGGGCGTTTGCTTCCTGCCTGGAATGCTCTCCTCCAAATAGCTGCCTGACTTGCTCCCTCACCTCTGCCAGGCACCTTCTCAGTGAGGCTTCCGCTTGGCCACCTTATTCAGAATTGCAACCCGTTTCTCAACATCTCACCCCCCTCTTCCTTGTTCAGTGTTTTCCTTAGCTTATATCACCCTCCTGATATATAAAATCATATTTTAAAAATATATATTTAATACATATTTAAAATTTAAAATAGTCATATATGGTATATAATTTATTGCTTTTCTTCTGTCTTATTCCTGTTAGAATTTCAGCCACACAAGGGCTAGAGTTTTTGTCTATTTTGTTCAGTGCTGTATCCCTGGTGCCTAGAATAGTGCTTGGCACGATGTTGACAAGGTAGATGGGGAGGGAAGGAAATAACTTCATTTTAGACCAAGGGAACAAGGAAGGTTGAAGGCCCCGAGTCCCATCTAGGAAAAACTTTCTGTGATTTGGGAGCTGCTGAGGTAGGTAGAGGCCAGACTCGGGAGGGCTTGGTGAGAGTTTAGACTTGACCCTTAGGGGAATGGAGAACCACAAAGGATTCTAAACAAAGGATGACAGGATCATATTTTGTTTTTTAAAAAAATTCACTTTGGAAGAAAGAAGATAGTGAAGCAATGCACATAATATTGCATTTACGTTTGAACAGCATATACATATTATCTTAATGCTCTTTTCTCATAGTGGCAGAGCCATTGAAAACACACCACTCTATTCAGAACCCCTCCAGAAACACTGAGTACGCGTGGATACAAAGGAGAAAACCGAAGACACCTGGGCCTACTTGAGAGCGGAGGGTGGGAGGAGCGTGAGGATCGAAAAACTACCTATGGCTTACTACGCTTATTACCTGGGTGACAAAATAATCTTTACACCAAACCCCCATGACATACAATTAATTTATCCATGCACATGTACCCTCTGAACCAAAAATAAAAGTTGGAAAGTAAAGGAAAAAAAAAATCACCCTCCAGTGCTTCCCATCTCACTCTGAATAAAATTTATTTGATCTCACCCAGTCATCTCAGACCCGTCTTTGGCTTTTTCTCTCTATCTTTCCATTCAAGCCCACGTTGTGGTCTAGACATTCCTGTAAGGCATCAAGCACCCTCAGACCTCAGGGCCTTTACCTTTCCAGTTCTCTCTGCTTGGAATGGTCATCCCTCTGATAGCCCTTAGTCACTCCATCACCCAGATCTCTGCCCAAATGTCACGTTGTCCAACAGGCTTTCCCTGACCACTCTGTAAAATAGCACCAGCAGCCAGTCACAGAGGCTCATGCTTATAATCCCAGCACTATGGGAGGCCAAAGTGGGAGAATCACTTGAGCTCAAGAGTTTGAGACCAGCCTGAGCAACATAGCAAGAAATTGTCTCTATGAAAAATTTAAGAATTAGCTAAGTGTGATGGCATACACTTGTAGTCCCAGCTACACAGGAGGCTGAGGCAGGAGGATCACTTGAGCACAGAAGGTCACGGCTGCAGTGAGCTATGATTGCACTACTGCACTCCAGCCTGGGCAACAGAGTGAGAGCCTGTCTCAAAATTTAAAGAAATAAAATAAAACCAGCACCCATTTCCCTTTCCTCCTCCCCATTTCATTCCCTTACCCTAATGTACTTCAGAGCACTTACAACCACCTAACACGGGTCCCCAAACCCCAGGCAACAGACTGGTACAGGTCTGTGGCCTGCCAGGAACCAGGCTGCCCAGCAGGAGGTGAGCAGCAAGTGAGGAAGCATTAAGGTCTGAGCTCCACCTCCTGCCAGATCACGGCGGCATTAGATGTTCGTAGGAGCATGAATGCTATTGTGAACTAGGCTGTGGGCTCCTTATGAGAATCTAATGCCTGTAATGCCTGATGATCTGAGGTGGAACAGTTTCATCCCAAAACCATTCCCCCTGCTCCCACAAAACCAGTCCCTGGTGCCAAAAAGGTTGGAGACTGCTGACCTAACACATTGTATGGTTATTTATTTATTGTCTGTCTTCCCTCAATAAAATGTAAGATTCATTAAAGCAGATATTTTCTCTTCTGCTCACTGGTTTTGTTTTGTTTTTTGATATGGAGTCTTACTCTGTCACCCAGGCTGGAATGCAGTGGTGCGATCTCAGCTCACTGCAACCACCGCCGCCCGGGTTCAAGCAATTCTCTTGCCTCAACCTCCCAAGTAACTGGGATTACAGGCATGCAACACCACACCCGGCTAATTTTTGTATTTTTCGTAGAGACAGGGTTTCACTATGTTGGCCAGCCTGGTCTCAAACTGCTGACCTGAAGAATCTTCCCACCTCGGCCTCCCAAAGTGCTGGGATTACAGACATAGGCCACTATGCCCGGCCTCTGCTCACTGTTATAACTCTAGCACCTAAAGCAGTGCCTGGCAGTTAACAGGAACTCAGTTGAATTAATGAGTAGTTAAGTCTGTGAGGATACACAGCAAATGTTCCAGTAGTTAAACAAAGGGAGGGGAGGGGAGTAGAGTAGAGCAGAGGGGTCTTTAAAACAGATTAGATGGTTTAGAGTACATAGTGTAGTATATAGTATGTAAGTGTCGTGGGGATGGAAAGAAGTGGATAGATTTGGGAGCTACGCAGAAGAACAGAGGAGCCTAGGCCTTGCCGATGGATTGGATATGGAGGTTCTGGGAAAGGAGAAGTCAAGAATCATCTTCAGGTTTCTGATTTGATCAGTGAGGAAATAGTGGTGCCATTTACCCAGAGAGATAGAGAAAGAGCCCTGGAGGTAAAGCTTGTGGGGAAGTGGGTGGAGAGTCATGCAGACAGTTATTTTTGGTCATGCTTAGTTTCAGTGCCTACCAAACATATATGAGGAAATGTTCTATAGACAGGGAAATATCCAGACGTGAGCTCAGGAAAGACCCAGTGTGGAGAGAAAGATGTGTAAGTCACCTGCACTTAGAGAATGTGTGCTAGGAAAGCATGAAGGTCCAGACCCAACATTTAAGAGAAAGAGAAACCAAAACAGGAGACTGTGTTGCCCTCTGCAACACCAGAGCCCTCCTTTTTGCCTAAAATGCATCAATTCCTTTCCCACATCAGGATCTTTCCATTTGTTGTACTCTCTACTTGGAAATCTCTTTGCCTTAACTCTTCACCAGCCTGGCTCCTTCTCATTCCTGAGGGCCAGTTTCTTTCCTTTTTTTTTTTTTTTTTTTTTTTGAGACGGAGTCTCATTCTGTCACCCAGGCTGGAGTGCAGTGGCGTGATCTCAGCTCACTGCAAGCTCCACCTCCTGGGTTCATGCCATTCTCCTGCCTCAGCCTTCCGAGCAGCTGGGACTATAGGCACCTGCCACCATGCCCGGCTAATTTTTTTTATTTTTAGTAGAGATGGGGTTTCACCGTGTTAGCCAGGATGGTCTCGATCTCCTGACCTCGTTATCTGCCCACCTCAGCCTCCCAAAGTGCGGGATTACAGGCATGAGCCACCGCGCCCGACTGAGGGCCAGTTTCTATATCATCTGGTCAGAGAGGCCTTTCCTGACCACACCTCAAACACCCCAGTCTCTCTCTACCACATCACTGCATTTTTGTTCTTTATAGCACTTGTTCTGCTCTAGAATTGTCTTGTTTGCCTGCTGGTTTATTTTCTGCCTCCTCCATTAGGAGGAGCTCCATAAGGACAAGAACTTGTCTCATTTTTTGATTTCTTTGCTCCCATAATTTAACACAGGGCCTGAAACATAAAATGCACTTTAAAAATATTTGCTGAAAGAATATGGGCTATAGACGTAGGAGAAAAATCAAGTGTCATTAAAGCCAAGGACTTGGTCACTGATTTCAATTGATGGCATTTGGGTTGAAACTTTAGATTTCAACTTACTTTAGGTTGCCGAACATAATGCCCATACCCACCAAATTTAAGGCTGTGCCAAGAATATTAAGGAAAAAACAAAACAAAAACCCTATCAAAGATCATTTTAGAGATTCTCTACATCATGAGGACTTTGTTATTATTTACCTACCTGTCATAATTGTTTCATTATCATGCTGGTAAATAGCTTCACAGTTTAAAAAGCACTTTCCTGGATATTGTCTCATTTGAGGCACTCCAAACCCCTAAGAAAGGTACTCCACAACTTTTTTTTTTTTTTTGAGACAAAGTCTCACTCTGTTTGTTGCCCAGGCTGGAGTGCAGTAATGCTATCTCAGCTCACTGCAACCTCCACCTCCAGGGTTCAAGCGATGCTCATGCCTCAGGCTCCTGAGTTGCTGGGATTACAGGTGCGCGCCACCACACCCAGCTAATTTTTGTATTTTTAGTAGAGACATGGTGTCACCATGGCTGGTCTCAAATTCCCAACCTCAAGTGATCTGCCCTCCTCCACCTCCCAAAGTTCTGGGACTACAGGCGTGAGCCACAGTGCCTGGCCTCCACAAGTCTGTAATCCCAGCAGTTTGGGAGGCTGAGGCGGGTGGATCACGAGGTCAGGAGACTGAGACCATCCTGGCTAACAAGGTGAAACCCCGTCACTGCACTCCAGCCTGGGTAACAGACCAAGACTCTGTCAGAAAGAAAGAAAGAAAGAAAGAGAGAGAGAGAGAGAGAGAGAGAGAGAGAGAGAGAGAGAGAGAGAGAGAGGAAGAGGAAGGGAGGGAAGAAGGAAGGAAGGAAGGAAGGAAGGCAGGCAGGCAGGCAGGCCGGCTGGCCGGGTAAGATGGTTCATGCCTGTAATCCCAGCACTTTGGGAGGTGGAAGCAGGCAGACCACTTGAGGGCGGGAGTTCCAGACCACCCTGGCTAACATGGTGAAAGCCTGTCTCTACTAAACAAACAAACAAACAAAAATTAGCTGGGAGTGGTGGCGCACGTCTGTAGTCCTAGCTACTCAGGAGGCTGAGGCAGAAATCACTTGAACCTGGGAGGCGGAGGTTGTAGTGAGCCAGGATGGCGCCACTGCACTCCCCCAGCCTGGGCAATAGAGGGGACCCCATCACAAAAAACAAAAAAAAACAAAACAAAAAAAGAAAGGTAGAACTAAAATGAGTAAAGATGTCGGAATGATGAAGACAAGAGCTGACTTGGCAGCTTTGTAATGAAGATTGGAAAATCTTTACTCGTGGCCACGAAGTGGTGAGCACCCCCTCCGCCAATTAAGTTCCATAGAAAAAGTTAAAGGGACTCTTGGTTTAGCCTGAGGAAAGCCAGCAAAAGGAGTTAGATTTAGACAAGAGTCAGTAAAAACAAAAGGTAAAACCAAAGTGTGGGCCACATCAGGGTTAGCCAATGCCTGATGGCCCTGGTTGCCTTTCAGTTTATTTTCAGATGAGTGGGAGAAAAGCAGGGGAGGCCTGCCCACCCTAGTTTTGTCTGTTGGTTTAGTTAACATCAGAGGATTTCCTCATTTCTGTAGAGCCCAGTAATTCTCAACTCTGGCAGCACACAAGAATCACCTGGAGAGCTTTTAAAAAATATGATACTCAGGCACCACCCCCAGGACTCAGATTCAATTGTTCTTCAGTAGGAACTTAGCATTTTAAAAAATCTCCCTGGGTGATTCTAATGTGCAGCCGGAGTTGAGAATCACTGATACCTAATATAAGCCTGAGCAGAAAACAAAGTCATGTATACCTAAAACTTATTAATTCATTTGCTCATACAATAATTAACACACTCGATGAGTAAAAATAATAATAGTTCATATTTACTAAGTCTTTGATGTATGCCAGGCTCTGTGCTAAATGCTTCATATTTCTTTATTTTTTATTTTATTTTTTTTGAGACAGAGTCTTGCTCTGTCACCAGGCTGGAGTGCAGTGGCGCGATCTCGGCTCACTGCAACCTCCGCCTCCCAGGTTCAAGCAATTCCCCTGCCTCGGCCTCCTGAGTAGCTGGGACTACAGGCTCACGCCACCACACTTGGCTAATTTTTTTTTTGTATTTTAGTAGGGATAGGGTTTCACCATGTTGGCCAGGATGGTCTCGATCTCCTGACCTCGTGATCCGCCCACCTCGGCCTCCCAAAGTGCTGGGATTACAGGCAAGAGCCACTGCTCCAGGCAAAGTGCTTCATATTTCATCCAGGCCTCTCAACAATCCTACAGTAGTTAATGTTGTATTCCTCATTCTATAAATAAGAAAACAGAGACTTAGGTCATGCTGAGATTATGTGGCAGTGCTGGGGCCCAGATCTGCCAGAATCCAGAACCACCCTCTTTTTTAGTTGTTGTTGTTTTTTCGAGATGAAGTCTTGCTCTGTCACCCAGGCTGGAGCGCGATCTCAGCTCACTGCAACCTCTGCCTCCCGGGTTCACGCCATTCTCCTGCCTCAGCCTCCCGAGTAGCTGGGATTACAGGCACCTGCCACCACACCCAGCTAATTTTTGTATTTTAGTATAGACAGGGTTTCACCACATTGGCCAGGCTGGTCTTGAACTTCTGACCTTGTGATCCACCCACCTCAGCCTTTCAAAGAGCTGGGATTACAGGTGTGAGTCACTGCGCCCAGCCCAGAACCATGCTCTTAACCACTCCCACTTAGCCTCTGAAATGTCAATGGGTTTTTAAAAATCTTTCTTGAAAAGCCACATTCAAAATAGTTTTCCTGTCAAGACGATACCATAATGGAGGTGATTTAAATGCCTCGTTTTTATGCTATATACGTCTTGTCTTTTTGCACAGCTTCAAGCGGTCTGACAGGTGGGGCTGTTTGGGGAGTTAGGGGGTCCCAGGACGAGGGCTTCACTTGCATCCCTTTCAGGCCTCTTCTAACAGAGGATGCCATTGGCTTTACCCAGTGAGTTAAATTTTAAATAAAAAGAACCAAACTTAGGCCCTTGACACTTATGAAAGATGTGTAAGCTTCTCTTTATTCATGTTATTCATCTTCCCTGTAGAAACTAGAATCAAGATTTAGTTCTTAAAATCAGTCAGCAGTGGGTGTTCATGATTCTTCCCTTTCTGATATGATCAAAGATGTGTACATAAAAACAAACACTTCCCGCCCCTTTCATGCTCATATTTTTGTTGATAACAAAGGAGAAAAAGAACCTAGGGGGGAAACGTTAAAGACTGTGACAACCAAGCAAAATTATATCTGAAAAGAAATAGTTTTAAAGGAGAGAGGGTTGGAGGAGGAGGTATGTGTTTTTCTTCTTCTCTTTAAAGTATCAGTGGGCTTTATTTTGGAAACCTGGCTCTTTGTATTCACCATTGTAAAAATTCTTTTTTTGTGTGGCATTTTTAGATTTTTATAGGGGTAGGAAATGTGCTATCAAAATAAGAATTGTCTCATGGTAATATAAACCAAATTAAATTAATACATTTTAGATTTCAGATGTATTGGTGAATGAGTCACCTGTCTTCTTTCATTGTTTCTGTTGCCTAACAACAATCTCTTGTGAATTCCAAGACACTTGGAGAAAAAGAAAACCTTCTGGAACAGAGCAAAGAGGTACATCTGCCAGGAATCTTTACATGCCCCCGTAGATCCCTGTATGGACACTCTGAATACAGGTGGACTTAAAGTAGAAGCCAGCCCAGCCTTTGGTTTTGGTTTTTGCATACTGAATTTCATTATGGGTTGACTGGAGTCAGGTGGCATGAGCTGGCCCTGGGATTCCCAGATTCCATGAGCTCACAGTGGAGTCTGGCAAACCTAGATTCCTTCCTGGCTCCCTCCATCAGTTCTTAGCAGTCCAGTTTCTCTTTTTCTTTAAGCACAATAAATCACTCTTCTGTCTGCCTGCAAGTCTGGCAGCACCTGCCCTCTATCACAAAAAGCTATTATCATATTCATTCATTCATTTGTTGACCCAGTCAACAAATATTTTGGAGCACCTACTATGTGCTGTGCATTGTACTGAGCCAGGAGATACAGTGGTGAACAGCCTTCATGAAATGTACACTCTGCTCTGTCACCCAGGGTGGAGTGGAGTGGCACAATCACGGCTTACTGCAGCCTCAACCTCCTGGGCTAAAGCAATCCTCCTACCTCAGCCTCCTGTGTAGCTGGGACTACAGACATGCACCACCATGCCCAGCTAATTTTTGTATTTTTTTGTAGAGACAGGGTTTCACCATGTTGCCCAGGCTGGTCTTGAACTCCTGGACTCAAGTGATCCGCCCCTCTTGGCCTCCCAAAGTGCTGGGATTACAGGCGTGAGCCACCGCACGAACTTGGCCTGTGTTTTTTAAGACCACTTTGCTGTATAAAGAATAAAGTATAGGCCGGGCGCGGTGGCTCACGCCTGTAATCCCAGCACTTTGGGAGGCCGAGGCGGGCGGATCACGAGGTCAGGAGATCGAGACCATCCTGGCTAACACGGTGAAACCCCGTCTCTACTAAAAATACAAAAAAAAAATTAGCCGGGCGTGGTAGCGGGCGCCTGTAGTCCCAGCTACTCGGGAGGCTGAGGCAGGAGAATGGCGTGAACCTGGGAGGCGGAGCTTGCAGTGAGCCGAGATCGCGCCACTGCACTCCAGCCTGGGCGACAGAGCGAGACTCCGTCTCAAAAAAAAAAAAAAAAAAAAAAAGAATAAAGTATAAAGTATAAGAGAACATGAGTGAATGCCTGTCATCTTTTTTTTTTTTTCTTCAAAAACAGGGTCTCACTTTGTCACCCAGGCTGCAGTGCAGTGGCGCAATCATGGCTCACTGCAACCTCTAGCACCTGGGCTCAAGAGCTCAAGAGGTCCTACCAACTCAGCCTCCCAAGGAGCTGGGACTACAGGTGCATGCCACCACACCCTAAGGTAAATTTTTGTGTTTTTATAGAGACAGGTTTTACCATGTTGCCCAGGCTGTTCTGAAACTCCTGGGCTTAAGGGATCGACCCACCTCCATCTCCCAAGGCACTGGGATTATAGGCATGAGCCACCGCGCCTGGCCTATCATCATTTATTCATTTATTCATCTATGCAAAAATATTCTTTGAGTGCCTAATTGCTAAGCAATGGGACAAGCACTGGCAAGTCACACTGGCAAAATATCATCCCGCCACTCAAGGAGCTTATAGGTCAGCTGGGGAGACAAAGAAGAACATGGGCCCTTGTAATGAGCTAAGTATGGTGCTAGGGGAAATATCCATATGTTATGGGAACCCAGAGGAATTCATTCATTTATTCGTTTAGTAAATATTTATGTGCCAAACTCTTGGGACCCAATGGTGACCTAAGCAGACAAGACACATCCACCTACAGTGTTTACAGAGTAGTGTGGGAGACAGACATTAATGAAATGCTCTTACAGACCTATCATTACCTATTGTCATATGAGTTATGAAAGAAAAATAACAGGCCAGGCATGATGGCTCACGCCTGTAATCCCAGCACTTTGGGAGACCAAGGCAGGTGGATCACTTGAGGTCAGGAGTTCAAGACCAGCCTGGCCAACATGATGAAACCCCATCTCTACTAAAAATACAAAAAAAAAAAAAATTATCTGGGCATGGTGGCAGGCAGCTGTAATCCCAGCTACTCGGGAGGCTGAGGCAGGAAACTCGCTTGAACCTGGGAGGCAGAGGTTGCACTGAGCTGAGATTGCACCACTGCACTCCAGCCTGGGTGACAGAGCAAGACTCTGTCAAAAAAAAAAAAAAAAGAAAGGAAGGAAAGGAAGGAAGGAAGGAAGGAAGGAAATAGAGTGTAAGAGGGGGGCCTAGTGTAGTCTAAGATGACTCAGGAGAAGCTGTTTGAGCTGATGCCTGAAGACGGGTTGCATGTAAGTAGTTGAGTAGGTAAAAGAGAGGGGTACTATCATATCAGGGATTCGGGAGAAAAAAAAAGAGAGAGAGAGAGGGGAAGAGTGCTGTGGACCCATTGAGCTCCAGCCCAGCTCCAACTCTGTGGGTCAGGAAAGACTTTCCAGCATCTAAGCTGAGTCCAGAAGGATGAGTAGGAGTGAGCCAGCTGAGGAGGAGCTGGGGTGGAAGGAAAGCATTCCAGAGCAGCAGATAGCTTGTGCAAAGGCACACAGGCAGCTGGGTGTGGTGGCTCACACCTGTAATCCCAGCACTGTGGGAGGCCAAGATGGGTGGACCGTTTGAGCCCAGGAATTCAAGACCAACCTGGATGACATAGTGAAACCCTGTCTCTACCAAAAAAAAAAAAAAAAAATTGAAAAAAAAAAAGAAGCTGGGCATGGTGGCGTGCACCTGTGGTCCCAGCTACCCAGGAAACTGAGGTGGGAGGGAAGTCGAGGCTGTAGTGAACCATGGTGGCACCATTGCATTCCAGCCCGGGTGACAGAGCAAGGCCCTGTACAAAAAAAAAAAAAAAAAAAAAAAAGCATGGAGGCAACAGAACATAGTGGATTGGAAGGAAAAACAAGTGGTTCAGACCAGGTGCAGTGGCTCATGCCTGTAATCCCAGCACTTTGGGAGGCCGAGGCGGGCAGATCACGAGGTCAGGAGATCGAGACCATCCTCGCTAACACAGTGAAACCCCGTCTCTACTAAAAATACAAAAAAATTAGCCAGGCGTGGTGGTGCGTGCCTGTAGTCCCAGCTACTCAAGAGGCTGAGGCAGGAGAATGGCGTGAACCTGGGAGGCGGAGCTTGCAGTGAGCGGAGATCATGCCACTGCACTCCAGCCTGGGCGACAGAGCAAGACTCCATCATAAAAAAAAAAAAAAAGTGGTTCAATAAGCTGGGCTGTAGAGTGGGAGATGTGGTCAGAATGGAGAAATCACCTGGATCAAAATCCTAACATGCTAAGAAGGGCATGCTAAGGGCAGTAAGGAATAGCTGAAGGAGTTCAAGCAGGAGAGTGACCTGGTCAGATGGAGCATTAGAGACTGCTCTGGCCGCAGAGAGGAGGCTGGGCTAAGCCCCCACACGATGCCACACTTTATCCAGCATGGCAATTCTACTGAGAGTGGGCGTTATGCCCTCAGAAAATTCCTTTTGGGATTTTTTTTGAGATGGGTGAGGACCCGTTTGGCAAATGACACTGGCCACCCCATTACTGCCTCTCCTCACTGTCCAGGGCCCAGGCCTGGAACAGCAAGAGCCCTGAATTTGGAGGCATCTGCTTGTTGTACTGAGCAACAACCCATCGTTGACTCCAGGACTGGGCATGCCAGGGACTCCAGTTTCCTCTGCCTAATGGAGCATAATGTTGCACCACAATGCAAGGTCTCTTTAGTTATCAAAGGTCCTTCAATAATTTGCTTAGGGTGAGGCCATGACACCCCTGACTACTATCATTCACCCCCAGCAGTCCTTTCTTTTTTTTTGAGACGCAGTCTCCCTCTGTCACCAGGCTGGAGTGCAGTGGCGCGATCTAGGCTCACTGCAACCTCCGACTCCCTGGTTCAAGCAATTCTCCTGCCTCAACCTGCCAAGTAGCTGGGATTACAGGCATGCGCCACCACGCCCAGCTAAATTTTGTACTTTTAGTAGAGACGGGGTTTCACCATGTTGGCCAGGATGGTCTTGATCTCCTGACCTCATGATCCACTCACCTCAGCCTCCCAAAGTGCTGAGATTACAGGCGTGAGCCACCGTGCCCAGCCCATAGACTTTTTTTCCACCGGGTGCTGGGCATTGTCTTCCGACTGCTCTGCCCTTCCAGGGACCTGTGTCTCCACTGAGGCTGAAGCTCAGGAGACCAGGGTAAGCTTTCTAAAACGTGGTCTAGGCAGGTCCTCTGTCCCCCATGGCTTCCCATTTTTATAAGATGAATCTCAACAATGCAGTGTGGCCTGCAGGGCCCTTTGGGAGCTGCTTCTTTCCACCAGCTGTCCACCTGCCTATAGGGTTCTTCCCCTAGATCTTCCTGTGGCAGTATCTTCTTTGCATTCAGGTCTCAAATCAAATGTCACCTTCCTCAAAATGCCTTTCCTGACCACCCAGTCTAAGGTATCTGAATAGTTGCTCTCCTTCCCATCACCCTATTGTATTTTCTTCATAGCACATCACCATTATAAAATTATCTGTTTGTCCAGTTGCTTATTGGTCTTCGTCTTCCAGGATGTGGCCTGATAGCAGAGGCTTTGTCTGTCTTGTTCACTGTTTTATCCCCAGTATCTAGAACAACGTGTGGCACATTGTAGGTGCTGAATGAACGAAGGATTGGTCCTAGCCTATATTTGCAGCCTCATTCCCTTCCATCCTGTCCTTGCTCCCTGAGCTTTGGAGGGATGGAGGTCTTTAGACCTGCCTCAGTAATTGAGGCCACTACTTCCTTCAGCCTGGACTGTCTCTCCTTCTCTCCTCAGCACCCACCTCCTTGCTCCTATGCTTATTCTCCCTTTTATTCCGGATTCTGAACTTCTCCCACATATTCAATCCTAGCACATACCTCTGTCAAGGCTCATCTCACTGAACTGCAATGACATGTTTATCTGACATCTGTATCACCTGTCTGTAAGCTGCAGGAAGACATCCTTTCGCTTCCTGACGCCCAGCACACAACACAATAACCAGCACACAGCAGGTGCTTCACTAATGTTTGTCGGTTGACCAAATACCAAGATGTGGTTCAGAGAAACATGGATTAGGACACTAGTCATTTTTATAGCAATGGTAGGAAGAGCTGTCATAAACCTTAAGCCTACAGCAGAGAGGCAACCCCTTCCTATAGGCCAAACCAGGAAAATAACACCATATTAAATTCTCAAAATTAAGAGCAAAAAGAGGTGGATGTGGCCAAAAAGACCCTGCTTCTCACTATCTGCCTACTGCCAAGTGGAAGAGAGCAGTTAATTACTGGGTGAGAAGTATAGAAGCATTCTCACTATCAACTCTGGCAGGATCTATCAAAGAGGCCCAGAAAAGTGCCAGCTGAAGTTTGCAAAGTGCTCCCCACTCCACCAAGCACGTCCTCTATCCTTATCTCACTGGGGCCTAGGGGCAAGGAACGTAGGTTTCAGCCTATCTGTCAGTCTCAGAGAAACTCCTGTTGGTGTCTAGTTGGGCAGGCTGCTGGACCTCTCTAAGACTCAATAGCTTAATAGCTGTGTCTTTATTATGCTACTTGGGAGCCCTTAACAGGCTCATCCAACTTTCAGTTGCTAAACTCCTCGAAGTCTGTGTAATTATTGTTGTCTAAAATATAGAACAGCAGAATGTGTAATTAGTTGCTTTTAATAAAGCCATTTTGGATGATGCTGATGCTGATGATGCTGAGGATGATGGCAATTTTGATAATGATGATGATGAAGATGTCCCTGAAGACCAGGTCCAGAGGGAACTCTTACCTTAGAATGGAGCCAGGCCAGGCGCGGTGGCTCATGCCTGTAATCCCAGCACTTTGGGAGGCCGAGGTGGGAAGATCACTTGAGGTCAGGAGTTGGAGACCAGCCTGGCTAATATGGTGAAACCCTGCCTCTACTAAAAATACAAAAAAAGTAGCTGGGCGTGGTGGCGGGTGCCTACAATCCTGGCTACTCAGGAGGCTGAGGTGGGAGGATTGCTTGAACCCTGGAGGCGGAGGTTGCAGTGAATCAAGGTTTTGCCACTGCACTCCAGCCTGGGTGACAGTGTGAGACTCCATCTCAAACAAACAAATAAAACAAAACACAAAGATAATGGAGCCGGAGCCAGTGTCACAGGCAAAGGGCTGATCAGGATGTTGCATTGCCCAGCAGTTGAGCTGGACCCTCAAGTTGGGCCATCTGTGACCTCAGGACTCTACTTCTTACTGGCTGTGTGGTCCACCAAGCCTCAGTTTCCCCCTTTCTAAATGGAGAAATTATTACATGAATTAAAGGGTTTTGAGGAGGCTCTTTTGAAGTAATCTCTGTAAAACATTATCACGTTATCACATTGTCTATACACAAAAAATGCTTTACAGTGATACTAACCAAATCCTTACATGCAGCATACTTTATGACGGGATACATTCTTCTTTTTTTTTAGACTGAGTCTCGCTCTGTCACCCAGGCTGGCTCACTGCAACCTCCACTTCCTTGGTTCAAGCAGTTTTCTTGCCTAAGCCTCAGCCTCCTGAGTAGTTAGGATTACAGGTGTGCACCACCACACACAGCTACTTTTTTATTTTTGGTAGAGACAGAGTTTCACCATGTTGGCCAGGCTGGTCTCGAACTCCTGGCCTCAGGTAATCGGCCTGCCTCGGCCTCCCAAAGTGCTGGGACTACAAGGCGTGAGCCATTGCACCTGGCCTGACAGGCAACATGCTAGGAACATTCACAAATTCGTTCATGTATGTAATAATTCTACAAGGTAGATACTAGCATCATCACCCCTGTTTTATAGATAAAGTAAGTAAGGCACAGGGAAGTTGCATAATTTCACCATAGTCACAGACAGAAAGTGCCAGCGCAGGGTGTTGAACCCAGGCAACCTGAGTCCAGAGGCCAACCTTTTAACCATTATACTACACAACCATGGCAACTATAGAAGTGCACTGCTCACATTTCCCTTTGAGAGAACCGCTGTGCAGAGTTGACTGACCTTGGAATTTATCACAGCATTCACATAAAGGCTACACTCTTCCCCTGAGCCGCTGTCAGCCAATAACTGAGCACGGTGGAGTACCAGAGTTAGACCACTCCTGCCTAACATGAGATCTTCCAATAAGCAGCACTTTTTGTGTATGTGCTAAAATATATATAACATAAAACCAACTATTTAACTACTTTTAAATATACAGTTCAGTGGCATTAAGTATATTCAAATTGTGCAATTACCACCATCCACCATCCATCTCAACAACTTTTTCATCTTCCCAAACTGAAACTCCATATCCATTAAACAATAACTCAGCTGAGCATGGTGGCTCACACGTGTAATCCCAGCACTTTGCGCGGCCGAGGCGGGCAGATCACCTGAGGTCGGGAGTTCGAGACCAGCCTGACCAACCAACATGGAGAAACCCCGTCTCTGCTAAAAACACAAAATTAGCCGGGTGTGGTGGCACATGCCTGTAATCCCACCTACTCGGGAGGCTGAGGCAGGAGAATCACTTGAACCTGGGAGGCAGAAGTTGCGGTGAGCCGAGATTGCCCCATTGTACTCCAGCCTGGGCAACAAGAGTGAAACTCCATCTCGAAAACAACAACAACAACAACAAAAAACAGTAACTCTCTATTAGTCTCCTCCCCTACCCCTAGCAAACACGATTGTACTTTGTTTGTTTTGTTTTGTTTTTGTTTTTGTTTTGAGACAGAGCCTCACTCTTTCGCCCAGGCTGGAGTTCAGTGGCACAATCTCAGCTCACTGCAACCTCCACCCGCCAGGTTCAAGAGATTTTCCTGCCTCAGCCTCCCAAGTAGCTGGGATTATAGGTGCCCGCCACCATGGCCTGGCTAATTTTTGTATTTTTCGTAGAGACGGGGTTTCGCCATGTCGGCCAAGCTGGATTATACTTTTTCTCTATGAATTTGACTACTCTAGATATCTCATATCAGTGGAATCATGCAGTATTTGTCCTTTTGTGACTGGCTCATTTCACTTAGCATAATGCCTTCAAGGCTCATCCACGTTGTAGCGTGTCTTAGAATTTCCTTCCTATTAAAGACAGAATAGGCCGGGCGCGGTGGCTCACGCCTGTAATCCCAGCACTTTGGGAGGCTGAGGCGGGCGGATCACCTGAGATAAGGAGTTTGAGACCAGCCTGGCCAACATGGTGAAACCCCATTCTACTAAAAATACAAAAATTAGCTGGGCGTGGTGGCAAGGCAGCTGTAATCCCAGCTACTCGGGAGGCTGAGGCAGGAGAATCACTTGAACCCAGGAGGTGGAGGTTGCAGTGAGCCAAGATCACACCATTGCACTTCAGCCTAGGGGACAAGAGTAAGACTTTGTCTCAAAATAAATAAATAAATAAATAAATAGTAAAATAAAGACAGAATAATATTACATGGCATGTGTACACCACACTTTGTTTATCCATTCATCTGGTGGGCAACCTTTGCTCAAGGACTCTCTATCAGCCTGGCTGAGACTTTTTCAGAACGTCACTTCAGTCTGACGTTCCTCCTACCTATCCTCCCTCATTCTCCACCTCCTTTTACAGATTGTCACGCCTGCATCACAGTCAGAAAGCTCTCACCACCTTTTCCTGCTCCTCCTCTTTTATCCTTCACAGATGTTCCCTTGTTAATGTCTTGCATGCCTAAACCCAGCTTGGTGTCTGTTTCTCAGAGGACTGTATGGACATGACAGCCTCTTTTTTTTTTTTTTCCTTGAGACAGAGTCTCACTCTGTTGCCCAGGCTGGAGTTCAGTGGCATGATCCCGGCTCACTGCAACCTCCGACTCCTGGGTTCAAGCGATTCTCCTGCCTCAGCCTCTCCACTAGCTGGAATTACAGGCACCCGCTCTCATGTCCGGCTTTTTTGTATTTTTAGTAGAGATGGGGTTTCACCATGTTGGCCAGGCTGGTCTCGAACTCCTGACCTCAGGTGATCCACCCGCTTCGGCCTCCCAAAGTGCTGGGATTACAGGCGTGAGCCACCACACCCAGCCCCATTAATGTCTTGCATGCCTAAACTCAGCTTAGTGTTTGTTTCTTAGAGGACTGTACTGACATGACAGCCTCTGTTTTTTTTTTTGGAGACGGAATCTTGCTCTGTCACCCAAGCTGGAATGCAGTGGTGCGATCGATCGGCTCACTGCAACCTTGGACTCCTGGGTTCAAGTGATTCTCCTGCCTCAGCCTCCTGAGTAGCTGGGATTACAGGCCCACGCCACCACACCTGGCTAATTTTTGTATTTTTTTAGTAGAGACGGGGTTTCACCACGTTGGTCAGGCTGGTCTCGAACTCCTGACCTCAGGTGATCTACCCGCTTCAGCCTCTCAAAGTGCTGGGATTATAGGCATGAGCCACCACGCCTGGCCACAACAGCCTCTTAATAAATATTATTTATCATTATTATTCTTGGAAAAAGGAAGATGTATTTAAATTTGTAAAAACAATTTAAGATAGTTATATAGAATAATCGTGGATCATATATTCTTTTTAAAATTTCTTTTGCTACCTAGCGTACATATTTGTATACATGTAGATATGTAGCTATTTCAATATAGAAAATTTAGAAAACATAGATAAGGAGAAAGAAGAAAATTAAATTCACCTGTTATTCCATTACCCTAGATTTTCATTTTGGGGTGCATCTCTGTAGATGTTTATGTGTACATATCCAGTATATCTTTCTTTTTCAGGAAACTGGCTACTCTCATAGTATTAATTGGGTACAGTTGACTCTGTAGAGCTCGGATTTCATAAACTGACCTAATTTAGGAGTGCATTAATTCATCCACTTCATTTAACAAACACTATTCAGCACAAGGAATACAAGATAAACACAGCCTTTGTCAATGGAAAACATACACTTTAGTGGTGGCTATCAACACACATCTCCAGTCAATTACAAAACACTGCTGTGTAGACTGAGAGGAGAGGAGGGCCACCCAGCGCAATCTGGTTTCCTGGAGAAAGTGATGTTTAAATTGTAGTGTTTAAATCTTGAGGAACAGCTAGGAGTTAGTAAGGAAAAAGAGGAAAATTTACGAGAGACATTGTCAAGCTAGAACCTAGGCATAGGGGCCATGTACAATAGGCTTGGTTGCTCAAGGAGCAGATGACTCTATCTACAACCACCAAACACGATTACTGACTCTGCGCGTATGATTGAGTACGTGTGTGTGTGTTTGTAGCAGCCACTCAGACTGAGCAAGGGATAAGACTTTAACCAGTCAAGAACTCTTGGGCAGAGGCTATGAATGGAAAAAGCAGATACTTACACACCCTCCAGGGGAGGAGAGGAGCTAATTGATCCACAGGCTTAGACTGGAAATATCAGCCAAGAATTAAGCTCTCTAAGGGCAGAAATGGTAGCTTCTCTACCCTTGTGGAGTTCATAGGCCCAAGACAAAGCCACGTACAACAAGGACCCTCAGTTGTGACTAGTGCCCATGGCATCACTGGTTCTCTAAAGAGACCTCAGGTAAGAGGAAGACACTTTGGACAATCCTGGGATCATTCTAAGCCATCTCTTCTCAGGAGTGCGGTTGGTTCAACATGAAGTATGGAGTCTAGCATCTTGGAAGTGGTGCAGAAAAAATGTAAAAGCCCAGCATTTCCCTGAATCAATCTGAATTATTTATCAATGTCAGCAGCAGCACTGCCCATCACAGAATTTTCAAGAGAAGGTTGTAGGTCAGCAGGAAGTAAGTGTTGTTTCCAGTATTGTTTTGATGTTAACTTTTTTTTTTATTGTCAGGAGTAGACATTTTATTTTCTGCATCCTGTAATTCTTGTTGGCCAAGTTCTATTTTAGCACCTGGGCATAAATAAAAGTATTCAATGATAATATCAAAAGGGTTCTAAGTGTGCTGACAGGCACCACCATCTCATTAAATGTGAATATCTTTACAGTGTAACTCGATTTAAAAAAAAAAAAAGAGGTAGACAACCACAGTATGGTATTTTTAGGTACGTAGGTGAGGCAGGCGCCCACACATGCCACCACATCCTTCTGAACAGTAAAGACATCTCTTCTCTTCTCCTGGCCTTGGAGGGGATGGGGCTGTGATGACCTGGCATTGCTTCCTCAGTGAAGCCTTCCTTGAGGATCAGCCAGCCCCCCACTCTCATCTCCAAAGCCCATGCTTGTCAAAGCAGCTGCCAGAAAGTGACATGGAGAGTCCAGGCTCAGCCAGGCGTGGTAGCTTATGCCTGGAATCCCAGTGCTTTGGGAGGCCAAGGTGGGAGGATTGCTTGAGGCCAGGAGTTCAAGACTAGCCTGGGCAACATAGTGAGACTCTGTCTCTACAAAAAATTTAAAAATTAGCCAGCCATGCTGGTGCATGCCTGTGGTTCTAGCTACTTGGGAGGCTAAGGCAGGAGGATTGTTTGAGCTCAGGAGTTTGAAGCTACAGGGAGCCATGATTGTGCCACTGTACTCCAGCCTAGGTGACAGATTGAAACTGTGTAAAAAAGACAAGAGAGTCATGGCCCATCTCTGTGGTCAGTGAAGCCTCGGCACCGAGATGGACAGGAACACGCCTAGTCATGGTAACTGGACCCCTAAAGACAGCAATCACGAAGGCCACAACTGTCCAGGGGTCTGCATGTTCTATGCATGGGAGAAATGTCACCACCTCCCTCAGGCACAGGCCTGGCCAGGGGTCGTCACTGGGTGGGTGAACACCCACTGGTCTTCTCAGCCAACTTGGCAGTCAGGATAAAAATAACACCAGCCGCCTCATTTTCCAAAATTAAGGGCGATGCTTTAGCAAATATATGCAGATGTATACAGACACAGATGGGAACAAGTGTATTTAATTGTAAATGAGTCAGAACGGAGCAAATGAGATTTCCCTTATATTTGGGTTCCAAAAATTACAGAGAAAATGTGCCTGAGGCAGAAACAAACTAAAAAAAAAAAATGGAGGTAGGTTATTGAGGCAGGAGCCACATGGGAGAGAACCTTTGGACCCAGAAGGCTGGGACGACTTTGGCCTCCTCTAGGGGTTATGAAACTGTTCTGGCTCCAGAGAACTCAATCCCAGAGGCCCTGAAGTGGCCACAATGCTAATGGGATGAACACAGGCCCAGCTGAGCAGGACTCACTGTGTCTCAGCCTCACAGTGTCAGAGAAAGCAGGGAAAGGAACAGAGGGCTGTAATGGGCCTGTCCCCTAGCGGGGAGCCAAAGGCCAGCTTTTATCTTCTCAGAGAAACAAGCAGAGACAGAGAAAAAGAGAAAAGGAAAAAAAAACACCTCTGCCCAGCTCCATGTGGCCAGAGAGGGGGAGAGAGAGAAACGTGAATGGCAACGGAATACTTTTGTTTGGAGAACGCCATTTCTCCTAAATGGCTTCAAGGCAGGCACCTAGTAACGTGCCAGGGTCTCGGCAGACATTCAGTAAATACTGGAAGGAAAGGAAAGAGAAAGGATGGAAGGTGGGCGGACTGCGTCATCCTGCAAGTCCCTCCCATTCTGTGGAGTGGAGAACTGCAGAAGCTCTAAGGCAGATCACCCAAGTAAAAAGGAACACCCTCCCTGGCACAGGGGAATGTGGGGACTGAGCGTGAAAAGTGAGCCACACCTTCTCCCCAGGCCGCCTACCCTGTAAGCTCACTCTCCTCCAGAGGGAGCACCTCCTGTGCCTAAGCAATAGTAATTTGCCCCTCAGAGAATAGAAAAACTGGTTTCACCACAGCAGGAGGCCCAGCTATCCCCAGGGCAGCAATCTGACACCAAGTCAGGAAGCTCTGTGCATCTGGGCAGGCTCAGAACTTGGCAGAGGGTCTGGCACCTTGTAGGCATTTCTTGCGTGCCAGCTAGTAAATGAAGTTATGAATGCATGCACACGTGAATGAATGCAACAAAGATGCGCTCCCCACACTAACATGGTCTTGCTCTGTGGTTTGGACCCTTTTCCCTCTCTCCCCAGGCTTGTTTCTTTTGTGACTCTGCCTCCCAACCTGCAGGAACAGCAAACCCCACCTTTTTCCTCAGGTCCAGCTCCCCTGACTGGAGGATTCCTGGAAGGCGGGAAGCACAAAGTCTCCTCTTGGGGAAAGGGCCGGGGGGCACTTTTGTCCCCAGCCAACCCTGCATTCTTTGGCTGATCACATTTGCAGTCCTGGCCTTATCTCCCCAGAAAGCCCAGAAGGCAAGGTTGGCCTTGCTGACATTTCAATTCAAGGCCACCCTCACCATACCCCCAGCCGGCTCTCACCTACTGTACCCACATCCAGTATTTCAGCCCTGAAGAAATCAGATCTTGTGTGTCTGGTGTTCTATAATGGGAGGTGGGAGGGTTGCTAGGGGTGTCCAAGTGCTCTGAGAACCACATACCCAGGAGAGCACATGTCTCAGCCCTGCGGGCCCTCTGAGCCAGACTGTCAGTGCCTGTCCCTGCCAGTTGCCAGTGGATACAGAAACAAAAGAGGGAAATGAAGAAACAATGCTCTTGCACAACGCCCAGGAGAGTTGTGGGCATCTGGGCATCATCTCTGCTACTCCAGTCTGCCATATACCAGCCTAGTGGAAGGGCTTACTTCAAATGAAGTCAAGGAGAGCTGAAGAACTGGCTCCAAGCAGAGCCCCGCATCTGCTTTTCACAGGCCTGCCTTCTTTTTTTTTGAGATAGAGTTTTGCTGTTGTCACCCAGGCTGGAGTGCAGTGGCACCATCTTGGTTCACTGCAACCTCTGCCTCCCGGGTTCAGATGATTCTCCTGCCTCAGCCTCCCGATCAGCTGGGACTACAGGCGCGCGCCACCACGCCCAGCCAATTTTTGTATTTTTAGTAGAGACTGGGTTTCACTGTGTTGGCCAGGCTCATCTCAAACTCCTGACCTTGTGATCCACGTGCCTCGGCCTCCCAAAGTGCTGGGATTACAGGCATGAGCCACCGCACCTGGCTTGCCCAGTTAATTTTTGTATTTTTAGTAGAGACGGGGTTTCCTCATGTTGGCCAGTCTGGTCTCGAACTCCTGACCTCAGGTGGTCCACCAGCCTTGGCCTCCCAAATTGCTAGGATTTCAGGCATGAGCCACCGTGCCTGGCCTCACAGGCCTGTTTTCAACACTGGCTTCCTACAAAAGTGCTGGCCATTTTCTTCAACCTGCCTCCCCTGCCTGCCCTGGCTTTCTTCATCTGACTCTGCACTATATTTCTGCTTTTTAGCCTTCCATCTTCCTTCCACTTGTTTTTCTTCTTCTTCCTGTCTCTTTCTTCTTCCCTTCTTTTTCTTCTTCTCCCCCTCTTTCTCACCTGCTCCATTTGTTCAGCACTTTACAGTTTATGAAGTGCTTTCGGGTACATCGGGCATAAGATGAGTTCAGGAGCGTTGATGACAAAGTGGGGACCATAGCATATACCAAACTGGGCAATTAGAAAGCAGATTTTGTTAAAATGGAGAGAAGAGAGGGACTCACCAGGACTTCAAAATAAGAGGGAAAATCATCTCGTGGAAGCTTCGTGCTGACGCTGGGCTTTGGAAAAGCCACCCCTCTCTTTCATCTTCTCCATGCGAGGCCTGAAGACTGACATCTCTGCTTGTGTTTTGTGAGACATCTGTCTTGGTTTGGGGTATCCTGAAACAGGGGTTCAAGTGCAAATAGTTTATTTAGGAGGTGATTCCAGGAAACATTGGTAGGGGAGTGAGGAAGTAAGAAATAAAAAGAGAAGGGCAGGTCGGGCTATGTACTGTTCTCACTAACCGGAATGCTCTTCTCTTTCTTATCCAAATGTTGGGCCAGGCGCGTGGCTCACACCTGTAATCCCAGCACTTTGGGAGGCCAAGGCGGGCAGGTAGCCTGAGGTCAGGAGTTCAACACCAGCCTGGGCAACATGGTGAAACCCAATCTCTACTAAAAATACAAACAATTAGCCAGGCACAGTGGCATGCGCCTATAGTCCCAGCTACTCGAGAGGCTGAGGTAGGAGAATTGCTTCAGCCTGGGAGGCGGGGGTTGCAGTGAGCCGAGATCGCGCCATTGTACTCCAGCCTGGGTGACAGAGCGAGACCTTGTCTCAAAAAATAAAAAAATAAAAGAGAAGGAAACCACTAAGTGGTGTATATTAACTCACTGCAAGGACTGCTGGGGGTGGGGGCCCTAGAAGACAATGAGGAACATGCATCAGGGCTATCCCAACTGAGCAACTGAGGGGTGAGGAAGCTGGGGCATTTATCCACCAACACCAACACCCCTCACCCCCCACCAACAACGTGTGTATGCACACACATACACTTCTGTCATTGATTGGAAGCTGCTTCTTGAGCTGAGCCATTCACTCACTGGCACTCCCTACTTTCCCTTTGTAGAGAGGCCAGGTGTGTTCCTGTGGCCAGAACAAAGCCCTCAGGCAGCGCCCCAGGTGTTTGCGTGATCAGTCTCTGGGTAGAGAGGTGAGGACTAAGAAGATTTAAGTGAGGCAACAACATCTGCTACAAACCCCTGTAGCCTTCCAACTTGCACCCTTTAACTTGAGCCAGTTTGAGTGGGTTTCTATCCCTTGAAGCTAAACAGTCCCTCACTAAGCTATCTCCCCTTTTCCTCATTACTCCCGGTAGATAAGCACAAATATTCCTTACCCTCTCTCCTTTCTCTTGTCCCTGTTGCCCTCAAATGTCCCTCCTCCCCATCTCAAAATGCCTTCACATCTCCCCCCATTTCTTTTTCCTTTGCTTTGAGCTTGGAACCTTTCCCTTCCACGTGAGCTTTTGCACACACAGACACACACATCCTACTTCCTCCAAGATGTTGTTCTGTCAGTAACCCTCCTTGAATGATGGACAGTAGATCTAAAGGGAGAATGTTGCAGGCAGAGGAAGAGCAACAGCCAGCTCTTATCCAGGGTCTAAGGGGGCCCCCGCCCAATGCCTTCCTGTCATCCAGGATACAAAGTCCAAGCCCTGAGCCTGGAACTCAATACCTTAATCCGATTTACTGTTTCTATCTCATCTACTTCTGTCTTTCCTACGCACCTCACGAATCAACCAACATGTATTGAGGGCTTTACTATATACCAGGCATGGACCAGCCCTAGGGGAACAGTAGTTAATAAGACAGACACAGTCACACAGTCCCTGTCCTCAGAGAGTCTACAGCCCATCAGGGATGGAGAAGAGAGAGATGGGGTAGAGATCACAGGAAGGCTGCCCTTCTCTGAACCAGTAAGCATTCGGAGGAGGAGCCTAGGGCCACCTATCCTCCTGGTTTCTGTGCCTCTACCCATCTATTGTATCCAGCCTCCAACAATCTTCACCTCCTGGTATCCACATCTGGTGTAGTTCCTTCCCACACTGTGCCAGAGTTGATCTATGTGACCAATATAGAACATAGCAGAAGTAATGGTATTTCGCTTCTGAGATTAGGTTATAAAAGACGCTGCAGGCCAGGTGTGATGGCTCACGCCTCTAATCCCAGCACTTTGGGAGGCCAAGGTGGGTGGATCACGAGGTGAGGAGATCGACACCATCCTGGCTAATATGGTGAAACTCCGTCTCTACTAAAAATACAAAAAATTAGCCGGGCGTGATGGCAGGCGCCTGTAGTCCCAGCTACTCAGGAAGCTGAAGCAGGAGAATGGCGTGAACCTGGGAGGTGGAGCTTGCAGTGAGCTGAGATCGCACCACTGCACTCCAGCCTGGGTGACAGAGCAAAACTCCGTCTCAAAAAAAAAAAAGACTTTGCAGCTTCTGTCTTGGGCTCTCTCTTCTCAGTCTCAGTCTCTCTCTCTCATCAGTTGCCATATCAAGTACCTCTATAGAGAAACTGAGACTTGCAGTAAACAGCCATGTCAGTGACTCGTCTTAGAAGTAGACCCTCCAGCCCCAGTCAAGCCTTCAGATGACTGCTGAAGCGGGGGCATTTATCCACCAACACCAACACCAACACCCCCCACTCCCCCAACAACATGTGTATGCACACACATACACTTCTGTCATTGATTGGGAGCTGCTTCCTGAGTTGAGCCATTCACTCTCTGGCACTCCCTCCTTTCCCTTTGTAGAGAGGCCAGGTGTGTTCCTGTGGCCAGAACAAAGCCCTCAGGCAGCGCCCCAGGTGTTTGTGTGACTGCAGCCCCAGGCAATGAAACCTCTTGAGAGACCCTGTGTCAGAACCATCTTGCTAAGCTGCTCCCCAATTTCTTTTTTTCTTTCTTTCTTTCTTTTTTTTTTTTTTGGGATGGAGGTTCACTCTTGTTGCCCAGGCTGGAGTGCAATGGCATGATCTCAGCTCACTGCAACCTCCACCACCCAGGTTCAAGTGATTCTCCTGCCTCAGCCTCCTGACTAGCTGGGATTACAGGTGCCCACCACCATGCCGGGCTAATTTTGTATTTTTAGTAGAGACAGGGATTCACCATGTTGGCCAGGCTGGTCTTGAATTCCTTACCTCAGATGGTCTTCCCACCTCTGCCTCCCAAAGCGCTGGGACTACAGGGGTGAGCCACCATACCCGGCCCTGCTCCTCAATTTCTGGCCCTCAGAAACTGTGTGAGATAATAAATGTGTACTGTTTTGGCCAGGCGCGGTGGCTCACGCCTGTAATCCCAGCACTTTGGGAGGCCGAGGCGGGTGGATCACGAGGTCAAGAGATCGAGACATCCTGGCCAACATGGTGAAACCCCGTCTCTACTAAAAATACGAAAATTAGCTGGGTGTGGTGGCATGCAACTGTAGTCCCAGCTACTCGGGAGGCTGAGGCAGGAGAATTGATTGAATCTGGGAGGCGGAGATTGCAGTGAGCTGAGATCGTGCCACTGTACTCCAGTCTGCCAATAGAATGAGACTCTGTCTCAAAAAAAAAAAAAAAGTGTACTGTTTTAAGTTTCTTCATTTTGGGGTACTATGTTACATAGCAATAGACAACTAATACACTGCCTTTACCATATGCCCTTCCCCTCAATAGGCAGGGCCTTGCTGCTTGCCTCCTACAGATCTCTTTGTTCACCTGCTCACCAGCATTTCTTGGTAGGCCCAACAGAAAGTGTTACAGCATGGTTCTGAAGCTGCTTTCAAAGCTCGAAGTTGGCTGAAACACTGCATACTTTTTCTTTCTCTTGGCAGTTTTTCTCCTTAATTTATGTTCCCTTATACAATTCAAAGGAAAAAAGAAGCCATAATTTCCTGATTCATTTACACTCCCCAATTCCCTGTGGCTTTGTGAGAGTGATTCGATGTGAGAGGTCTTTCTTGGAGCCCCTTAAAGCTTCTACTCTCTCTGTGAACAAAAGAAGTGAGCTTGCCAAGAATAAATGCAACTTAGACCCCAAAAACTGTTGGAGTTTGATTTTAAACCTGGAATTTGTGTTCTCTGAGTGGGGTCCAAGCTTGGCAGCTTTCTTGCCCTGCTCTGATTCAGTCGCTCTGCCTCATTGGACTGCTTTTTCCATTGGAGCTTCACAAACACTTCCCAGGGTGGCGTCCTCAGAGGTCAGGATGAGATACACACTCAGTGCAGAGCCATCTTTGTGCTGTAGCACAGGACTTGGCATGCTTAGAACCAAATCATAGGACTGGAGTCTCTCAGCAGGGGGTTCAAGCTCTAGAGTTTGGCTTCCCCTTTTCATTTTAATTTTCTGTCCTGAGAAGCAGCTCTGAAAATTCTCAAGGGATATTAAACCACCTACGTACCCCAAGTCACCACCCTAAGATTTGGCATTGAGGGGATCATTTCTCCAGACTTTATGATAATTCAGGGTAGAAGATAAGGCAGAAAAGCGAGAACCAGTTTTAGTTATTTTGGGCATCATTGATTGTGTTCTGCTCCTTTGGAGTGAGTACAAATTGATCTGAAAGGCCTGAAGGAGTTGGGAGGATTCAGAATAATATTTACTGAAACGCTTTTATGTATAAGATTATTATTTCTCTTATTCTTCACAAGAACCAAGTGAAGGAAGAAGGAATTGAGGACAGTTTTATCTTTTTTTTTTTTTTTTTTTGTAGAGATGGAGTCCCACTTTGTTGCCCAGGCTGGTCTTGAACTCCTGGCCTCAAGTGATTCCCCTGCCTCAGCCTACCAAAGTGCTGGGATTACAGGGGATTGCAGGCATGAGCCGCCACAACCACACTCAGCCTTTTTTTTATTTTTTGTTTTTTTGAGACAGGATCTCAGTCTGTTGCCCAGGCTGGAGTGCAATGGCACAATCATGGATCACTGCAGCTTTGGCCTCCTGGGCTTAAATGATCCTCCCATTTCAGCCTCCCAAATAGCTGGGACCACAGGTGCGAGCTGTCACGATTGGCTAACTTCTTGTTTTTTTTTTGTAGAGATGGGGTTTTGCCATGTTGCCCAGCCTGGTCTTAAACTCCCAGGCTCAAGCAGTCTGCCCACCTCAGCCTCCCAAAGTGCTGAGATTATAGGCATTATAATATAGGAGCCAAATGCTCCTGGCCTGGTGGTAGTTTTAAAATATGGCTTCAGGCCAGGCATGGTGGCTCACGCCTGTAATCCCAGCACTTTGGGAGTCCAAGGTGGGCAGATCACTTGATGTCAGGAGTTCGAGACCAGCCTGGCCAACATGGTGAAACCCCATCTCTACTAAAAATACGAAAAATTAGCTGGGCATGGTGGTAGGCACCTGTAATCCCAGCTACTCAGGAGGTTGAAGCAGGAGAATCACTTGAACCCAGGAGGCGGAGGTTGCAGTGAGCCGAGATCACGCCACTACACTCCAGCCTTGGTGACAGAGCTGTCTCAAAAATAAATAAATACATAAAAATAAAACATGGCTTCAAATTTTTTGACCCTTCTCTCATCAAGAAGTGGGGGCCAATTCTATGTCCTCTTTCCTTGAATCTGTACAGGTTGGTGACATCTTTGCCTATAGAGGATGGTGGAAATGATGACATGTGACTCCCAAGGCCAGGGTATAAAAGGCCATGAAGTTCCTGCCTTGTTGGCTGTGACACTCACTCTTGGAACCTGAAGTCACCATGTAAGAAGTCCCAAAGGTTACCATGCTTTGAGGAAGCCCCAGCTGTGTGCAGAGGCCATATAGAAATGCTTTGGTTGGCAGTCCCAGTTGAGCCCAGTTTCAAGTCATCCTAGCCCAAGCACCAGACATGCAAATGAAAAAGCCTCCAGTTAATTCCAGCCATTAAAGACACCCACCCTCTCAGGTATGCCAGCTAAAGCCCCAGACATCATGAACCAGGGGCTTCAGGAATTGCCATTGTACCGCGTCCAAATTACTGACCCATAGAATCTGTGAGCACGATAAATTTTTTAAATTTTTTTATTTTTTGTAGAGACAGGGTCTCCCCATATTGCCCAGGCTGGTCTTGAACTCCTGGCCTCAAGCAATCCTCCCGCCTTGGCCTCCCAAGGTGTGGAGATTATGGGCGTGAGCCACTGCACCCAGCCCATTTTTTTTTTTCCCCTAATGCCACTAAGTTTGAGATTGTTGCACAACCATAGGTAATCATAGCAGTATTATTATTCCCATTGTACAGATGTGGAAACTGAGACTTGGAGAAATTAAGTTTTAAGGCAAGTGACAGGACAATTTGCACGCAGGTCTGTTTGACTGTAAACTCCATCTTTCCCACTACAGACACAATAAAGGATGGGGTGAAGGGACTAACTGGGTTGGGGGAGGGAATCATACTGTTGTACTTTTCCTCATTTAAACCATACCCCAAATTCTGCACTCACCTTCTCATCACAGGGCAGACACGCTCACACACTTCAATTCCTGGGGACATTGGCAAAGATCGGTCCAGCTTCCCTGACTGGTTGATGTCTGATGCTGAGTGAAAAAAGCTGGAACAGAATCTCTGGGTCTGGAGGCCTCATCTCCAGCAGCGCAGACCTGTATGCTGGTGCCTTATTGACCCATTTTTCAGGCAGATCCTGCTCTCCAAAGATGCTCTGAGCCATGACCTGTCTGATAACCAGTCAGTAGCCCTTTGAAGATTAGCCTAAAAAAAATGGGTCCACTGGTGGGGTGGAGATGAGGCAGGTTTAGTTCTTTGTTTCCTGCAGAGAGAGGATATGAGTCTGCTCTCTCTTCTTCCCTGTTTACAATAGCGCTGAGGGTTTCATTTCATTAGTCTTTATAAAGTCTCTGGAAGATGTCAGGTGCCAGGTGCTATAATAAGTGTGAAATTTAACTACCTTTTCATCAAGGCAAAAAATCCAGCCTGCAGACATTCAAGGGCAGGGAATCTGCTTGTAAAAGACAGGAACCCTATTGTCAACTTTAAATAAATTGCAACTGAAGCATGATCTGGCACCAAATTATCACAGCAAGTCCTCTCAGGGGCTCTTGCTGACCAGCAAGGGATCAGCAATAAGAATGTGGTCTTGGAAAGGGGCCAGGTTGAAGCCAAACCGCTGCTACCTCTCATGGCCAGGGGTTTCCAATGGCCCGTCATTTTTTCCCCCTGGAATATACCATTCTCCCTACAGAGGCTCACTGTCCTGCTCTGCAGGCCTTCTTCAATACCCACCCCACATCCTCTCAGCCCCACCTCCCTGCGTCCCTGCTATTGCAATTATTTCTGGTGAGCCCTGCTGGCTGAGTTTTCTAAAGGTACAGCCCTGACCATTATTAACCCTTGAAGAGCAAAATGCCAGGCAGGGGGTGGTAGCTCACGCCTGTAATCCCAGCACCTTGGGAGGCTGAGGCTGGCGGATCACCTGAGGTCAGGAGTTTGAGACCAGGCTGCCCAACGTGGGGAAACCCTGTCTCTACTAAAAAAAATACAAAAAATTAGCCAGACGTGGTGGTGGGCACCTGTATTCCCAGCTACTTGGTAAACTGAGGCAGGAAAATCGCTGGAACCTGGGAGGTGGAGGCTGCGGTGAGCTGAGATTGCGCCATTGTACTCCAGCCTGGGCAACAAGAGTGAAACTCCGTCACAAAAAAAAAAAAAAAAAAAAGAGCAAAATGCCAATAGTGCTGTGTCATAGGGGGCATACCTTCTATTTACAGATGCTTTTTCAGATCACAGGGACTAGGCAAAGAGAGGATTTTACTTTAATAACAAGCAGGTGCTTAGAATTAATGCAAGGGAGAAAAAGCCATGAAGGAATCTGAGCAAACAGTGGAGAATCCAGGTCAAAACCAGAGGAGACATTGGGCAGCATATCGAAGAAGGTTCTGGACCAAAGCCACTAGGAGCAGCTTTGTTCAATTCCATAGGGAAGCAAATTAGCATTTACTGAGCTCTTACTATATGTCAGGCGCTGCCGATGATATTTTAATATATTATTTAGTTCTCATTGAAAACCTGTGAGCTCCCATTTTGTGAATGAGTAAATTGAGGCTCAGAAAGAAGTAATTAATTAACTGAGGTGATTGTCCCAAATCACACAGGTAGTATGGGAAGGATCTGGGATTCAAACCCAGATTTCCCACATTCTCTATTTTACCTACTGCTAGAGAGAGGTATTTATTATCTTTGCCTTGACATAGACATCCTCCAGTGTGTGACACCCACACAGAAAGTTAAAGATTATTTCTAACATGTTTATAGAATAACCTGAATGTAAGAAATTTGTCATACCCCTTGAGAAGGTCCCAGAAAAAGCTCTGAACTTCACTGGACACAGAATCTACAGTCTATGCCATAGAAGCACCCACTAATTCTGCCCCCGAATCATCAACCCCTCATCATCAAGTCTAAACATCATCCCATCCACAATCCTTTTCAAGTACCTACACTTCTTTTTCTTTGAATTCTCTTAAAGATGACTCCAAATACCTATTCTCAGCCGGGCGCAGTGGCTCACTCCTGGAATTCCAACACTTTGGGAAGCCGAGGTGGGCGGATCACCTGAGGTCAGGAGTTCAAGACCAGCCTGGCCAATGTGGTGAAACTCCATCTCTACAAAAATACAAAAATTAACCAGGCATGATGGTGGGTGCCTGTAATCCCAGCTACTTGGGAGGCTGAGTCTGGAGAATCAGATCAGGAAGCTCTGCTGTTTTGGAGCTAAACTTGAAGCAGCGGGTTTGTGGGAGTCCAGCCTCTCTTTGCCTTTGCTGAGGGACACTGTCAAGGGATTCAGTTTTGCCCAGCTCAAAAGACCCCTGACTTCAGATCTCTTCTCAATCTGGCTGCCCTCCAGGGCACCCTCCTCTCTCCCTGCCCTCTCTAGGACTCTGGTACAGTCTCATCAGTGAGCTTGGGACTGGGGGTAGGGGGAGCAATGCAAAATGGAAGCTTTCAGCTCATTCTCCATTATCGCTCATTACAAGAAATGAAACCACCACTCACTTAGTTGCAAGCCAAAAACTTCATCATTTTCAATTCCTTTCTCTCTCTTATACACTATAATAATATTCAATCCAGCTGTGTGCGGTGGCTTACATCTGTAATCTCAGCACTTTGGGAGGCCGAGGAGAATGGATCACTTGAGCCCAGGAGTTCAAGACCAGCCTGGGCAACATAGAGAGACCCCCCCCCCCCATCTCTTCAAAAAATTAAAAAACTACCTGGGCATGATGGTGCATGCCTGTAATCCCAGTTACTCGGGAAGCTGAGGTGGGAGGATCACTTGAGCCCAGGAAACTGAGGCTATAGTGAGCCGTGATCATGCCACTGCATTCCAGCCTGGGTAACAGAGCAAGACCCTGTCTCGAAAACAGAAAAAAGAAAAAAAATTCCGTCCATTAGCCTGTTGCCTCTAACCTTTAAAATATATCCAGAATCTAATCATTTCTCACCATCTCCAGTGCTATCATCTCAAAGTCCCCATTGTCTGTTATTTGGATTCTTGTACTCCTAACTAGTCTTCCTGCTTTCACTCTTTTTTTTTTTTTTTTTTTTTTTTTTTTTTTTTTTTAGAACACTTGGAAGATACGGCCGGGTGTGGTGGCTCACACCTATAATCCCAGCACTTTGGGAAGGCCAAGGCGGGCGGATTACAAAGTCAGGAGTTCGAGACCAGCCTGGCCAACATGGTGAAACCCCGTCTCTACTGAAAATACAAAAATTGGCCAGGCTCAGTGGCTCACACCTGTAATCCCAGCACTTTGGGAGGCCGAGGCGGGCGGATCACGAGGTCAGGAGATCGAGACTAGCCTGGCTAACACGGCAAAACCCTGTCTCTACTAAAAATACAAAAAAAAAAAATTAGCTGGGCGTGGTGGCGGGCGCCTGTAGTCCCAGCTACCTGGGAGGCTGGGGCAGGAGAATGGCGTGAACCCGGGAGGCGGAGCTTGCAGCGAGCTGAGATGGTGCCACTGCACTCCAGCCTAGGCGACAGAGCAAGACTCTGTTTCAAAAAAAAAAAAAAAAGTTAGCCAGGCGTGGTGGCATGCGCCTATAATCCCAGCTACTTGGGAGGCTGAGGCAGGAGAATTGCTTGAACCTGGGAGTTGAAAGTTGCAGTGAGCTGAGACCACGCCATCGCGCTCCAGCCTGGGTGACAGAGTGAGACTCTGACTCAAAACAAAAACAAAACAAACAAACAAAAAAACAAAAAACACTTGGAAGATACCCAAGCAGGCAACTTGAAGGACAAGTGCCCCTGCTTCCATTCTTTCTCCCTTTCAGTCTATTTTCTGCACAACATCTAGAACAGCACTGGCTAGCTATAATTAATATAAATAAATTAAATAATTTATTATTTCATAAATAATTTATTATTAAATAAAAATAAATTGTTTATTTAATATAAAAAATAAATTTATGTTAATTAAAATTTCATTTCCAAAGTCATACTTGCACCATTTCAAGTGCTCAATAGCCAAATATTCAGCAAGGTGTGGTGGCTCATGCCTTTAGTCCCAGCTACTAGGGGGGCTAATGCTGGAGAATTGCTTGAGCTCAGGAGTTTGAGGCCAACCTGGGCAACACAGCAAGAACCCATCTCTCAAAATAATAAAGATAGCCACACATGGCCAGTGGCTACCGTACTGGGCAGAGTAGACACCGGGCATTTTCATCATTGCCAGAGTTCTATTGGATGGAACTGATCCAGAGTGAGCCCTTTAATATTTCAGTCAGATCATGTCTCTCACCTACTCAAAATGCTCCAATGACCTCCCATTACACTTAGAAAAAAATTCAGACCTGACCATAATCTACAGACATTATGTAACCAGGCCCCCTGCTATGCCTCCAATCTCATTTCCTATCGCTCTCTCTGCCTCTCACTCACTTCCAGACACAGACACCGGCTTCCTTGACATCCCTTTTTTTTTTTTTTTTTTTGAGACAGAATCACTCTCTGTTCCTCAGGCTGGAGTGCAGTGGTGTGATCTTGGCTCACTACAACCTCCACCTCCCAGGTTCAAGCAATTCTCGTGCCTTAGCCTCCCGAGTAGCTGGGACTACAGGTATGTGCAACCATGCCTGGCTAATTTTTGCATTTTTAGTAGAGATGGGGTTTTGCCATGTCGGCCAGGCTAGTCTCGAACTCCTGACCTCACGTGATCCACCTGCCTTGGCATCCCATAGTGCTGAGATTTACAGGCTTGAGCCACTGCGCCCAGCCGACATCTCTTGAATACACCGAGCTTGCTTCTTCTTCAGGGCCTTTGCACTTGCTGTTCTCTTTGCTGTGAACACTCTTTCCTTAAATAATCACGTGACCCACTCTCTCACTTCATTTAGATCTCTGCTCAAATCTCCCCTCCCTGAAAAGGAGTCACATCCTCTCCCTCCACTCCTAGTCACTCTCTAGTTACGTTGTCTGTTCTTTCTCTCTCTCTCTGTCTCTGTCTCTTTGTCTCTCTCTGTCTCTCTCCATATAGCAATCCTTTCACCTCAGCCTCCCAAGTAGCTTGGGAATACAGGCACACTCCACCACACCCAGCTAACTTTTTGTATTTTTTGTAGAGACAGGGTTTCGCTATATTGCCCAGGCTGGTCTCCAATGCATGGGCTCAAGTGATCTTCCCATCTTGGCCTCCCAGAGTGCTAGGATTATAGGCGTGAGCCCCTGTACCCGGCCTGCTCTTTATTTTTCAGTAGTACTTCTCACTGCCTAACATTGCATAATATATTCATTTGTTTATTTTCTGTCTCTCCCACTACAACCCTTGCTCCGTGAAGACAGAGTCTTTGTGGTTTTGTTCATTGCACTATCTTCTTGTGCCCAGAACACCACTTGGCACACAGGAGGGACTCAGTGAATGGTTATTGATTGATTAAATGAATGGCTCTGCAGATGCCTCTGAGGCAAATAATTACATAAGACTTAGCTACCTTCTTGGAATGGAGAAGATGAAAAAAATGAAGAGGGAACAAGTGTCTGGCAACCATAGGGGTGTCTCTGCCCCTCACTGGGCCTCTCCTACCTCCTTGAGTCTCCTTAATAAATTATCCTGTTGTAAGTCTATATTATAGAATTTGGTATATACACTGTGTCTTATGCTTCTGTAAGGCTTGTTTTGAAAATGTGAATTTGTTCCAAAGCGATTGATATATTAGGGAGCAATTTGAGCAAAAATGCAATTTTTTTTTTTTTTTTGAGACAGTCTCTCTCGGTTTCCCAGGCTAGAGTACAGTGGCGTGATCCCTCAGCTCACGGCAACCTTCACCTCCCGGGTTCAAGCGATTTTCGTGTCTCAGTCTCTTGAGTAGCTGGGATTACAGGCATGCGCCACCATGCCGGGCTAATTTTTGTATTTTTAGTAGAGACTTGGTTTCACCATGTTGGCCAGACGGGTTTCGAACTCCTGACCTCAAGTGATCCACTCGCCTCGGCCTCCCAAAGAAAAATGCAAATTTCATGTTTGTTTCTGGTAAGTGCAGAAAACCACACCCAGCTGAACCAGCCCACAGAGGAATACATAAAACCTGGACAAACAGCATGCATAACACATCTGCATGTGGTGTTAACTTCCCACTACATTTCAGATAACTCTCCTTCCACTGCTTCACAATAACTCGCAAGCTGCAACTGTTCTGATACCTACTTCCACAAGCAAACTTCAGGTCTTTTTCAAGGGAAAGTGCCATATTTACTATAGTATTTATGTTTTTCTTTTCTTTTTTTTTTTTTTTTCTGAGACAGAGTCTTGCTCTGTCGCCCAGGCTGGAGTGCGGTGGCGCAATCTCGGCTCACGGCAACCTCCGCCTCTTGGGTTCAAGCAATTCTCCTGCCTCAGCCTCCTGAGTAACTGGGATTACAGGTATGCGCCACCACACCCAGCTAATTTTTGTGTTTTTAGTAGAGATAGGGTTTTGCCATGTTGGCCAGGCTGGTCTTGAACTCCTGACCTCAAGTGATCCACCCTCCTTGGCCTCCCAAAGTGCTGGGATTACAGGTGTGAGCCACTGTGCCTGGCCTTTATGTTTTTCTTAATGACTTAACATCTGTAAAGCTCTGCTATTATTTTTGTTGTTGTTGTTATTTGTTTTTTTTTGTTGTTGTTTTGAGACAGAGTCTCACTCTCTTGCCCAGGTTGGAGTGCAATGGAGCTATCTTGGCTCACTGCAACCTCCACCTCCTGGGTTCAAGTGATTCTCCTACCTCAGCCTCCCAAGTAGCTGGGATTACAGGCGCCCACCACCACACCTGGCTAATTTTTTTTGTATTTTTAGTAGAGACGGGGTTTCTCCATGTTGGCAAGGCTGGTCTCGAACTCCTGACCTCAGGTGATCTGCCCACCTTGGCCTCCCAAAGTTCTGGGATTACAGGCGTGAGCCACCGTGCCCAGCTAGTTTTCAATGTGTCACTGATGAAGTTTTCAGTGTTGTGCCCCATTTCTTCCCATAAGCCCTGAGGGATTTTGCATAGCTTGGTGATATTCTAGGTGCACACATGTCACCTTATAACATAATTGACTACACTTGGGTACACCTAACCTCTCTCCCAAATCCCAACTAGATGGAAAGCACCTTAAGGACAGGGACTGGCCAGGCAAACTGGCTCACACCTGTATTCCCAGCACTTTGGGAGGCTGAGGTGGGAGGATTGCTTGGGCTCAGAAGTTTGAGACCATATGGGGAACATAAGGAGACCACATCTCTATAAAAAAATTAAAAAATTAGTCTGACATGATGGTGCATGCCTGTGGTCCCAGGTACTCTGGAAGCTGAGGTGGGAGGATCGCTTGAGCCCAGGAGGTTGAGGCTGCAATGAGCCGGCATCATGCCACTGCACTCCAGCCTGGGTGACAGAGTGAGACTCTGTCTCAAAAAAGACAAAGAAAAAGAAAAAAGGACAGGGACTATGTTTTATTCAGTTTTGAATCCCCAAAACTTCCCAAGACAGTAGCTTGGCACTTACTTGACGCTCCCAAAATATTTGTTGCTCAGTTGACTGCACTGCACCTTAGGCTTCTTTCAGTACATCCCTGAAAAACTGAGCTTGGAACAGGGGTGGTAAGGAAAGAACTCTGAAAAATACAAAGGTCTTTGCCCTCCCAAAGCAGCCTCCCAACAAGGCCCTCAGCAATGGAGAGTCCCCGGGCAGCAGAGGAAGGGAGACACAGGGTCCCAGATGTCATGCCAGCAGGTGGCCCCCACCCCCAGCCCACCCAGCAGCACCCTGCGAAGAGGCCCCCAAAAAGATATATTAACATCACAAAACTTAACGGACCAGAAAGGGGAAAAATTAACATAAATTACCTTCAGCTGAAATCCTGCCTTCTTTGGCAGCTAGAGAACAAGTTTGATGCGGTGCCTGAGGAAAATCAGGCCTTGGAAAGCAGCGGCCTTAATGGGCTAAAATATCACCTCTGACCCTCCCCCGAAACAATAACTCCCCAGTCGTCTGGGCCTAGTAACAGATAATGCAGGGTGAGCGGCAGGAGGAGGCTGGTTTACTTAGGCAGCTTTCTGGCCGGTCCTTTGTCCAGCGTGGGCTTTGTGTTGCTTTTTTGGGGGGTGCAGTGCTTTTATTTGTTTTATATGTACATAGTTATATATATTTTAGAGACAAGGTCTCACTGTTGCCCAGGCTGGTCAAGAACTCTTGCTCTCAGGTGATCTCCCCGCCTTGGCCTCCTAAAGTGCTGGGATCACAGGTGTGACCCACTGCACCCAGCAGGCTGTGCAGTGCTTTTCGTGGGGAGATGGAAACTTCTCTCTGTCTGGGAATGGTAGGAGTGTCTCTTCCCATCCCTGGGCCTCTCCTATCTCCTTGAGTCCTGATAGTGAGAGAAGCATCTTTACTAGAAATTACCTGCAAGGCCTCTTTGGATGCTAAAGGTCGATCTCCCTGCCACTCCCCATTCCCCATTTCCCCTGACGCAGGACTTAGATGGGCTACAACGAGGCTTGTTCAGGCTTGTTCGGAGAGAAAGCAGAGTTTGCAGGGTGAGGGGCTGGGGGAAAGAGAGAGGAGGTATGAGAAGGAGGAAAGTGAGCGAGTGCAGCAAGGCAGCAAGCTGGCATTAGAGAAGAGAAGATGGGCAGTGTCTGAGAGATGCCTTGTGGTAGGAACGACTAGGGCACTTTCAGGAACAGCAAGGTCCAAGACAATTTTAAGTTGCTGGCTGAGCTGTGTTGTGTGGCCCCTTCTGTTCCCCTCAAAGCTTTTAGCAAAAGTCTGCCACACGTGGCCTTGAATGAGGGATGCTTCGGAGGGGGCAGATGGAGGCAGCAGGAGAGGAGAAAGGGGCAAGACACACGGTAGGTCAAGAATTCAGCAGAAACAAGAAATAAGGTCAAATATTTTTATAGAACTTATGGGATGGCAAATACAGTTCTAAATGCTTTATGTTCCTATATTACTGGTAATTCATTTAATCCTCATACCAATCTTACAAAGGAGGAAGTAGGCTGGGCATGGTGGCTCACACCTGTAATCTTAGCACTTTGGGAGGCCAAGGCAGGCAGATCACGAGGCCAGGAGTTCAAGGCCAGCCTGACCAACATACTGAAACCCCATCTCTACTAAAAATATAAAAATTAACCAGGCATGGTGGCGCGTGCCTGTAGTCCCAGCTACTTGGGAGGCTGAGGCAGGAGAATTGCTTGAACCTGGGAGGCGGAGGTTGTGGTGAGCCAAGATCGTGCCACTGCACTCCAGCCTGGGCAACAAAGCTAGACTCCATCTCAAAAACAAACAAACGACAACAACAACAACAAAAGGAGGAAGTATTATTATCCCCGTTTTATAGATAAGGAAACAGAGACACAAATAAGTTAAATAACTTGTCCAAGGTAAATGGCAGAGCTAGGATGTGAACCCAGGTTCCAAAGCCATTTCCTTACACATTACACACTTCTAGCAGGGCCCAGAGGCACGTGCCTGTAGTCTCAGCTACTCAGGAGGCTGAGGCAGGAAGATTGCTTGAGCCCAGAAGTTCCAGGATATGGTGTGCCATGATCATGCCTATAAATACTCGTTGCACTCCAGCCTGGGCTACATAGTGAGACCCACACCTCTTAAAAACAACAACAAAATCACACACTTCCGCCCCTCAGAAACCCTCAAAGGCACAGGATTCAGGACATGAGTTTTCCATTGTACATGGGGATAGGGGGCAGTGCGTGTCCATCTAGCTTAACACAGAGGGAAGGATGACCCCAGGAGGCTGGGAGACTCGAGTCAACCCAAGTGTCTCATAGTTGGGCTACATTTAAATTTGGAAGAGGGGGCCAGGTGATGCCTAAAGTTTTTTCCTGCATTAAGGGGGTCTGTGAGTCCAAGACAGGCATCCCATCCTGGAAGAGGTTGTGATGTCATTGTGGAGGGGACACATATCTCCAAGTAGAATAGCTCTCTGTGGAACAGTCAGAGAACCTGCAAGGCAACAAGGCAGTAAAGGATCCAGTGTGAGGTCTTTGGGTGAAAACGATGTATGCCAGATAAAGTGCCTTATGGGAAGAAAGAGGCAGGGAGACTTCATGGAGGAGGTGGCGGCATGCTGTAGCAGTAAGGCCTCCTGCAGAGCCCTCAGCCAGCATCACAAAGCTCTGAAGTCTGTTTCAAGCATTTCCCAGTCCTGGCTCCTTTTCTTCAGGCTACTCCTGGCTCTCTCTGTTCCATTTCCCAGACTTCCTCTTCTCAAGTCAGCAAATCACAGGGGAGCAGGGTGGTCAGAGGCTGGGCTCTGACTGGGCTCTGACTACTACTAACTCATGAGTCAGTAGAAAAGCCTTCTGTTCCTGAAAATGGTCTGCAAACTGAATTTGAAGGGAAATTTCGACTTCCCATCCCAAATTATCTTTGCTTAACGTTTGTTTCTTAATTGAGATATAATTCACATGCCATAATATTCACCATTTTAAAATGTACAATTCAGTGGTTTTTAACGTATTCACAAATTGTGCAACCATCATCACTATCTAATTCCAGAACGTTTTCATCACCCCAGAAAGAAACCCTGTACCCATTACCAGTCACCCGTCAGCTCTGACAACCAGTAATCTACTGTCTTTATGGATTTGCCTATTCCGGACGTTTCCTATGGATAAAATCATGCACTATGTAATCTTTTGTTTGGTTTCCTTCACTCACTGTGATGTTTTTAAGCGTCCTCCATGTTTCAGCACTTCATTCCCACTGGCTCCTGGCTGAAACAGCTTCTGTTTCAGATAAACTGATCCGTATTCATCTGTCTCATTTTCAGGGAGGCATTTTGTTCTGTGACTTCAGCTCTCTGATGGATCAAATAAAAGTTGTTGATTTTCCATTTATTTGACTTTTTGACTTTTTCCTTATTGCAAGGAAGCTGTTTCTTGTTTGTTTGTTTGTTTGTTTGAGATGGAGTCTCACTCTGTAGCCCAGGCTGGAGTACAGTGGTGTGATCTCGGCTCACTGCAACCTCCGCCTCCTGGGTTCAAGTGATTCTTGTGCCTCAGCCTCCCAAGTAGCTGGGATTACAGATGTGCACCACCACCCCCAGCTAATTTTTGTATTTTTTAGTAGAGACAGAGTTTCACCATGTTGGCCAGGCTGGTCTCGAACTCCTGACGTCAAGAGATCCACTCACCTCAGCCTCTCAAAGTGCCGGTTTATAAGACGTGAGCCACCGCACCCAGCTGGAAGCTGGGATTTTGATAGAAATTGTGTTGAATCTGTAGATCGATTCTGGGAGTATTGCCATCTTAACAATATTGTCCTCCATGAACACAGGATATCATTCCATTTATCTAGGTTTTTGCTAATTTCTTTAGACCTTTTTGGTTATTTTTCAGTACCTTTGCATTACTGTTGCACTGCCGTGGCTCAGCTGCTACAGAGCTGAAAGGTTAAGATATGAGAAGGGATGAAAGAGGTTGTCATCATTTCTCAGCCAAGGGCAAGACCAGGAATCCCCCGGGGGTGACCCATACTGATGCTGGGCAGTTACCAAAGGGCCTTCATCAAAGTGCTGGGCACAGCTGCTGGTCAGCATGCATCTAGCTCTGTCCCTCTCTGGGCCACTCACTGACTCTCAGCTCTTGAATGCTGAGATAAGGAATCTCTCAGGCTCATTATTCCAGGAAAGCACCTTCTTGGGCCAGCCTTGGAGCAGCAGCCCCAGTGACCCTGAAGTCTGGCCCCCAGCTCCTGTCCTTGGAATTTCTCCTGCCAAGAGAGACAAGATGTCTTCTCCAGGAATGTCATTGGCAGAGAGGGCTAGAATCATGCAAATTATATTTTCAAGCCTTTCCCTAATCACATCAAAGTCTTTTACAAGGAGTCTTCTGGCCTAATTGGAGTTTGATAATTACAAATTATTTCTAGCAGAAATGCTGACTGTGGGAAAGCAGGTTGGAGCAAATTTGATTCATATTAAAGCCATGGTCAGATCATCATGAACCTTCAGGGTATTTATTTTTCCACCAGCTTCTCCCTGGTTCCCCCACCTCCCTCTTTGTCCTGGCTGAGCTGGAGACTCGCCTAATACAAATAACTGCATTAAAATAAAATCATGAGAAAGCTCAGGGGAACATGCCTGAGTAATGGAGAAGATAATAAGCCTGGACAACCACCCCAGTCTTCTCATCTTACTCCCTCAAGGCAGGAGAAGATTCACAACTGATTTGGGATCATTTCTAACAGTAAACAGGAGGGAGACTAGAGCTTAAGTGGTTTAAATAAAAAATCGTAATAATGTAGCAGATTGCTATCACTCCACTGATCGTCACTCAGTCCCTACATCTCTGAAGTAATTTATACTTTCTACATTATGATGGGAGGAGCTGTGGGTGTTTTTCAGAACAAAGAGACAAAGCTGTGAGAAAGGAACTAACACAGAAATGGCTTTGTTCACTCATTCATTCATTCTTCCTTTCATTCCTCAAGCATCTGAACTGACTCTGTCCTAGGCATTGTACTGGCTGCAGGAGATGCAGAGATGGGGAGGTGGGGGACTATCCCTGCCCCCCAGTTGCTCTTAGAATAAGGGGAGGAAGAGGCCATGCATGGTGGCTCACGCCTGTAATCCCAACGCTCTGAGAGGCCGAGGCAGGCTCATTGCTTGAGCCCAGGAGTTCGAGACAAGCCTGGGCAATATGGCAAGACCCTATCTCTACAAAAAATACAAAAAAATTAGCTGGGCATGGTGTCATGCACCTGTGGTCCCAGGTACTCAGGGGGCTGAGGTAGGAGGATGGCTTGAGCCCGGGAAGTTGAGGCTGCAGTGAGCCAAGACTGCTCCATAGCATTCCAGCCTGAGCAACTGTGCAAGACTCTGTCTTAAAAAAAAAAAAAAACAGCAGGGGGAGGCAGATGAGATGTGTAGTAGATGTGTAGCCAGATAAGCCACAGCACCTGCAAATTGTGTTGCTCCCAAGAATCTGCCCCTTAAGACTCTTCCCCTGCCCTGCACAGTGGCTCATGCCTGTAATCCCAGCCTTTTGGGAGGCCAAGGTGGATAGATAGCTTGAGTCCAGGAGTTCGCGACCAGCCTGGGCAACATGGTGAAATTTCATCTCTACCAAAAATACAAAAATTAGCCGGGTGTGCCAGCACATGCCTGTGGTCCCAGCTACTCAGCCAACTGAGGTGGGAGGATCACTTGAGCCCAGGAAACAGAGGTTGCAGTGAGCTGAGATTGTGCCACTACACTCCAGACTGGGTGACAGAGCAAGACCCTCTCAACAAAACAAAACAAAACAAAACAAAAAAACCCACCTCTTCCCCTAGCTTGGGTTAGGTTGGACAGGGAGGTTGAAGGGGGATCATCTCACCTTTACCTTTAGGAGCTGGAAATTAGAGCTGCTAATGCACCATTTTATTATTTATTTATTTATTTATTTATTTATTTATTTATTTATTTAGAAGCTCTGTCACCCAGGCAGGAATGCAGTGGCGTGATCTTGGCTCACTGCAACTTTTGCCTCCTGGGTTCAAGCGATTCACCTGCCTCAGCCTCCCAAGTAGCTGGGATTAGCCACCACGCCTGGCTAACTTTTTGTATTTTTAGTAGAGATGGGGTTTCACCATGTTGGCCTGGCTGGTCTTGAACTCCTGACCTCAAGTGATCCACCCACCTCGTCCTCCCAAAGTGCGGGGATAACAGGTGTGAGCCACCATGCCTGGGCCACCATTTTAAAAAGAAGTAAATGAACAAGAGAAAGAAAGAAGGGAAGGATAGAGGAGGCAGGAGGGTTGTTATTCCCTACAGGAGGACTTCGTCATTGATCTAGTAGCTTTGGAATGGACAATTCTCTTGGTCTAGAGGTCCAATTCTTTGGAGACAGAATGTGTCTCCAGAGGTGAAGGAGATGATCAGGAGATCATGAAGAAAACCAAGAAGGGTGCCTGAACCTAAAAGGCAAAGTTTGGTAGGAGCTGCTGCCAATAACAGGGTGCTCCTCCCTGCCTGCCTGCCCAAGAGAGGTGAGAATGAGGAAGAGGGTGGCTAAGAAGGGTCTTGAGGCCAGTGGAGAAGCATCAGGGGACGCAGCTCTCATTCCAAGCCAGCAACAGCAACATTCCACGGAGGGGCAAATCCCTGTGGGCTGCCTCCAAATATCTATGGCTTTTTATTGTTGGGCACCATGGCCATGATTTCAGCTCCTCCTGGATTTTTGGTGACAGTCCTGCTCAAATCTTCTCTCAGTGTGAAATGGATTGCTGCATTTCCAGGGCTTAATTGTCCACACTAGCTAAAAGCACTCTGCCAGTAATGAAAATACATCCACTCTTTTTATCAAGAAAAAAGGATAATAACTCAGCCAGCTTTAGCCTACATTTTATTGAACATCAGCTGAGCTTGTTTCCAAGGACATCTGTGATGCAAAGCACAGAAGGCTGCTGGTAGGGTGGGGGTGGGGGCACAGGAGGTGCTGAGAAAAGGTCTGGGGAACAAAGAGCCCAAGGGTACCCTCCTTACTCCCTCAGAACACACAGCTTTCCAAAATGACAGATGTGCCTTCCCGGGAGCTGGAGCATGTGACTACTTAAAACTTAAAATCCTTTTGTTTTTCATGTAAGATGAATGACAACTATAGCAATAATAATAATCATGGCACATCAAGGGACATGCAGATATGCTCTCACTTGATTCTTACAACCTCCCTGAATGGCCAACAGGACAAACGTTATTGCATCATTTTTATGGATAATGAAACTGAGACTGAAGGAAGGAAAGGTGACACCCAGTGTCATCAGTTAGTATTAAAGTCGGTGTCTGTTGCCTGAGCTGGGCAGTCTTTCCATGGCTCCTCACCCAGAGGTGGGGTGGGTCCTGGAGAGCGGGGGATGCTGGAGGGGGTTCCTGGTAAGGATAAGGCCCTTAGGGATTTATCCAGTTCGAAAGACTGCATTCAAAGAAGCTAAAGCAAGCTCTGCCATCCCTCAGTTCCACCTCTATAACCTCCTCTTACACCAATGCTCTGGCCACACTGACCTCCTGTGGCTGATACTCCTGATCACCTACTTATAGGTAGGCCTTTCCCATTTCTTTGCTTAATGAAGCTTAATTTTGCTTCCAGAAGCCTGGGTTTTAAATTTATTTATTTTTCTTACATATACATCTTTTATTTCTTTTTCTTACCTTATTTCACTAGTTAGGACCTCCAGTACAGTGTTGAATGGGGGTTTGTGTTTTCTTTCTTTTTTTTCCATGCTTACTATTTTCCTGACCTTGAACTCCTGGGCTCAAGCAATCCTCCTGCTTCAGCTTCCTGAGTAGCTGGGATTATTGGCACACGCCACTGCACTCTGCTCACAGAAGCCTGGTTTTTGTCAGAAATGGAGAACATTGGTTCTTCACTAAAGTTCTACAGAAGCTAGGTTTCTCCCTTGCCCAGCTCTAAACCAGTCTTAGTAATCCCATTCCTTTTGCTAATGACTGGTTTAGGAATGGGCGTGTTGTGTAATTTTCTTATGCTATGAGATGTGAAGAGGAATCTGTGCAGGGTTGTGGGAAGGGTTGCCTTGTTCTGAAAAGGAGCGAGTTTGCACTGTTCTCTCTGCTTTTGGACACTGCATGGAGATGAGGATGTAATGGGAGATTGGAGCTTTGGCTGCCATCTTGGTGTCTGGAAGGAAGCCAGCCCAAGAGAATGGCTGAGCAGAAAGAAGGACATAACCTAGCCCTTGATAATGTTGATTTGCTAAACTAAACAAACTTAGAACCCTGTCCCCATGGCCCCCAGGCTTCTTTATGTGAAGGCAATAAAATTCCTTCTTGTTTGTGCCATTTTGAATTGGGACTTCTCTTTCTACTAAAAACATTCTAAATGATACACCTCCTTTCTGCTCCTCAAACCCTCCAAGTTCATTCTCATTTCAGGTGTCTTCACTTGCTGTTCCCACTGTCTGGAACAGGATTCCACCAAATCCCCCCATGGCTGTCCCCTTCTTATCATTCAGGCCTCAGCCCAAAGTTCCTTCTCCAGAGAGACCTTCTATAAGCTACCAATCTTCCAGTCACTATGTGTTCTTTATATAATTTGTTAATATCAGAAGTTATCTTTTTATTTATGCTTACTATTTTACTCACTAGAGTGTAAGCTCCATGTGAGTAAGAACTGTGATCGATTTGCTCATCGCTGTACTCCCAGCAACTGACACAGGGCCTAGCACATAGTAGGTGCTCAATAAATATTTGATGAACGAATGAATAAGCCCCAGAGACAATCTCATCATCCTGTTCCCCAATCTTCCTTTCCCCCATGCTGTGTGTAGTGTGTCCATACCACTGGCCTTTCATCAATTCCTTTTGCAGGTCCAGAAAGAAATAAAGAAGGCAGTAGAGAAGGAAAACATCAGAAACGCAAAATTATTTTAGGCTTAAATGTAAAAGGAGAACAGGCTGATTGCATAACATATGTAGATATATGCAAATTACCATGCAAGTTAAATAGAAGAGAAGTTTGAAGTGGTGGGAAATCCAAAGGCCCATGTTGGGTGTGTTTTCCTTTTCCCTGGGAAGCAGTATCGACTTCTCAGTCTTAGAAAGTGGGGGTGCTGACGCACAGTGAGAGGAAAAGCAGTTGAGAGTTACACAAGTAACAAAGAATTTAATTTAGCTGTTGTTTTTCTAAGAGACAGAAATTAAAAACATTCCACTTATCCACTCTAAATAGTAGGACTAGGAAGCATAAAACTCTCTTCGGTTTTACATGACGGCCAACTAAGATTACAGAGGCAGAGGGAGAAGGAAACAGGGAGAAGAAGAAAGACAAGAGAACAAGAGACGACCTGCAAATTGCCCCAGTCCTTCAGAGGCAATAACCAAATCCATGTGATAATAATCCTTTACATTCACAGAAAAAAACAAAAACCACACTTACACAAACAGCCTTCTGGGATTATAAAAAACAGGTGAGAGGGGCATGGCCGGGTGCAGTGGCTCACACCTGTAATCCCAGTGCTTTGAGAGGCCAAGGTGAGAGGATCTTTTTGTTTGTTTGCTTGTTTTTTGTTTTTTGAGACAGTCTCACTCTATTGCCCAGGCTGGAGTGCAACGGCACAATCTCAGCTCACTGCAACCTCCACCTCCTGGGTTCCAGCAATTCTCCTGCCTCAGCCTCCCAAGTAGCTGGGATTACAGGCACCCACCACCACGCCCAGCTAATTTTTTACATTTTTAGTAGAGATGGGGTTTTGCCATGTTGACCAAGCTGGTCTCAAACTCCTGACCTCGTGATTCGCCTGCCATGGCCTCTCAAAGTGCTGGGATTACAGGCATGAGCCACCGCACCCAGCCTCTAGGTTATTACTGATTTCAAACATTCGGAGCCAGTGTCCCCATATCACCAGCTCCTGTGCTGTTGCTCTGGCCATCATCGGGTCTCACTTTGGTTTCCGCAATAGCCTTGTGACTGGTCTCCCCACTCCTAACCTGGCCTTTCTCCTGGCTGTTCTCCACACAGCAGCCCCAGCCATCCTGTTAAAAGGAAGGCAGAGCTTGTCTCTTCTCTGCTCTAAACCCTGCCCTGGCTTCTTCACCCAGAGAATGAACCAAGTCCCTGCAATGGCCTACAGGGGCTACAGCCCTGGTCCTCTGACCTCCTCTCCTCCCCACCCTCCTGCTCATCCAGCTCCAGCCACACTGCCCTCCCTTCCTGCTCCACACCTCACCCACAATCCCACGCCAGCCTTTGCTCTCTGCCTCCCTCTGCCCAGAGGGCTGCCCTTGTGCCCTGACATCCTCTTGGCTCACTCCCTCATCTTGGCAGGTCTTGACTTAATCATCACTCTCATCCAGGCCTTCCCCAGCTACCCCATTTAAAACTGCAAACTTGGGAGGACATGGTGGCTCACGCCTGTAATATCAGCACTTTGGGAGGCCGAGGAGGGTGGATCGCTTGAATCCAGGAGTTGGAGACCAACCTGGGCAACATAGTGAACCCCCATCTCTACAAAAAATACAAAAATTAGCTGGGTGTAGTGGTGTGCACCTGTAGTCACAGCTACTAAGGAGGCTGAGGTGGGAGGATCACTTGAGTCTGGGAGATTGAGGCTGCAGTGAGCTGAGAGCATGCCACTGCCCTCCAGCCTGGGCAACAGAGCAATATCTTACCTCAAAATAAATAAATAAAAGTGCAAACTCAACTGAGCTCAGTGACTCGCACCTGTAATTCCAGCACTTAGGAAGGTTGAGTGGGGAAGGCTCATTTGAGACCAGGAGTTCAAGACCAGCCGGGGCAACATAGCAAAACCTCATCTCTACAAAATAAAAATTTAAAACTTACAAGGAGGAGAAGAAAAAAATATAAAGAATTAAAAACTTAGCCAGGTGTGGTGGTGCTACAACTTCTGAGTAGTTGTAGCTACTTAGAAGGCTCAGGCAGGAGAATCTCTTGAGCCCAGGAGTTGGAGGCTGCAGTGAGCTTTGATGTTGCCATTGCACTCTGGCCTGGGCAACAGACAGTGAGGCCCTGTCTCTAACGGATAAAACAAAACCACAAACTCCTCTGCCCTCCACGCTCCCCACCCTCTTTCCCTGCTTTATTTTTCTCCATGGCTCTTACTCTCTAACTTATTGCATATTTTGTGTATTTGTCGTTTATTGTCTGTCCCTGTAGAATAAAAGATCCGGGAGAGCAGGGACTTTTGTCTGTTTTGCTGATTGCTGTCTCCTCAGTCCCTTGAAAAGAGACTGACAAATTAAGCCCTCAAAAAGTTACAAAGGCTGGGCGCGGTGGCTCATGCCTGTAATCCCAGCACTTTGGGAGTCCAAGGCAGGCGGATCACAAGGTCAGGAGATCGAGACCATCCTGGCTAACACAGTGCAACCCTGTTTCTACTAAAAATACAAAAAATTAGCCGGGTGTGGTGGCACGTGCCTGTAGTCCCAGCTACTCAGAAGGCTGAGGCAGGAGAATCACTTGAACCCGGAAGGTGGAGGTTGCAGTGAGCCGAGATCACGCCACTGCACTCCAGCCTGGGCAACAGACCAGGACTTGGTCTCAAAAAAAAAAAAAAAAAAAAAAAAGTGTTTGCTGATGGTCCTTTAATTTGGATTAACTTAGTTTTTTTGTTTTGTTTTGTTTTGTTTTAAAAACATGACATTACTCTCATTTTTGTTATCTTAGGGAGAACCAGTGAAGACTTTCTCACAGGCTCAGAGGGAGCTTCACACTCATGCTTGAGAAGCCTGACCCAGAGGCTGTAAGTCCCTGGAGACAATTCCTGGCTCTGAACCCCCAGACTGGTCCCAGAAAGGGTAGGCCCTCTTTGACACTCAGCTCACATCGGCTAGGTGCCTGAACAGCAAATGTCAGTGCCTCCTCCTAAACGCAGGCAGATTTACTTTGCAGACGGTGAGGGTGCATTTTAATTTGTTGATGTGAAATCTTAATTGAACTAAACTGCTAGAGGTAGTCTCTGTTCTCTGTCATAGTCTTAATTTAGTTGGCAAAACAAGATATCATCAGAGGAAAATCACAGGCAAAGACGCCGTGCCCAGAGGGTTTGAGGAACACCCTTCTGTGCTTGGAGGTGGGCTGGTGTGTGACTGGCACCAGCACGAACCCCATCCCCACACCTTCAGATGCCAACTCGGCTTTCCAGGGATACTCAGGCAGCATCACAAGGGCTCAGACACTTGGGACCCCCACAGCAGCCAGACTCCACATGACTCCCTGTCATGTTTTCAAAGCTCTATTTTTAGTATGAAAGCAGGGAGATGAAGGCTTTCTTACCTGAAGGCACAGAAGTGTGGGAGGTGGCAGGTCTATCACTCACTTGCTGTGAGACCTTGACATTTCGCCTACCTGTGCCTCAGTTTCCCCATCTGTGCATCAAGGAGGCTGGAATCCATGTTCCTATTCTTTATTTTTATTTTTTGAGACAGGGTCTTACTCTATTGCCCAGGCTGGAGTGCAGTGGTGCAATCATAGCTCACTGGCTCACTCACTGTAACCTGGAACTCCTGGGCTCAAGCGATCCTCCTGCCTCAGTCTCCCAAGTAGCTGGGACTACAGGTGTGCACCACCACAACTGGCTAATTTTTAAATTTTTATTGTGGAGACAGGGGCTCGCTATGTTGCTGACACTGGTCTCAAACTTCTGGACTCAAGTGATTCTCCCACTTCAACCTTCCAAAGTGCTAGGATTACAGGCATGAGCCACCGTAACTGGCCTCTAACCTGAGTTCTCGGCCATGGCATCTGCTCAGCCATTTGCCTCCCTGTCTCCTACGGGGGGGTCAGGCTGAAGGCCTTTCACTGAAGTGGCCTCATCCCTGACCCACAGAATCACAGGTTGCCATTGCCTTGGCCTGGGAGGGAGCCTTAGCAATCATTCTCTTGATGGCAGAGATACCCACCCCATCCCTTTCCCAGACCCCTCTCTCCAGAGGCCTTCTACACATGTTGCTTGTCCCACTGCAGCTTATGTCTATCAGGCCTGTCCATATCTGGAGAAGACCCTGAGGTCTTGCTCCAAGACGTATAGGCTGGCTGGCAGGAATCGGGCCCCTTGGACAGTCCAGCCCAGATTCCTGCATTATCTTATTCCCAGGAAAGCCTCTGCGGGGATTTCCCAGGGAAGTGACTCAGGGCTTGGTGTCTCCCCACAGCTGTGAAAGAACTGGGGGCAGATTCATGGAGGGCAGGTTCCTGAGCTGGCAGGTCCTTACCCTGCTCCCTCATTGGCTGCCACAGAAGGGCCGCCATAGGCCCCCGTCACCTACATTTAGTCACAAGTTCTCATGCTGGGAACCAGGCGCCAGGAGGTTTAGGAAAGAGGCAATTCCTTGCAGAAGAAAGATCACAGCTTTGCAGTAGAAACCACCTGGCAAGTGCCTTCTGTTCACTGAGCCTGTTTCTTCATCTGTTAGGTGGGGATAATTATACCTGTCTCAGGGAACTGTTGTGAGAATGAGATGACATAATGCTTCTTTTTTTTTTTTTTTTGAGACGGAGTCTTGCTCTGTCGCCCAGGCTGGTGTGCAGTCGCGCGATCTTGGCTCACTGCAAGCTCCGCCTCCCGAGTTCACACCATTGTCCTGCCTCAGCCTCCTGACATAATGCTTCTAGAGTGTGCAGCACTGTGCCTGGTCCATAGCCTGCCATCTCCAAATGGGAGCCGTTGACGCCATTATTAGTATTGAAGTTCTAGCTCAGTGCCTGGCTAGGAATCTGCTGAATAAATGAAACTGTTATATTCAGCCACCAGAGGATACGCAGAGCTGCAGCTTCTTTCAACTCTTTGGAGACCATAGCGATCTCCACATCACACAGACACAGGCTGGGAGACTCCTCTCTCCCCTAATTCCTCTGTCCCATGCTCTGCTTCTGCCTCAGTCCGGGAGGAAGCCAGCACCAGGGAAACTCTGATGTCTGTTTGGCAGGGTGAGGGCATTTGAGAGATAAACTGTCAGCTCTGCCTCCCTCCACACTTGGTGGAAGATGGAAATGGCCTTTTCCCATCACAGAATGGAAAGTTTAATGATGCTAAGCTAAAGTCATCAGGGCTTCTTACACAGGAAGGGCCTGGACTTCTGAGCAGCCTTCCTTGGGGGTTAGTTCTTTGTAGAGACTGGGCTCAGCCTTTGATTAGGCTACATTCTTCTACTGAAAGTGCCAAAACCCTCTCAAATTCTTTTTGTTGTTGTTGTTGTTGTTGTTTTTTGTTTTTTTGTTGTTGTTGTTTTTTACACAGGGTCTCACTCTGGTGCCCAAGCTGGAGTACAGTGCATGATCACAGCTTACTGCAGCCTCGAACTCCTGGGCTCAGGTTATGTTCCCACCACAGCCTCCTGAGTTGCTGGGACTATAGGCGCATGCCACCACGCCTGGCTAATTTTTTGTATCTTTTGTAGAGATGGAGTTTTGCCATGTCACCCAGGCTGGTCTTGAACTCCTGGACTCAAGCAATCCTCCCACCTCAGCCTCCCAAAGTGCTGGGCTTATAGGTGTGAACCACCATGCCCAGCCACCTCCCTCAAATTCTTAAGCAAAAATGGAATGCATTGACTCGCAGACAAGAGACCAGACTCGGGAAGGACCCTAATCAGAGTCTGAAGAAGGAAGAGCTGTCAGAATCAAGGCCACAGGGACTGGAACCAGAGGCTCAGCATGCAGGGAAACACTGTCCCATGAAGGAAATAAAACCTAGTGGTTGGCCAGGCACAGTGGCTCATACCTGTAATCTCAGCTTTTTGGGAGACCGAGATGGGCAGATTGCTTGAGCTCTGGAGTTTGAGACCAGCCTGGGCAACATAGTAAGACCTCATCACTATATTAAAAAAAAAAAAAAAGGTAGCCAGGCATGGTGACACATGCCTGTAGTCCCAGCTACTTGGGAGGCTGAGGTGGGAGGATCACCTGAGCCCCGGAAGTCGAGGCTGAAGTGAACCATGATTGGGCTGCTGCACTCCAGCTTGGGTGACAGAGTGAGACCCTGTCTCAAAAAATAAAAAAATAAAAAAACAAAAAACCTGGGCCCACTTTATGTTGGGAGGTCAAGAAGGTCAGGTCATGCCAGATCTGTGGACAGAACAGCCCCAGGAAGAGGTAATAATCAGTGCAAAGGACCTACATGCCAGGAGGGCATGATGGGAGGTGACAACCACAAGGAGGCAGGGCCATGTGACATACACAGCATAGAATGGTTTTCATCCATGGTTCCTGGCTCATAACTCCCATAGCCCCTGTTACTGCCTTTTTTATAATGTTGGGCTGCTTTAGGCATCAGAAGCAGGCCTCAGAAAATGGAATCTCTCTCTGACTCCTGCCCTCCTTTCACTTGCTCCTTTTTCTCTCCAAGGCAGGACTCAAATCCTACCCATCTTTCTGTCTCGGAGCTGGCCATAAAGAAATTATCTGACCTACCTTGTCTGACTGTAGACCATAAGACCCTCATTTCAGAAGGGACCTGCCCCATACCTTGGAGGAAGAAAGGCTGCAGAGAGGCCAAGAAGAATCTGAACAGACAGGCTTTGCTGGGTTTCCCCACTCAGTCTGTTAACATTAGATCATCCCCTTCTTGTCCAACCACAGTTCTACATGGCTGTCCATGCTTCTATTATGCCTATCCAATGCAGTCTCCATAAAAGGCCCAGGAGGACAGGGTTCAGAGAGCTTCTGGACAGCTGAACCCATGGAGGTTCCTGGAGGGTGACGCTCCCTGGGAAAGCACGGAAGCTTCACATGCCTTCCTATATCTCACCCAATGCATCTCTTCATCTGTGTCCTTTGTAATGTCCTTTATAATAAATAGGTAAACATGAGTAAGTGTTCTTTGAGTCCTTGCAGAAAACTGCTACTCTAGCAAATTAACCAAACCCAAGGAGGGGGGTCAGTCAGAAGCACAGATGAAACAACCTGGGGCTTGCAATTGGCATTGGAAGAGGACGCAGTCTTAGGGACTGAGCCTTCAAACTCAGGAGTCTGATGCTATCTCCAGATAAATAGTGTCACAATTGAACTGAATTAGAGGACATTCAGTTGATATCCACAGCAGAACTCACTGCTTGCTTATTGGTGGGAAGAAACCCCCACATATTTGGTCACAGAAGTCTTCTATGATGGTTGTTGTGGTGTGAGAGCAGAAGAAAAACAGTTTGGGCCAGGCGCAGTGGCTCATGCCTGTAACCCCAGCCACTGTGGGAGGCCGAGGCCGGTGGATTGCTTGAGCTCAGGAGCTCGAGACCAGCCTGGGCAATATGGCAAAATCCCATTTCTACTAAAAATACAAAAAAAAAAAAAAATAGCCAGGCATGGTGGTGCATGCCTGTGGTCCCAGTTACTTGGAAGACTGAGATGGGAAGTTGCAGTGAGCCGAGATTGTGCCACTGCATTCAGCCTGAGTGAGAAAGAGAGAGACTGACTCTGTCAAAAAAAAAAAAAAAAAAAGAAGAAGAAGAAAGAGAAAGAAAGAAGAAAGAGAGAGAGAAAGAAAGGAGAGAAAGAAAGAAAGAAAAAGGAAAGAAAGAAAGAAAGAAAGAAAGAAAGAAAGAAAGAAGAAAGAAAGAAAGAAAGAAAGAAAGAAAGAAAGAAAGAAAGAAAGAAAGAAAGAAAGAAAGAAAGAAAACAGTTTGTTCTTTTCTATACAGGCCAGATCATGAATGACCTTATAGGCCAAGAAATGAAATTTTCTTAAAAAAAAAATAGAGTCAGGGTTTTACTCTGTTGCCCAAGCTGGTCTCCAACTCCTAAACTTAAGTAATTCTCCTGCCTCGGCCTCCCAAAGGGCTGGGATTACAGGCTTGAGCCACCATGTCCACTGGAAATTTAATTTTATCCAAAGGATTATGGGGAGGCTTTTGATGGGTTTTAAACACTGAGGGACTTGATCGAACTTATATTTTCAAAAGAACACTCTGTTTGCTATGTGAAAAGGAGACCAGGGGTAGAATAGAAGGAGGGCTTGGGGGAAAGTCTAGTCTAGCAGATTTGAAGAGGTGATGATAAAAGTTCTGTTCTGCAGAATAGAAAATCCAGAAATAAATCCACATATTTATGGCCAACTGCTTTTCAACAAAGGCACCAAGAATATACACTGGGGAAAGGAGAGTCTCTTCAATAAATGGTGCTGGGGCTGGGCACAGTGGCTCACACCTGTAATCCCAGAACTTTGGGAGGCCAGGGCAGGAGGATCACTTGAGCCCAGGAGTTTGAGACTTGCCTGGGCAACATAGTAAGATCCTGTCTCTACTCAGCTACTCAGGAGGCTGAAGTAGAAGGATTGCTTGAGCCCAGGAGGGTGAGGCTCAGTGAGCCATGATTGCATCACTGCATTCCAGCCTGGGTCACAGAGTGAGACCTGGTCTCAAAAATTAAGAACAAAATAGTGCTGGGAAAACTGGATATCTATATGTAGAAGAATGAGATTTCTATCTCTCAACTCAAAATGGGCTAGATGGGGTGGCTTGGGTATGTAATCCCAGCACTTTAGGAGGCTGAGGTGTGAGAATCACTTGAAGCCATAAGTTTGAGACCAGCCTGGGCAACATAGCTATACCCTGTCTCTAAAACAACAACAACAGCAAACCTAAAACACACACAATAGCAAACAACAAAAAAAATCAACTCGAAATGGATTAAAGACTTAAACATAAGACCTGAAACTATAAAACTATTAGAAGAAAACATGGGGGAAATGCTTCAGGACAATGGGCTATGCAAAGATTTCATGGGTAAGGCTTCAAAAGCATAGGCAATGATATGGATTGTCTCTGTGTCCCCACCCAAATCTCATCTCGAACTGTAATCCCCACACGTCGAGTAGGGACCTGGTGGGAGGTGATGATTGGATCACGGAAGTGGTTTCCCCCGTGCTGCTCTCATGGTAGTGAGGGAGTTCTCATGAGATCTGGTTGTTTGATAAGTGCCTGGCATTTCCCCTGTGCTCTCTCTCTCTCCTGCCATCATGTGAGACATGCCTTGCTTCCTCTTCACCTTCCACCATGATTGTAAGTTTCCTGAGGCCTCCCAACTCATGTGCAACTGTGAGTCAATTAAACCTCTTTCCTTTATAAATTACCCAGTCTCGGGTAGTATCTTTACAGCAGTGTGAGAGCAGACTAATATGGGCAGCAAAAAAAAAAAAAAACAGACAAACTATAGCAAACTAGAAAGCTCTGTACAGCAAAGGAAATAATCAACAGTGAAAAGATAACCTGTAGAATGGAGGAAAATATTTGCAAACTATTCATCCAACAAGGAACTAATATTCCATAATATGTAAGGAACTCAAAAAACACTCAACAGCAAAAAAAAATCTGATTTAAAAATGGATAAAGAATCTGAATAGATATTTCTCAAAAGAAGACATACTAACAGCCAATAAGTCTATGAAAAAATGCTCAACGTCATTTATCATCAAGGAAATGCAAATCAAAACCACAAGGAGATATAATCTTACCATGGTAAAAATGGCCTTTGTTTGTTTGTTTGTTTGTTTGTTTGAGATAGAGTCTTGCTTTGCCACCCAGGCTAGAGTTCAATGGCATCATCTCGGCTCACTGCAACCTCCACCTCCCAGGCTCAAGCAATTCTCTTGCCTCAACCTTCCAAGTAGCTGGGACTACAGGTGTGCGTCACCGTGCCCGATAGTTTTCGTATTTTTAGTAGAGACAGGCTTCCGTCATGTTGGCCAGATTGGTCTCAACTCCTGGCCTCAAGTGATCCGTCCGCCTCGGCCTCCCAAAGTGCTGGGATTACAGGCATGAACCACCGCACCCAGTCTAAAAATGGCTTTTATCAAAAAGACAAAATAACATAAGTTGGGAGGATGTGGAGAAAGGGGAATGCTTGTACACTGTTGGTGAGAATGTAAATTATTATAGTACAGCCGCTCTGAAGAACAGTATGGAGGTTCTTCAAAAAACTAAAATAGAACTACCATATGATCCAGCAATCCCTTTGCGGGTATAACCAAAAGAAAGGAAATCAGTATATCGAAGAGATATCTGCATCCCTATGTAGACTACAGCCCTCTTCACAATAGCCAAGATACAGAATCAACCTGAATGTCTATTAACAGATGAATGGATAAAGGAAATGTGCTACCTATACACAATGGAATACTATTCAGCCATAAAAAAAGAATGAAATCCTGTCATTTTCAGTAAGACATTATGTTAAGTGAAATAAGTCAGACACAAAATGAGAAATAACACATGTTCTCATTCATATGTGAGAGCTAAAAAAACTCAAACTCATGAAAGTGAGAAGAGTTGTGTTTATTAGAGACTGAGAAGGGTATGGGGAGGGGAGGAGAGGGAGAGGTTGGTTAATGGATACAAAGTTACAGCTAGATGAGAGGAATAAGTTCTAGTGTTCTCTAGGACTGCAGGGTGAATGTTGGTTAACAGTAATTTAGTGTACATTTTCAAAAAGCCTGGACAACATAATGAGACCTCAACTCTACAAAAAAAAACCCTTTTTTTAAAAAAATTAACTAAATTTGGCCGGGCCCAGTGGCTCACCCCTATAATCCCAGCACTTTGGGAGGCCAAGGTGGGTGGATCACTTGAGCCCAGAGATCGAGACCAGTCTGGCCAACATGGTGAAACCCCAACTCTACTAAAAAAATACAAAATTAGCCGAGCGTGGTGGCACATGCCTGTAATCCCAGCTACTTGGAAGACTGAGGCAGGAGAATCATTTGAACCTGGGAGGCGAAGATTGCAGTGAGCCGAGAACGTGACACTGCACTCCAGCCTCGGTGACAAGAGTGAAACTCCATCTCAAATAATAATAATTATTATTATTATCCAAGCATGGTGATGCAGGCCTGTGTTACCAGCTACTGGGAGGGGTGAAGCTTGGGCTGAGGTGGGAGAATTGCTTGAGCCTGGAAGGTCAAGGCTACAGTGAGCCATGATCGCACCACTGCACTCCAACCTGGGCGACAGAGCAAGATCCTGTCTCAAAACAAAACAAAAAGCTAGAAGAGAATATTTTGAATTTTCACAACACGAAGAAATGATAAATATTTAACATGATGTATATACTAACTACCCTGATTAGGTTATTACACATTATATACATATATCAAAACATCACTGTGTATCCCATAAATATGAACAATCATTACATGTCAACTAAAAATAAAATTGGCCGAGTGTGGTGGCTCATGCCTGTAATCCCAGCACTTTCGGAGGCCAAGGCAGGTGGATCAACTGAGGTCAGGAGTTCGAGACCAGCCTGGCCAACATGGTGAAACTCCATCTCTACTAAAAATACAAAAATTAGCCAGGCGTGGTGGTGGGCACCTGTAATCCCAGCTACTTGGGAGGCTGAGGCAGGAGAATTGCTTGAACCTGGGAGGCAGAGGTTGCAGTGAGCCAAGATCACACCATTGCACTCCAGCCTGGGCAACAAGAGGAAAACTCCGTCTTAAAAAAAAATTTGAAATAAATTTAAAACAAAACAAAAAGTTACATTCTGGTCATGTTAAATTTGAGATGCTGCAGGGTGCAATGGCTCACGCTTGTAATCCCAGCACTTTGGGAGGCCGAGGCGGGTGGATCACTTTGAGATCGGGAGTTAGAGACCAGCCTGGCCAACATGGTGAAATCCCATCTCTACTAAAAATATAAAAATTAGCCTGGAATGGTGGCACATGCCTAGAGTCCCAGCTTCTCAGGAGGCTGAGGCAAGAGAATCGCTTGAACCCAGGAAGCGGAGGTTGCAGTGAGCTGAAATCGTGCCATTGCACTCCAGCCTGGGCAACAGAGCAAGACTCTGTCTCAAAAAGAAAAAAAAAATTATCCAGGCGTGGTAGTAAGCACCTGTAGTCTCAGTCCTAGGCTTGGTTGGGAGAATTGCTTGGGCCCACAAGATCAAGGCTGCAGTGTGCCATGATTATGCCACTGCACTCCAGCCTGGGTGAAAGAGCAAGACCGTCTCAAAAACAGAATTTTTTTTTTGAGATGCCTATTAGATGTTGTTTTAGGTTCCTATGGCTGCTATAACAAATGACCACAAACTAAGTGGCTTAAAACAACAGAAATTTATTATCTTACAGTTCTGGAAGCCAGAAGTATGAATGCAGGGTGTCATCAGGTTGATTCTTTCTGGACACTCTGAGACAGAATGTGTTCCATGCCTCTCTCTTATTTTCTGGTAGTGGCCAGCAAACCTTGGCTAATGGACACATCACTCCAGTCTCTGCCTCTATCTTCACCTGGTATTCTCCCTGTGTGTCTCTGTCTCTATGTTTCTCGTCTTTTTTTTTGGGGGGGGGGCGGGGTACAGAGTCTCACTCTTCTGCCCAGGCTGGAGTGCAGTGGCGCGATCTCGACTTACTGCAAGCTGCACCTCCTGGGTTCATGCCATTCTCCTGCCTCAGCCTCTTGAGTAGTAGCTGGGGCTACAGGTGCCCGCCACCACGCCCAGCTAATTTTTTGTATTTTTAGTAGAGTTGGGATTTCACCGTGTTAACCAGGATGGTCTCAATCTGCTGACCTCGTGATCTGCCTGCCTCGGCCTCCCAGAGTGCTGGGATTACAGGCAGGCGTGAGCCACTGTGCCCAGTCCTTTTTTTTTTTTTTTTTTTTTTGAGACGGCATCTCACTCTGTCTTCCAGGCTGGAGTGCTGTGTTGTGAACACGGTTCACTGCAGCCTCGAACTGCTGGGCTCAAGTGGTTCTCCTGGCTTCACCTCCCAAGTAGCTGGGACTACAGGTGTGCACCACCACTCCTCTTCTTATAAGAACACCAGTCATATTGGATTTAGGGCCCACCCTAACCCAGTGTGATCTCATCTTAACTTGATTATTTACTTATTTATCAACCTATTTTACACCAAGTCAAAATCAATGGCAATCTTAACTTGATTATATCTGCAAAGACCCTATTTTCAAATAAGGTCACATTCACAGGTACTGGGGGGTTAGGACTTCAATATATCTTTTTAGGGAACACAATTCAACACATAAGAGATATCAAAGGGTGTGTCAAGTAGGCTGATAGGTATACAAAGGTGAAATTCAGGGGAGAGGTCTAGTTTGGAAGCACTAATTTCGCCATCACAGTAAAACACTAGTGGGGGCTGGGTGCAGTAGCTCACGCCTATTATTCCAGCATTTTGGGAGGCCAAGGTGAAAGGATCCCTTGAGCCCAGGAGTTTGAGACCAGCCTGGGCAACATAGTGAGACCCTACCTCTATAAAAAATAAGAAAATTAGCCAGGTATGGTGTAACATGTCTGTATTTACTTATTTATTTTTATTCTTTGAGACAGAGTCTCTCTCTGTTGCCCAGGCTGGAGTGCAGTGGCATGATCCTGGCTCACTGCAATCTCCACCTCCCAGGTTCAAGCAATTCTGGTGCCTCAGCCTCTCCAGTAGCTGGGATTACAGGCAGGCACTACCACGCCCAGCTAATTTTTGTATTTTTAGTAGAGACGGGTTTTTACCATGTTAGCCAGGCTGGTCTCAAACTCCTGACCTCAAGTGATCCACCCACCTGGCCCTCTGAAAGTGCTGGGATTATAGGTGTGAGCCATCACACCCAGCCGCATGACTGTATTCCTAGCTACTTGAGAGGCTAAAGCAGGAGAACCACTTGAGCCCCGGGGACAGAGGCTGCAGTGAGCTAAGATCATGCCACTGCACTCCGGCCTGAGCGACAGAGCAAGACTCTGTCTTAAAAGAAAAACAGTCATGGGACTACATGTAGATAGAGAAGAGAAAGGGAACTAGGTTGAGTTCCAGCACTTTCCAACATTTAGTAGTTTGTTAAAGAAGGAGCCAGCATAGGAGACAAAGAAGAAGTGCCCAGTGAGGTAGACAACCAGAAGAGTATGGTGTCCTGGAAGCCAAGAGGAGATTATGTTTCAAGATGGAAGCAGCAGTCAACAATAGTGAGGAGTGGCTTTTGGACCTGGCAGCATGCTGACCATTGGTGATCCCAACGATGATCAGTTTCAGTGGAGTTTTTTCTTCACTGAAGAGAGAATGCAAGGAAGGAAGTGAAGGCAGCAACTATACACAACTTTCAAGCAGTTTTGGTCGGGCACAGTGACTCATGCCTGTAATCCCAGCACTGCGGGAGGATTGCTTGAGCCCAGGAGGCGGAAGATGCAGTGAGCCATGTTCACACCACTGCACCCTAGCCTGGGTGACAGAGCAAGACCCTGTCTTTAAAAAAAAAAAAAAAAGAAAGAAAGAAAAGAGAAAAAAGTTTTGCCATGAAGCACAGTAGAAAAATTGGGTGACAATACAAGATAGAGGGTAGGGTCATTTATTTATGTTTTAAAGCTGGGCTATATTAGAAAATGTTTGCGTGCTATTGAGCATGTTCTAGGGTAGCAGATGGCCACTGATAGGAGTGGGAACAGTTAATCCAATGTATAAGAAAAAAGGCAGATAATTTGAATACGCATGCAGGTAGGTAAGTAGAATTGGTGCTAGGAAAATGAGGGAGCAACTGTCTAATTGCTTCTGTTTTCTCCATGAGGCACGAGGCGAGACCATCAGCTGAAAGGGAGGAGTAAAGAGAGTGAAAGATGTCTGAAGAGACAGGAAGAGGTATGGAATATAAGTTGTGAAGAGTGAGAAAGTAAACACATTAGAGGAATGGTGGAGGATTACAGAGCAGTGTTAAGTGTCCTCTTGAAATTTCCCACTCATACTTCGGACTCTTTCTAGACATCTTCCTTCTGGGTCTGCCACTCTTCTCAGGAAAGCGCTCTGATGCTTGGTCCCATTTAGGTCATATTCCTGTCTCTGGTCCAGTCATTGTGTACAGAGGATTCAATACTGGGATTAGACAGACCTGGGTCATATGCCTACTCTTGTAACCAGAAGGGCTGGGGTTGTGACTGGCAGCCCCACCAGAACCACATGGAATGGGGGGAGGGTAGTTCTCCAAAGAAAACAGAGATGTTAGACAGGTGGGATAATACTCTTTCTCCCCTACTGCTCTCCCCTGGATGTCCTGAGGCTCAGTGAGGCAATGTCTGTCAAATTGTGTTCTGAATTTCACAGTACTATAAGGTAAAGGATTATAACAGTAGCACTTAGTAAATGCTGGATTTATTTATTTATTCTCTCAGTAAATAATTGCTGAGCCTTTAAGTGAGGCTTTGTGCTAGGTTCATGAAGGATAAGAGACAAATCACTCTCTAGTGAAAAAAAAAAAAAGCCAGAAGTAGTGGCTCATGCCTGTAATCCCAGCACTTTGGAAGGCCAAGGTCATGAAGACGAGTCATGAATACAGTGTGATCTTTCCCACCAAAAGACTTGTATTTTTAATTTTTTTAGAAGTTAAAAAAAAGACTTACACTTTAGTAAAGATGTATTAGTCAGCTTTTGCCAGGCTATGCTGTGGTAACACCACCAAAATATTCATGGCTTATAGCAACAAGGGTTTATTTCTTGCTCATCAGCTTCAAGTTAGTTTCAGCTCTGTTGCAAGAGTCTCTTCATTCTAACACAGGCCATTCTCATGGCAGATGGTAAACGGGACTGTGATAGCCCTTAAAACTTCTGCTCTGATCACTTTCATTCTCATTAGATTGGCTAAAACAAGCCACATGGCCAAACTGATAACTAATGGAGTGGTAAAGTATCTTCCTCCCACAGGGAAGTATTGACAGTCACATGGCAATATGAGGCAATATTTTACAGAGAGAAGTGAATAGCTAGAAGATATAATCATCACAAAAGGGTAGAAGTAAATGAATGCCCTTCATATACTAGAAAGTGTGGCCAGACATGGTGGATGGCTCACACCTGTAATCCCAGCACTTTGGGAGGCTGAAGTGGGCAGATGGCTTGAGCCCAGGAGTTTGAGACCAGCCTGGGCAATGTGATGAAACCCCACCTCTATAAAAAATACAAAAATTAGCCAGGCATGGTGGCACATGCCTGTAGTCCCAGCTACTCGGGAGGCTGAGACGGGAGGATAACTTGATCTTGGAAGGTGGAGGTTGCAACAAGCTGAGATCATGGCACTGCACTCCACTGTGGGTGACAGAGTGAGACACCATCTCAAAAAAAAAAAAAAAAAAGATTATAGTCCTGGGGGTGGAGCCAAGATGGCCAAATAGGAATAGCTCCAGTCTACAGCTCCCAGCATGAGCGACGCAGAAGATGGGTGATTTCTGCATTTCCAACTGAGGTACCAGGTTCATCTCACTGGGGAGTGCCGGACAGTGGGTGCAGGACAGTGGGTGCAGCGCACCGAGTGTGAGCCAAAGCAGGGCGAGGCATTGCCTCACCCGGGAAGCACAAGGGGTCAGGGAATTCCCTTTCTTAGTCAAAGAAAGGGGTGACAGAAGGCACCTGGAAAATCAGGTCACTCCCACCCTAATACTGTGCTTTTCCAACGGGCTTAACAAACAGCACACCAGGAGATTATATCCCGCACCTGCCTCAGAGGGTCCTATGCCCATGGAGCCTTGCTCATTGCTAGAACAGCAGTCTGAGATCAAACTGCAAGGTGGCAGCGAGGCTGGGGGAGGGGCGCCCGCCATTGCCAAGGCTTGAGTAGGTAAACAAAGTGGCCGGGAAGCTTGAACTGGGTGGAGCCCACCACAGCTCAAGGAGGCTTGCCTGCCTCTGTAGGCTCCACCTCTGGGTGCAAGGCACAGACAAAAAAAAGGCAGCAGTAACCTCTGCAAACTTAAATGTCCCTGTCTGATGGCTTTGAAGAGAGTAGTGGTTCTCCCAGCACACAACTGGAGATCTGAGGACAGGCAGACTGCCTCCTCAAGTGGGTCCCTGACCCCCTAGTAGCCTAACTGGGAAGCACCCCCCAGTAGGGGCGGACTGACACCTCACACGGCCGGGTACTCCTCTGAGACAAAACTTCCAGAGGAACGATCAGGCAGCAGCATTTGTGGTTCACCAATATCCACTGTTCTGCAGCCACTGCTGCTGATACCCAAGCAAACAGGGTCTGGAGTGGACCTCCAGTAAACTCCAACAGACCTGCAGCTGAGGGTCCTGACTGTTAGAAGGAAAACTAATAAACAGAAAGGACATCCACACCAAAAACCCATCTGTACGTCACCATCATCAAAGACCAAAGGTAGATAAAACCACAAAGATGGGGAAAAAACAGAGGAGAAAAACCAGAAACTCTAAAAATCAGAGCGCCTCTCCTCCTCCAAAGGAACGCAGCTCCTCACCAGCATGGAACAAAGCTGGACAGAGAATGACTTTGACGAGTTGAGAGAGGAAGGCTTCAGAAGATCAAACTACTCCAAGCTAAAGGAGGAAGTTCGAACCAATGGCAAAGAAGTTAAAAACTTTGAAAAAAAATTAGACGAATGGATAACTAGAATAACCAATGCAGAGAAGTCCTTAAAGGACCTGATGGAGCTGAAAACCATGGCACGAGAACTACGTGACGAATGCACAATCCTCAGTAACTGATGTGATCAACTGGAAGAAAGGGTATCAGCGATGGAAGACGAAATGAATGAAATGAAGCGTGAAGAGAAGTTTAGAGAAAAAAGAATAAAAAGAAACCAACAAAGCCTCCAAGAAATATGGGACTATATGAAAAGACCAAATCTACATCTAATTGATGTGCCTGAAAGTGATGGGGAGAATGGAACCAAGTTGGAAAACACTCTGCAGGATATTATCCAGGAGAACTTCCCCAGTCTAGCAAGGCAGGCCAACATTCAAACTCAGGAAATACAGAGAACACCACAAAGATACTCCTCGAGAAGAGCAACTCCAAGACACGTAATTGTCAGATTCACCAAAGTTGAAATGAAGGAAAAAATGTTAAGGGCAGCCAGAGAGAAAGGTCGGGTTACCCACAAAGGAAAGCCCATCAGACTAACAGCTGATCTCTCCGCAGAAACTCTACAAGCCAGAAGAGAGTGGGGGCCAATATTCAACATTCTTAAAGAAAAGAATTTTCAACCCAGAATTTCATATCCAGCCAAATTAAGCTTCATAAGTGAAGGAGAAATAAAATACTTTACAGACAAACAAATGCTGAGAGATTTTGTCACCACCGGGCCTGCCCTAAGAGAGCTCCTGAAGGAAGCACTAAACATGGAAAGGAACAACCGGTACCAACCACTGCAAAAACATGCCAAATTGTAAAGACCATCAAGGCTAGGAAGAAACTGCATCAACTAACGAGCAAAATAACCAGCTAACATCATAATGACAGGATCAAATTCACACATAACAATATTAACTTTAAATGTAAATGGGCTAAATGCTCCAATTAAAGGGCACAGACTGGCAAATTGGACAAAGGGTCAAGACCCATCAGTGTGCTGTATTCAGGAAACCCATCTCACGTGCAGAGACACACATAGGCTCAAAATAAAGGGATGGAGGAAGATCTACCAAGCAAATGGAAAACAAAAAAAGGCAGGGGTTGCAATCCTAGTCTCGGATAAAACAGACTTTAAACCAACAAAGATCAAAAGAGACAAAGAAGGCCATTACATAATGGTAAAGGGATCAATTCAACAAGAAGAACTAACTATCCTAAATATATATGCACCCAATACAGGAGCACCCAGATTCATAAAGCAAGTCCTTAGTGACCTACAAAGAGACTTAGACTCCCACACAATAATAAGGGGAGACTTTAACACCCCACTGTCAACATTAGACAGATCAACAAGACAGAAAGTTAACAAGGATATCCAGGAATTGAACTCAGCTCTGTACCAAGTGGACCTAATAGACATCTACAGAACTCTCCACCCCAAATCAACAGAATACACATTCTTTTCAGCACCACACCACACCTATTCCAAAATTGACCACATAGTTGGAAGTAAAGCACTCCTCAGCAAATGTAAAGGAACAGAAATTATAACAAACTGTCTCTCAGACCACAGTGCAATCAAACTAGAACTCAGGATTAAGAAACTCACTCAAAACCACTCGACTACATGGAAACTGAACAACCTGCTCCTGAATGACTACTGGGTACATAACGAAATGAAGGCAGAAATAAAGATGTTCTTCAAAACCAACGAGAACAAAGACACAACATACCAGAATCTCTGGGACACATTCAAAGCAGTGTGTAGAGGGAAATTTATAGCACTAAATGCCCACAAGAGAAAGCAGGAAAGATCTAAAATTAACACCCTAACATCACAATTAAAAGAACTAGAGAAGCAGGAGCAAACACATTCAAAAGCTAGCAGAAGGCAAGAAATAACTAAGATCAGAGCAGAACTGAAGGAAATAGAGACACAAAAAACCCTTCAAAAAATCAATGAATCCAGGAGCTGGTTTTTTGAAAAGATCAACAAAATTGATAGACCGCTAGCAAGACTATTAAAGAAGAAAAGAGAGAAGAATCAAATAGACGCAATAAAAAATGACAAAGGGGATGTCACCACCGATCCCACAGAAATACAAACTACCATCAGAGAATATTATAAACACCTCTATGCAAATAAACTAGAAAATCTAGAAGAAATGGATAAATTCCTCGACACATACACCCTCCGAAGACTAAACCAGGAAGAAGTTGAATCTCTGAATAGACCAATAACAGGCTCTGAAATTGAGGCAAAATTAATAGCTTACCAACCAGAAAAAAGTCCAGGACCAGATGGATTCACAGCCGAATTCTAACAGAGGTACAAGGAGGAACTGGTACCATTCCTTCTGAAACTATTCCAATCAATAGAAAAAGAGGGAATCCCCCCTAACTCATTTTATGAGGCCAGCATCATCCTGATACCAAAGCCTGGCAGAGACACAACAAAAAAAGAGAATTTTAGACCAATATCCTTGATGAACATTGATGCAAAAATCCTCAATAAAATACTGGCAAACCGAATCCAGCAGCACATCAAAAAGCTTATCCACCATGATCAAGTGGGCTTCATCCCTGGGATGCAAGGCTGGTTCAACATACGAAAATCAATAAATGTAATCCAGCATATAAACAGAACCGAAGACAAAAACCACATGATTATCTCAATAGATGCAGAAAAGGCCTTTGACAAAATTCAACAACGCTTCATGCTAAAAACTCTCAATAAATTAGGTATTGATGGGATGTATCTCAAAATAATAAGAGCTATTTATGACAAACCCACAGCCAATATCACACTGAATGGACAAAAACTGGAAGCATTCCCTTTGAAAACTGGCACAAGACAGGGATGCCCTCTCTCACCACTCCTATTCAACATACTGTTGGAAGTTCTGGCCGGGGCAATCAGGCAGGAGAAGGAAATAAAGGGCATTCAATTAGAAAAGAGGAAGTCAAATTGTCCCTGTTTGCAGATGACATGATTGTATATCTAGAAAACCCCATCGTCTCAGCCCAAAATCTCCTTAAGCTGATATGCAACTTCAGCAAAGTCTCAGGATACAAAATCAATGTGCAAAAATCACAAGCATTCTTATACACCAATAACAGACAAACGGAGAGCCAAATCATGAGTGAATTCCCATTCACAATTGCTTCAAAGAGAATAAAATACCTAGGAATCCAACTTACAAGGGATGTGAAGGACCTCTTCAAGGAGAACTACAAACGACTGCTCAATGAAATAAAAGAGGATACAAACAAATGGAAGAGCATTCCATGCTCATGGGTAGGAAGAATCAATATCGTGAAAATGGCCATGCTGCCCAAGGTAATTTATAGATTCAATGCCATCCCCATCAAGCTACCAATGACTTTCTTCACAGAATTGGAAAAAACTACTTTAAAGTTCATATGGAACCAAAAAAGAGCCTGCATTCCCTAGTCAATCCTAAGGCGAAAGAACAAAGCTGGAGGCATCATGCTACCTGACTTCAAACTATACTACAAGGCTACAGTAACCAAAACAGCATGGTACTGGTACCAAAACAGAGATATAGACCAATGGAACAGAACAGAGACCTCAGAAATAATGCCGCATATCTACAACTATCTGAACTTTGACAAACCTGACAAAAACAAGAAATGGGGACAGGATTCCCTATTTAATAAATGGTGCTGGGAAAACTGGCTAGCCATATGTAGAAAGCTGAAACTGGATCCCTTCCTTACACCTTATACAAAAATTAATTCAAGATGGATTAAAGACTTAAATGTTAGACCTAAAACCATAAAAACCATAGAAGAAAACCTAGGCAATACCATTCAGGACATAGGCATGGGCAAGGACTTCATGTCTAAAACACCAAAAGCAATGGCAACGAAAGCCAAAATTGACAAATGGGATCTAATTAAACTAAAAAGCTTCTGCACAGCAAAAGAAACCACCATCAGAGTGAACAGGCAACCTACAGAATGGGAGAAAATTTTTGCAACCTACTCATCTGACAAAGGGCTAATATCCAGAATCTACAATGAACTCAAACAAATTTACAAGAAAAAAACAAACAACCCCATCAACAAGTGGGCGAAGGATATGAACAGACACTTCTCAGAAGAAGACATTTATGCAGCCAAAAAACACATGAAAAAATGCTCATGATCACAGGCCATCAGAGAAATACAAATCAAAACCACAATGAGATACCATCTCACACCAGTTAGAATGGCGATCATTAAAAAGTCAGGAAACAACAAATGCTGGAGAGGATGTGGAGAAATAGGAATACTTTTACACTGTTGGTGGGACTGTAAACTAGTTCAACCATTGTGGAAGTCGGTGTGGCGATTCCTCAGGGATCTAGAACTAGAAATACCATTTGACCCAGCCATCCCATTACTGGGTATATACCCAAAGGATTATAAATCATGCTGCTATAAAGACACATGCACATGTATGTTTATTGCGGCACTATTCACAATAGCAAAGACTTGGAACCAACCCAAATGTCCAACAATGATAGACTGGAATAAGAAAGTGTGGCACATATACACCATGGAATACTATGCAGCCATAAAAAAGGATGAGTTCATGTCCTTTGTAGGGACATGGATGAAGCTGGAAACCATCTTTCTCAGCAAACTATCGCAAGGACAAAAAAACAAATACTGCATGTTCTAACTCACAGGTGGGAATTGAACAATGAGAACACATGGACACAGGAAGGGGAACATCATACACCGGGGACTGTTGTGGGGTGGGGGGAGTGGGGAGGGATAGCATTAGGAGATATACCTAATGCTTAATGACGAGTTAATGGGTGCAGCACACCAACATGGCACATGCATACATATGTAACAAACCTGCACGTTGTGCACATGTACCGTAAAACTTAAAGTATAATTTAAAAAAAAAAAAAGGAAGGAAGGAAGAGGTCAGAGTCTTATGATCTAGGGCATTAGGAATACAAAGGTAGAGCAAGACTTTCCAGTTGGGGAGATCACAGAAGACTTCTTGGAGGAAACGGCTTTTGAGTTATGACCTAGAATTAGAGGATCTTGATGGTTATAGAAGAAGGCAGGGCATTCTAGCAAAGGAACAGCAAGAGAAAGGCATAGAAGAGGAAAAGTAGAATGCTTAGATAGGAAAGGTGGATGGTTTAGTTAGCCTGAAGTAGGGGAATTAGGAGGAAATATATTTTTTAAATTTTATTTTTATTTATTTTGAGACAGGGTCTTGCTCTGTCACCCAGGCTGGAGTGCAGTGGAATGATCATGGCACACTGTAGCCTCGACTTCCTGGGCTCCAGAGATCCTCCCACCTCAGCCTCCCAAGTAGCTGCAACTACAGGCACATGCCACCGCATTTGCCTAATTTTTGTGTTTTTGGTAGAGACAGGGTTTCACCATGTTGTCCAGGCTGGTAGAAGAAATAATGGAAGGATGAGACTCCATATGAGTCAGCCTGCGGACCTCTAAGAGGTTACAGAATATCCCACCCCAGCAATCTAGCTCCCCAGCAAGGGGTTTCTGAACTAGGGAAGTGCCTGTAATTGCTAGTGAGTTGAGAGTGGGCAGGCTTTTTTTGCTGGACTCTTCTGCCCTTCCTGGCTTGATCAAACCCAGATGTTAGCCCAACATCAGCTTTTCTCTCTCAATGCCTCGTCTCAAAGTCCTGTTGGGAATTATGCTTCTAATGTTCTTAAAAAGGTTTCTACGGTTTGTTTGTTTCCTCTGCCTGCTTCAGCCAGCCTGTTATCCAGAGGATGCTTCCAAGCTAGGAGATGTTAAAACCCAAAAGGGGTCTTCCTAAAGGCAGGCAGATGGACCAAATAACCTGGTTGGTGCAGCGCCCATGCTTGCAAAGGGACGCCTCAGTCTTTACCCTGCTGGCTTCTCTCTTCTGTAACAGCAAAATTAATTTTTGTTTGTTTTGTGTAGAATAAGATCCCTAGCCTGGGTGACATACTGAGACTCATCTCTTCAAGTAAAAATTTTTTTAAATTAGTCTGCATGGTGGCATGCACCTGTAGTCCTAGCTACTTGGGAGGCTGAGGTAGGACAATCCCTTGAGCTCAGGAGTCGGAGGCTGCAGTGAGCTATGATCACACCACTGCACTCCATCCTGGGTGACAGAGTGAGACCTTGTCTCAAAAAAAAAAAAAAGCATAAAACCGCATAATTTATTTTGTTCACAATGTCATAGAATAAAAATATAATGGCTCTTTACAGTTTCATTCATTACAGTATGAATTTCATTGTGTTTTTTCTATTCTGCTTATTATTACAGGAATGATTTGAGTTAAATATTTATGTAACAAACTTTCTGCTTGTTATTATGTGATAAAAATGTGATGATCAGTAAAATTAATTTTATCACAGTCTTGATGGTTTTCTTTGTAGCTATCAAATCCAGTACACAGATGGGAAAAATTTTGTGAGAGTGGGTCCTAGCTTGTTGGAGTTAATGAGCTTCCAGCATGGTGGGCGTGTGGTCTAATTGATACTGGCTCTGGGCAGGCTTGCACTTTTAATCATTAATGCCCTGCAGCCTGCTGGAAGCATGGAAATAAATAGTCTGACTAGGATGTACCAGGAGAAGAGTCAGAGCCACAAGGAGGCCTCCCACTGCCCAGGAGGGGCCTGCCTGAAGGCACAAGTGGAGCTCAGGACCCTGCTGCTGGCCACGGACCTTGGTGGTCCTGCCTCAGGGGAGGCAGAGGAATCCTCCCATGGGAGCCTCCAATGTCAAAAATCTCAGTAGGTGCCAGGACCCATCTCAGGCCTGGAAGGTGGAGAGCTTATATGACTCATTCCATCATTCATTTACTCAAAAATATGTATTAAGCATCAACTCTGTGCCAGACACTGAATACAGTAATAAGCAATACAGACATGCTTCCTGTTGTTTCGGAGTTTCTGTTAGCCTTGGAAGCAGACAGTAAGCAAGTTAAGGAATAAATGAGCTAGATAAGGTAAGTAGTAAGTGTTGTGAAGACAATAAAAGAGTAGTGTGGGCCAGGCATGGTGGCTCACGTCTGTTATCCTAGCACTTTGGGAGGCCTAGGCAGGCAGATCACCTGAGGTTGGGAGTTCGAGACCAGCCTGACCAACATGGAGAAACCCCATCTCTGCTAAAAATACAAAATTAGCCAGGTGTGGTGGCACATGCCTGTAATCCCAGCTACTCAGGAGGCTGAGGCAGGAGACTCGCTTGAACCTAGGAGACAGAGGTTGCGGTGAGTCGAGATCATGCAATTGCACTCCAGCCTGGGCAACAAGAGAAAAACTCCGTCTCAAAAAAAAAAAAAAAGAGTAGTGTGATAAGAGTACCTAGGTACAGAGTAGGTTTACACTAGATAACGGGGAAGTTTGTTCTGCAAAGCTGTCATTTACACCAAGACCTGAGACTGAGACATGGGAAGGAGCCAGCTTTACAAAGTGTTGGGGGACAAGCATTCTAAGTACATATTAGGAACAACAGGTGCAAAGGGAGAATGAATTGGAGATGGAGGTTAGAGAGTTGAATGGCAGATTATGCTAAGTTCTGTAATGCCAAGTAAATTAGCCAATAGACAGTTAGAAAAAATCAGAAGGCCAGGTGCAGTGGCTCATGCCTGTAATCCCAGCACTTTGGGAAGCTGAGGCAGGCAGATAGCTTGAGCCCAGGAGTTCGAGACCAGCCTGGGAAACATGGCGAAACTCCAACTCTACAAAAAATACAAAAATTAGCTGGGCATGGTGGCATACCCCTGTGGTCGCAGCTACTTAGGAGGCTGAGGTGGGAGAATCACTTGAGCCCAGGAGGTGGAGGAGGTTGCAGTGAGCTGAGATTGTGCCACTGCACTCCAGCCTGGGTGTCAGAGTGAGACCCTGTCTCAAAAAAAAAAAAAAAAAAAAAAAAAAAAAATCAGAAATTCCTCTAGGTATTTCAAGTAGATGGAATTTAATTTGAAGAATTGGTAACAAACATGTTGGAAGAAGTAGAGGAGCAAAAAGAAGGAGATGAGGTTATCCAAAGAGGAGTATTTAAAGGAATTCACTCTCAGCCCTAAGGCTGGAAGAGCAAAATAGGAAATGGTGGTAATCATAATCAATTCCTGAGCCATGGAGGCTGCTGTATAGGAAATGAACTGCTTGAAAGTGGGAACCCAAGAGCAAGCAATGTGGCCATTGCTAGAGGTGCCATCAAAATGCGAAAAGAAAATGGCAGCCAGGCGTGGTGGCTCATGCCTATAATCCCAGCACTTTGGGAGGCTGAGGCAGGGGGATCACTTGAGGTCAGGAGTTCGAGACCAGCCTGGCCAACATGGCGAAACCCCGTCTCTGCTAAAAATACAACAATTAGCCAGGAGTGGTGGTATGCGCCTGTAATAGGCCCTCAATAAATATCACCATCATCATCACTATGCAGTGTCATATCAGGATACCATCCTACAGACTCTGTGAGCTTTGCATTTGATATGCAGAACAGACTGCCAGGGTAATCTGACTACCTCACTTCACATCTGCAAAATGGGAATAAAAACAACCACAGGTTTCTTATGAGGATAATATATGTAAAATACTTAGCACAGTGCCTGGTACTTGTGTAAGGTCCCAATAAATAATAGCTATCTATTGGCTGTACTGAAAGTACAGCCAATATCATATGAGGGACACCCAGGCTTTTTGATGAGACAAAGGAGGTCTTAGCACTTGGAAATGTTGGGAACAAGGGTCTTAGGAGCATTCAGTCCAGAAAGTCGATAGGATCAGAGAAATTTCCATTGCCATCTTTGCTCCCACAGTTCTCCTGCAAAAGATCTTTACTGTGCTTTGCATCTTCAAACTTTGTTTGGGTCTCTAAGTGCGAAGTCCAGAGACTATGAAATGTGATGGGGGTTGAAGGATTCTGGTGGAGGAGTAGGGTACCAAACAATACAATTAGCATCATTCCAATTATTTATTGCTGTGTAGCAAAATATTTGATAGCTGAGAGCTTAGAACAATCATTTTTTTGTGCTCATGATTCCCTGGGTCAAGAATTTAGACAGGGTACAGTGGAGGGTGGGTTGTCTCTGTTCTATAACATCTGGGGCCTCAGCTGGCAAGATTCAAAGGATGTGGGTCTCTCAACAACTGGGGCTGGAATCACTGAAGGTTCAGTCACTAACATGTCTGGTTCCTGGGCTGGGTTGACTGGAAGATTAGGACTGCAGGCCAGAGTGCCTACATGTGGCCTCTCTGGATGGTTTGGCTTCCTCACAATATGGCGGCTGTAGAATAGTCAGACTTCCCATGTGGCAATTCAGTATCTAATCATGAGTTTTTCAGCTACCAAAGAGGAAGCTGCATCACCTTTTTTGCTCCAAGCCTCAGAAGTTTCTCAGCATTACTTTTTTTTTTTTTTTTTTGAGACAGAGTCTTGCTCTGTTGCCTAGGCTGGAGTGCAGTGGTGATCTCGGCTCGCTGCAACCTCTCCCTCCCGGGTTCAAGCAATTCTCCTGCCTCAGCCTCCTGAGTAGCTGGGATTACAGGCGCGTGCCACCACACCCAGCTAATTTGTGTATTTTTAGTAGAGTTGGGGTTTTGCCATGTTGCCCAGGCTGGTCTTGAACTCCTGAACTCAGGTGATCTGCTGGCCTCGGCCTCCCAAAGTGCTGGGATTACAGGAATGAGCCACAGCACCCAGCCTCTCAGCATTACTTCTGCTGCAATTTATTAGTTACAAAGGAGACATAAGCCCACCAGACTCAAGGGGAGGAGAATTAAACCCTATCTCTTGATGGGGGAAGAACAAAGTTCTAGAAGAGCATGTAGGATGGGAGATATTATTGTGAACATTTTTAGAAAATTTAATTTGCCAAAGGCTTGCAGGTTAGAATTCATACTTCCCATGGACTTGCCAACCATCCCAAGAGAACAAGGCCTAAGGTCCCCAAGGATGATGGGGCCAAAAGCACATGCTCCTGTCTGTGCCCTGCCTTACCCTGTGGAGGAAGCCTCCCGAAGACCCAAAAAGAGAAGTTACCTGAGGCCCAGAATGAGTCCTCAGAGAGTCCCCTGGCGAACACTCAGTGAATACATATCGCATCAGAGAGCAAGAGAGCTGCAAACTGTGCTGGGGTCCCATCTCATATGATGCGGCATAATGATGTTGATGGTGAAGATAAGATATTTACTGAGTGCCTATTTGGGAGCAGGCATTTAAATGTATTTTTGTTTTTCATTTAAGCCTCCAAAAGGAAACGTATAACCTTAAATGCACGTCTTAGAAAAGAAAAAAGATTGAAAATTAATGAGCTAAGAATTTATCTTAATAAATTAGAAAAAAAGACACAGCAAATAAACTCAAAGTAGAGGGAAGGAAATGACAAAGTGGAGAACAGAAATTGAAGAAACAGAAAACTAACATGCAGCAGAGAGGATCAGCTAAGCTAGCCACAAGCCAATTGTGTGAAAATTGATAAATCCCTGGTGATAATGATGAAGAAAAAGTTGAAAGAAGGCAAAAATATTCAAAGTCAGGAATGAAAAGAAAGGTATTGCTATGGATGTTACAGGCATTAAAAATAAAATAAGAGGATATTGTGAATAATTTTGTGCCAATAAAACTGAAGGGTATATTCGAAATAGACAAATTGGTTGAATACATAACTTAGCAAAACTGACTCACCTTGACACAGGAATCAGGATAATCCTATAACCATTAAGGAAATGAAATCAGAAGTCAAACATGCTCCAGGAAGAAAATCTCAGGCTTCACTGGCAAGTTCTAATCTTTTTTTTTTTTTTTTTTTTGAGATAGGGTCTCCCTCTGTCACCCAGGCTGGAGTGCAGCGGCGCGATCGTGGCTCATGACAACGTCCACCTCCCAGGCTCAGCCTTCCAAGTAGCTGGGACTACAGGCACGCCCCACCATGCCTGACTAATATTTGTATTTTTTGAAGAGATGGGGTTTCGCCATGTTGCCCAGGCTGGTCTCGAACTCCTGAGCTCAAGTGATCTGCCCGCCTTGGCCTCCCAAAGTGCCGGGATTACAGGCGTGAGCCACTGTGCCTGGCCAAGTTCTAATTCTTAAAACACCCCAGGAGAGTGTTATAATTCCCATCTTCAGATGAGGAAACGGGCTCCAAGAAATCAAGCAACCTGCCTAAGGGCTCAGAGCTAGTAAATGTCAAAGCCAAGATTTTTTTTTTTTTTTTTGACAGGGTCTGGCTCTGTCACCTAGGCTGGAGTACAGTGGCATCATCTTGGCTCACTGCAACCTCCACTTCCAAGGCTCAAGTGATCCTCCCACCTCAGCCTCCCAAGTACCACAGGCACACACCACCGTGCCCAGCTAATTTTTTGTATTTTTTGTAGAGATGGGGTTTCACCATGTTGGCCAGGCTGGTCTCAAAACTCCTGAGCTCAAGAGATCAGCTTGCCTCAGCCTCCCAAAGTGCTGGGATTACAGGGGTGAGACATCACGTCCGTCCTGAAGTCAAGATTTGAACCCTGGTTGACTTGGCTCCAAAGCCAGAAAGTTCAGCCATTATACTCCTCAGCCTCTCCTTCAAATGCTATAGCCAGTAGCATAGATGTGAGGTGAAGGACAAGGCTGTGGTCCAGAAGCCCTAGAGACAAGTATCTGATATGTCCACTCAGAGAAGAAGGAACCTGGAGATCCCCAGGACCCCACTCTGCCATCCTTCAAGACCTATTCAAATGCTACCAGTGCTTCTCTGCAGAGCACCATAAACCCTGCCCAGAGACCCCATAGCTGTCCTAGGCCCCCTCACCTTTAAATGCCTCTGTCTCTGGGCCTTTTCTATATATTGTCTGCTGTGTATCATTCTCACCAAAGTTTTCCAACCTTGGAAATGCATGGCTCCCTGAGAATACAGGTCTTGGTTTGAGAAAGCTGCACTGAAAAGTTAAATGCTAGGCTGGGCATGGTGGCTTACACCTGTAATCCCAGCACTTTGGGAGGCTGATGAGGGAGGATTGCTTGAGCCCAGGAGTTCGAGACCAGCCTGTGAAACACAGAGAGACACTGTCTCTAAAAAAAAAAAAAAAAAAAAAAAAAAATTTTTTTAAAAGAAAATAGAGGGGCATGGTGATGCACCTATAGTCCCAGCTACTCAGGAGGCTGAGGTGGGAGAATCATTTGAGCCCAGGAGTTAGAGGCTGCAGTGAGCTATGATCATACCACTGCACTCCAGCCTGGGAGACCCTGTCTCCAAAAAAAAAAAAAAAAAAAAAAAAGTTAAATGCTGGCACTGTAGCAGATCACTGGGGCTCTGAAAACTGTAAGGCAACTACCAAACTACCATAGTCTTCTAGGCCAGGGGTCTCTAACCACTAGGCTGCGGACCGGTACCAGTCCCTGGCCTGTTAGGAACTGGGCTGCACAGCAGGAGGTGAGTGGTGGGCAAGTAAGCATTACAGCCTGAGCTCTGCCTCCTGTCAGGTCACAGTGGCATTCGATTCTTCTTTCTCCTTTTTTTTTTTTTTTTTTTTTTTTTTGAGATGGAGTTTTGCTCTGCTGACCAGGCTGGGGTGCAGTGGCATGCAATCTCGGCTCACTGCAACCTCCACCTCCCAGGTTCAAGCAACTCTCCTGCCTCAGCCTCCCAAGTAGCTGGGATTATAGGCACCCGCCACCACAACCAGCTAATTTTTTGTATTTTTAGCAGAGAGGGGGTTTCACCATGTTGGTCAGACTGGTCTTGAACTCCTGACCTTGTGATCCACCCACCTCGGCCTCCCAAAGTGCTGGGATTACAGGCGTGAGCCACGCTCCAACCGGCCTTAGAGTCTCATAGGAGCGCGAACCCTATCGTGAACTGCACAGGCGAGGGGTCTAGGTTGTGCGCTCCTTATGAGAATCTAATGCCTGAGTACAGTTTCATCCTAAAACCTCCCTCCGTCTGTGGAAAAATTGTCTTCCACGAAACCAGTCCCTGATGCCAAAAAAGTTGGGGACCGCTGTTCTAGACCACCCAAAATATGTTCTTGCTAAAAGTTATTTTAAGATTTTCACTAAAATAAAAACTAAAATTTAAATATTCTCATGGTAAAATTTGTGGTCCCCGAAGATAGATTTTATAACAAGCATGAACTGCTCCACAACATAACGTAGCATTTCATTCTCTCTTGAAATCAAAATTAAATCCAGTTTAAGTTTTGTGGAATGCTAGATTTTGCTTCCATCTCTTCACCCCCTCCTGGGTAATAGGGTTATCTATCCACATTCTTTACCCAGTAACTGTGAGCAGGGTGGATTTCTCCATACCTTGCCTCGGCTCAGCCATGTGACTTGCCATGAGCAGCAGTATTTTAGCAGATGTGACATGAGCAGAGGTTTAAAATGGGCGTGCACACTGGGACTGTTGCTGGGGTACTTCTGCCATCTCCATGAATGTCCCCTGGCTGGCCTGCTGGTCATGAAAGGAGGATGAGGGACACATAGAGTGGTGCCAACCCATGCCAGCCAAAGCTGGCCTATAGCAATGAACCCCAGCTGGTCCCCAAACACATGCACTAAATAAACACTGTTGTATGCTGCTGAAATTTTGTGATTGTTCTACCGCACTCATTACTGGGACTATGGTTAACTGATACAAGCCCCTTCTTACCAAGATTACCATGTCCTTCAGTACTGGCCATCGGCTGTGGCCAGTTGCCACAGCTAATATGTATGCCCGGCCTGGTTGTGAAGCACATCTGCAGGTGGGGGCTGCAGCCCCACCTCCTCTGTGACAAGTTCAGTCATGGTGTCCTTTGAGAACAAAGGCTCCCAAAACTATAGCCCTTTGTGCTCAGCCCTCATAGGCATACATGGCCCTCAGTGAAATCTGATCGCCTGGGTTTGATTCTTGGATCCATAACCTTAGGAAGTTCACTTAATCTTTCTTTGCCTTATCTGTCAAATGGAAACAATGATAGTACCTACTTCACAGGGTTCTTGTGAGAAATAAGTGAATACGTACAACATGCTTAACACAGTGCCTCCTGGCGCACAGTAAGTATGCACTAAATGCTGTCTATTATTATTATCACACATGTGGTCACCCAAATATTCTTCCTCCTAGGTCCTCCCATCTCAGAGGATGCATCCTCATGAGTGCAGGTTTCTGCCATCGATGGAATTCATACCTTCATTCCCTTTCTGATCTTGAGAGTTCCAACTAACCCTCCTGAGTTGAGACCATCCCACTTTAATCTGGGAAGCATTAAGCCTCCAATCCTAATCTTTGTTTAAAACGTCTGTTTGGAAGTTGTCTTCTGGGTATCCTGCTGCTTGCAGCTTCTCTTTTCTACTCTGAACTACACCAATCCTCATGGGGGTCAAGAAAGTCCACACTTCAAGGACATGAAGCCTGGTTCTCTCCTGCCCCTCGCCCCAGGGATGAAATGCCTTTCATTCTTTTTAGGTGAGCCTGCAGCTGAGAAAAACTAGACATGGTTATTTCCTCAATAGGTCATTCTGCTACAATTAATTCTCAATAAATCTTCACCATGAGACTGAATTCCTCGGCTATGTTTTATTCAGTGTGTACCTCCAGCACTTAGGGCAGAACCCACACTTAGTAGGTGCTTGATAAATGTGTAAATGAATGAATGAAGAATATGAATCACAGGGTGGGAACAATTTTCAAACTATGGGTGGAGAAATCAACATGATCATTCACTGTGTGCCCAGCCTCCTGCTTGACACTGAGGTCCAAGCAAGAAAAGTAACAAGGCACTTGGAGCTTGTAGTCAAGTCCTCAAAGACTAAAGTCTACAAAGGAAACAGAGCTCAACCACACAAATCACTTGCTCTGCCCATCCCACATCAGAGGGAACCCAGTGAAGTGTTGGTTCAGAAGAGGCAGGATGTGGCCTAAGGTCTGAAGGCACGGGAGGGGCCGGGGCAGAGGGCACGGGGGGCCCAGCTTACCCTGAGATAAGGTGTCCCAGAACACCACGAGCAAGGGCACAGCACAGGAATGAGATGGCTATTTGTGGAAAATAACCATGACACCAGCCTGAGCCATTTGTAGCACTTGTGATAGGGAGTCATGGGGGTAAACTTAGCTATTTCAGGCTGTGGGCTCAGTGTTGAGACCTGGAGGTTAGGCTGGGAGTGGATCCTGGCAAAACTGGCCACAAAGACTGGCCTGAGGCGAGGTGTGACAGCACCCACTAGCAGCAGGGCTCTCTTTCCTCTCATTCCAGGACCAGGTGAGATTTGAACCCCTGCCAGAGACTCCAAATATGAGCCCACCACAGGGGCATATCCCTCTGCTCCTCTAAGAAGGTGAAATTTGTATGGGTGAGGAGGCTTTGGTTTCCAGCAACAGAAAAACTCTAGCTAACTTAAGCAAAAAATGATCGTATTAGAAAGAAATGAGGGTGGCTCACAGAATCAAAGAAAATGCTAAAGAGGCTGTCCCAGAAATAGGAGGAAGCAGGACATTGAAATCAAGGGCTATGGAACAATCCCTTTATGGTGCCGCCTTGGGGATACATTAATTCCATCCTTCCTTCTTTCTTTCTTTCCTTCCTTCCTTCCTTCTTTCTTTCTCTTTCTTTCTTTCCTTCCTTCCTTCTCTTTCTCCTTTCTTTCTTTCTCTTTCTTTCTTTTCTTTCTTTCTTTCTCTCCTTCCTTCCTTCCTCTCTCTCTCTCTCTCTCTCTCTCTCTCTTTCTTTCTTTCTTTCTTTCATAGAGACAGGTCTTGCTATGTTGCCCAGGCTGGTCTTGAACTCTTGGCCTCAAGCAATCCTCCTGCCTAGTCCTCCCAAAGTGCTGAGATGACAGGTGTGAGCCACTACACTGGGTCCCATTTTCATGTCATTCCATTTCAGATTCAAGGAGGTGGCCAGGCACAGTGGTTTATGTCTGTAATGCCAGCACTTTGGGAGGCTGAGGTGAGAGGGTCCCTTGAGCCCAGGAATTTGAGATCAGCCTGGGCAACAGAACGAAAGTCCATCTCTATTTTACTTACTTAATTAATTAATTTATTTATTTATTTATTTATTTTTAACCAGAGTCTCACTTTGTTGCCAAGGCTGGAGTGCAGTCTCTGCTCACCGCAGCCTCTGCCTCCCAGGCTCAAGTAATTCTCCTGCCTCATCCTCCCTAGTAGCTGGGATTACAGGCGCTTGCCACCACGCCTGGCTAATTTTTGTATTTTTAGTAGATATGTGGTTTCACCATGTTGGCCAGACTGGTCTCAAACTCCTAACCTCAGGTGATCTTCCTGTCTTGGCCTCCCAAAGTGCTGGGATTACAGGCATGAGCCACCACGCCCAGCCCCATCTCTATTTAAAAAAAAAAAAGGATTCAAGGAGGAGAGAGCATCTGATTGGCCTAGCTTGGGTCACATGCCAATCCCTTAGCCAGGGAATGGAGGTAGCCTTCATTGACAGTCCACCAAGATTACAGCAGCTGAAACAGTTGCCCCAAGCCAAATCTCCAAAGCTGATGCCAAGGCAAATGGATACTGAGCAGGCCAAAACAGTGGCTCTCCATTACAGGACGTGTGCACTGGGAAAACCTAGGGCCCAGTTGGTGCTGCAGGCTGGGGAGAGCGGGAGGATGGAGCAGTTACCTGAACTGATAGGTGTACCCTTGTGACTGGATCCCTAGGCCTCAGAGCCCAGAGTCTACTTCAAATTCCTCCCTTAGGGGCCTTCAGGACTGTTAGGGTGAGATGTGAGCTGGTGTGGAAGAAGGGGCTGTTAAGGTTCTAAGTGGCTGCAGTGAGCTGAGATCACGCCGTTGTACTCCAGACTGCGCAACAGAGCGAGACTCCATCTCAAGAAAAAAAAAAAGGTTCTAGGTGGGAACCCCAGGCCAGTGTTGAGAAGTGAACCCATGAAACTGAATAATTTAATAGTTCCAAAGTGGGAGGAGGGAGGGACTTGGCTTTTCCTGGGATATGGCAAGCATGGACAGTAAGCCCATTCTCAATCTCCAGGATGCCAAGAGGGTCAGGCGTTCCCCCGGCTTCCCCAGGCCCCTCACACCACATGGAATTTCAGAAGATCAGAGGCAGAGGCCAGTGCTCACGCAGGGGAGAAGTAGGGAGAAACCTCCTGCTTCATGCAATTGAAAGAGAGTCAAACGGGGGCGGGGGTTTGTTAGGAAAGTGTAATTACCAAGCCTGCCTGTTCCTAAAGCCTGGCACGAGGAAAATGGGACCATCTGGGATCCTGATGCTGTACAGCGGGGGCAGAGGTAGACTCAGGGCAACCGAAATCTTCTCCTTGTGGTTGGAGCCTCCCTGAGCCTTGTCCAGACCTGGCCCAGCTCAGTCTGAGAGGTGGAATGAGTTCTGAGCACAGGTTGCAAAGGGACTTGTAGGCTCTTCAGGAACCAGGGAGGAGTGGGCTTACAAGAATGTGACATCAGGAGGAGGAGACAAGAAGGTTCTAGATTCACTCTCCATTCTTCCCTGCCCTGCTCAGAGCCACAGGAAGCTGACCTCTGTGGACTTACTGCCCTGGCTTCTTGCCCTCAGCTTCCTGTTGGGTTTGGCCAATGGAAGCCACTGGCAGGAGACTAGCTGATGGGATGAGAAAGAGGTCAGGGCACTCATTCCACACCCTCAGCCCCACTGCTGGGCCTGGGTGTTGGCAGCAGCTGCCTTCCTCTGTAGAAGGCCACAGCTCCCACAGGGCAACAGCTCTCCCCCAGCCACAGCTGTCACCAAGTTCTGCCAATACCACGCCCAGGCACAGTGGCTCACACTTGTAATCCCAGCATTTTGGGAGGCCAAGGCGGGCAGATCACTTGAGGTCAGGAGTTCGAGACCAGCCTGGCCAACATGGTAAAACCCCATCTGCACTAAAAATACAAAAACTAGCCAGGTGTGGTGATGCACACCTGTAGTCCCAGCTACTCGGGAGGCTGAGGCGGAAGACTCACTTGAACCCAGGAGGCGGAGGTTGTAGTGAGCCGAGATCGCACCACTGCACTCCAGCCTGGGTGACAGAGTGAGACTCTGTCTTAAAACAAACAAACAAACGAACGAACCAAAAAACCCACCATGCCTCCTCTTACCCCTTCCAGCCTCCAGGTGCTAAGGGCTTTCTTCTGCAGCCAGGCCCTGGGTGCCTCCCGGCCCTCGTAGTTTCCTGCAGCCCCAGTCGCCTGTCACTAGTCTTTTCATTAGCCTCTCCTCAGCTTACCCTCTGAAGGAGCCACCTTTTTTCTGCAGGCCCCTGGTGGAACAACCTCTTACTATAGCACAGCAGCATGGAAGCCCCCTATCACCTTGGCCCCTTGCTGAGCCCCTTGCTTGCCCAGGGCTGCCTCAGAGAGAACAACAGTCAAGGAATCTCAATCAAGTGTTCTCTGGTGTTTGGCAGAGCCCTTAAGAGGTTATTCTGTCACCTCCCTGCCTCCACACATGGAGAATAGTAGTAGGGCTGAGACTGGCCAACCCAAGAAAGGCCTTCAGCTGAGGAGAGGCCCTGTGGCCTCAGCTGCCCCCAAGGATGGGTTCTTTGGACCCTGCTTTGCTTCTGTTCCTTCTGCTGCCATCTCAGCCGATTCCTTGTCTTGTTAATGAAAAGTGTGCAACTCTGTCCTCCATGGACTCTTCGTAGCAGGGAAGCCAGGGCTCTTTTATAACCTTCCCCTGAACTTCAGCAGTCTTCCACTTACCTCTTCCTTTGCCCAGAGGTAATCCTTTTTTCTGCCCCCACCCACTACCTCTTGCTCAGAGCATGGTGAGGAGCAGGGAGAAAGATTGGGAGCCTTCTCTGAGCCTTGCACTCCCGCCCCAGACCTTGGTTTTCCCAGGAAGCAGCAGGCAGGGGCAGGCCTGTTTCAGACTGAAGGCAAGACAGATGCTCATTAAGGAAGCTGAGAACAGAGGGAGGTGACTAATGGTGTCAGGAGCAGAGCCTAGCGGGAGCAGAGAATTGAGCAACGGGATCAGAATTGAAAGTGGGAGAAAACAGGAGAGGAGAGGAGTCAGCACCCAGAGCCAGCGCGGCTCTCACTCCCAAAGGATTCTCTTAGGAGAAAACACAACCAGCCTCCTCCTACAACCTGCTTCTCTCCCTCCTGAAAGCTGTGATCGTTGAAGACTACTCTGTCACCTTGTGTGGGGGAGGGGTGGCTAGGACATGGATACAGATAAAGGTAAGCTGTTCATCCATTCATTTCACAAACATTCACTAAGTGCCTGCTACATACAGGGCACCAGCAGTGAATCAGACAAGCAGAATCCCCGCCTTCATGGAGCTTATTACCTGATGTATTTAAAATGCAGACTTACGGCCGGGTGCAGTGGCTCACACCTGTAATCCCTGCACTTTGGGAGGCTGAGGTAGGCAGATCACCTGAGGTCAGGAGTTCCAGACCAGCCTGGCCAACAGGGCGAAACCCCGTCTCTACAAAAGTACAAAAATTAGCTGGGCGTGGTGGCGGGCAACTGTAATCCCAGCTACTCGGGAGGCTGAGGGACAAGAATCTCTTGAACTGGGGGGCGGGGAGGCTGCAGTGAGCTGAGATCACACCACTGCACTCCAGCCTAGGTGACAGAGCGAGACTCCGTCTCAAAAAATACAATACAATACAATACAATACAATACAATACAATACAATACAATACAATCCAGACGGCCTACTGTGGCCCACAAAACTGCACATGGTCTCTCCAACTGCACTCTATGCCCCTCTTTCTCTCACTCTGCTGAAGCCACAAAGGCCCTCCTGCTCTGCCCTGAGCATGCCAACTTCACTCCTACCTCAGTGCTCTTGCCTTGGCTGTTCCCTCTGCCTGGAACTCTTTTTCTCCCCGATGTTCTTGTGACTGCTTCCTTCCGGTCATGCAAGTCTCAGCTGAGAGATTTCCCAAGCAGAGAGAAAGGCACTCCAGGGAATATGGAAAGCTTGTTGGCAAGGCCTGGTGTGGGAAAGAGCTGAAGAACTAAAAGGAAACCGGGGTGGATGAGGCAGAGAGGGCAGAGGGAAGTCAGGGAGATTTAAGCCAACCTCCCCTGAAAGTTGACCCTGATCAAAGGCTGTGATCCAGGGAGCAGGTGACGACAGAAGAGAGCCCAAAGGAGAAGAGTTTTTGAGTTGGTCACAGCTTCAAGCAACCAGGGAGCATTCTGAAAAGCTTCATGAAGAATTCGCAACTGTCCACCCAGGGCAAGAAAGAGAGAAGCATTTATCCAGTGGTTCCTGCCCCCCCTTGCCAAGAGTTTCCCCCAAGGAATTAACTGCCCTGCACCACTGGGCTGCCCAAGCAGGAAAGCCAGGCAGTTTCCTGCCAACAGAGAAGCCCTGGGGCAAAGAGCAGGGGCGTAAATTCAGGGGCCTGCGGGTGTGGCACTGCCAGATCACGCATGAACAGGTTGAAGCCAGCGTGGAGCTGGTTGTGGTGCACAAGAGGTGCCTGGTACAGTAAGAGAGACACATCATGAGGATGGAGATGGCAGCTGGAGATAGGAGGGGTGAGTGGTATTTGCCTGAGAAGAGGGTGGAAGCAAGGCAGGCAAATATTTCTGACGTGGGTGGAAGAGGAAGTTGTGGTTTGAGGCATCAGATGGTGCCTCCCTTTTGTGGGGTGCCCAATCAGGGCACTGCCACCCCTACATGTCTCAAGGAGCCCATCTCTCACTTTGTGGGGCATTTACTAAGAGTCCCATAGCATCATTCCATGGGAAGGATGAGGAGGTAGGGTATTGATGTGTTTCTCAAGGTACCTGCATGGAACCCGTGCTGGATGAAAGGCTAGGGAAGAGTCTCACCGCATTTATCATGAGATCTAGCACATTCACTCAGTAATCAGTATCTACTGAGCATCTACTATGTGCCAGGCGCTGTCCTGGGTGCTGGAGGAGTGGCAGTGGGCCCTGCCATTACTGTGCATAACATCCCAGTGTGTGACAGGCAGACTTAGTACCCACTCCACACGTTTCTTTTTTCTTTTTCTTTGTTTTGAGACAGGGTTTCCCTCTGTCACCAGGCTGGAGTGCAGTGGCATGATCACGGCTCACTACCGCCTCAACCACCCAGGCTCCAGCGATTCCCCCCACCTCAGCCTCCCAAGTGGCTGGGACCATAAGCATGCGTCACCATGCCTGGCTAATTTTTAAATTATTTGTAGAGATGAGATCTTGCTATGTTGCCCAGGCTGGTCTTGAACTCCTGAGCTAAAGCAATCCTCCCACCCCAGCCTACCAAAGTGCTGCAATTACACCATGCCTGGCCTCCATGTGTGTTTCAATGTGTACACAGAACAGGCATGTGCTATCTCATGGAAGCCTACAACCCACTCCCTTCCTCCATAATCTCCCCCTGTCCCCACCCACACCCAGCTCCACACAGAGGGCCCAGGTCAGGGGAATAATTCCAACCCCTCACGCTGGGGGCCAGCTCATTCTGATTTCTCAAGAAGTTTAATTTTGCCAACAGCCAGAGGCAACGACAGCAGCTCTGGAAATTTGGCTGCTGGTTCTCTGGGCTGGGATAGGCAGCCCAGAAATAATTACCTCTTTGAGTGCTTTATTGGAATATGCACGTGCTTCCTGCTCTGTAGGGGCTCTTCTCTCCCAGGGCTGCTTCTTAACGTGAGGAATGAATTAGGCCTGTGAGGCTGCTGGAGCTGCTTCAAGGAGCGGGTGGAGGGTAGGTCCGCCTCAGGGAGGGACCTTATCCATCCCCTTTCCTGCAAAACCACATTATACGGACAGGTGTTTGGAGAGCCATCTGCAATCTGTCCGTCGCAAGCACCAAAGCCTCACCACGTTATGGTCCTAGAGTTACCCCCAAGGTCTTCCTCCAACCCTGCACTACGCCGGAAGCGCCTCGCGGAAGTGCCTCCCTGCGCTGGCTGAGGATGGGTGGCCCTGAGACTCGGGCTCTGAGCTCTGAGGGCTGCTTTGCTCTAGGCGTGCCCCCTCTATGCTGTTGCCCTGCGCCTCCTTGCTCGGGGCAAGGAAACAGAATGCTAATGATGATGAGTCCAGGTTTCCCTGGGTGTGGAACCAGCCAGATAGATGGATTCCAGCGCCACATCCTGGCTCCAGCCTCCAGACCTGCCACTGCGCCAAGATGGCCGCCTCCCCTGTGACTGTGGGCAGGAAATGAGGGGAGTGAACAGGCAGAAAGCGGAAGCGAAAGGACTGAAATGCAGGAACAGATTTCATTTTTTTCTGCCCCAAATCTGGTGGAGTGTTCCCAAGGTCACTGAGACTGTCTCCCTGACTCCAGCCCAGTCTGTGGCCTCCCAGCTTCCTAGGGAGCCCAACCCACACCCCCTGACTTGCTGGGCACCTGGACAGGGGGGATGAGGGACTTCAACTCCATGCAGTTATTTCAGCTCCATGATTCAGCTGAAATCCTCCGGGTTCAAGCTGTTGACTAGAATCTGTCTAAAATAATCACCCTCCTTTGATTTAGGCTATAATGTGGTGTTGAGGCACACGACCGAATGGCTGTTAGGGACATAAGGACCTCTAGGCCTGGGAACTCCTGTGGATGCTGCTTGAAGCTCCAGTGCTCCCGCAGGCCCACAGAAGTGTGGTGCTATGCCATTCCTCCCCAGTCTTGGCTTCTGGAAAACTACTCATTCTTCAAAATCCTGATCAAAGATCACCGGTTTGGCCAGATGTGGTGGTTCCTGCCTGTAATCCCAGCACTTCGGGAGGCAGAAGCGGGAGAATTGCTTGAGCCCAGGAGTTCCAGACCAGCCTGGGCAACAAAGTGAGACACTCTCTCTACAAAAATTTAAATATTAGTCAGGCACAGTGGCACATGCCTATAGTCTCGGCTACTTGGGAGAATCACTTGAGCCCAGGAGTCTGAGGCTGCAGTGAGCCATGATCTTGCCATTGCACTCCAGCCTGGGTGACAGAGCAAGACCCTGTCTGTAAAAAAACAGGATCACCTCTTCTTTGAAGCCTTCTCAGATCTGATCCCTTTTCAGGTCTAGCTAATTGCTCTCCTTTGAGTCAATACTTCATTCTGCAAATGGCCTGATCTTGAACAAGTTACTAATGATTATGGGACCTCTGTAAAATGGAGATGATAGATCCCTCACAGGGTTAGCAAGGAGTTAAAGGTAATGTATCTTTAAAACTTTGCATTGTACTTGGCACATGATCAGGGCTCAAAAAATGACGGTTTTTCGAGTGATAATGGCAGTGATTGCACTTTTTCAGTCATCCGTTTACATATCTGTCACCTCTAATAGATTGTGAACTCTTCAGGACAAGGACCACAGTTGAGTCACTGCTGTAGGCATGGCACCCTGGCTGGCTCAGAGTGAGCACCCAATACAGAGTAATGAATGTCAGTGTTGTCATTAAGACACTTACAATAATACCAACTGGCCTTTAACGAGTGTTTGCCATATGCTGGCCACTGTTCCAACTAGTTTACCAAGATTATGTCATTTCATCTTCACAGCAATCCTATAAAGCATTATCATCCCCAATTTACAGATGAATAAACTGCATCTTATCAAGGCTAGACAATTTGCCTGAGGTCTTACTGTAAGAAGTAGGAGATGGAGACAGTTCTTGAACCAGATCAGTCTGACTCCAGAGTTTTTGGTCACCCACCCAACTCCACTGCCCAGTGTGTTCTGTGCTATATTATAATCCTCAGGCCACCTGTCTTTCTTTTCTGCCTGTCAACAGGAATTGGGTTTGGTTTATTTCTGTAGCCACTAAACCCTGCACAGATCCTGGCACACAGTAGGCCACACAGTCAATATTTCTTGGATAAGTAGATGAGAAAAGGAGAAGGAGAAAGGAGATGGTCAAAGGCAATCAAGAAGATAGTAGGGCTGGGTGGGGCAAGAGATGTTCAGTTTTGGGGAGCCATGGGATGTGAGGCTTCAAGTGGGCAGGGAACGGTATGGCCTGGCCCTGGGGCTCACACACCTTTCTCAGGGCTCCTTGTCATTCCCACCATCCTGAGTGCAAGTGCATTTGGAAGGGCATTCCCTTGGGAACAGACTGAAGCTCAGAAGAATCCGGGCTGAAGGCTCAGGTGCCCCCCTTCTCAGGCAGCTCCTTCCCACTCCCAGGACCACTGGCCTGAGTTCGGGGAAACAAAAAGAGGTTTGCAGCATGTGAGCCAGCATTTGGGAGAAGAGCAAACAAGAGCAGACAGCAGCATCTCTGTGCCTTAGGAGACTAAACAGTGGGGGCCAGGGAGTCACCCCCCACTTCCTGAGCTCAACATTCAGGGCCTGACCTGACTCAGGAGGCTTGTAGCTTGGGGGAGCCAGCCTTGGTGGAGGTAAATCTCTCCTGTGAGTGGGTGGGTGCGTCTCTGGTTCCCTGTCCCATCAGCACCCTGGGGTGGGGCCTGCCCGCCAGCTGACCCCAGGACCTGGGTTGCAAGAACCCTTGCCAGCCACTCAGCCTGGCATCTTCAAGCCCAGCTGATGCTAGAGGGAGATGGAGTTTTTAATTTATATTTCTCGGCTTGATTCAGAGTCTGGGCAGCTATTTTGACTGCTTCACTGGAATATTCTTTAATCCTGAGTTTCTTTTTCTCATTATGGCTCGAAAATTAAAATCTCTCTGCCTTGGGCAAATGAAGGCTGAGTGAGAGAAGGCTGCTGCCACCACACATTTCTTATTTCAGTCAATTTGGAAACACCAAATGCTTTTTCTCAGGGCAGGTGACCGAGGGAGGAGGATGGGGCAGAGTTTAGCCTCCTCCTTGCCACGTCCTGGGCATTAATCCTCCCATTATTCCTGCAGCCCTCGCTGACCTGGCCTAATCACAAACTTAATAACACCCTGCACTTACAAAGCTCTTCTCCATGCATTATTTCCAGCAGAGCCTCACAGGAGCCCTACACGGAAGGAAAGCAGGTGTTCTCATCCTCACTTTTATTAACAAGGAACTGAGGGCCCCGCACATTTCATAGATGAGAGATAGAAGCCTCTGAGGTCCTTCGGGAGGTGCAGTCTGGTGGGGGTGGAGAAACTGTGACCCCTCCCCTTCAAGTCCCCTTGCTTCCCAGAAGACAGCGGAGCCAGCACCCCTTCTTCTCATTGCTCCCAGAACACTGAATGGGAGACTCACTCAGGAGTGGCATGATCTAGGGCAGTTCCTGTCCACCCTCTGAGCCTCAACTCCCTTATATTTATTTATTTTTATTTTATTTTATTTACTTTTTAATTTTTTTATTTTTATTTTTTTTGAGATGGAGTCACCCTCTGTCTCCGAGGCTGGAGTGCAATGGCGCAATCTTGGCTCACAGCAACCTCTGCCTCCTGAGTTCAAGTTATTCTCCTGCCTCAGCCTCCTGAGTAGCTGGGATTACAGGCATGTGCCACCACACCCGGCTAATTTTTGTATTTTTAGTAGAGACAGGGTTTCACCATGTTGTCCAGGCTGGTCTCGAACTCCTGACCTCAGGTGATCTGCCTGCCTCGGCCTCCCAAATTGCTGGGATTACAGGCTTGAGCCACCTCGCCTGGCCTATTTTCTTTCTTTTTTTTTTTTTTTTTTTGAGATGGAGTCTTGCTCTGTCTTCCAGGCCAGAGTGCAAGGGTGCAATCTTGGCTCACTGTAACCTCTGCCTCCCAAGTTCAAGCGATTCTCCTGCCTCGGCCTCCCAAGTAGCTGGGATTACAGGCGTGCACCACCATGCCCACCTAATTTTTGTATTTTTGGTGGAGACGGGGTTTCACTATGTTGGCCAGGCTGGTCTCAAACTCCTGACCTCAGGTGATCCATCTGCCTCGGCCTCCCAAAGTGCTGGGATTGCAGCTGTAAGCCATTGTGCCTGGCCAACTCCCATATATTTAAAAGATGGGTTGCCCTAAATCATGCCTAATGCCACCTTGCCTCGCTAGTGCCCAGACCCCAGGGAAGGGAGGGTGGCTGTTCTCTGCTGCGTTGCTTCATCTCCAGGTTTCCACTCTCTGTCCCTGTGTGGCTGCTCCTCTTCCTGGGCCAGCACATCCAGTTGTCTTTGCCCTGCTCTTCTTTCTCTTTGCAGATCTCTCCCTCACTTGCTGACAGAGTCTCTGAGGGATATCTGGTCTGTAGAGTCTTCCGGTGTAGTTCCAGAACATGCCCTTGGCCATGGGCCTGGAAACGGTGTCTGGTGGGAAGTGGCTCTGGGACGGCCTGAAAGCCATAGCTGCACACTGTTTCTACCAAGCTCATCAGGAGGTGCCTGGGAGGCTTCCAAGGTCTGAAACAGGTCCCCTTCCCTGAGGGACACAGGTTTAGAAATGAAGGCTGCCTCTGTCTCAAGCATTAGAAATTGTGACTTCCCTGTGGGTAAATAACAGCATCAGCCTTCTTAGGGACACAGGTCCTGGCGGAAACGGAGCTCTTGTTCCACCTTTGCCCCACTCCAAGCTTCCTGGAGGACCCGGTAGTTTTCCACATTCTTTTACTCCCATTTGTGGGGCTCTGGAGCCTGGCCAGTTGTCTCCTGATGGGAACCAGAACCCAAGGCACCACAGGCCCCTAAACCTCTCCAACAACTGCGTGTGGTTGTTCCTAGTGCGAAATGCCAGCCACATTCACCTTCCCCTCCTCCTCCCTGGAGAGTGGGAACTGAGGGCCTGACCACTATTTTTTTCACCACCTCAGCCCCAGGGACCACAGGAGGAACTCCATATCTAACCTGAGCCAGCAGGAGGGACAGCATAGGGGCCTCCTAAGGATGGTGCAGGTGAGAGCAAGAGCTGAGGTAGGGAGGAGTGGATGAATACTTCCGGGAGATAAAAGATTTGAATTGCACCTCAAAACCCAAAAGGAGGATGTATTGTTGAGGCAGGGAAGATAAAAATAAGCAAAGTGGAAAGCCGAGGATTTGAATTTAGACAGATCTGGGTTCACATTTCAGCTCCATCTCAAGCTGTGAAATCTTAGGCAACTTCTGGAGTCCTTGGTTTCCTCCTCCACGCTCCACAATGGTGATTATTCCATAATGTTGTTGCAGCATTCAATGAAATAATGTACATAAGAAACTTACCAGCCAGGTGTTGTGGCTCGTGCCTGTAATCCCAACACTTCGGAAGGCTGAGGTGGGAGAATCACTTGAGGCTAGGAGTTCAAGACCAGCGTGGGAACATTGCAAGACCTTGCCTCCACTAAAAATTTAAAAATCAGCTGTGTGCCGTATCAAATACCTTTGGTCCCAGCTACTCGGTAGGCTGAGGTGGGAGTTTGAGGTTGCAGTGAGCTATGATCTCACCATTGCACTCCAGCCTGGCCAACAAGTGAGACTTTGTCTCAATAGGAAGAAAGAGACAGAGAAAGAAACTTACCAAGTTTTCTGGCATATATTGGGCACCCAGTAAATGGTTGCTATTATTGTTATCACTATGTTGGTGATGGGGAGTCAAGAAGAGGGAATTGAAGAGCAGTCTTTTGTTTGTAGAGACAGGCAACCACAGTGAGTAGGAGAAGAAATCCCCAGACAGGGGTCTCTAACAGAAGCCATCTGTGATCTCATGAGGGCCTAGTCTTGCCACTCTGGTGCTGTCTTGTTGACTCAGATATAGGCTTTGATTTCCTTGGAGCAGCTCAGTTTACATCAGGAATAAGCAGCATCTTGGGAAATTCGAGTCACGGAGACTGGGCAGAGTCGCTCTCACTGTCAGATAAAGGGGCCCCTGTTCTGATTCCCATCAGTGACAAGGGATGACGCTCAGGCTGCCACTGAGCATGAGGGCCAGGCCAGAAGGAACAATGGTTGGGCAGGTGCCAAGGTCTTGGGAAAAAACTGAGGTCCTGAGAGAGAAACCAGAGCTGCCCCAGTGGGTACTGCCTTCCCTTTTGTGCCTCTCACTTTTTGCTCCCAGCCCCAATTTCTTGTCTTTTCTTTTTTTGTTTTTTATAGAGATGGGGTCTCACTATGTTGCCCAGGCTGGTCTTGAATTCCTGGCCTCAAGTAATCCTCCCACCTTGGCCTCCTAAAGTGCTGGGATTACAGACGTGAGCCACCACAACTGCTTCCCCCACCGATGTCTAAACCCTCCAACCCCTATCTCTGACAAGGAGGGTGGGACCAAGCTGAGATGTGTCAGGGTAGGTGGTGATGATACCATAGACACTGGGAGTCCTCTCCCAGAGGTGCTGGTTACAGTATTGGACTTCCTTCTACATCACTAGACCTGGGGGACCCATAAAAGATCAGAGGGCCAGGAAAATGGAGTAGCAATCCTAAAATCCTGAGAAGTGAGAATTCACAGCTGTCAGCTTTACCTCACCCTGCTTCTTTTCTTCTTCTTCTTCTTCTTTCTTTTCCCCCCCAAGACAGTCTCACTCTGTCACACAGGCTGGAGTGCAGTGGCGCGATCTTGGCTCACTGCAGCCTCTGCCTCCCGGGTACAAGCAATTCTCCTGCTTCAGTCTCCTGAGTAGCTGGGATTACAGGTGCCCGCCACCACCCCCAGCTAATTTTTGTATTTTTAGTAGAGATGGGGTTTCTCCATGTTGGCCAGGCTGGTCTCAAACCCCTGACCTCGTGATCCACCCACCTCGGCCTCCCAAAGTGCTGGGATTATAGGCGTAAGCCACCACACCCGGCTCTTTTCTTCAACCCCAGTTCCCTCTTTCTTCTTTCTCTTCTCACTCTCTCTTTTCCATTCTCTTTTTTCTGCCTCTTCCTCAGACTGGTTTTGCAACTTTTCAACTTCTGTTCCCAAACCCCCCTCACATACAGAAGAGTCTCTCTTTCTCTTGTCTCTCATTTATGTCTCTGATTGCCTTACCCAGAGAAGGGACCCCTGCCTTCTCTGATAGAGGCTTAAAAGAGAGCAAAGCCCCAGGGCTGGGGTAGCTCAGGCCCAGGGGACCATGGGGGTGAGGCCTAGGCCACATGGAGATGGAAGCATGAGCCGGCTCATGACTGCATAAAGACTGTGGTATTGAGTGGGCTCTGGTGACTCACCACTCAGCGGAGGGGTCTGGGAGAGTGATGTCACTGTTGACACTAGAACTGCCCCATCCCTGCCCTGAGACCTTTTCTTGCCTTGCTGACTTCTTTTTGCCTCCCTTTATAGGGCAGGGCTAAGGAAGCAAGTTTCACCTTTGATGACATTTAGAACCACAATGTGGTTTTTTTAAACCGAGAATTTCCTTCCCACATCCTCACCTCCTCCTCCTCTGCCTGTCTTGTGGCGGTGGGGGGGGGGGTGTACTCATGTGCACGTGGGCATTCTCTGTCTCACACATGTGTGCACATTTCTTTTATGTATGTACAGCTCACGTGCATGCACACACACACACTCACTCACACTCACACATACTCCCACCTGCCATCTGTTTCCGTCAGTCGGGGGATCACATAAACTGGGCCTCCAAACAGTGCAGGGGGACTGGAAGGGGCTGATTCTCCCAGAGGGGGACCTGAGGAAGAATCCCTGTGTGCTCTTGTCTGCTGGCACCTCGATGCCATGTGCCTCTTCACTTCAGAGGCTGCACCCTTGAGCCCCAGTAAGCCCAGAATTTGGGTAGGAATGTGTGTCCTTGAGAAGGTGAGCTTCCAATTTCATAATCAGAGGAAAACTGGGGTGGAATTGGGTTGTGGGTTGTGGGTAGGGACAGTGGGGATATATGGAGGAAGACATAGACTAGGAGGGCCAGAGACTAGAAACTGACTTCAAGACAAATGTCATCACTGTCCCTTCTCCCACCCTCCCCCAAATTAGATGTATATTTCTTTCCCTCTACATTTTGAGAAGAGAGAAAGTTGCATCTCACTTGGTAACCAAGTCCCAGGAATCTAGCTTAAGCCGGGGCAGAGGAAGAGTTCCCAACATGAGACTGAATATTAATGCTATGTAAATCACATGCAAATGTGTTGAAAGCAAAAATAAATAGGTGGTGGGTCTTGAAAAAGGAACAATTAGACTGAGGTGAAGGCAGTGGAGGAGCCACAGCCTGGTAACAGGGTGACTTCTGGAGTCTGGGTGCAGGCTGTGCGCTCCTGCCCTCTAGAGATCCTGGCCTGCCTGTGGTTGGTAAAAAACGGTTTGTTTTGGCCATAAGCAACTAACCAACAAGTCCTTGTCAAATGCATACCTGGCCTGGTGGCAGAGGTGGATTTTCTGTGAAGCTAATGAAGCTTGGGTGGCAGTGCTCCTCATTTGCACAGGCCCCTTCGAAACCCTGCACTTAATTTCATATTCATCATCTTGTATTTTTTTTCTTAAAGAGGGCCCCCCAAATTGTATAAGCTTTGGGCTCCACAAAACCTGGGTTCACCTCTGCAGTGAAGGGGATAATTGTGTAAAATGTTGACAAGCTCTCTGTTCTTGGTTTAATTAGCAGCCTCCTTTGAAATAATCTCTGTCAGAGATGTGTCTGTGTGCACAGCTTTATGCGCCCCTTTTCCTAGGTGGAGGGAGACCCCATGGCTGCTCCTGTTTCCAAGACACCACGGTTTTCTGCCTTGAGACTGGGGCAAGAGAAGGGTGAAGGAAACTGCTTTGTTTCTAAAGGGAATGTGGCGGAGAACCCCAAGGAACAAGTATCTGATAATAAATAATAATAATCTTACCTTTGTAAAGCCTTTAAGAGTTTCCAAAGGGAATGTGTCATTTGATCTTCACAATAACCCTGAAGCAGGAAGGAAAGGTATTATGGAGATGTGTTACAGACAAGTAAACTGAGGCTCAGAGAAGTCTAATTACAATAATAATAGCTCAAAAGCACAAAGCTATTGTATCAGCAAGAACAATCACATATGTTCACTCATTTAATCTGTACAACAATTCTATGAGGTGGGTACAATTATTATCCTCATTTTAGAAACAGGGAAACTGCACAGAGAGGTTAGCCAAACTAAAGAGTAGCCCAGCCAAGATCCGAACTCAAGCAAGCAGTCTGGCGGCTGAGTCCTCGCTCTCAATCAGTACGCCACTCCAAAACCTTGTGCACCGTCATGGGCTAGACTTCAAGCCCTGACCTGTCTGACCCGTTTCTCATCACCACTAAGCACTAATATGTCCCTCTGAACCAGGAACTCAAAGCCTAGATGGAGGGGCAGGAGATTGGTGGGAAGTCCAGGTGACTGACCGTAAGGATCAGGGTCTAGTCATGGAAATGGCCCCTCAGGACAGATGAGTACCAGGGTTCCTCCTGGACTGAAAGCACAGGGCGGGAGGTGAGCCAGCAGGCACCAGCCCGCCAAGAGCCCGGGTAGACTTCTTAAAGAAGCTGGAACGTGTTGGTTCCTTTCAGGAACCAACATCTGACCACCTCTCCCCACTCCTTACTTACAGGCAAGTAAACTGAGGCTCAGAGATGTCTAATTACAGTAATAATAGCTTACAGTCAAGCATGATGGCTCACGCCTGTAATCCCAGCACTTTGGGAGGCTGAGACAGGTGGATCACTTGAGGACAGGTGTTTGAGACCAGCCTGACCAACATAGCTAAACCCCGTCTCTACTAAAAATACAACAATTAGCCGGGTGTTGTGGCGCACGTCTGTAGTCCCAGCGCCTCAGGAGGCTGAGGCAGAAGAATTGCTTGAACCCAGAAGGCAGAGGTTGCAGTGAGCTGAGATCGTGCCACTGCACTCCAGCCTGGGCTACAGAGCGAGACTCTGTCTCAAAAATATATAATAATAATAATAATAATAATAATAGCTCACGAGCACAAAGCTATTGTATCAGCAGGGACAATCCCCACTTCCCAGACAAATGAGATCAAGATTATGGTCAGAGGTGTGTTTAGGGAGATTACCATGGCAACGAGGTAAAGGATGATGGACTAAGAGTAGGGGCACGCTAGAGGGAGACTGGTTAGGAGATGGTGGCAGAAATCCAGGTGAGAAGTGATGAGGCCCCACTCGAACCAAGGTGGTGGCTGTGTGGCTGTGGTGTAAAGAAGAGAGATGCTACAGGGGAGAATGAATGAAGGAAGGACAGGGATGTCTTTTTCAAACAACACAGCGCACATACAGGCCCCAGTGGAAGAAGCGGGGTAGAGAGTGGGAAGTGCTGGCGGCTGCGGGGGCAATAAACAATGAGGCCTGCAGGATGAGCAGCCCCTGGAAGCTGCCAGAGTTGCTCACATCCCATCTTCCTGCTCTCCCCCAGTCAGTCAGGCTGGCCCTGCCACTGGGCTCTGTGTGTGTGGGGGTGGGGGCAGGCGGTGGTGCTGGGGCTGGGGAGAAGGGAGAAGTGTCAGCCCTGGCCTCTGGGGCCACATACAGGGAGGTGAGCTATGGGGAGCATCACGGAAGCGTGATTTAGAGTCTCATTCCCACTGCCCTTCACCGTGCTGCAAGGACAGTTCAACGTAATATATAATTACCGCCGCCCCACAAGGCTGCACTGTACACAGAGCTCCCACCTTCCTCCCGCTCCCTCCTGCCTGCCTTCAGACTATAAATCAGTTTTCAATCCTGAATGCTACCTGTAAATGTTCGAGCTCAGGATCCTCGCCTCATATTCCTATGTCCCTGGGGGGTGGTTCAGGATGTGAGTGGCTTCCCCCAGTCCTGATTCTGACATCCCAGCCCCTGATTGATGGTGAGAGGAGCAGCAGGGAAGCTGGAAATGGCTCTAGGGTCTCTGGAGCCCTGGCCTGGGGAGAGGGGTGGGCAGCTCTGGATCTGCCTGACTCAGCCAAGCCTGAACTGGATGCTCCCCAGTGTACAGAACTGTGGACATGCTCCGGACCAATTGGTGGGAAGGCATTGAAACTGACCCCTCCCCGAAAATGGCAACTTCTTTCCAGCCTTGTCAGATGTGCCAGAGCAGGCAGGTGGGCACGTTCACTGGAGTGTCCAAAAGACGGCAGCCTCGCCATAGGCTGATCTGGGGATGAAGAGGCACAGCCATGCCTTTCCCCTGAGCTGGGATGGGAAATCCCATGATGCACCTTTGAGGTGATAAAAGGACAAATCAAGAAAGAAATTCTTGGCCAGGCATTGTGGCTCATGCCTGTAATCCCAGCACTTTGGGAGACCGAGGCAGGCGGATCACCTGGTGAAACCCTGTCTCTACTAAAAATACAAAAATTATCGAGGCATGGTGCCATATGCCTGTAATCCCAGCTACTTGGGAGGCTGAGGCAGGAGAATCTCCTAAAACCCAGAGGAGGAGGTTGCAGTGAGCCGAGATTGTGCCACTGCATTCCAGCCTGAGTGACAGATCAAAACTCTGTCTCAAAAAAAAAAAAAAAAACCACACACACACACACACACACACAGAAAGAAAGAAATTTTTCTTTCTTCCTTTTTTTTTTTTTCTTTTTTAGGAGACAGAGTTGCCCCGGCTGGAGTGCAGTCGTGCGAAGCTGGCTCCCTGAAGCCTCAACTGCAGGTGTGTTATGTGTCCACCATTTACTGATCACCCCATCTGAAGACGGTCCCCCGGCCCTGACCTATTACTTTCTATCTTAGCGCCCTGTTTGTTATGGTACTAGGTATAATTCATATTATTCCATATTGTCTTGTGTCTTCATTTTTTGTGGGTTTTCACTCCTGGAGTGGAAGCTCTGTGAAGGCAGGGGCCACATTGCCTGGTCAACACTGTATTCCAGTTACTTAGCATCAAGCTTCACACATCATGGTGTTAGTTAAATACTCTTTGAATGAACTGAATGCATGGAGCCGGGGTGGGGTGGCTGCCAAAGAGAAGGTCTTCAAAGCTGAGGCTGACTCTGCCTGCTCCCCTGTGGCAGCCCCATCTGCAGACAGCAGCTGGGCAGATTCCTCCTTCCCTAGGAGACCAGGCTTATGACCCCGGGGGAATTGAGAGGCCTCTCCAGACCTTGGCCTCCTTCCTCTCCCTTGGGAAAACTCCAGTTGTGACCCCTCCTAGCTGTCCCCGGAGCTGCCTTCTGAGGACCAGGGGTTAATGGTCAGTGTTTATCACCTCCCACTCCCTGACAAGATCCCCAGGTCACTGGAAAGCTTGGCCCAGCCCAAACTGATACCTTGCATGGGCCAGGGACTCAATCTGGGGACAGCAAAGAGGGACTGAGGAGGAAGCTCCTCCACGCATTATAATATCCATGAAGTGAATGCAAATGAACTGAAAGCACCTTTTGAATAAGCAGCTTTTACTGAGGGAGCTGCTCTAATCCCTAAATGGCTTTGCTGACAGGGAGGAGCTTCCCAGTGGTGGAAGGGGTGGGAAATGGGGACACACTGTCAGGAACCGGCTCTGCAGCGCCCTTGTCCCTGCACTTTTAGATTCCGGACACGCTTCTTGTGGCTAATGGAACTCGGAGATCTCTAACCTTGGCCTCCATATTCCACTCCCTGCCCCCGCCCCCAGAGTCTGCGGAGCCCAGCTTCTGTGTTTCCAGGAGGCTGAGGCTGCTGGGTGCTGGGTCTCAGTGTCGAGTGATTCTCTGGGACTGGAAGCAGCTGAGTGTGCCTCCAGTGATGTAGCCCTGTGGGCTCTCTGGTGACCATGTGAGACATCCCTGGGCCTGTGTGTAAAGGTGTGTGGCCGTGTGCACCAGTGGGTTTGTGTCCATTTACACACCTCCTGGAAACAAGTGTCATTGTGTTTGTGCCTCTGTCTGTCCCCACCCCCACATCTCCATCCATCTGTATTCCTCCCCAGGTTAGCGGGGGCTGGCCTCAGCTGGGGAATCATGCTTTTTCAAGGACTAATGACTTTTATCAGAATGATAATGAACTGATGACACAGGGAGGCCCTGGGCTCTGGAGAGAAGCCAGAGAAGGAGCAGTTGGGGACAGAGAGGAGGCTGGTAGGGTTGGGAGGCTAGAGGACTATGCCTCCCAGAAAGGCCAGCCAGCTCCATTCCTCTTTCAGTGGGGGAAGGAGACAGGGACAGAGGAAACCCAGGGGATGTTGGAAACACATTCTCCATTTCCCTTCCCTGTCCCGCCTGCCTCTTCCTGAACCTTCCATTCCCTGCTTTGCTATTCTTCTCGCCCTCCCAGAGGACTCCCCTTGACTACGGGGCTGTGAGGCTAAAGCTGGCTATTCCCCTCTCCCAGTCTCCTTCACTCTAGCCCTTACTCAAAGCCAGGTCCTGCCCAGAGATGGAGAGGGGAGCTGCTCCTAGAATTCTGAGTGGGCAGAGACACATAGGTGGCCTGAGCAGGTCTTAGAGGACCAGAAACTTGAAAGCTGCCCCTTGGGCATGAAGCTTGTCAAGGCTAATTGGCCTCAATATTCTTTCATAATGAGTGTAGGGCCAGGTGAGTTGTCAGTGGGGAAAGGAGAGGAGAATTCAGAAGCTCACAGAACATCCACACCAGGGACTTGGGAGATCACAAAACCAGGAACTGTTCTCATTGGTCAGAGAAGATAAGTGATACCAATCTCCCAAAGGTTTCGGAGAGATTTCAGGCAGAGTCTGCAGCATGCAGGGGCTCCCTCACTGGAAAAGCTCCTTCACCTGCTGCAGAGAGGCAGCCACGTCTCCCCAAGCCGGAGCACTCTGGCCTCTAGCACAGCCTGGCATGCAGTGAATACTCAATAAACATCAGCTGTTGTGGATATTAGCATAATCTTCTGGTGGAAAGTCTCTGAGGGTGGTCCCTGCAGAGAGGGGTAAGCTTCTAGGACCCTGGGATTCACAAGGAACGGGGACAGTGCAAGGCAGGCATGGTACCAAGAGACCCAGCTTAAAGACCAAGGAGGCAGGCATGCCGGCCCCCACTGTGGCCTCTCCTTCTCCTGCCCCAGTCTTTCAGGGTCATCCTCCCTCTGGGGCCTGCAGGGAGTCCTCCCTCTGTCCCAGGCAGGCCCAGTGACCTTTTGCTCAAGTCTGCAAATATATTCTTGTCTAGTCTTGGAAATGAAATTGTGCTCAACATTTGTATAGGGCTTTTCCATTGCCCAGCCCTTTACAGACATTAGCTAATTAAATGGAGGAGGGATAGAGAGGAGCTGGCCTCTGCAGTCAGGGACCCCAGGCCCTTCTTACCTGGGCCCCAGTCTCACTCCTCCCTTCTTTCCTGCAAGATTGGCCTTACTCTAAAGAGAAGGCAACTCCTGAGGAATTGGCCACTGAGTCAGAAAGCAAGGGAAGCTGGGAACTTGGTAATCTGTGGAATGTGTAAGGGTCTTCCTGAGGTCATCCTGTCCCACAGCCACACCCAACAACTGGCTTAGTCTGAAAGTGCAGTTCTGTGTCTGCCATGAGTGGGTCAAACACACAGGGCACACAGCTGTGTGGCCTGTTCTAGGGATGGGGCCAACCTCTCACCCCATCTGGGAGGCACAATTGTGGACAGCTGCTCCCAGCCTGGAGCGAAGCATGGAAGCCTCTACCTGCCGCGGTCTTCCTGACCAGGAGGATCGGAGGGGAGCCATCCAGTGTCAGCAGAACAGCTTGCCCTGCCCTCCCCTCCATCTCCACCCTCCTAGAACTGCCCTCCAGGGCACAGCAAGTCAACTCTCACCTGGGGAGGGTGGGGGCGGATTGGGGGGCAGGGAGAGATACCAGTTACGGAAACTGACATAGACATAGGGAAGAAATAGGCCATATTTCGAACTGAGACTGTGGGAGAAAGGAAAGGAAGAAGACTAGAAGGAGAGATGGAGGAAAAAAACATCTTCACGGGGTGCCCGTAGTGTCAAAGATTGAGGATTTCTTCGCGGAGCCGCAGGCAGCCCCATGTTGGATTCCTCTAGCCTGAGAGAGCTGCCCCTCCCACCCCACTGCCTGTTATCCCTCATACCCACGAGGGACGGCATCACAGGTGCCCACTTCACAGGCATGGGCTTCTTCACGGGGCAGGCGGTGCACGTTTTCCTCCCTGATCCCGTCAGAGACTGGAAAGTGGAGACTCGCTCTCCTTCCACAGCCTGGCTGCACTCGGCTCACCCTGATCCCATCAGTCTGCCTGGAGCCGATTGGAGAATCAGCAATTCTGGAGACCCCGCCAGGTCCAGCAGAGGAGGACCTGACCTCCCCGCATCATAATTATCTGTCTCATAAAAAACAGGCATTGAACTTCATAAAACCAATTAGGGCTACAGGGCCAGGTCATGGTAGCAAGTAGGAATTTAGCTCTGGTGACAGTGGCAGTCAACTCCAAGGACAGAGCAGTATGTGACAGCTCCCTCCTCTCAGGCCCAGCCCTATAGGCCACCCAAACAAAGCTCCTGCAGATGCAACAGAAGAGGTTGAGGTCAGACCCAAGGAAGGACTGGCAGGGGCAGGAGCACTGGAGTGGTTTCTTCCCTTTGTGACAAGCAGCCCAACAGAGCCTGAGTCCTCCCTCCACAGCCTTCTCTGGTTCCAGAAAACCTCAAGAGCTTCCCATCATGTTACCAAGGCAACTGTAGCCCTGCAAGATTCACAGTGAGGATGGAGAGAGAGCGGGGACTGACAGGAAGCCCAGACAGAATGCCAAGGTGGAGGCACACATCTGAGACTGAGCAGGGAGGCAGGGGCTTTGGGCCACAGCAAGCAGCCCCTGCCTTTCTGTTTGGGCTGTTCCAGGATCTGTTTTCCTGCAGGCTGTGAGTTTGTTTTACAAACCCCAGTCCCCTGTGGGCGAGAAAACAGCATCAAAGCTTCCTTCCCTGTCAGGTGGGGATGGAGTGGGGGCAAAGGAGGGCTCCTCCACAATTTCCCAGCATGCCAGATGCTGCAGCTCCTGGCCCAGCCCACGGGCAAGGGTTCTCCTGCTTTCAAAGGCCAACGGGACCCTCCTCCATCACCACTGCTTGCTCTACCATGGTCCCCTTGGGAGGCAATCTTGCCAAGGAATCAGCAGCACAGGCTGCTGATTGGTTGGAATTGGAGAGAAGAGTGTTTGGCTCCTGGCTTGGTCATTTTCTAAGACTCCATGACCTTGGTGAAGTCACTTCTTGCTCAGATTGTTTCTTTAGCTGAAAATCGGGATAATATGATGAATTCTTAGGATTTAATAGTACCATATACATCATGTGCTTGCACCAAGACTGGCACTGTGTCAATTTTTTTTTTTTTTTAAAGCGGTTTGGGAGTCTCTCTGAGCCTACTCTGGCTTGGGAGCCTGCCTGATTTAAAAAATAATAATAAATTAAATAAAAAAGAAAAAAAAAGCTGTTAAAGGCTGGGCATGGTGGCTCAGACCTATAATCCCAGCATATTGGGAGGCCAAGGTGGGAGGATCGCTTGAGGCCTGGAGTTTGAGATCAGCCTGGGCAACATAGTGAGACCTCATCTCTTTTTAATTAAAAAATTTTTTTAAAAAGCTGTTAAAATGTTATCATTATTATTACTATTCTGATTTTTATTATCATTGCGTGTGCCTCTGTTTACTTGTCTGTAAGATAGAAATCATGATTAGACCTAATTCAATGAGTAGTTTGCAGATTTCATGAGACAAAACACGTAAAATGCCTTGAACAGCACCTTAGCCATGGGAAGTGTCAATTAATAGGAGTGATCCCTATACTCCCCTCCTTACCCCCACCCCAGGCCTTCAGATTACCTACTGGGGAGCCACCACCAAACTGGCCCAAACTCCCAGTTCCCTAAGTAGTAGGGGCTATGAAAACGAGGTTTCTGGAGCTGTAGTCAGGGAAGCCATTCCTTTTTCCTTTTTTTTTTCCTCCATCCCTGCCCTCTGCGGAAGTCATTCCTAATTGCAATGCCAGTGAACTTCAAAGTCACTCCTGTCTGGGAAGGAGGCTTTGATCTCTGTGCTTCCTCATTTCTGTCTCAAGCCTGAGGTCCCCTGAACAGGCCGATGTCCAGCTAATGCCCAGTGTCCTGGAGAAAAGGAGTAAATGTTCGTTTAGAATGGAAAAAGTTTTGCCCCTATACAGAGGGCCTGGTATCAGGCTTGGGGTGGGGGGACACACAGGAGGATGGATAAGGTCTGCACCTCTTCCAGGTGCCTAAGTTCCCTGTCTTCTGTTGGTCCAGCTGAGGCCTTATTTCAGCAAGGAGATCTGAGATGTGGCTGAGGAGGGTGGACTGCTCCCAAATCCTCACTGCCTTCTCCTCTGAAAATACCAACACTCCTCTGGGCCCTGTCATGCTTTTGACCTTTGAGAGGGATGAAGAAGCTGATTTGCGATGGGCTTTGAACAGATACAGTTTCCTCATCCTTGGCCCTTCCCACAGATGTGCACCTCACTGGTCCATTCCCACACTGGTTTCACAGGTGGGTGTCTCAGGGGTCTGCAGTGTGTGCCGTGATCTGCAGCTGGGAGAATTTAGAGGAAACCTCAGGGAAAACGTCCTTGGTGAAAGAGCTGAGAGACGCAAAGAAAAGGCTACAGGCCCACGCAATTTTCTTCTCTTCAGATTTTCAATCAGAGAAGGCCTCTTCCCTACCCCCTACTGCCCTAGAGAGCTCCAGAGTTAATGCCTCAGTAGGGCTGGGCTGGAGCTGAGGCTGGGTATCCACCCGTAGCTGTCAGGACCCTTAGGGCATTTTAAAAGGGTAGGGCAACCCCACACCACCCCCAAGGCAACCCTGTGGCCCTGTGGGATGAGGTAGACCCCTGAAGTCCTGAGAGTTTCTACAGAGCCAGGCTCTAGGGCAGGGGTGTCTAATCTTTTGGTTTCCCTGGGCTACATTGGAAGAAGAACTGTGTTGGGCCACACATAAAATACACTAACATGGGCCAGGAGCAGTGGCTCATGCCTGTAATCCCAACATTTTGGGAGGCTGAGGCAGGTGGATCACCTGAGGTCAGATGTTCAAGGCCAGCCTGGCCAACATGGCGAAACCCTGTCTCTACAAAAATACAAAAATTAGCCGACATGGTGGCACGAGCCTGTAATCCCAGCTACTCGGGAGGTTGAGAGACGAGGATCACTTGAACTGGGAGGCGGGGAGGTTGCAGTGAGCCAAGATCATGCCACTGCACTCTAGCCTGAGCAATAGAACAAGACTTCATCCCCACCCCGCCCCAAAAAACAAAAAAACCCACTAACACTGATAGCTGTGAGAAAAAAAAAAATCGCAAAAAAATCATGTTTTAAGAAAATTTATGAATTTGCATCGGGCTGCATTCAAAGCTGTCCTGGGCCACATGTGGTCTTGGGTTGGCAAGTTTGCTCTGGGGGAACAGATGACTTGGTCAGATGGAAGGGTGTAGACATAGGGATGACTTGGGCATGTCCCAAGTACAAGTCCACAGACTCCAGACTTGGCCTGTGCCCTCAGCTCTGCTGGCAATGCCTTTGTTGGCAGCCCAGAGGTCCCATCCTCCACACCAGCCACCACACCCAGGACTGCTCCTCATCCTTTGGACAGAGAGAATTTGGAGGTGCTAGAAGCCAAAAAGCCAGCCTTTTCTTTTGGGGCTGTGTAACCTGATACAGGCATCGTACCCCCCACCCCATCCCCCTAAGCCAGTGCTCATGCAGGCCCTGTTACTGGAAGGAGAAACTCCCAAGTGTGGGAGGCTTTGGGGTGACAGGGTGGGGAGGAGGAAGCCCGAAGAAGACAACTGGGAAGAAAGTCCTAACAGTGTCAGCTCCAGGTAAGGAATGTGCTGCACCCTGCCGACCAGCTCAGTACTCTAGGCTCAGCCCATCCCCATCTGATGGGGCCAGGAAGAGTCACAGAGGACTGTGAGATCTGGGAGAAAGAGAGAAAGCCATTTTTTTTTTCATGATGAAGAAGGTGGTGAGCAGGTCATGGGCAATAGCAACACAGATTAACCTGGGAAAAAGTTCTGAAGAAAATTGGGACATTCAGCTCTGCCAAGACAGTCAGACCAGGGTGAGCTACTGGGGGCTGGCAAATGGTCAGGGGTTACACTGTCCCCAGCCTAGGACCCAGCCAGCCTTGGCCGTGGCCCCAGACAAAGACTTGCCCCACTTGCTGATCTCCCAGAGGCAGAGGCCAGATTCCTTCCAGCCCAGGGAGTCTCTGGACAAGTCATAAAAGTGTTTCCTCCAAGTCTCTGTCTGGTCCTGCTAGAAAAAAATTGTCCATCTGTCAGTCTGCAGGTGAGTGGGGCTGGGTGCCGTGACTTACGCCTGTAATCCCAGCACTTTGGGAGGCTGAGGCAGGAGGATTGCTCAAGACCAGGAGCTCGAGACCACTTAAGCAACATAGACCCCACCTCTACAAATAAAAATGTAAAAATTAACCAGGTGTAATGGTGCGTATTTGTAATCCTAGTTATTAGGGAGGCTAAGGTGAGAGGATGGCTTGAGCCCAGGAGTTTGAGGCTGCAGTGAGCCATAATCGTGCCACTGCAAGCTTGGATGACATAGTGAGACACTATCCCTTTTTTTTTTATGGTGTGGGGGGATGGAGTTTCACTCTTTCGCCCAGGCTGGAGTGAAGTGGCGTGATCTCAGCTCACTGCACCCTCCGCCCGCCAGGTTCAAGCGATTATCCAGCCTCAGCATCCCAAGTAGCTGGGATTATAGGTGCCTGCCATCATGCCTGGCTAATTTTGTACTTTTAGTAGAGACGGGGTTTCGCCACGTTGGCCAGGCTGGTCTGGAAATCCTGACCTCCAGTGATCCACCCGCCTTGGCCTCCCAAAGTGCTGAGATTACAGGCGTGAGCCACCACCCCCTATCTCTTAAGAAAGGCCGACGCTATCTCTTAAGAAAGAAAGCAAAGGAAGAAAGAGAACGAGGTGACCGCACCAGTCACCTTCAGATTGATGGATGAACAGACAAAATTTCCGATGTTCCCTGAGCCAGGGCTAAGGCATCAGCCCAGAATCCTCTTCTCGGATGACTCAGGAGCGCCCCCTTCTGTCTGGTTTGGCTGAAACCAGTGTGGGGGGCGGGGAGAAAGAATGATTAAAGTAGATTCTAATCACAATGCCCAAAGACAGCCGCTGCAGGAGCAGGCCCTACCAGAAGGGTCCTCACTTTAGGCTGCCCCCCGATACTGCCACAGCCTGAATCAGAGCTGGACTTCCTCAAGGGGGATCAGGGACCAAGGAGGAGAATGTCTAAAGCGCAGTCGACCTGAGAGGACGCCTAGGCTGTCATACCTGGGCCTGGCAGCCTGGCCTCTGGGCACATGCCTAGAGCTCTGGAGGCCATCCAGCCTGCAGATGTCCCCAGCTTCATGAGAAAAGTCATGGTCTGTGTAGAAAGACCAGGCTCTTCCTCTGAGCCTAAGAAAGAAAGGGCTGAGACAGTCAATTATCTCAGGGCTATGAGTGTGTTGTCGGGGGATCAGCCAGCCATGGGAAGCACAAGAGGGGAGATGCTGCTTCTCCCCAGCAACTGCCCCCAGAGCCAATGAGACATGTTTCCCAAAGGACCTCCAGCTTCCTGTGTACAGGTGCAGAAGAGACCCGCAGACTCCTCTGGTGTTTAGTTCTAACATTCCATAACCTACAGGATTCTCTCTCCTGGACCATCTGCAGCTGCCCTTTCCCAGTTTATTCGTTAGTCTGATTTTTTTAAATTAATTAATTTATTTATTTGCCATATAGAGTCCACATTGGATCTTCAGTCTGATTTAAATCCATCTTGCTGCATCTGAATGACAGCTAGAAGAGAGGGAGGGGGAAAGCAAAGGGGATGCTGAGAAACTGAGGAGGAGAAAGACAAAACAAGGAGAAGGAGTGGAGAGAGAACTGAAGGAGTGGAGAGAGGAAGACCCGAGCAAGTACCTGAGAGGAGCCATCTGCCCGGTGGAGAACAGCTTCTGCATTGTCCCTAGTCACTCTCCCTGTCAACACTTCATAGCTGCAAGTCCATGCTCGCACTACATGTAGGCGTGGACACACACACATACACACACACATCACATACTTAGGCTGTGGAGAAGGCCTGGCTGTGTGTGGGGCTTGAGGGGCAGTCTGCCCCCTCCTGAATACTTATCTTCTCCTCCTCACACCTCCCCACCCCTCAGCCTTCCAGCACTAGTTCTTTGTGCTTTCAAAGCAGCTCCCTCCCAGAATGCTACCTCCAGGAAGTGCTGAGCTGAGAGAATGGGGGAATGGAAGGAAGGGGAGCTAGTCCTCTTCCCCCGACAGCACTGCTCCATCAAACAGCACCCCCTCCTCCCCTCACCTCCACCTCTTTCATCACTGCCACTGACAGCTGCAAAATCAGCCCTCCTCATCCTGAGCAGTGGACTGCGGGGATGTGTCCGTCTATTTCCTATCCACTTCCTGGGGCAGAAGACAGCTGGGGACGGAGGTAGAGAAGCAGCATCCCCATCCGTGCCAATACCGTCTCCCTCCCTTCCCCCATAAGTAAAGAAAGTCCTCCAGCCAGGCCCTAGAAGTAGCGTGCAGTCACCCCAGCTTTCTAAAATCCCTGTCCACAATGCCCCCGGCCCTGTCCTCCCAAGGTAGACTCTATTTCTCAGACCTTGGAAAGTCGCTCTAGGATATCTCACCCTGAAAGACAGATCCACTCTTGGAATGCTGGGAGACAGTGATGGATTCGCCCACACACTAGCAACCTACTTCCATTAACTTCTATGTCCAAATAATTTCTTTAAATCACAAGGATGAAGCTGGGGAGGGGAAGGCAAGCCTGTGACATCAATCTCCAGCAGGGATTCCTCCTTCAAACCTGGCCAGGGCAAAGCAGGAAAAATACCCAGCACATTCTTCTGGGACAAAACTATGGAAATGAGCCCCCACCCCACCCCGCCACCCACAGTGCCTCTTCTCACCTAAGTTCTTGGCCACCCTCTCCCTTGGTTCTGTGGAAAGACAGCACAGATAGAGGCTTTTCCACCCCTTCCTGGAGGTTTCAGGGCTCCGGCTGCTCCTTGGCAAGGTGCGGGCTGCCTCCTGGGGCATCCCAACCCCCCTAGCAGCCAAGAGAGCATCTCCTGCATGACCAGTGCCCAGGGTGACAGAAAGGGCAGGGCATGAGAAGGATAACTAAAAGCTAAGAGCTGTACCTCAGCTACCAATTTACCATTCCTTCTCAAATTACCCCAATTACTGCCCTCATTTTACAAAGGAGGAAGTGGAGACTTAGAGGGTCTAACTTGTACAAAGCTAGCTGCTAGAAAGGGACAGATCCGAGTCAAGCACAGGTCTTCCATCTCCAAAGTCTGCCTTTAGGGAGATCATGTCCTGGTAGGGAGGGGGGAGCAGGAAGCAGGTGACATTTCAATTGCTTAGTGTTCCCATCTACCCTTGGCTCTGGAACACAGGTTCATCAGCTCAGACCTACTGTTCTAGCCCCAGCCGGGCTTACCCTGCCTGCTGCTAATCCAGCCTCCAGCTGGGAGGTTTGGACATCTTGGGGATGGGCCAGGTGGAGCCTGGAAGGCAGAGGGGACAGAGAAGGGAAGAGCTGGCATTTTGACAGGGCCCAGGAGCAGGCAAGGGGAAGAGAGCTGGGCAGATGGGCCTGAACCGGCCATGTGGGGAGGCTGGGCCTTGAGAAAAGTGTAGGCATAATGGGGCCTGGCTGAAACACGGCTTCACCCAGTTGGCACTTCTTGCTTCCTTCATTGTCCCTATTGCTTTGAATTGTCTGCTTTAGATGTGATTCTTTTCAAATGGGCACCTTCCACCTACAAAGGGACTGGCATGGGGAGAGATTACTGATGTCATAGTCTTCTTCCAGTAGCAACAGCAGGCTAGGGAACTGGCAGCCCAGACCACAACAGGAGCAGTTTGTGATGTTCTGTTGCAGCAGATTGGAGAGGGTTTCCCATGGCTCAGACCTGAGGCTGAGGAACCAGAATAGAAAAGGCAGGAGAGAGGAGGCCCTGAGCTCTTGGACAACCATCGGGCTTGTTGGTGGCCTGGAATACAGGTGTCCATATAGGCTTTCCCCTCCGAGTAGGAGAAAAGTCAGCACTGTCCAGCCCTGTGGCTCTGATGACAGTGGTGGCTTAGTGTGGTGGCTTTGTGTGGTGTCCCCCTTAGAGGTGCTCTACCTCTTCCAGGCTCTGAAGTTCCCATAAACGAGGGGAGAATGAACAAGAACCAGTCACTGGCACTTGATGGTTTCTCTTATGTTGTTTCTCTTATGTTGTTTGCAACCTCCGCCTCCTGGGCTCAAGTGAGCCTCATGCTTCAGCTTCCCAAGTAGCTGGGACCACAGGTGTGCACCACCACACCTGGCTAATTTTTTTGTGTTTTTTGTAGAGATGGGTTTTTGCCATGTTGCCCAGGCTGATCTCAAACTCCTGAGCACAAGCAATCTGCCCACCTCGGCCTCCCAAAGTGCTGGGATCAAGAGTATGAGGCACTGCACCCAATCTGTTTGTTTTTTCTTTTTTTTGAAATGGAGTCTCGCTCTGCTGCCCAGCCTGGAGTGCAGTGGTGTAATCTCAGCTCACTGCAACCTCCACCTTCTAGGTTCAAGCAATTCTCCTGCCTTAGCCTCCTGAATAGCTGGGATTGTAGGCACGCACACCCACGCCTGGCTAATTTTTGTATTTTTAGTAGAGACGGGGTTTCAGCACATTAGCCAGGCTGGTCTGAAACTCCTGGGCTCAAGTGATCGGCCTTTCTTGGCCTCCCAAAGTGTTAGGGTTACAGGCATGAGCCACTGCACCCAGCCTGTTTGTTTTTTCTATAGTCCTTTTTAAAGCATGACTCCATGTCCTTCTGAAGCAGAAACTCACCTCCTGTCTCAAGTGTTTCATTGAGTGGGGGTGGAGTGGGATATCTTTCCTTTCCAGAATCTGGGAGAGCTGCAGTGGTTTGAGTTGTCTAGTGGAACTGCCTTAGTCAGTTCAGGCTTCTATAACAAAATACTGTAAATGGAGTGGCTTATAAACAACAGATTTTTTTTTCTTTTTCTTTTTCTTTTTTTTTTTTTTTGAGAGAGAGTCTCACTCTGTGGCCCAAGCTGGAGTGCAGTGGCGCCATCTTGGCTCACTGCAACCTCTGCCTTCCAGGTTCAAGCAATTCTCTTGCCTCAGCCTCCCAAGTAGCTGGGATTACAGGTGTGCACCACCATGCCCAGCTAATTTTTGTATTTTTAATAGAGACAGGGTTTCACCATGTTGGCCATGCTGGTCTTGAACTCCTAGCCTCAAGTGATCTGCCTGCCTTGGCCTCCCAAAGTGTTGGGATTACAGGCGTGAGCCACTGTACCTGACCAGAAATTAATTTCTCACAGTTCTGGAGACTGGAAATCCAAGATCGGAATCAACTTCTGGGTGGGGCCTTCTTCTTCCTTCAGATGGCCAGCTTCTAATTGTATCCTCAGCTGGCTGAGCACAGAGAGAGGAGGCAAGCAAGAAGCAGCAAGCTCTCTCAGGACTCTGGTTTTAGAGACCAGGTCTTGCTCTGTCACCCTGGCTGAGTGTAGTAGCACAAATAGCTCACTGCAGCCTCCAACGCCTGGCCTCAAGCAATCCTCCTGCGCTGGGCTCCTGAAATGCTGGTATTACAGGTATGAGCCACCATGCCTAGCCCCGTTCATGAATGAGGGCACTAATCTCATTCATGAGGGCCCCAATGACCTCATCTAATCCTAATTACCTCCGAAAGTCCCCACCTCCTAATATCATCACATTGAGGGGTGGGGTTTTAACATACACATTTAGTTGGGGACACTTAGTCTGCAGCAAGGACCAAACACATCATGTCAAGAGAAGCAAGAGGCAAATACTTCGAGACTGGCCTTGATCCTTAGAATATCTGGTTACTCTTAAATAAGGGCTCTCCAAATACTCCCTCTGTAGATCAAAGCCAAAGAACCCAACTCATCAAGAGTGGCTGCAGAAGGTGCAGCCCACACAGTCTGAGCACTAGAGGATCCCTAGGTATCCCCTAGATTCCAGGTCAAAGGCCCTCACCCCCTATTTGGTGACAGACTCAAGTACGAGCTTGTGGATTTTGAAATGAAAAGCAGTTGGTGCGGGAAGGAGTCCTTTGCACATAGAGGTGCTCAATAAATGCTGGATGCTGGGAGAAGAACATGCTCTAAAGGAGGCCAATGTTCTGTAATTTGAGGAGAGAAGAGGAGGCTGAGTAGGACTGGGGGGTCTTGCTACTTCAGCCAAGGTAACCAGGGAGCCTCCTCTGCACCCCTACCAAACTGGAGGTGGGAGGACAGGTTATCATTAGGTCAGATCAGCCTCCTAAGCCGGCATGAATCATTCTCAGGCCACCGCTGAGCCTACCTAGTCTCTGGTCTTGTCTAGACACTTCCTCTCCAGCTGAGGCTGGGAAGCAGGTGCAGTCACTTACAGCCTCACTCTTCACGGTGCTGCCATTAAGGACCCTGATTAGTAGAGCCCCATGCCGGGTTGCTAATGGGTTGAGGACATTAAGCATAAATGCTTTCCCAGATATGGGCTTGACCAGAGCCCAGGAAGAAACAAATATTTTAATCTCAAAGAAATAGCATGTAGGAGGGGAGGGGTTCCCTCTGCTTACTCGGCATCTGTTGTCCTCCCATCTTCCACCTGCCACACTTGCTGCCATTCTCAAGTCCCGGGAATTCCCTGTCCAGGCAGTGGGGTTTGTGGCAGGGGAGAACAGATCTTCACTCACCCAGGTGTATGAGAATGGAAGAGATTCTCAAAGATTTAGAGGGAGGGGGATTTTGTGGACTGCCTTGTCCTATAAACCTGATGGTCAAGAAGTCCTTGACATTGAATTTGGATGACTCTTGTGATAACTCAAGCCTACTTCCCCTTGGTTGGGGAGCTGGAGAAAAGGACTGAAGATCATGAGGGACATCTTTTGACCCAAACAAGTTGCTTTAGGTCAGTGATTCTCCCAACGTGGTTGGGACCAGCAGTATTGGCATCCGCATCAGCTGGGAACTTGCTAGAAATGTAAGCTCTCAGGCCTACCCCAGACCTACTGAATCAGCTCTGGGTGTGGCATCAGGCAAACTTGTTTTTTTGTTTGTTTGTTTTTGAGACAGTCTCACTCTGTTGCCCAGGCCAAAGTGCAATGGCATGAACACAGCTCACTGCAGCCTCGACCTTCTGGGCTCAGGTGATCCTCCCACCTCAGCCTCCAGAGCAGCTGTAACCATAGGCACACGCCACCAAGTGTGGGTAATCTTTTGGTATTTTTAGTAGAGATGGGGTTTTGCCATGTTGCCCAGGCTGGTCTCGAACTCCTAGGTTCAAGTGATCTACCCACCTCAGCTTCCCAAAGTGTTGGGATTACAGGTGTGAGCCACTGCACCCAGCCCAAACTTGTTTTAACAAGCCTTCTAGTGGTTCTTATCCACTTTCAAGTTTGAGAACCACTGCTCTTGGCTCTCCCTCTCGGACTGAAGGGGAATGTCAAGAGAAGGAAGAATTATGAGGGATGCAGCAAGCAGCCTCATCCAAAGAAAAAAAGAAACTGGAACTTTCCCAATGTGGAAATCTCGAGCCAGGCCTCAGAAGAGGCCTCTGATCCTCTGCGGCTGTAAATGTCAGAGCAGTGTCTAAGTGGCCCTGTGAGGAGGGAGTTGGGGGGAAAATAACCAAGCATGACCTTTTGCATTTTGCCCAGAGCAAGGAAGGATAATGGAGCAATCTTTTCAGGTCATTTATCTCCTACTCAGCCTCAGCTTTTCTCAGCTACCTTTCCCTCCAGCTGGGGCCCCCTAAAGCCTAGCCCTCCTTTCCTTCTCTTCCACCAGCCCTCTGCAGCCCTCTGGCCAGGCCCCTTCCCACCCCCGCAAGCCCCCAACCCCAACCCCCACCCCCGTCTATCTTTCCCCCTCCTCCATCAAATGAGAACTGGTTCAAACTGTTTCTTTTTTCTTTCTTTCTTTTCTTTCTTTCTTTCTTCTTTTTTCTGTCTCTCCCTCCCTCCTTCCTTTCTTCCTTCCTTCCTTTCTTTTTCTTTCTCTTTCTTTCTTTCTTTCCTTCTTTCTTTCTTTCCCTTCTCTCTCTCTTTCTTTCTTTTTTTGAGACAGAGTCTTGCTCTGTCACCCAGGCTGCAGTACAGTGGCGCAATCTCGGCTCACTGAGACCTCTGCCTCCCTGGTTCAAGCAATTCTCCTGCCTCAGCCTCCCAAGTAGCTGGTATTACAGGCACTTGCTACCACACCTGGCTAATTTTTGTATTTTTAGTAGATTCAGGGTTTCACCATGTCTGACCTCAGGTGAACACCCACCTTGGCCTCCCAGAGTGCTGGGATTACAGGCCTGAGCCACCGTGCCCGGCCTCAAACTGTTTCTTAAGCAGACCAGCAAGGAACGAAGCCCTATTCCATAGGGAATAAGAGGGAGAAAAAAAACACTATAACCTGTAATGGGGCAGCCTCTCTTCAGACCCCACCCCCTTTCCTTTTTTTTTTTTTTTTTTTTTTTTTGAGACGGAGTTTTGCCCTCGCCCAGGCTGGAGTGCAATGGCACGGTCTCAGCTCACCGCAACCTCCACCTCTTTGGTTCAAACGATTCTCCTACCTCAGCCTCCTGAGTAGCAGGGATTACAGGCATGCGCCACCACACCCAGCTAACTTTGTATTTTTAGTAGAGATGGGGTTTCTCCATGTTGGTCAGGCTGATCTCGAACTCCCAACCTCAGGTGATCCACCCACCTTGGCCTCCCAAAGTGCTGGGATTACAGACGTGAGCCACTGCGCCCGGCCTCCTCCCCTCTTTCCTACCCAGGCCATACCAGTTTATCGTGCCTCCATAAAGAGTGAAGCCACTCTTTCCCTGGCCTTTTACACAACACCTGAATGGTCACACTTGCAAAGAAAGAAAAGGACAAAATCTAGGCTCCTAACCAATCCATATGTTTCCCAAGGGCCAATAGTGCTCTATAGCTTATTTTCCTTCTACATCTGCCATACTAGGTAACAAACGCACTAGATGTCTAATGAATATTTCATAAATTGAACTCAAGGGAGCTCCTAGAAGCAAGAAACTAAGGAGTCTGTTTCCAAATTGGACCCACAACAGGAATCAAGACATGGGTCCTCCTGAAATGACTAAGGAAGAAGCAGCCTTCTGCTGCCTTTGTTCCCATGCACTGCTGTCTTCATCTGTTCATTCACTCCACAAGCATGTAGAGCACACCTGCTGTATGTGGACCCTAGATCATATGTTCTAGTGGGAAAAACACATATAATGTAAGTAAACATATAATATTTCAGGTGATGTTAATTGCCTCAGAGAAAAACAAAGGATGGTAAGGGGGATGGGGATGGTGGGAATGGGGCCCAAGAAAAGCCTCTTTGAGTGGGTGGCATTTGAGCAGGATCCTAAAGGAAGTGAAGGAGACACATTTTCAGCTATCTGGGGAAAGAATGTTCCAGGCAGAGGGTATAGCAGCTTCAAAAGCTCTGAGGTGGGGGTATTTTGCAAGGCGTGGAGTGAGTGAGGCTGGAGTGGAGTGAGTAAGGATGAAAGATGTAGGATATGAAATCAGAGAGAAATTGGTGCTCAGATTATGTAGGGCCTTGTAGACCATGGTAAGGATTTTAGATTTCTTTCTGAGTGAGGGGGGAGGTCTTTAGAAGGTTCTACACAGAAAAGTGACACGTTCTGATTTAACGGGATTACTCTGGCTGCTGTGTTTAGAACAACCTGTAGGGGGCAGAGCAGAAAGAAGAAAACCACTTAGGAGACTATGGCAGAGCAAGGAGTTTTCCCCTCAAATTCATCCTTTCCTTCCACATTTTAGCGGGCGACATGGCTGCTCAGAAAAAGGACTACATTTCCCAACCTCCCTTGCAACTAAGCGCAGCCATGTGACAAAATGCCAGCAAAAAGGATGTGAGCAGGCCGGGCGTGGTGGACTATGCCTGTAATCCCAGCACTCTGGGAGGCCAAGGCAGGCGGATCACGAGGTCAGGAGTTCAAGACCAGCCTGGCCAGGGTGGTGAAACCCCATCTTTACTAAAAATACAAAAATTAGCCGGGCGTGGCGGCAGGCGCCTGTAATCGCAGCTACTCCGGAGGCTGAGGCAGGGGAATTGCTTGAACCCGGGAGGTGGAGGTTGCGGTGAGCCAAGATCGTGCCACTGCCCTCCAGCCGGGTGATAGAGCGAGACTCAGTCTCAAAAAAAAAAAAAAGAACATGAACTAAAAAAGGTAAATGCGTGAGGTGATGGATATGTTCATTAGTTTGATTGTGGTAATCATTTCACAATGCATACAGATACCAAAACATTGCATTGTACAGCTCAAATAATATATACAATTTTAATAGAAAATGGTCTCGATCTCCTGATATTGTGATCCGCCCACCTTGACCTCCCAAAGTGCTGGGATTACAGGCATGAGCCACTGTGCTCGGCCCCTAATTCTTTTTTTGAGGGAGAGTCTCACTCTCTTACCCAGGCTGGTGTGATCTCGGCTCACTGCAACCTCTGCCTCCTGGGTTCAACCGAGTCTCATGCCTCAGCCTCCCAAGTAGCTGGGATCACAGGCACGCGCCCCCATGCCTGACTAATTTTTGTATTTTTTAGTAGAGATGGGATTTTGTCATGTTGCCCAAGCCAGTTTTGAACTCCTGGCCTCAAGTGATCTGCCTGTCTTGGCTGGAATTACAGGCATGAGCCACCACGATGGCCTGTATTGTACCTAATTCAAAGGCTATTGTAATTTCTCAGGCAAACAGTGACAGCGGGTGGTTCTGATGAGGGTGATAGTGGTGTAACTGGGTATAAGTGACCAGATTCTGGAGATAATTTAAAGGGTAGAACTTGATAGCATTTCCCAAGGGATTGGATAAGGGGACATGAAAGGAAGAGAAGAACCAGGAATGACTCCAAGATTGGGGCTCTGGTAGAACAGATTTGCATTTATTGCCCTGGGGAAGACTGAGGGACTGCTGAGTTTGAGAGGACTATAAGAGAGACTCACATGGGGATGGCAAGTAGCCGCTGGATATGACCACGACCTATCAACATAGCTGGCTTTAAAGTCCAGAGAAGATGGAATTAGTTAGGGAGTGAGGATGGATGAAGAAGAACAGAGGCGTAAGGACAGCCCTGAGGCATCCAGTGATGGGGAGGTGAGGAGCCAGCCCAGGAGATGATGGAGGTAGGAGAACTGGGCGTGTCATGGAGGCCAAAGGAAGAGAGTGTTTTATGAAGAAACCATCCATGTCAAATGCCACTGCCAGGATGAGTAAAATGGGGACTCAGAAATGACAGCTGAAATTAGCAACATGGAAATCACTGGTGACATTGACAAGAGAATTTGCCTTGGAGCACTGAGGACAAGCAGGGATGGGAAGAGAGGAAGTGGAGACAAATACAGACGATTCTTAATTCCTGGCAGGTAGAAATCATTAAAGCATCTAATTTCCACCCTTCCTATCATAGTTCTAAGCCTTCTAAAGGACATGAAGGCACCCAGCAACTCAGTCTATCCAGCTCCCCTTCCACATGGGTCTGAAAGGCTCTGCAGTTTTTCCTCTCCCAAATTCACCCTGTTGCTGAGAGCCCCAGCCTGCCTGCATCTCTGCCTCTGCCCTACTGGCTCCCAAGGCCGCTCTCAAGGACTGCCTTGGCAGGCTAGGCAGCCAGGCCTGACTCTCCTGGATCATAATTAGTGCTGCTGCTAACAATGTTTGGCCTCTGTGGAATAGCAACCTGGGAAGTTCTGATACTTCCAATTTTCCCCCTCAGTGCTCTCCCAGATGCAATTTCCCAGCCAGTGCCTTGTGCTCTCCAGCCCTGGGCCCTGGCTGCCTCCTTGCCAGGGAGAATTAAGCCTGTGCCCCAGATGCCACTCCAGAGGGCCTAATCAGTTAGGTAAAACCATCTCCTGGCCACTGTCATGGCATTATCGTATTAACACAGGCACTGGCTTTGGAGGAGGCAGGGGGCTGCTATAAGGAAGAGGAACCAGGCCAGCCCTACACAGCACACAATGAGCATTGCTAGTCAGAAAACTGATGGCTGGAGAAAAAGGAGCCCTCCCAGATGAACTCTGGAGTTTTCAGTAGAGATGCAGCTCAACCATCTCCTCTTTCCTGATGAGAAGCCCACCAAGTGCTCCTTTCTCCAGCGAGGGAGGGTCTCAGCAGACAGAACCCTGGACACTGCCCCACGGGCCTGGCGTCCTGGGGCTTGGGGACGGACCTGGTCAAGTCTTGGGCCCAGCTCTTCTCAGCCACAGCAGTCCCAGGTCCTGGGCTCTTTCCTTGAAAGTGCCAGTTCATAGGAGTGTCCTGATCTCCCAGGTCTGGAGACTTTACTTCATTGCTCTGATGGGCTTCCAGCTCTCTGGGGCAGGGGGCTGTGGTGGGCTCTACGTCTCAGAGTCTTGAAGGAGAGGCCAGAGGGTTGCCTTGGGTTAAGGGCACCGGGATTAACTGGACCTTGGCTTCTGCTACATGGGATAAAGATGAAAAATCAGCATTTCTAAGGTACCTGCTACATGAGGGGCCCAAGGTAAAGTCTTTTTATTGTTGTCGTTGTAGTAAAATATAGGTAACATAGGCCGGGCACAGTGGCTCACACTTGTAATCCCAGCACTTCGGGAGCCCAAGGCGGGTGGATCACCTGAGTCAGGAGTTCGAGACCAGCCTGGCCAACATGGTGAAACCCCATCTCTACTAAAATAAAAAAATTAGCCAGGCATGGTGGTGGGTGCCTGTAATCCCAGCTACTTGGGAGGCTGAGGCAGGAGAATCACTTGAACCCGGGACGCAGAGGTTGCAGTGAGCCAACATCGTGCTAGTGCATTCCAGCCTGGGCAACAGAGTGAGACTCCCTCTCAAAACAAAAAGGAAATATATATGTGTGTATTTATTTCCTTTAAAATCGACCATTTTAGCCATTTTAAAGTGTCCAGTTCTGTGGCATTAGGTGCACTCATACTGTTATACAACCATCACCACAATCCCTCTCCAGAACTTCTTCATCTTCTCCAACTGAAACTCTGTGCCCATTAAACACCAACTCCCCTCAGTGCAGGATCTTGCATATTTATCTCCTGTGATTTTTGTTCTGAGATAGGAAATATCCCCCCTTTCTTTTTTTTTTTTTTTTTTGAGACAAGGTCTTGCTATGTCACCCAGGCTGGTCTTGAACTCCTGAGCTCAAGTGATCCTCCTGCCTCAGCCTCCTGAGTAGCTGGGGACACAGGTGCGTGCCACCCTGCCTGGCTCCCAGTTTTTACCGACAAGGACACTGAGAGGAAAGACAGGAAAAGCAGTGCTGCCTTTCCCAAGGACAAACAGTCAGGAAGAGGACTGGAATCCTGGTCTGCCTAATTCCCAGGCTGTCTGTGGTTTCCCATCCTGAGCTGACCAAGATTTAGGGTCATTATGGAAGTGGCATCATCGAGTAATGTCACTGATGATTAGTGATTTCATACATGATGTCACACACTGAACTGTGGCCCACAGTGGGAAGGTTTCTAGATGGCATGGCTTGTACTTCTCAGGAAAGCTTCCCAAAGCAAGGCCAGGCGCTGTTAGTCTTTGGCCCACCTCAGAGTGTTCAGAAAGTGAGGATTCCTCACACTCTTCTTTAAATTAGTGCCTTGCTGCAAAGCTGGCTGTGCTCATTCCCAGGCAGTGGGCGCTTGACACCGCTCAAGGGCTCACCCTCTGTGGAATAGTGAAAGGAGGATAAGCTAGGGAAACAGACAGGCTTGGGTTTCAATCCTGACCCTGTCACTCTGTACCCATTTGAGGTAGACTCTTATGGAAAAAGAGACCCCTTGAGTTAGCTCAGGCACAGAAGCTTAGTATAAAAATACATGCAGAACCACTTCTGGCCTGTCAGGAAACCCCAGGGGCAGGTGCTGAAGCTGAGGAGGAATCTGGATTCAAGACTCCTCAGGGGGCTGGGCATGGTGGCTCATGCCTGTAATCCCAGCACTTTGGGGGGCCGAGGCGGGCGGATCACGAGGTCAGGAGATCAAGACCAGCCTGGCCAACATAGTGAAACCCTGTCCCTACTAAAATACAAAAATTAGCCAGGTGTGGTGGCACGTGCCTGTAGTCCCAGCTACTCGGGAGGCTGAGGCAGGGGAATCGCTTAAACCCGGGAAGTGGAGGGCCACTGCCCTCCATCCTGGTGGCAGAATAAGACTCCATCTCAAAAAAAATAAAATGAAAAAAAAAGACTCCTCAGGGGCTCTTAAGGAGTGAAAATAAGGTCACGGCTCTTCCTTCTCAGGCTCTGCCCACCCTCAATGTGATTCTGCCACACTGGGTGTGTCTGCATCTCTCCCAGTCTGTGCTCCCTGCTGGGGAACTCTGCTTCAGGTTGAGGTTACTAAGAGGGAATCCTATTGGCCAGTTGTCTTTCTGTACCAGGCAATAAGTCAGAGGTGACTGGCTAGCCCATGGACCAACATGGCTAAGGTTAGAACCTCCCTGTGGTCTAATCACCTAGGGCAGAAGAGGCAGGGGTAGGTAAGTAGTGATATAAACTACTGGGGTAGGGATGATGTCATATGGTATGTAATATGGCCTGCTGCAAAATCTTTGCCAGTACAAAGTCCCTTAGAAGGGGTCTTAGGGTAGGTAGGTAAACAGGACTAATACACTATATTGTGTATCTTTAGGCAAGTTACTTAACCTCTCTGGGCCCGTTGTTTTCTCATCTATACAAATGGGACCATAACTCCTACCTCATAGGGTTGTTGTAAAGATTAAAAGCCCACTGGAACTCCAAAAAAAGATGAAAGGGGACAACAAAAGTCTCAAAGTGCCTGGCACACAGTAGTTGCTTGATAAACATTGGTTTCCCTTCCCTTCCCTTCTATAGGAAAGGCCTTATTTTGTTCTCTCTTGTTCCCTTTGTTCTTCCTTTGTTCTCTCTTAATACATTTTGTTCTCTATTGCAGAAATGGGCCTCCTAGCCAACCACCTAGTAGGAGAGAAAGAGTCCCCTCTCTCTTTCTCTCTCTCTCTTTTTTTTTGAGACAGATTCTCCCTCTGTCACCCAGGCTGGAGTGCAATGGCACGATCTTGGCTCACTGCAACCTCTGCCTCCCGGGTTCAAGCGATTCTCCAGCATGATCCTCCCAAAGTGCTAGGATTAAGGCGTGAGCCACCACGCCCAGCCCCAGTCCCCTCTCTTATAATCCTGAAGAACCAGTATTGCTAACCCACTTCAAGAACCACTGGCAGGATGAGTGATGGGGAGCAAAGAGGGCGCCTATGTCAAAAGGAAGATAAATGTGCCTCATGCTTAGGAAGACACTATGATGGAATGCCTGGACAAAGCAGCATTTTTCTTTGAAATGCTATGAGACGATAAGAATGAAAATAGGTCTTCTCCAACTCGAGGGCCGAGGGCAGAAGAATTATTTCTCAGTGGTTACTCCATGCTCAAAGGAGTTGTCCTAGGCCTCATTGAATCATTGACTCAGCAAATATTTATAAAATGTCTACTATGTGGTTGTCTCTGCTTTCACAGAACTTATAGTCTCATCAGAGAGAGATAATAATCAAATAATCCTACTAATGAATATACAAATACAAACGACGATGACTATTATGAAAGAAGGGGGCATGATTCTATGAGAACTTTAAGAATCTGACCTAGACTGGGGAAACAGACCATGTTAAAGATTTGGACCTTTATTTTGAGAGCAATAGGAGGTTGTTGAAGGGTTTAAACAAGGTTTTGGCATAATCAGATTTGCATTTTGAAAAGATTGCTCTGGTTATAATGAGGAGAACAGATTGAAGGAGGCCTGTTGTGGTAATGCAGCAAGAGGTAATGGTATCTTGCTTTGGTAGTGGTGATGGTGGTAGAGACAGAAGTTATGGATTAAAGAGATATTAAGGAAATAACAGCATTGGCCGGGTGCAGTGGCTCACGCCTGTAATCCTAGCACTTTGGGAGGCTGGGGTGGGCAGATCACTTGAGGTCAGGAGTTCGAGACCAGCCTGGCCAACATGGTGAAACCCCGTCTCTACTAAAAATACAAAAATTAGCTGGGCATGGTGGTGCACACCTGTAATTCCAGCTACTCAGGAGGCTAAGACAGAAGAATCCCTTGAACCCGGGACATTGCAGTGAGCCAAGATTGTGCCTGAGTGACAGAGTGAGACTCTGTCTCAAAAGAAAGAAAGAGAGAAAGAGAGAGAAGGAAGGGAGGAAAGAAAAAAGGAAAGAAAGAAAGAAAAGAAAGGAAGGAAGGAAGCAAAAGAGGAAGGAAGAGAGAGAGAGAAAGAGAGAGAAAGGAAGAGGAAATAACAGCATTTACAGGACTTAATGATTGATTAGATACGGGGTGAGGAGGAACATGGTGACAATAAGGATTTGGGCTTATATAAATGGATGGAAGACCAGAAGTAAAGTCTTAGACATATTGCCTTTGGGACACCCAACTGCCAAAATTGAGCCGGCAGCTGGATACACAGTCTGGAGCTCCAGGGAGAGGTCACGGCTGGAGATGACAAATGTGTGGGTCATTTTCTCAGAGGTAGTTCAAAGGCAGTAGATGAGCTCACTTAAGGAGAGAGTAGAGTGAGAAGAAAAGAGGCCTAGGACCAACTCTCAGGAACTCAGACACGTCATTTAGGGCAGTGGATCTGAAAGTGTGCTCCATGCAACCCTGAGGGGGCCCCCAAGACCCTCTCAAGGGTCTGTGAAGTTAAAACTATTTTCTTTCCTTTTCTGTTTTTGTTTTTTGTTTTTTTCTGACAGGCTTTCCCTCCTGCTGCCCAGACTGGAGTGCAGTGGTGCGATCTTGGCTCACTGCAACCTCTGCCTCCCCAGGCTCAAGTGATCCTCCTACCTCAGTCTCCTGAGTACCTGGAACCACAGGTGTGCACCACCATACCCAACTAATTTTTGTATTTTTTGTAGAGATAAGTTTTGCCATGTTGCCCAGGCTGTTCTTAAACTCCCAGGCTCAAGTCATCATCCTCCCACCTCGGCCTCCCAAAGTGCTGGGATTTACAGGCGTGACCCAGTGTGCCCTGCTAAAACTATTTTCATAATAGTGTAAGATACGATTTGCCTTTTTCATTGTGTTGACATTTGCACTGATGGTGCAAAAGCAATGGTGGGTAAAACAGACTGCACCTCAAAACAAATCGAAGCAGTTGTGCTAACCTGTGCTAGTATTCATAGTACACTTCACTGCCATGCACATGCACTAAAAAAATTTCACGTTTACTTAGGAATGTTCTTCATCAAATGGTAAAGATTATTAATTTCTACTAAATCTCAATCCTTGGGTACTTTTTAAAAAATATTCTGCTGGGCGCAGTGTCTCATGCCTGTAATCCCAGCACTTTGAGAGGCCAAGGCAGGCAGATCACCTGAGGTTGGGAGTTCGAGAACAGCCTGACCAATATGGAGAAACCCTGTTTCTACTAAAAATACAATATCAGCCGGGTGTGGTGGCTCATGCCTGTAATCCCAGCTACTCAGGAGGCTGAGGCAGGAGAATCGCTTGAACCCGGGAGGAGGAAGTTGCAGTGAGCCAAGATCTCACCATTGCACTCCAGCCTGGGCGACAAGAGGGAAACTCCGTCTCAAATATATATATATATTCTGACGAAATAGGAAGTACACATAAAGCATTTCTGCTGTATCCCAAGTACAGTGATAGTCTCCAGGAAAAGCACTTCTGCAATTGTTTGAGTTTCAAGCAGAATTAGCCTCTTTTTTCATGGAGCACCATTTTGTTTTGTTCTGTTTTTGTGTGTGTGCGTGTGTGTGTGTGTTTGGTTGTTTTTGTTTTGTTTTGTTTTTTGAGGTTTTTCTTGTTTTGTTTTTGTTTTGAGACAGGTTCTCACTCTGTCACCCAGGCTGGAGTCCAGTGGTGTGATCTTGGCTCACTACACCCTCGACCTCCCATTCTCAAGCGATCCTCCCACCTTAGCCTCCTGAGTAGTTGATACTACAGGCACACACCATAACACCTGGCTAACTTTGTATATTTTTTGTAGAGACAGGGTCTCACTCTGTTTCCAGGCTGGTCTCTAACTCCTGGGCTCAAGTGATTCTACTGTCTCGGCCTCCCAAAGTGTTGGGGTTACAGGTGTGAGCCATGGCACCCAGCAAGGAGAATTATTTTTACTTGAAAATATAATGGAGAGACAAACTATGATTATTCAAATTTGAGTGTTTGGCAGATAGTTCCCCAAAAATGAACAAAGTAAGCTTATTACTTCAAGGGAAACAACTGACAGTATTTGTTGCCAATAATAAAATTCAAGCTTTCAAGTGAAAAATTAGAATTTTGGAACACTTATATCTGTCACCATGAACTTGAAAACTTCCGAATTCCTAAAGACTTCTTTGATGAGATTGATAGTGATATAATGAATGTGATTTTAAAGTATTGTATAATGAAATGCATCAGCATTTAGAAGCTATGTATAACTCAGTGGACCTATATTTTCCAAATGACTAATACACAATGTTACAAAATCTCTTCAAAGTTCAAGATAAACCAATGGATTTTAATGTAATAGAATAGGAATTGATTGACATGATTTTAGATTCCACATACCTTTACGAAACTACTATGTTTCCTCATTAATATAGTGGTGAGTAAAAAAGAAAAGAAGAAAAAACTGCTGTGTGTCAACTTTTGGTGTAGTGTCCAAGAAAAATATCCACAATTATCTGAAGACTAAAATATTCCTCACTTTTCTAACTCAGTGAGGCCAGATTTGTTTCATGTTATGGATTAAAGAGATATTTAGGAAATAACAGCATTGGCCAGGCACGGTGGCTCATGCCTGTAATCCCAGCAATTTGGGAGGTCGAGGCAGGCAGATCACTTGAGGCCAGTTCAACCAAAACAACATATTGAAACTGATTAGGCCAGATATGGTGGCTCAGACCTGTAATCCCAGTACTTTGGAGGCTGAGGTGGGTGAATCACTTGAGGTCAGGAGTTTGAGACCAGCCTGGCCAACATGGTGAAACCCTGTCTCTACTAAAAATACAAAAATGAGTCAGGTGTGGTGGTGCACACCTGTAATCCCAGCTACTTGGGAGGCTGAGGCAAGAGAATGGCTTGAACCAGGGAGGCAGAGGTTGCAGTGAGCTAAGATCACACCACACCACTGCATTCCAGCCTGGGTGACAGAGAAAGACTATCTCAAAAAAAAAAAGAAAAGAAAAGAAAAAAAGAAATGGATTAATTGTAATAAGAGAATAAGATAAGAGAATCCAGGTATTTTCTATTAAGCCAGTTATTAGAGATTTGTAAAAATGTAAAACATGCCAATTTTATCACTATTTTAGGGGGAAAATGTACTTTTTTCACCAAAATGTGTTAGTTATGTTAACACATTATGGTTTATTTTTGGTATTTTAAATTTAAATGGATTAATAAATATTCTTTCAACTTCTCAGGCTTTCTTTCTTTTTTTTTTTTTCACATCAGATGGGTAATGTGCCACCATCATAACAAGGTTTGAGGGAAGCACATCTCACACACAAGCATGAAAACCCAATCATCATGCTTATGAACTACAAAAGGATCCCAGTTTTCATTTTGAATACAGTAAATATCAATAGCAATAACCACATAAACAAAAGCTCTTGGAGACCTCAGTCATTTTTCAGAGTATAATGGAGTCCTGAGACCGAAAAATTTGAGAATCACTTATTTTTTTGCTTTGTTTCGTTTTTGAGACAGGTTTTGGCTCTATTGCTCAGGCTGGAGTGTAGTCATGCAATCTCAGCTCACTGCAACCTCTGTCTCCTGGACTCAAGCCATCCTCCCACTTCAGCCTCCTGAGTTGCTGGGACTACAGGAGTTCAGCACCACACCCAGCTAATTTTTGTATTTTTTAATAGAGACAGGATTTTGCCTTGCTGCCCAGACTGTCTCAAACTCGAGAATCACTGATTTTAAAATAGCCATCCACGAGGCATGGTGGCTCATGCCTGTAATCCCAGCACATTCTGGAGCCAAGGTGGGCCAATCACTTGAGGTCAGGAGTTCGAGACCAGCCTGGCCGACATGGTGAAACCCGATCTCTACTAAAAATACAAAAATTAGCCAGACGTGGTGGCATGTGCCTGTAGTCCCAGCTACTTGGGAGGCTGAGGCTAGAGAATTGCTTGAACCTGGGAGGTGGAGGTTGCAGTGAGCTGAGATCGCGCCACTGAACTCTAGCCTGGGCGACAGAGCGAGACTCCGACTCAAAAAAAATAAGAAAGAAAGAAAACAGCCATCCATTTGTTTTAAATGATTTATCATCTCCGTGGACAAACAGCTGGAATAAGAAATCTCTCCTAACTTGTAAGTATCTTGAGGGACAAGGAAACATTACAACTCACAAACACACGTGGTATTTTGGAGCTCTAGAGATGGACTCCATCAGTTCCAAAAAGGTTCCCACAGAAGCCTCCCATCAGAAAGCCTCCACCCTGTCCTCATCCCAAGCAATGGCTCAAACAATTCAGTGAAACTCAACATCTTTCTCAATCAATGCCACCCTCTCTTCTCACCAGCACATTCTACCTTTGATTTCTCAAGCTGAGATTGGTCAGGAGCAGGGCCACAGGAAGAGAGGATGAAGGGGGCAGATAGGGTCAGACCTGGCGTTCTAAAACACCAGCACATTCAATTTGTTGGGTATTTTGCATGAATTTCCTCTTGAGTTCACAGGCTCCTAACTCAGCAGAATTAAAATGGGATGAAGTAATTAGAGCAGCAGCCTGTGAGGATGTTTTGGGCCTGGCATGCATAGGAATGTGGGGCGGGGGAAAGAAAAGAGACAAGAGAGCCTTAAGGCAGAGATGAGAAAAGAAACGCACCCCAAGGGTCAGCTCCTTGGGAAAGACTCTCCCAGCTTCCCTAGGTCACTGGTCGGCAGCCCTCTCTTCAGCTCTGCTTCCTGAGAACCTACTCCTGGTCTGGCCCTTCACAATCAGGCTCCAACCTCCCTTTCTAGTACCTTTCAGGTACTTCCACCAGATGCCCATCACCTCTACCCATGCTAAACTCACCACCCTACCCCTACACCATGGTCCTTTCTTTTTTTTTTTTTCCAGGACGGGGTCTCGCTCTGTCACCAGGTTGGAGTGCAGTGGTACGATCTTGGCTCACTGCAGCCTCTGCCTCCTGGGTTCAAGCCATTCTCCTGTCTCAGCCTCTGGAGTAGCCCGGACTACAGGTGTGTGCCACCATGTGCAGCTAATTTTGTATTTTTAGCAGAGATGAGGTTTTACCATGTTGGCCAGGCTGGTCTTGAATTCCTGATCTCAGGAGTTTAACCATGTTGGCCAGGCTGGTCTCGAACTCCTGACCTTAAGCCTCCCAAAGTGCTGGGATTACAGGCGTGAGCCACTGCACCCAGCCTGCTTACACACTTACCTCTCCTATGAGACGATTAGTTCCCAGCCTCTGGATGTCACGCATGCATTGCATTCCCCTCCCTAAGCAAATCGCCACCTCATTATAAGACTTTCCCCCTTTGGTCCCCAGACTGACTCCTAAATTAGTTTAAACCCACAAGCTTTAAGTTATAAGCAGGGTGATGCAGACTTGTGGGTGTGTCATAGTTTGAGTTTAGGTGCTAATGGTATGTTGAGAGCATGCGTGTGACTATTTCAGGGATATAATTTGAAGTGATTGGTTTGTGGATTATTTGTGCCTGGGCCGTTGGAAACTCTGAGTACCTGGCTAATTTTGATAAAAGCTGGTGACCATATTCAGTTACCCTATAAAAGAGCCAGAGGCTCCTCCCTGGGGCAGCCTATTTGTGTTTCACCAGCTTTTCCCGCTGGGTCCCTCTGTAGAATTGCTGTCCTTCTCCAACGAGATGGGATGAACCCAGGTCTCTTGGGCCTGTAGACTCCTGGAACATCAGCCATCTCCTCTGTGGTGTCAGGGGGAGCAGCCCTTGTCTAGAAAGGAGATTGCTGAATCCCGAATCTCTCTTTGTTTATCTCTCTCTCTCTCTCTCTCTTTGTTTATCTCTCTCTCTCTCTCTCTTTCTCTCTCTGTCTCTCTCTTTGTGGCACTAAGATTTATTAGAATGTGCCTTAATACAGGCACTGGGGCTTGCCTATGGTGTTCTTGATGTGTAAAGCCCAGATGTTCTGCCAATTCTTCCTGAGCAATGATACCAGGAAGTTGACAGCCAGATGGACGTTGTACACAAGCTCATCATCTGTCATCTTGACACGACCAAGAGCCATGCCAGACAGAGCCCCTTCTTCACCTGGAACTTGATTGTGGACTTCCCCTCATCAACTTTGGCCACCATGTCTTCACTGTACATCAGCAGGGAAGGGAACCTGCCTTCCTTATTTAGGCCTGGGCCCAGGATTTGTGGGATCTGCTTGATCAGAGACCCTGAGGCCAGAAAGGCATCATACTTGTTGAGCAGCTTCTTGTTCCTGTCGAGTTTCTTCAGCACCTCGATGTCCACGTAGGAGATACCCACAGGCTTGGCCTCAACCCTGTGCTGCTGGTCCCCCAGGACACACGTGGAGAACCTGGGGCGGCGAGTGGACTTCAGATGACAGTGCCCAAGAAGCGTTCATCCTTCTGAGGGTCAGAGTTCTTCAAGCTGATCTGTAGCTCCACTGTTCCCAAAAGTTTCTGGCACTTGCACTGGTTCCTGTCCAGGACTTCCCGCACTGCCTCCTACAGGGTCTCAAGAGGCTGCTGCTCTTGGTGTCTTGTGCAGGGATAACAAGAAAAGAGTTAATCCTGCCTCTCTTGAGGCCTGGGGCTCTCCCATTTCCTCCCTTCTGAGTCTAAGGAGAGTGGGGAGTGGCATGAGAGCCTGCATTTGTCATGTCTGGTAAATCCATGTTCCCTGTATAAGGTCCACTTTATTAGATGAGAAAGGGTCACTCTTAGTCCAACTTTGGTTTTGTTTGTTGTTGTTTTTTTGTTTTGTTTTGTTTGAGACAGAGTCTCGCTCTGTTTCCCAGGCTATTGTGTAGTGGCGCCATCTCGGCTCACTGCATCTTCCGCCTCCTAGGCTCAAGTAATTCTCCTGCCTCAGCCTCCCAAGTAGCTGGGACTACAGGCATGTGCCACCACGCCCGGCTAATTTTTTTGTAGTTTTAGTAGAGATGGGGTTTCACCATTTCACCGTGTTGCCCAGGCTGGTCTCAAACTGCTGACCTCAAGTAATCCACCTGCCTCGGCCTCCCAAAGTGTTGGGATTACAGCCGTGCCCCGCCTTAATCCCACTTTTGAAATGAGGAAATGAATCTTTAACCAGTAACAACACTTAATACACACACACGTACTTTTTGTGGTGTGACAAAAGATTGCTTAATTTTCATTTTGGCGAGCAAGGAAATAAACAAACAAATCAGTGATGACTACCATCTACTATCAACATGTTTTGAGGAAAGAATGTACATAAGAATATAACTTCAAACTAAAGAGAAAAGATCTTATATTGAATACATTTAATTTTATTTAAAGACTCACTACATTGTCTCTTGCTTTTTCTCATTTCATCATGATAGTGAAATGGACCAGTGAATACCCTAGCATGGAGTCTGGGAAGAACATAACTAGTCCATGATCTCCTCTAAGCATGGAATGGTATTTGTTCATTTATGTATTCGCAGGACCTAACTCAGACCTAACTCACAGCACTCACTACATCTTTGTGGAAGAAAGGAAGGGAAGAAGAGAGAAAAGAATTCCTCATTTGAGGACCAGGATAGGAGATAGCTATTAAGCCCTACTGGACTTGGGACCCTGGAACAATTGCCTCCACCAAATTCTACTCTGTGACCTCTTTTTTAGGGGTGGGGGATGGGAGACAGAGTTTCACTCTTGTCACCCAGGCTGGAGTACAATGGCATGATCTCAGCTCACTGCAACCTCCGCCTTCCGGGTTCAGGCTATTCTCCTGCCTCAGCCTCCCAGGTAGCTGGGATTACAGGCACGCACCAACAAGCCCGGCTAATTTTTGTATTTTTAGTAGAAACGGGGTTTCACCATGTTGGCCAGGCTGGTCTCGAACTCCTGACCTCAGGTGATCCACCCACCTAAACCTCCCAAAGTGCTGGGATTACAGGCATAAGCCACTGCACCCAGGCCTGTATTGTGGTTTCTATCCCTGTCACCCCTACAAGACTGTGGTTCTTGAAGGACAGGTACCACGATTTTTTCTGTTCTTACATCTCCAGTGTGTGACACCAGTTGTGAATAAATGACTGGAAGGAAAAAAACCCAGGGAACCAACCAACTAACGTCCTTTTTCTCTGGGCAGTTCAGAATCAGAGGCAACTATGGATTAAGGGACTACAATTAAGTTCTGTGAAAGTTGTCAAGATTAAAATAAAGTCACTAATGTTAAGAAAACCCTGGCTGGGCGCAGTGGGTCACACCTGTAATCCCAGCACTTTGGGAGGCTGAGGTGGGCGGATCACGAGGTCAGGAGATTGAGACCATCCTGGCTAACCCAGTGAAACCCCGTCTCTACTAAAAATACAAAAAATTAGCCAGGCATGGTGGCACACACCTGTAGTCCCAGCTACTTGGGAGGCTGAGGCAGGAGAATTGCTTGAACCTGGGAGGCAGAGGCTGCAGTGAGCTGAGATTGCACCACTACTCTCCAGCCTGGGCAACAGAGCGAGACTCCATCTCAAAAAAAAAAAGAAAAAGAAAAAAAGAAAACCCTGACAAATAGAATCAGGGCAGGCCATGAAGAGAGGGTTTTCATGCTTGTATGCCTGATTTAAAAAAAAAAAAAATCACAAAAGACGTAAAACCCACAACCTTGCATGAAGGCCTTCACAACATTTCATAAAAAAATACTTCTGCAAGGACATCTGCCCAGCAACTGCCTGTCCAAGCTCAGACTGGCATCACCCTTAATATTGATCTTTAAAGCCAAGGATAATTATTTTTAAATAATTATGGAATCTTCTTAATTTTTCCTTTAAAAGCCTTTATCAGGTTGGGCACAGTGGCTCACATCTGTAATCCCAGCACTTTGGGAGATCGAGGCGTGCAGATTGCTTGAGTTCAGAAGTTTGAAACCAGCCTGGGCAACATGATGAAACCCCATCTCTACATAAAATATAAAAATTAGCCAGGCATGGTGGTACACGCCTATAGTCCCAGCTACTCGAGAGGCTGAGGTGGGAGGATTGCTTGAGCCTGGGAGGCAGAGGCTGCAGTGAGCCGAGATCGTATCACTGCACTCCAGCCTGGGCAACAGAGCCAGACCGTGTATCAAAAAAAAAAAAAAAAAAAAAAAAAGGGCCGGGCACGGTGGCTCACACCTGTAATCCCAACACTTTGGGAGGCCACGGCAGGCGGATCACCTGAGGTTGAGAGTTCAAGACCAGCCTGACCAACATGGAGAAACCCCGTCTATACTAAAAATACAAAACATTATCTGGCGTGGTCACGCATGCCTGTAATCCCAGCTACTCGGGAGGCTGAGGCAGGAAAATCACTTGAACATAGGAGGCAGAAGTTGCAGTGACCTGAGATTACACCATTGCACGCCAGCCTGGGTGACAGAGCGAGACTCCATCTAAAAAAAAAAAAAAAGAAAGACTTTGCCTTCCTTCACTCAAACAGTTTACTATGGCATGCATTTTCATATTCCCATTACAATGCTCTATTCCAAAATAAAGACCTTTTCTTTTAGAGAGCCTCTCTGATCGTTATTTAGGTTGACAGTTCCTTCTCACATAGGGTATAAAAAGTGGTTTGAGACTACTCCAGTCCCTCACCAAAACACCAGCGCAGATTTCATAGCCTTTAATGTCTGAGGCAGTGCCGAGGCTGGGCAAGGAAAATTCAAGTGTCCTTTCATCCACAAAGTCACTAACACAAACCCATTCACCCTCGCCTTGAAGCCACTAATGCCAAGAGCACCAACAGGAGCCTTAGTGCTCAGGAAAGAGAAAGAGGGCCTGGGCCGAGGGTGTCAGATTCAGGGTTTTGTTGAAACCGAAGTTGTAGCTGGAGAGTAATCTGGATGTGTTGATCCCTCCTACGCGCTCGCCAAATATAAAATGTGGGAAAACATATGATCTTGGCCATGAAACTGTCCTTGCCTATGGTCTTTTTCTGCTTGTTCCTAATTGCTATTATAATTTTAATGAGTCACCCTTCATCAATTCCACGTTCCATATCTTTCAGCTGTTATACTAAAAAAGTAGGGTGGGCAGGAAGTTGAGGCTGCAGTGCGCCATGATCGTGCCACCGCACTCCAGCCTGGGTGACAGAGCAAGACCCTGTCTCTAAAAAGAAAAAAGAAAAAAAAAGTGGAGCAGGATGTGCTTGTTGACACATAACTTTTATGTAACTTGGGCATGCTCAGATTCGTCTGACCCAGGCTCCACCTGCCTTCTGACAGATTAGCTCTAAAGGAGTTCAGAAAATGCCACCCCAAAATATGCTGCTTTGGGCCTCAAAGTGAGGACACCTGGGAAACAGCAAATGCAGGGAGAGGCTTTCTCTGAACTTCATCTGCCTAAGGACAGATTCTCCAAGAAGAACTCCATTGTCATGAGTCCCGTCCCCAGAAATCTCATCAACTAGGGAAGATTAACCAGGAGAGGAAACTAGAGGCCCACTTCATACCCAGACCATCTCATGATGTCACCTGTTCTTCTGAGGGCCCATTCATCTTTCCCCAAAATCATTTACAGTCCCCTAAGTTGCCTATATCTCCCCTCACATCCCCCCTATGAAGGGGGCATATAAATGTTAACATCTCACTGGGTTTGGAGATACTCACTTTTCTTTCATGCGATGCCCCTATGCACGTAATACAGACCTTGGTTAACCCATCAAATTGTGATTTTGCCCATATCTGCCAGCTGTTAGTAAATAAGTTCCTTTGTCTGGATGCAGAAAAGATCCAAAATATCCATGTTGAAGATGCCTGGTTTCTGGTGCACACTCTGCCTGTCTCCCCTTGCTGGGAGTAAGTCTTCACAAATAACTTCTTTTTTTTTTTTTTGAGAAAGGATCTCATTCTGTTGCCCAGGCTGGAGTGCAGTGGCACAATTATAGCTCACTTCAGCCTCCATCTCCAGGGCTCAAGCAATCCTTCCACCTCAGTTTCCCAAGAAGCTGAGACTACAAGTGCATGCCAACACACCCGGCTAATTTTTTTATTTTTAGTAGAGAGAAGGTCTATCTATATTTCTCTATGTTGCCCAGGCTGGTCTTGAACTCATAAGCTCAAGCGATCCTCCTGCCTTGGCCTCCCAAAGTACTGGAATACAGAGTAGAGAACTTCTAATGCATTTCAGCACAGGGGTTGTTTTCCCAGGCTAGGTTGCTGAGCCAGCCTCCCTCTCTATCCTCCTCAGCCAGCTATTGCTGGAACTGCCTGTCCCCGCTGCTCTCTGCCCTGGCTGCTTCTAAGAGAGTGCCTTAAGGCTGGGTTGCTTCAAGCACTCTCTGCCCTCAATGCTAGCTTCTCAATGGCTTGGCAAAGGTGTTTCCAACTCTTTTCTTTCTCCCTCGAGTCATCTTGGTAGGAATACCAGCATCTTAATTTCCTCTTTTATAAATGCTTACCTGATTTCCCTTCAGTTTTGCAGTTAAATCTACTGGTAATTGTGAAATAGCTAACGTAAAAAAAAAAAAATCCTCAGAGCCTAGAAGCCTGGTCCTCAACTTTCAGCCCTCTTTTCTCATGACCAAAATATTCTAGAGCCTTCAAGTGTTCAACACAGGCCCTGTTGGAACCTCTTTGAGCTCCACCATTTATCTCTAGAAAAACACTGAATATAGCAAGAGGCTAGAGGCATGCTGACATCTGCTCGTCAGCAGAGCAGAAATGATGGCTTTAATTTCCTTTCTCAATTAATTTATTCCCAGGCTGTTCCCTCCCCACCTTCATAAGCTGGTTCTTATTTCAAAAAGTCAAAGTAATAAAGCTGCTCTCCATTACTCATCCAATTGCACATACCCCACATGCTCCTCCTCAACCTCTTCCCATCACCTTCTTTTTCCTCCCTGTCCCCTCTCCCTCACCCCTTCTAGACGGAGTGCAGGGTCATTGCTCTTTCTCCAAGTCCTACACTCTTCCTACAACCTTCTGAGCTTATTCTCGCTGGGTTGGTCCTCATGGTGCTGAATACATACCTCATTATATGCTTTGCATTGATTGATTTCCTCATGCCAATGTTCCAGGCATACTTCTCTCAGAGATGACCCTAGGAAAAAAATCTGATGCCTCAGAGAGAGCTGAAAAATCCCAAGAGATTGAGTGCCCATTTATTCCCCTCATTCCAACAACAGGAATTAAAATCTCAGAGCTGGACTGACCCATAATGCCCAGGCACTGGCCCTAACAGTGGGTCTGGACCAGGAGCCAAGATTTTTGTGGGGACAGCCCTCTGTAGGCACCTGTAGGCACCTGCATGCTGATGTTTGGACATCTTTGGGCAGTGAAATATAAAGAAATGGGCCAGGCGCGGTGGCTCATGCCTGTAATCCCAACACTTTGGGAGGCCAAGGTGGGTGGATCACTTGAGGTGAGGAGTTCGAGACAGCCTGGTCAACATGGTGAAACCGGGGCTCTACTAAAAATACAAAAAAATTAGCTGGGCATGGTGGTGCACACCTGTAATCTCAGCTACACGGAGGCTGAGGCTTGAGAATTGCTTGAATTCAGAAAGCAGAGGTTGCAGTGACCTGAGATCGTGCCACTGCACTCCAGCCTGGATGACAGAGTGAGACTCTGACTAAAAAAAAAAAAAAGAAAAAAGAAAAGAAAGAAATATAAAGAAATGCAACTGAGCATGTAGGGTAAGGCATGGGGCTTTGGACTCAAAACTCAGATTTAAGTACTGCCCTGACATGTATTACCTACCTGACACTGGTTAAGTTACTTCTCTACCCCTTAGTTGTAAAATAACAGTACTTCCTTGGCTGGGAGGACCAAATAAGAGCATGTATGTAAAGCATTTAATGCAGTGTCTGGTGCATGAAGAGCATTCATTAAATGTAAGAAGTTATTATAATCATAAGCAAATAGACATCACTAAGTCAGATAAGCTGTTAAAAGTCATTGCAGGCCTTTAAATTTTTTTAAAAAAATACAGCCTTGCTATTTTTTAAAAGTATTGCCTCTAAGAGTTGCTTTAATAAGTTGCTAGAAAGGAGTGATTTATAAGTACCATATTGTTGGAATGCAAATAGATACTTCAAAGAGGTAAAAGTAACTTGTTTTCTTGAGTGGGATAAATATTTCCCTTGGGATCTTGTTTACAAACTCAAATATTTTGTAAGCAAATAATGCTAAGAGAAACTCTAGCCCTTACTTTGGTGAAATGCTCACAAAACTGTATTCTGAGCTTTGAGTAAATGAGGTTTTTTTGTTTTTTTTTAATTTCACTATTTATTGAGTTTTAAATACTCTAAGTTGTAGTTCATATATAACATAAATAGCTCTGTGAAAGGAAGAAAAACTATATTTCAGGTACTTTTGAGGTTATTAAGCTCAGAAAACCCTGGGAAAATGAACTTGAATCTATGGAAATATTTGTTAATCTCACAAATCTACCAGTTCTTTTCTCCACTCGAAAGTTAATTCATATACACCATGAAATACTATGCAGGCATAAAAAAAGAAGGAGATCATGTCCTTTGCAGGAGGAGCCGGAGACCATAATTCTTAGCAAACTAACACAGGAACAGAAAAGCAAACACTACATGTCCTCTTATAAGCGGGAGCTAAATGATGAGAACACATGGACACAAAAAGGGAAAAAATGAACACTGGAGATTACTGGATGGTGGAGTGTGAGAGGGAGAGGATCAGGAAAAATAACTAATGGGTACTAGGCTTAATACCTGGGTGATCAAATAATCTGTACCACAAAGACCCATGACTTAGATTTACCTATATAACAAACCTGCACATGTACCCCTGAACTTAAAATAAAAGTTACAAAAAGAGCTAAGCATTCTGGGGGAAAAAAATTCATAATTTTTGAGTAAGCTTCGTACAATTTTCCACAGCAGCTGAATCATTTTACTTCCCAATGAATTTGCCAACTCTTACCTTTTGTTTCCCTTTATAGTAGCCATCCTAATAGACGAGATGACATCTCACTATGGTTTTGATTTGCATTTCTCTAACAGTTAGTGTTGTTAAGCATCTTCTCATGTACCTTTTGGCAATGTGTATGTCTTCTTTGGAAAAATGTCTGTCATATAATCCAACAATCCCACTTCTGTATTTTTATCCAAAACAATTGAAATCAAGATCTCCAAGAGATGTCTGCATTTTCCTGATTATTGCATTATTTACAATACACATGATATGGAAACTAATGCCCATCAATAGATAAGCAAATACAGCAAACATGGCATATACATACAATAAAATATTATTTGGCCTTAAAAAGAAGAAAATTCTGTCATATATGACAACATGGATGAATTTGGGGTACATTATACTAGGTGAAATAAGACAGTCACAGAAGCACAAACTGCACTGTTCTCCTTACACCAATTATCTGAAATAGACTCATAGAAACAGAAATGAGAATGGTGCTTGTCAAGTGCTGAGGGATGGGGGAAATAGGGAGTTGCTGTTCAACAGGTATAAAACTTCAGTTATGCAAGATGAATAAGTTCTAGACCTCTGTTCACCATAGCACCTATAGTTAATATAGTTAATATTACTGCATTGTGTATTTAAATTTTTGTTAAGACCGTAGATCTCATGCTACGTGTTCCAACTACAATAAAGACGTCAATTCACAGTGAATATATCATTATAAATAGATATTTATATTTTCTCCGTGAAGCTTCATGTAATATTAACTAACTTCTTAAGAATATTTAATGGTGTTCCAGCTACCTGCGAGTAAATGAAGTTTTTACCCTGCAGAAAAGGAGTCATTGCCCAAATGAAATACCCTGATTTCAAAAGCATGAGGAAGAAGTGTCAATCTGGAGGTTTTTCATTGTATACATGTTTATTCTAATGCCGCGCAATATTGGGTAATGGCCAACCTATTGCACAAACATTTTTCAAGTATTCATGTGTAGACTATCTAAGGGCAGCTGTCTAACCAATCTTGTATATGATTCTTTTTGTTCTGTCTGCTTTTATCTTTACTGTTTCCCAACACACACATGCACGCCCAATTCACATCCACACTCAGACACACATTTACTCACAGGCATGCATAAACTAACACACTAACACACACATTCTCTCTCTTTTTTGTTCTCTTCTACACACACATACACATACACACCCACTTAGCCCAGAGCAAGCAGAGCCCAGAACTGTGTCTTCTGGTGGCTACGGAAAGATCCCATGACCCCTCTGAAAAGCATCTCTTTGTTCCCTTTCTCCCCTCACTGTAATGTTTCCTTTTCCTGAATATCACGCAGCAAGGGGCGGGGAGGGAAGGAAGGGAGAAAGGAAGGAAAGGAAACCGTGGTCTCCCCCCAGCCCAGCAGTGCAGGCTGTGAGAAGCAGAAGGCTCCTGCTCCTGGGTGCTGGCATCTCTCCTGCCATTTTTTCTGAAACTTTGGGGTGTTTTTCTCTCCGCAGCACCCACGCTCCCCTCCCTTTCTGCCAAAGCTCCTTGTTGTGACAGAGCGAGCGGCTGGTGGGTGGGGGGAGGGGAATCAGCTAGGTGGCCTCCTGGCTGAGTTACAGCTCCCCCTCCAGGAGCAGGGAGGGCGGAGATGAGACCACAGACAAATCCTAGAAGCCCCCCTAGTGCTGACCCCCCTACATACCCAGAGCGTCTGTACACCCCCCAACACCCACCCATACACACACACACATACACACACACACACACACACACACACCCCAGATGAGCGTGGCAGGCACAGCCACACAGTAACACTCAGGCAGGAAACCCCATGTCACATTGGCATGGGTCTGCCCAGAAGCAATCCATGCCCCACGCCCCCTCCTTTGATCTCTCACCCCTCTGCTGGGCCAGAGAATGTTGCTGGGTGCTGGGCCTTGGGTGCATGGACTCCGATACCACCGGCACTTCAAGCACAGGGACCACCAGCGGCAGCGCCAGCGACTGCCCAACCCCCTCCTCCCAGGGCTCCAGCAGCACACCCTGAAAAACACAGACACAGTCCTGCTTGGGGGGCGGGGCAGAGGAAGTGTGGGGTACATCTCATGGGCTGTGGCCTCGCTCCCCTCGGGTTCAGCTGATGGCCAGCAGTCCCTGGGTTTGTCTGAGAGAGAGATATCACTACAAGAGGGAAGGAGAAAGGATTCAAGGACCTCTCAGAGCTCTCTCAAAACTCCAAGAGAACCAGCCAGTGAGAGCCAAGTGACGGTCCTGAGTACCGGAGGACCCGGCGTTGCCAAGCTAGATCCTGGGTCAGAAAAGTCAAAGGACATTCCCTACTGTGCGGGGATAAAACATGTGACTCTGTGGGCTCAGCTGCAAGTACCCAAAGATGGGCCGCATCATTTTCCTTGCTGGCCACTGGAGGGCCAATACCCTGCCCTCCTCCCTCCCCAAGACCTTCTCTTTATCCGGCTGCTTCTCTGGTCCCTGTGCTTTAAGCACATTATTTTATTTTAATTTTCATAACTCCACAGGGTGTTACTGTAGAAAAAAAAAAACTTGTGGTTCAGGAATTTTACATGATTTGATCAAGATTACAGCCAAGCGCGCGGTGGCGTGTGCCCGGAGTCCCAGCTACTTGGGAGACTGAGGCAGGAGGATCACTTGAGCCCAGGTCAGGAGTTGGAGTCCAGTCTTCAGCCTGGGTAATATAGCGAGACCTCATTTCTGTCTCTCCGAGAGAGAGAGAGAAAGAGAGAGAGACGGAGAGAGAGAGACAGAGAGAATACACAACTAGCAAGTGAGGGAGCCAGGGTTCGCCCCCATGCCTGGGTAACTCGTAACCTTGGCCCTTCCCACTGCTTCTCAGGAGCGCGCCACTGGAACCTTCCCAGCTTCCTCTGAGTGAGCTGGAGAGGGAGTGTGGTGTTGAAGAGAGTGTTGGGGGAGGTAGAAGAGGCATCTGCCTACTGACTTTCTTCCAAGGGAACAAAAGTAGCGCAGCCTGGGAACCCTCTGCGCTGTCTTGCAAGCCTTGGGAGGCAGTGCCCAGTGGCTCGGGTGATTCCTCTAGTGCCATTTCTCCTTCAGGACCCCACACTTTCTTGGCCAGTGTGCTACATGGCTGCAAAAAGCCCAGCCCTGGACAGGCAAAGAATGTGTTGATTCAGAAACAGTTTTTAAATTAATAAGCACGTGGTGATTCAGGCTGTTTGTTCAGGGCAACGTGCTGCCTAAATTGGAATGTGCCAAACTCCGTTCTCCCACTTTCCCCCACCTCCTCCGCCTCTCCAGGTCCTGGCTGTTCCCCATGTCATTCTGGTAGTCAGAATTCCGGTTCCTCCATACCCTCAGGCAAGGCAATTATTAGTCTGCAAAGCCCAACTTGCCAACTGAGCAGCTTCCCTGGGCTCTGAGGTCTCTCCTGGGTGTGTGTGTGTGTATGTGTGTGTGTGTGTGTGTGTGTGTGTGTGTGTGTGTAAAGTACTTTTTCTTCTTAAATTGAAAAGTGATTAATCCATCGGTTCTCCTCTCTTCTGGAACGTGTCCTAGGAGGACAGGTACTACTCAGTTTCATATCTGCTGTCAGGAGGTCGGCATGAGCAGCTCCTCCTTGAGGCAAGAACTACAGGTTGGGCTGTCTTGAGGATGATCAAACTGGAAATTATTCTTCCCAGAGGGGCTGCCATCAGAAGTTTATCTCATCTGATCTCCCTTCAAATAGAGTTGCTCTTCTCTTCAGCCCAGACAAACATAATACATTCAAATATTCATTTGACAATTATTTATTGAGTCTTTATGAGCCAGAAATGGTTCCAGGTGTAGGCATATGGTGGTAACGAGACAGAGAGGCACCCTACTCTCATGGGGCTTGCATTCTAGTATGTGGGGGTGGGGAGAGGCAGATAAGAAATGAGGAAACCAATAATTAATGCCAGGATATATATCAAATAAGATATGATAGAGCAGGGATCAGATCAGCAAGCTATAGTCATGGGCCGAATCTGCCTACCACCTGTTTTGTAAACAAAATTTATAAAGTAAATAAAGAGGCTGGCACAGTGGTTCATTCCTGTAATCACAGCATTTTGGGAGGATTACTTGAGGCCAGGAGTTTGAGACCATCCTGGGTAACATAGCGAGATCCCCTATTCCTGCAAAATAAATATTTTTTAAAATACCCAGGCAAACCTGGTGGGCACACAGCTGTGGTCCTAGCTACTTGGAAGGCTGAGGCCAGAGGATCATGAAGTTACAGTGAACTGTGATCGCACCACTGCACTCCAACCTGGGCAAAAGGGTAAGACCCTGTCTCTAAAAAAGAAAGAGAGAGAGAAATAGAGATAGAAAAAAAAGGAAGGAAGGAAGAAAGGAAGGTTGGATGCTCAGCAGGGGCCTACTTTATTTTCTCTTTTTATTTATTTTTTAATTAATTTTTGAATAGATAATATATTTAATGAATCTACATTTTTTAAAAATAGAAAAAAGATATGCAGATAAGTCTCTTTTCCTGCCCTGTTTCCTAGCTATCCACTTTCCTTCCCCATAAGCAACAAAATGTTAATTTCTTGTGCATCCTTGCAGAGAAATGTATTCATACAAAAGCAAGTACATGTGTACAGTCTATGTTTTTGCCCCCAAGGAAGCTATTTTAAATTGGGAGATCGGGAAAGATTTGTGATTTAGGATAAAATTTGAATAAGAAGTTGCCAGCCAGGCAAAGATCTCAGAGCAGCAGCTTCCAGGCTGTGGGAACAACTAGCGCAAAGGCCCTAAACTAGACCTGCCATGGCAGGCCCTGAAATGATAAAGGAGGCTCATGTGTTTGGGACACGCTGGGCCAGAGGACAGTGATTTGACATAAACTGGAAGAAATTAGAAAGCAGGAAGATTCTGCTCTTAAAGGCTGTATAGGCCAGGCATGGTGGCTCACGCCTGTAATCCTACCACTTTGGGAGGCTGACGCAGGCGGATCACGAGATCAGGAGTTTGAGACCAGCCTGGCCAACATGGTGAAACGCTGTCTCTACTAAAAATTAAAAAATTAGCCAGGTGTGGTGGCGCATGCCTATAATCCCAGCTACCCGGGAGGCTAAGGCATGAGAATCACTTGAACCCAGGAGGCAGGGGTTGCAGTGAGCTGAGATGGTGCTACTGTACTCCAGCCTGGGAGACAGAGCAAGACTCTGTCTTAAATACATAAATAAGGCTCAGCCGGGCATGGTGGCTCACTCCTGTAATCCCAGCACTTTGGGAAGCTAAGGCGGGTGGATCACCTGAGGTCAAGGGTTCGAGACCAGCCTGGCTAACATGGTGAAACCCCGTCTCTACTAAAAATACAAAAATAGGCCGGGTGTGGTGGCACACACCTGTAATCCCAGCTACTTGGGAGGTTGAAGCAGAAGAATTGCTGGAACCTGGGAGGTGGAGGCTGCAGTGAGCCGAGATCATGCCACTGCACTCCAGGAGACAGAGTGAGGCTCTGTCTCAAAAAAAAAAAAAAAAAAAAAAAAAGGAGAAAAGAAGAGAAAAGAAAGAGATAACATAAATAAAGAGAAGAGCAATTAGCACAGTAACCACTCAACAACTTTCTCCTCCTCCTCCTCCTCATTACTTGGTTTACAAAACACTTTCTCATCAATTATCTCATTTGATATTTGCAATAACCCTGTGATTGGGTATGGCAGGTGCTACTGTTTCCATTTCACAGGTAAAAACACTGAGGCTCAAGATGATTAAATACATCATCCAAGTCACAGAGCAGAAACAAACCCAGGTGTTCTGACTCCACATAGCACAAGCTTCTCTCATTGTGGGGAGAGCAGAGGGCAATGTAAGCAGGCAGAATAACAGGAATGAGAGAAAGAAGCAGGGAGCGTTGGTAAACCCAACTGCCTGTCATTTGCACCAGGCATGCTCTCTCAAGAGGAGCCTGTACCCTCTGCCTTCTAGGTAGTCTTCATATTCCCAGATCACAAGTCCTAGCTCAGGAAAAGGAGCAACTTACTGGTGGACAGCCTCAACAGAGCAGGAAAATTGTGAACAAGAGAAATTCACCACCTCTACAGTCTCATTAACACTGCAGACCTACACACACATGCACCAGACCTGCAGGTTGTCAGCGGTTAGTTACTAAGCCTGAGGCCTGAAATAAATTAGGCTGCGTCTCAGAAAAAACAAGGTTATGTTACTCATATTAAGTATTCGTGTGGATTAAAATGCCATCTACTGTTTTGTGGGTCACCTTTCTTTTCTCAGGGCCCTGCTGAGTGGCTGGAAGGGTTATCTTCCACATGCGCTACTCAGACTCTGTCCTGTCACCTCCCAAAGGGGACTGGCCGAATTGAACCACCTACCCCTTGTCTATCAGAGCCAGGCTATGAGGCCCCCGGGTAGGGGCTTCAGTGCCTGCCTTTGGAATAAAGCTGCCTTCTAGGGTTGCCCCTGGCAACCAAACTGCTTGAATGTCTGTATCTCTTAGAGGAGACTTGGGAGTTGGGGAGGAGGAGGATTGGTCCCTGAACCACAGGATGCAGGGAGCATGTGAGGCATTGTCCCCCTTTCCACCTTTCAGCCCCTAGACCCCACCTCCTGATGACAACAAGTGTTGTCCCCTCACCTGGCTTCTGCAGGTCAGCAGAATTAGCCTGAGATTCTCCCTGAGGACAGAGAGGTTGGGGAGAACCTGCCTGCTTAGCCTATTGCAAAGATCCAGGTACCCAACACATCTTTGGACAGTTCCTGGCATACCATATGCCTTCAAATGCCTAACACCATTTCGTCCTTTAAGCTTCAACATCCCCTTCTCCAGGAAGCCTGCCCTGACTTGCCTTTTGTGACCTAGGCAGAGATAGTGTCCCTGCCTGCGAAACCCTGAGTATCACTCTATCATAATACACATCACTCCATTGTAGATGTATCTGTTTTTATTAGTTTCTTTAGGTTAAGGAGTGTGTATTATTCTAGCCCAGGACCTGGCACATAGGCACAAAATAAATGCTTATTGAATAGGTAAGTGACTGAGTGAGAACACAGGACTGTGACAGGAGAGCATTTCCCAAACCAGCAGTCCTGTAGTCCATTGTAGATTAGTGGGAATGTTGCAAAAAATAAAAAGGAGTTCTTTGCTTAGATAATGTTGGGAAAGAAACTCCCTCCCTTCCTGAGGCAGGAAGGAGCTCTTCAAGCACTGGCCAGAGGAAGCAGAATGTGCAGAGCACAGAGGGGCCTGAAATGATTCAGCTGCATCCACAGTATAGGGTGTGCAGGGGGAAAAAGGAACCAAGACAGTCCTGAAAGCTGAATTGATGCATTTGGGACAGGAGAGTGGCAAGCTCCAAGCCTCATGTTAGGAAGACAGATCTGGCCAGGTGTGTAGGGTGGACTGGAGGGAAGAACCAGCTGGCAGGGACACTTGTCAGGAAACTGTTGTGACAGTGCAGACTTGATCTGTAAAGGGTCTAGACAAGAGCAGTGACAGAGGGAAATGAAAGCAAGAAATAAACCACCCAACTCTATTGGATGGCTTCTTCATCAGCCCGGGGACGGCAGCTGCTGCCTGACCCTGGTTAATTACCAGCCTGTGGTTGCCATCTGAGCTGACTGGCCACCAAACACTTGGTGCTCTGCAGAAGTCCTAGCTGCCCTGGTGCTGAGTGGTGTGGGGTGGAGGGTAAGTCTAGGAGAGCATTTCCCAAACCAGCAGTCCTGTAGTCCATTGTAGATTAGTAGGCATGTTGCAAAAAATAAAAATGAGTTCTCTGCTTAGGTAATGTTGGGAAAGAAACTCCAGAGTCAACAAAGGGAGAAAGTTTCTCTACTGGAACATGTCAAGGAGCCATGTACCCCTTCCCTCAGTGTTTATCAACCTGAAATGGCAACAGAGCCCTTTTCATACCATACCCATTCACAGCTCCTAAGAGAGCACTCACTTGCTTAGAGGTACAGCTTCACTCACAGTCCTACCTCGGAAGCAGTAAGGAAGCTGCTTACAAGCTCTGGCTCTGAAGCCAGTGGGCCTGGATTCAAATCCTAGCTCTACCACTTGATGGTTATCTAGCCTCTCAGTTTGCTTATCTACACAATAGGGAAAATATTAGAAGCTACTGCAGTAGGGTTGTTTGGAGGGTTATATTAGTGAGATATGTACCTAGCACTGTACCTGGCGCATAGGAGTCCCTCAAAAATTTGAGCTACTGTTTATATCCTATGCAAACCATGTACCCTATAATGAGAGTTCAAGCTCTGAACCAGGGCAACCTGGTGAGGGGAGGGCGTCAAATTCTCTCTGGAGAATTAGGAGTAGAACGCAGGGCCAAATGGTTGGCAGTGGGAATGAAGGCGGACAAGATGCGTAAAAAGAGGAGCCAGAATCTGAGATCGAGGCCTGAAGAGTCACAGCCAGCACCTCATCACGAGTCTGCCCCTCACTCTCTCCCCATGCTCACAACCCCATTTTCTGGCTGCCCCTGCTTACCCTCCCTATATCGGAGTAGCATCAGGCCCGTGGATGTTTCGAGCCAGTGGCTTCCACCAGGTGCTTATTGACTCTTACTGTGTGAATGAGAAGCTCATGTCATGTCCTCATGACTACAGGGAACACCACTTCCCCTATCTTTTACTCCCCCTTCCTCTCTTCTTTCCCTCACTACACACACACCTTTCCAGATGCTTCCCTTGAACCCAATAGCTGTCACACATTCCCAAGAACAGCCTTTGGATCTGGAAGACAGAATGAATAAAGGAAATCATTCCTTCCATCAATACAGCATTTTGCAAAGTGATTTTATACGCTTTTTGATAACACTCTGAGGAAAGTATTATTTCCATTTTAGAGATGAGTAACTAAAACTTATAGAACTTAGTAATATCTCAAGGTCACACAGCTACACACGGTAGAATCAGGGCCTGAACCCCACACTTTTCACTTCTAAGCCAGGGTCATGTCCACTGTACCCTCCACCCTGGCCTCCCTGCCAACCCAGGACTCAGGGTCAGTCAGGCCACTATGGCTGCAAATCACAGCCTTTATCTAAGAACTTGTCTCTGGGCAAGTCATATACAGTTCTGTGTGTTTTGTGGGTAGACACCACCCCCAAGTACCTAGCTTTGCCTCTGGAAGTGACTTTTAAGAAGAGGTAAGCTAGTCAGGGTATTCAGGGATGCCAGGAGCAAAGTCTTGGATCAGAGCTGCTCTGCCTGCTCGTGTCACAACACTCTCCTCTGGGGGAAATTCCCAGCAGCTGTCATGTGGTTGGGTTCAAGATTCTGCCCTAATGTGGTCTGACAGCAGCTAAAAGGCTAGAGTGGGAAGATCTAGGACTGAAAATCCCTCAGTGGAAACCTGGTTTCCTGTTACTACCCTTTGTGTTCTCTGTGTTTGAGGGACTCAGGAAGACTCAGGCACCGTGATTATCTGGCAGGTTTTGAGTCTCATTCATTAGCCATGGGAAGAGGCACCTCCTCCTCCTGTCCATCCAGAGAGGGCCTGAATCTAAGCACACCAGGCAGATGAGTCTGTGCTTCCCATGTTCCCCCTTTAGACCTGGCTCTCATCTTCTCCTGCAATGGCCAGTATCTTGTCACTCATGACACCGCTTCTGGATCCTGGGGCCCGCCTCTTCCCTCCCTCCCCTCTCCTCATCTGCCAGCATCATCACAGAATCGCTCTGAGGGCACCCCAGAGTCCTTCATGTTTTTATCTTCTGAATTCCAGAACTGACAATTTCTTCATTACAAGGGGGAAAGGGCTGACTCCTGTAATCTCGGGGAGACCGAGGTGGGAGGACTGCTTGAGGCCAGGAGTTTGAGACCAGCCTGGGCAACACAGGAAGACCTCATCTTTACAACAGTTTAAAAATTAGCCATGTATGGTGGTATGCACCTGTGGTTCCAGCTACTCAGGAGGCTGAGGTGGGAGAATCACTTGAGTTCAGGAGTTTGAGGCTGCAGTGAGCCTTGATTGTGCCACTGTGCTTCATCCTGGGTGACAGAGATGCAGTCTCAAAACAAACAAAAAACAAAGGGGAAAAGATGTATTCCTTCTCATCTTCCCTAGCCTGTGGGGCTGAGAAGGCAGGTGGTCTGAGCCCCCCTTCTACCCTATCCAAATTGCTGTCCTTCCCAGCTCCACCTCAGCTGCCAAAGCCTGCCATGGTACACAGACAAAGGGAACCACAAAGCTCCCCCAGGAAACCAAAAACGCCAACACAACAGATTTATAACTGTGAATAGACTCCAAGAGATCATGGAGAAAAGCTCCAAGCCTTTTTAGTTTCTACACACACATACACAAACACATACACACACACATATACACACACACCCCCCGACACACTCTTTCCTCCACCCCCAACAGCCCTCCCTTAAGGGAGATGTTAATGGAGTCGTCCATTAAATGCAGCAGCTGCCAGAGCATTCAGCTGACTGGGCAGAGGGCCTGAACCCATTTATTCCAAACTGCAGCCCCCATCACATATCTCAGGTTTTTATCTTTTCATTTCCACATTGTGCTCAGGCCAGGTCGCTGAATGCCAGCTCCCGGCCTGAGAACCCACATGCTTCCGTGGAGTACACACTAATGCCTGCCTGCCTATTGGCCACAAAGGCCATGCACGGAGAGATGGGAGGGAGGACAGCGGGAAGGGTAAATCAGCACTCATTTCCCAAAACCCACTCATGCTCAAGAAAATGTTGCTTAAAGAGCCCCACGTGGAATCTTTCTCTATGACAATTATCTATAACTGAAAATTTGTTACAATGTCACAATGTCTAAAATCCACTCTCAGCCTGGCATGGTGGCTCATACTTGTAATCCCAGCACTTTGGGAGGCTGAGGCAGGAGGATTGCTTGAGCACAGGAGTTTAAGACTAGCCTGGGAAACATGGCAAGACCCCGTCTCTACAAAAAATACAAAAATTAGCCAGTCCTGGTGGCACGCACCTGTAGTCCCAGCTACTCAGGAGGCTGAAGTGAGAGGACTGCTGGAGCCTGGGAGTCAGAGGCTGCAGTAAGCCAAGATGGTGCCACTGCACTCCAGCTTGGGTGACAGAGTGAGACTTTTTCTCAAAAAATAAAATAATTCACTCTCAAGAGGAAGACTGCCTGTTTCTGAAGACTCTGTCCACAAGACCAGCGTCACCTGTCATTTCTAATGGGTCCCTGCCCTGTCCTCCATTGTGAACTATTAGAAAGCCAAATACTTTACCGGCTGTTTAGAATGAAGGCAACAAAACGAGTTTCATATAGTGTGGGAAAATCCTAGAGTATCAGCTGTGTACAATCTGGCAAATTGCAGGAACATGGCTTGATGCAAGAGTGGGACTCTGACTCAGCACAAGAGTCGGACTCTGACTTAGCACAAGAGTCTGCCTTCAGTTCTTGGTTCTTCCTGCTTCTCTCAGCTTTCTCTTTGACCTTCTGACTCTTGGAGTAGCCATTCTACAAACATTATCTGAGTGCTGCTATGTGCAAGCTGCTGCTCCTGGCACAACCCATGGGTTCATGGCAAGACTGCCTCCTCCTCATGGTTCTCCAATACCCCCAGCTGGTTTTCTGGACCCTATGACCAGGAGCTGGACTGATTTGATCCTCTCTTATACTGACCTTCCCTTTCCTCACAACTGAGTCTAGAAAGTACCTCTTATAATTGACTGCTGAACCTATCATTTGTGTTTCCTTTTTTTTTCTTTTTTTTTTTTTTTTTTGCGATGGAGTTTTGCTCTTGTCGCCCAGGCTGTCGCAATGGCATTATCTCAGTTCACTGAAACCTCCGCCTCCTGCGTTCAAGTGATTCTCGTGCCTCAGCCTCCCGAGAAGCTGGGATTACAGGTGCCTGCCACCATGCCTGGCTAATTTTTGTATTTCTAGTAGAGATGGGGTTTCACCATGTTGGCCAGGCTGGTCTTGAACTCCTGACTCAAGTCATCCACCCACCTCTGACTCCTGAAGGATTGCAGGCATGAGCCACCGCGCTCAGCCCATCATTTGTGTTTCTTAAGCAATTTCATTTGAATGAGCTAGATGTACTCTACAGTCAAAAAGGCAAAAAGACAACGCATGCTGTAATGGACACGAGTTTCTCCCCAAGTGTTGCTTCCTTAGGGGATCAATCTCTTTAGTTATTCCAAAACCACATGGTCCTGGGAGTGGCAAGATCCTCCCCTGGACTTCAGGGGTAAGGACATGACCCAGGCCTAGCCCATCAGATTACTCCACACCTCTAGGCACAGCAACTGATTCAGAGAAGGACGTAGAACTCAAACCAGACCAATCACAGTGCTCTCCGGGCTTCTGCAGGAGCTATGGAAAAAATACATACTCTCTCCATGGAATGGTGAGTTCTGAGGGTAGCGCTGGTTTGGAGCTGCTGGTGGCCACCTGGCTGCCATATGTGAAGAGCCTGTCTGACCCTGAAGCAAGGCAGCAACAAGCAAAGCCAAGGAACAGGGATAGTCTGTACCCCATGCACCATTTGTTTTTGTGTGTGGGTGTTTTTGTTTGTTTGTTAATTTTCTTTTCTGAGACAGAGTCTTGCTCTGTCACCCAGGCTGGAGTGCAGTGGCACAATCTCAGCTCACTGCAACCTCCACCTCCCAGGTTCAATTAATTCTCCTGCCTCAGCCTCCTGAGTAGCTAGGATTACAGGTGTGTGCTACCACACCTGGCTAATTTTTTTTTTTTTTTTAGATGGAGTCTCTGTCACCCAGGCTGGAGTGCAGTGGCCCAATCTCAGCTCACTGCAAGCTCTGCCTCCCGGGTTCATGCCATTCTCCTGCCTCAGCCTCCCGAGTAGCTGGAACTACAGGTGCCTGCCACCACGCCCAGCTAATTTTTGTATTTTTAGTAGAGACAGGGATCCACCGTGTTAGCCAAGATGGGCTTGATCTCCTGACCTCATGATCCGCCCGCCTTGGCCTCCCAAAGTGCTGAGATTACAGGCATGAGCCACCGCGCCCTGCATTTTTGTATTTTTAGTAGAGACGGGGTTTCACCGTGTTGGCTAGGCTGGTCTCAAACTCCTCACCTCATGATCTGCCTGCCTTGGCCTCCCAAAGTGCTGGGATTACAAATGTGAGCCACCGTGCCCAGCGTGTTTTTTAATAAGCTGGTGTTTTGAAATTTTTATTTATTTTTGTATAAATGGGATCTCGCTATGTTGCCCAGGCTGCTTTTGAACTCCTGGGCTCAAGCAATCCTCCCACCTCAGTCTTCCAAAGTGCTGGGATTACAGGTGTGAGCCACGGTGCCCTGGCCATGATGCATCATTTGAAGTCATGGATCTAGTCTTCCCAAAGCCAGTCGACCATTTTGCTGGAGATGTTTGGAAGAAAACAGCTACCTTTTAGTTAGTTGTCTCTCTGGGATAAGGTCCTTATACTACCTTTCTGTTTGTTTGAGACACAGTCTCGCTCTGTCACTCAGGCTGGAGTGCAGTGGCGCAATCACAGCTCACTGCAACCTCTGCCTCCTGAGTTCAAGTCATTCTCATCCTTCAGCCTCCCAAGTAACTGGGACCACAGGCACACACCACCACGCCTGGCTAATTTTTTTGTATTTTTGGTAGAGACAGGGTTTCACCATGTTGGCCAGGCTGGTCTTGAACTGAGCTCAAGTGATCCACCTGCCTTAGCTTCCCAAAGTGATGGGATTACAGGCATGAGCCACCATTCCTGGCACTACCCCTATTTTATTCCCTCCCACAAAATATGTTGGGAGAAAAGTTATGGAAATGGATAATAATTATCCAAAATTTTCCTTTTCACCTCTAAATCAAAACACAAGATTCCAGATCTCTTGAGAGTAAGAATCAGGAGCCACTCTGATTCTAGAAATAGTGAGTCAACTAAGTGCTTTGAGGTCAGAGATATTTGAGGTGTATCCCTACATCTTTGGGAGCATCTCGATAAACATTTACTGTGCTCTCTGTCTCATTTTCTCTGGGGATCACTATCAAAATAGACGGATCAAGGTACCACCCAGTGGCCTTGCCAGAGAGGGTTCTTTGCCCCCTCACCAACTCCCTTCCCATCCTCACCACTAGTGGGAAGGAGGTCTTCAACATAACGGTGCATTGAAGTTAAGCTCTAAGGGGTGACAGAAGCAATGAGGAACCGTCTTGGAGGTGCTTTACTGGAAGAAAGTAAGAATCCACCTTCATCCTTCCAAAATAGAGCCAGACCTTGGCCAGGCGCTGTGGCTATAATGCCAGCACTTTGGGAGGCCAAGGTGGGCGGATCATCTTAGGTCAGTAGTTCAAGACCAGCCTAGCCAACATGGAGAAACCCCATCTCTACTAAAAATGCAAAAATTAGCCAGGCGTGGTGGCACACACCTGTAATCCGAGCTACTCAGGAGGCTGAGGCAGGAGAATCGCTTTAACCTGGGAGGCAGAGGTTGCAGTGAACCAAAATCACACCACTGCACTCCAGCCTGGGCAACAGACCGAGACACTGTCTCAAAAAATTAAAATTAAAATTAAAAAATGGAGCCAGACCCAATCTCACAGGCCCTAATAATGAAGCCTGGACTCAGAGAAGAAAGCAGGGGGTAGAAAGGAAGGAGGAGGAAATTTAAAGGGAACAATTGCAAAAAGATTGAAAAAGAAAGCCCCAAGAACAAAATAGCATCATGAAGAGGCCAAGAAGCTGAGCAAAACATAGCAGAGGGATGACAAGACCTGAGTACCTGCCGCCTTTCCTCAGAGCAGCCGGTTCCCTGGGCAGGTGCTGGGCTTCTTCCAGAGAGCTCCGGACCCTGCCCAGGGGAGTGTGGCGCTCAGGGCGCAGCTGGCTCCCAGGCAGAGCACAGACCTACCCGGCTGACTGTCTAGTCATGGCTCAAAGGTTCTTCCAGTCAATGTGCTTCCTTTACTGGTTAAACCTATGGAACCTCAGCCTGTGGCTCTCTGCTAACAAGGCTTTTTATACCCTTGCTACCACAGCTGTCTGCCAGATGCCTATTGAAGGAGCCATCTATTGCTAGAAAAACACACTCCACTTCTTTTTCAGTGGGCCTTTACTCCTCTATGCTTTCTGAACATAGAGAGAGGGGCTGTTGTTCCCAATGCTCGTTGTCATTGGGCATTAATCATCACTATACTCACAGGGCTCTCTACAGCCATTTGGGTTGCTCAATACTCTGCCACTTGGGAGAGCGGCTGTATTAGGTCAGGTTCCCCAGAAGCAGAGCCTGAGGTAGGATTCAAGGCACACGATTTATTGAGATGTGGCTTCAGAAGAAAGAGAATGAAGGAAGCAGGGAAGGGTAGGAGAGAAGGATATGGCTGCAACTTTGTGTTTAGCCTCAGCCTGACTCCACTGGGGGGTACTCAAGAGCATAAACAGCACCAAGGAATTGATCCTTTCTTGCAATGAAGGGGCTGGTCTTTGTACCCTCTTGGCTGAAACCTGAAGGGGATGGGTACAGGAGGGTACAAAGGGTCTCCTACACACTGGGAGCAATTTTCTGGAGGCGGGGACATCTGTGAGCTATTGGAGTCCCAGATAACAGCTGGGGGATGGATACACTGAAAAGGTAAAGGGAATCTGGGCAGGGTACCAGCAGCATCCAATACAGCTACACGTTAGTTGGCCAGGGCTGATGTAACACAATACCATAGACTGGGTGACTTAAACAACAGACATTTATTTTCTTACAGTTCAGGAGGCTAGAAGTCCAAGATGGGGGCAGTAAGAGGGGGAGAGGGGGAGGCAGAGTAGAGAAACCAAGCCCTCTGGTGTCTCTTCCTATAAGGGAACTAATCCCACCCTGAGGGACCCATCTTCATGACCTCACTTTAATCTGACTGCCTCCGCAAAGTCCCACCTCCAAATACCATCTGGGCATTAGGGCTTCAACATACGAATTTTGGGGGCACACAGTTCAGTCCATAGCAGCTACCATTTTCTAAACAGGAAAGCCAGCTTTGTTCCATGAGAGCCATTTCCCCACCAGTCATTTCCCTGCCACCTAAATTCCTCTGGGAACCCCATTTGTTGACTGATATGGAAGAGTTAAGTTTAAACCCCAGCTAGCAGAAACAGGCCTAGGATCTCCCAATGGCTTCTCTTTCTTCTGCCTTAGCAGATGCTCTGCTTGATCTGGGAAAATCAGGCTGGGAATGCTTGCAAGCCTCAGTCCTTGGTAAGTATTCTGGAGGTGACAGCTGAGGCATGTGCATGCACTCCTACCCAGCTCAGGCTTTGAAGCTCGGGAGCAGAGCCATTAACATTCTCTTCAGCCCACAGATAGTTCTCTTCAGCCCTTGTTGGTCTCATTTTCTTCCCTCCTGACTTTTTCATCAAGAGCAGCAGCTTTCTTGTTCCTAGAACCTTTTCTTCTCTTCAAAGAGCTCTGGTCCCCAGGGAGGCCTGTGGCAGAGAGACTTGCCAGACACTTCTGGGTTCCCAATGAAGAGGAGACCATGCCACCTGCTTTGCAGCTAAGAACCCAAGCACCCCCGCTCCCTTCACAGATGCCTTCAGGATTGAGCAAAGGACCAGCCAGGGGGGCCCACTTGCCCCCTGGTTTCCTGGGCATCTGCAGGGGTTAGGCCGTGGGCTAGAGGGACTATCCTGCTGGGTCCTCAGGTCCACTCCTACTTCTGAATTTGGGCTATTTAAATAGAGGAGGTCAGAGAGGATAGTCACAGAGAGTAGGAATCCACCCACTGCCCCACCTCCATTCTGAAGCTATGAGAGGAGGTGGGGAGGGCTCCTTTCACAGAAGACCTCCTGTAGGCTGGAGAGGGGCAGAGAAGAGTTCTCAGTGGGAGCACCGTTCACGCCTGTGTGATTTATTAAGAGCTACTATCTATCAAGCTGTGTGGGGGGGTGCTTAGAGAATAGGAAAAAGTAATATCGGGGAAACTTAAATTCTACTAGCCCCAAAGCAAATTTCCTAAGCAGTCTACAGATGTTAGTAAAAGGGACTCCAGTGCTTGCAATTCAGACAGAGGAGAGTCAAGCAGATGGTAATTCACCATCATTGTCTAAACTTTCCTCTTAGGGCTGCCCTTTCTCCAAGAGCCACTGGTTGTATCCCTGTTCCCCCATGAGGTTTTGCAGGGGTGAGCGAATTGTGCCATATTCCTCCACTGCCCAGGACTTGGTTCTGTCATCTCTGCATCTTCCCTGCCCCATGCCCTACAGTTGTCTCAGGAATCCGAGCACTCACTCCTTACAGTTGCTTCTGCAGTGATTCCAGAGAGATACAAGAAAGCAACCTCCCCAGGAGCATATTTTATCAAACTCCTGTGCAGTCAGAACAACAGTTATGGCAATGAGGTGCCATCATTTTTATTCATTTCCCTGTCCCCTCTGGCTGCAGAGCTGGGCCCAGCATCACATTGCACACCAGCCCAGGTAGGCCCAGCAGCACACAGAGGACTGTGACTCCATCTGCTGGCTTGACAGCAGCTCCAGATCAGAGCCTTTGAATTCCTTGCAAGGCAGGCTCTGGCTCTGAACTGGAAGACCAAGAAGTCTTTTCATCATGATAAAGTAAAGATATTCAGCCATTTTGTCAAAGGCGATGACATCTACCCCTCCCACCTTAAACCCATAGACACAGATACAAATACGCCAGGGAAACACTGAGCCAAGGATTGTTGATCTCTCTGACAGGAGTTAGGGAAGGCAGCCCAGTAGCCACTGGCTGTGCTGTGCATAAGCATTGCTTTGGGGGCTATAATAGAGACCTTCATACAACAAGAGGACAGCTCCAAACCGAGGTAGGGGTGGGATCAGAAAAACACTAATGAAATTAGCGTTTTCTTCTTTCCATCATGCCCTTCACCTCTACTTGCCTTCTTTATGAAAGAGGCTTCCTCTGTAGATTACTTAACTATTCCCAAGGGCCTGTGGTCCATGCAGAGTCATCTTTATCCTCAAGATTTCTTACTGCTCTTACTGAGCAAGGAAAGGATGAGGGCCCACTTTAGAGATGAGAACAATTAAGCTTCCTTGAGAGAAGACAGGAGAACAATAATATTACCTACCTATACTCAGAAAATAACCACTTGGTTCCTGAAATCCCTTGTTTGATGACATTGTGTTATTTGGAAATTTCAGTAAGGCTCCAATATGCAGTACCCATGTCATACCAAAGTGAGGCGCCAGCAATGATGCAAATTTTCATAGGAAACAGTTGACAATCACTTATGGGACTCTCAAATTTTCACCCCTATCAAGGGGAAAAAGAAATTGTTGGATATTAAGAGAATGTTTCTGAAAAGGATTTATTCGGTGCAAAGTATTCGTGTGCTATGGGTACCCCCTCCAAAAGAAAGAGGATACCTGTGTTTCACTACAAGCCTAATGAGAAGAGCTTGGAAGAGACTCCTAGGAGAGTTTGATATGTGTCTTCTCCTGCAGTTAGCAGGACAGAGTGGTCTAATTTCTGACTCCAGCCCAAAAAAATGTAGAAGCCACCATATGTGCTAGCAGCTGCTTTGTGATGCTGGGATTTGTTCAGAGCTTGTGTGGGCAAAAACCTGTTTCTCACAGACCTGAGGTGGGGCACATGCATAGGGGGATGTTTTGGAGAGCATTTTAGATCCTGACCAATAGGAATGTCAGAGGGCAAACAGGCCTGAGCAGAAGAGAAACTGGAAATGGACTGTTACATTATGAGGGTCTGGAGAGGGCGAAAGCAACTGACAAGAGGGGAGTCCACTTGCCCAGGCCACTGGGAACTGCTGCAGCAGCAGCAGCAGCAGCAGCAGCAGCAGCAGCAGCAGCAGCAGCAGCAGTGTGTGTGTGTGTGTGTGTGTGTGTGTGCGCAGATCTCTGAAGAACCCACAAAAGTGCTTTATGAGAAAGCTAGATTTAAACACTGGCCACACTGGGAGGTAGGAGAGTGCAAAGCCAGCTTTGACATGAGACAAGTACCATATTTTCTGTCGCCTCTTAGTTTCTTGTGCTCTAATTCTAGAAGGATCAGAAACTTCAGAAGAGAAAGACTACACCCTTTCTTTTCATTTGCAGCAGGCCCCAGATAGGAAGGACAAATAGCAAATAGCTTAAGCTTCGAAAACCAAGCAGAAACATTGATAATACCAAGCTGAACATTTTAAGTGCCTAATTGAAATCATGCTGTACTGCGTACAGTGGCTATAAGGCTTCCTAACACCTCCAAGGGATCCTGAAAAGTATTTGTCCAGGAGCACACTTAAGACCATCACTACAAAGCAGGTTTAAAGAAACAGTGGGGCCAGGCGCAGTGGCTCACGCCTGTGATCTCAACACTTTGGCAGGCCGAGGTGGGCAGATTGCTTGAGGTTAGGAGTTCGAGACCAGCCTGGCCAACACAGCGAAATCCCGTCTCTACTAAAAAAAAAAAAAATAGCTGGGCATGGTGGCAGGCACCTGTAATCCCAGCTACTCAAGAGGCTGAGGCAAGAAAATTGCTTGAACCCTGGAGGCAGAGATTGCAGTGAGCCAAGATCACACCACTGCACTCCAGCCTCGGCAACAGAGCAAGACTCTGTCTTGAAAAAAAAAAAAAGAAAAGAAGAAACAGTGGGAGCTGAAAACAAAGTTTCTGTTATGATTATACCCCATCAGTACTGCTTGTCATTGTTCCAGTTGCAGTTATAAAAGTTGTTCTTCAATCTTTATTTTAAAAATAATTAAAACACCAAAGGACTCATAAGAAGAGGAGCTATTGTCAGAGCTAACAGTTCTCCTTGGCTTAACAATGTTTCAGTGTCCTTGTGGAAAATGAGGCTTCCAGCTCAGCCCACTTCTCCTCTTTCTTCTTCATTTCCTGAAGACTCTCTCTTCCCTCCTCCTGTTACTCTGCAGTATATAGCACAGTTCTGAGTACAGCCACTTTTAACAACATCATAAAACTCCCTCAGTCCTGCCCCCAACCCTGCCCATCTTCAGGAATACCATAAGGACTCAGAAGTCATCTCGACTGAGTTTCAGAGTCTCCTCCATGGTAACACTTGCTGCCATCTTCTCAATTTTACCTCTTTTTTTTTTTTTTTTTTTTGAGCCAGAGTCTCACCCTGTTGCCCAGGCCGGAGTGCAGTGGCACAATCTTGGCTCACTGCAACCTCCGCCTCCCAGGTTCAAGGGATTCCCCTGCCTCAGCCTCCCCAGTGGCTGGGATTACAGGCACGTGCCACCGCGTCCAGCTAATTTTTGTATTTTTAGTAGAGACGGGGTTTCACCATGTTGGCCAGGCTGGTCTCGAACTCCTGACCTCAGGTGATCTGCCTGCCTCGGCCTCTCAATACCTCCTCATTCTTTCCCTACAGTTGGGGAATGAGATACATACGCTTACACCCACATACAAAACACCATACAAAGAAAATTCTATACATGGATTCTAGCCCCTTAGAAATGTACTACTTAAGACAGTTAACATTAAACAGACAAGCATAAACATATAAACAATAGAGAAACAACATTAAACCAATACATGAATGAACAGCAGGGCAACTTCATGATTGAGATGGCAAGCAGGCGGCCAATCGATGAATGTTTACTGAACAGCTCCTAGGTGTCAGATGTTGGGCCAGGTTTTGGCAATAAAAATTTGAACAAAACAGACATAGTCCCTGCATACATGAAGAATCAAAACACTAGAGAAGATAAATACTAAATAATTTTTTACTAAAAAGTAGCTTATAGGCCAGGCACAGTGGCTTACGCCTGTAATCCCAACACTTTGGGAGCCAAGGTGGGCAGATCACCTGAGGTCAGGAGTTTGAGACCACCATGCCCAACGTGGCAAAACCCCGTCTCTACTAAAAATACAAAAATTAGCTGAGCATGGTGGCAGGTGCCTGTAATCCCAGCTACTCAGGAGACTGAGGCAGGAGAATCACTTGAACCTGGAAAGCAGAGGCTGCAGTGAGCCGAGATTGCACCACTGCACTCCAGCCTGGGCGACAGAGTGAGACTCCATCTCAAAAAACAAAAAAAAGTATTATAGGTGTAGACAGTGCTGTGGAAGATAATATGCAGGACTGGCCTAGGCCTTAGGAATCTAATCTATTCTGGGGGCTGGAGAAGCTTGCCTATACAAGTGACATTTATGTTGGGACCTGAAGGCTAAATAGGGTTAGACAACTGGCTGGTGGGGAGAAAGTGATCTAGGGAGAAGTGAGGGCCTATGGAAGTGCAGAAGCAACACTTCAAGGACCCGAAAGAAGGCCCGTGTTGCTGCAGTGAATCTATCAAGGAAGGGTTGCCGATATAAGGAGGTTGAAGGGACCAGCAGGAAGCTGGGAGATTTTTTTCTTTTTTAAGAGAATGGATCTCACTATGTCACCCAGGCTGGAGTGTGGTGGCTATTCACAGGCACACCATCATTGCACACTACAGCCTTGAACTCCTGGGCTCCAGTGATCCTCTTCTCAGCACTACAGGTGTGCACCACCACACCCAACTCTGGGTTTTTTTTTGTTTTTTTTTTTTTGAGACAGAGTTTCACTCTTGTCACCCAGGCTGGAGTGCAATGGCACCATCTCGGCTCACTGCAACCTCCGCCTCCCAGGTTTAAGCGATTCTCCTACCTCAGCCTCCCACGTAGCTGAGATTACAGGCGAGTGCCACCGCGCCCGGCTAATTTTTGTATTTTTAGTAGAGATGGGGTTTTACCATGTTGGCCAGGCTCGAACTCCTGACCTCAGGTGATCTGCCCTCCTCAGCCTCCTGAAGTGCTGGGATTACAGGCATGAGCCACCGCTCCCGGCCTTTGGGGGATTTTAAATGTTGATTAAGAACAAGCAAGTGGGCCAGGAGCAGTGGCTCATGCCTGTAATCTCAGCACTTTGGGAGGCTGAGGTGGGCAGAACACCTGAGGTCAGGAATTCGAGACCAGCCTGGCCAACATGGCGAAACCCTGTCTCTACTAAAAATACAAAAATTAGATGGGCGTGGTGGCCAGCTCCTGTAGTCCCAGCTACTCTGGAGGCTGAGACAGGAGAATTGCTTGAACCCGGGAAGCAGAGGTTGCAGCAAGCCAAGATCGCACCACTGCACTCCAGCATGGGCCACAGAGTGAGACTCCGTCTCCAAAAAAAACCAAGCAAGTGGAAAGTATAGAATCAAAGACTTGCAGGATGGGCAGTCACAGGATTTAAAGGTCATCTAGTCCCACCACCCAGATGATACTGGTATCTCCTCTGCTCATTTTTTATCACCAGATGAATCCAAATGGAGGCCAGAGAGGGGCTGGCATGAGGTCACAGCAGGCTGAGGTAAGGGAGTATCCATGAAGCCCCGAAGGCTGAGGCAGGAGGGTTCCGGGTTCCATTTCTCTGACCCAAGTATGAGTTGGAGCTGGTCTCTGGTCAAACTGCCTATTTGTGTGAGGACACTCATAGGACCAGCCAAGGAAAAGCAGATAACAACCATTCGTGTTTATTAACCATAGCACATTGGAAGGCTAATTGCTCTGAGCAGGTGTCGGGGAGGTTGATTTGTTCAAGAGGGCCTGGCTAGTTTGTATTCGTGACAGAGAAATCTATTGTTGAGAGCCGGGCAAGACAGCCTGTGAAGAAGCCAAAGAAGGGCAAAGCCAGCCTGACCAGCACCCAGAGGAGCTCTGGCCCATGGACTCGATCAAGGAAATTTGTTCATCATTATCAGGGCAAATGCTTCCTCCTGTGCTGGCAGCAGGACAAACAGGCTACTCCTTGGTGATACAAACCAGTGAAATATTCATGATTATATGACAATAATGAACCTGGCCCCTTCTTCCCTTCATCTTCCTGATTCTCACTGTGTGGCAGGGCTGTGTGTGCTCACAAACAGTCCTGTGTCCTCGTCATTATCATAATTAATCAATATTTAATAAGTGCCCCCCACACTATGAAAAGCCCTGTGGTGACTCAGGATACAAGAAAGTGGTAGTCTCTGCCCCGAGAAGGTTCACAAATCTAAATGAGGAAAGTAGAAACATGCACCAAAAGGTAAACCATAACCAATACATGGCTGCAGTGACATGGGTTTGGGATTTAAAAGGCCATCAAAAGGCCAGGTGCAGTGGCCCACACCTATAATCCCAGCACTTTGGCAGGCCAAGGCAGGAGGATCACTTGAGCCCAGGAGTTGGAGACCAGCCTGGGTGACAGACAGAGTGAGTCCCTGTCTCTACAAAAAAAAAAAAAAAAAAGAATTTTCTGAGACAGGGCCTCACTCTGTCGCCAAGGCTGGAGTGTAGTGGTGCAATCTCTGCTCACTGCAGCCTCCGCCTCCCAGGTTCAAGCGATTCCCCTGCCTCAGCCTCCCAAGTAGCTGGCACTACAGGCATGGCGCTGTCACATCCAGCTTTTTTTTTTTTTTTTTTTTTTTGTATTTTTAGTAGAGACGGGGTTTCGCCATGTTGGCCAGGCTGGTCTCAAACTCCTGGCCTCAAGTGATCTGCCTGCCTCCGCCTCCCAAAGTGCTGGGATTACAGGTGTGAACCACCGCACCCAGCCTACAAAAAGTTTTTTTAATTAGCCAACCATTGTAGTACATGCCTGTAATCCTAACTACTTGGCAGGCTGAGGCAGGGGGATCACCTGAGCCCAGGAGGTTAAGGCTGCAGTGAACTGTGATCATGCTACCGCACTCCAGCCTGGGTGATAGAGTGAGACACTGTCTCTCAAAAATAAATAAAAATAAAAGTAAAAAATAAAAAGACCATCAAAGACCACTGTAGAAGAACAAGACAGAGCCTAGAACTTAAGGAAATTGGCCTCAGAGCAGCATGATGCAGGAAGGTACTTCAAGCAGACTAGAAAGAGATGCTTTGGGGTCAGGAATGAGAATGTTTGTAGGTCCTGGAACAAGGGAACCCAGGCCTTGATCCCTGGCATGACAGCACCTAAGAAGGGAGCAAGACCCTAGAGAGGCCTGGCCTCATGGTATATCTAGGAGATAGGACCCCAGGCCAGAGGATGAGGCAAGGATGAAGAGCAGGCTGTCAGTACCTGGGCCTCAAGTGATGGTACAAATGATGGGACAACTCAAAGCTCCCTCCAATCTCATCCAAAATATAAGATCTTGGAACCATAACGCAAGCTTGAAGACAAGAAATAAGCTAGATTAACTTTCCCAACAGTCAGATGGGATCAGAGCATGTAATTGGAGTTTACCTTTATTTAAGAATATAAATAAATGTGATACTTCCTACACACATGAATTTATAAACTGAGAGTCATACCTGCTGCAGTTGCTACAGTTCAAGTGTGAAAGGATGAGAACTAGATTAGAATGATTTCAGCGAAAAGACAAAGACATAAAAGTCCTAGTGATATACAGGAATAAAGAACAGAACTAGATTTGCCCAGAATCTACAGCAAATCCCAGGACACATTGAGAATGCACAAAGTTTCTCCTTGTTTCGGTTGCTCTCTGCCTGCAGGCATCCCTACAGGGGACTCAAGTCAATGCTTTATGAGTTAGTCTTGGCATCCATAAGTTATGATGAAATGCAACTTAAAAAAAGCTTTGTTCTCTCCCAAGGCTGCATGTTACTGCTCAGGTGGACAGGGTAATAAAAAAAAAAAAAGAAGAAAATTTAGTCACTGAGTTTCTACTCTGTGTCAGAAATGATGAGGACTAGCAATACCAAGATTACTAAAACTCTCTTCCTGCCCTTAATATGCTCATTATCTATTCAGAGGAATGGCCATTCCAGCAAATAATTAAATCCTCTGTGATATGTTGTGATGGAACTGTGGATAAGTTCTCTAGAAGCACAGAGGATCAAGTGACAAGCTCAAGAAGCCAGAGAAGGCTTTTACAGAGAAGGTGAGATTTAAGTGGTGGGCTTTACAGGATGAATAGGAGCTCACCATTTGTGTTTGTTTTGTTTTGTTTTGTTTTGTTTTGTTTTGTTTTGTTTTGTTTTGAGGAAGGGTCTCACTCTGTTGCCAAGGCTGCAGTGGTATGATCTCAGCTCACTGTAACCTCTGCCTCCTGGGCTCAAGTGATCCTCCCACCTCATCCTCCTGAGTAACTGGGACTACAGGTGTGCACCACCACGCCCAACTAATTTTTGTACATATCTTTTATAAAGATGAGGTTTCACCATGTTGCGCAGGCTGGTCTCAAACTCGTGACTTCAAGTGATCCTCCTGCATCGGCCTTCCAAAGTGCTGGGATCACAGGCATGAGCCACTGAGCCTGGCCCAACATTTGGAAAAGAAAGAGAAGAGCATTCCAGAGAGTGAGAAGAGTACACAAAAAGCATGGAGACACAAAGAAAGGGTGGGCTTGCAGTGTGGAGGAGGGAGAGGAGGGGTGAAAAAGAAGTTGGCAGGAAACGGCCTTCCAATATTTTCACGAGATTAATTAAATTACAAAGATCATGTTAGTAATTCTGCAAATTCACAAGTTGTTGGCCAGGCGTGGTGGCTCACGCCTGTAATCCCAGCACTTTCGGAGGCCAAGGCAGGTGGATCACAAGGTCAGGAGATCAAGACCATCCCAGCTGACATGGTGAAACCCCTGTCTCTACTAAAAATACAAAAAAATTAGCCGGGTGTGGTGGCGGGCGCCTGTAGTCCCAGCTACTCGGGAGGCTAAGGCAGGAGAATGGTGTGAACCCGGGAGGCGGAGTTTACAGTGAGCCAAGATAGTACCACTCCAGCCTGGGCAACACAGCAAGACTCCGTCTCAAAAAAAAAAAAAAATTCACAAGTTGTTAAGGAGCTATATCCAAGCCTCAGAATTTGGATTCACAGGGTAAGTGGGATTATCACAACAGAAGGAAACTCGATTGTATTCCATGAAAAAAAGATGTTCTGCCTGGAATTGGCCCTTACACTTTCTTTTCTTGAGATAGAGTCTCCCTATGTTGCCCAGACTGGACTAAAATTCCTGGGCACAATCGATCCTCCAGCCTCAGCCTCCTCAGTAGCTGGAACTGCAGGCACATACCACCACCACGCAGGGCTGGCTCCTGCCATTTTTCACCATTTTTAACCCACCTTGAAGGGGTAGCTGTTCACATATTCACCACCAATGGACTTCTGTGGTACACGAAAGGGAAGAAGTCACACGTTATCTGCCGTATGGCCCTTTGCTGGAGACCGCACAAAGAGATAGTTTATGCAGACATTTATCTACCCTTAGAAAACCTACTAGCCTCCAGCAAAATCATTTTCTTCTCTTTTTTTCTCTTTCAGGGCTTCTCACCAAAAGCACTGGCAGGTTTTCCTTCCTCAATAATAGCCAGCCTCATAGCTTTCTTCATTTACCAAGTGAGCACCTTTCAGTGAAAACACTATGGTTTAATATCCACATCCCAGGAGTCTGGATAAAGCCTGGGACCTTACAGGGGTACATCCATACTGCACAGCTTCAGCATGCCGTCCCAGGCATCACATGTCTACATCCATACTGCACAGCTTCCAGCACACGGTCCCGGGAATCACACTCTTTTTTTTTTTTTTTGAGACAGGGTCTCATTCTGTCACCCAGGCGGGAGTACAGTGGCACGATCATGGCTCACTGCAGCCTCAACCTCCTGGGCTCAACCAATCCTTCCACCCCACACTTCCAAGTAGCTGGGACCACAGGTGTGCACCACCACACCCAGCTAATTTTTGTATTTTTTGTAGAGACAGGGTTTCAACTCAAACTCCTGAGCTCAAGCCATCCTCTGGCCTCAGCTTCCCAAAGTGCTGGGATTACAGGTGTGAGCCACCGCACCCAGCCTGGGATCACATCTCTTTTTTTTATTTTCATTTTTTATTTTTTTGAGACTGAGTCTCGCTCCGTCACCAGGCTGGAGTGCAGTGGCAAGATCTCGGCTCACTACAAACTCCACCTCCCGGGTTCAAGTGGTTCTCATGCCTCAGCCTCCCAAGTAGCTGGGATTACAGGCACGCACCATCACACCCAGCTAGTTTTTGTATTTTTAGTAGAGATGGGGTTTCACCATGTTGGCCAGGATAGTCTCGATCTCCTGACCTCATGATCTGCCCGCCTTGGCCTCCCAAAGTGATGGGATTACAGGCGTGAGCCACCACACCTGGCTGGGATCACAACTCTTTAGACCCTACTCTTTCCCTGTCTTTGCCCCAAAGAGGCAGTGTGGAAGAGAGCTACCCTTGCTTACTAAGATCAGCATATCTTTAATCTGTGGCAACTTCATGTAAAATATGGAACAAGAAGAAAATAACCCCCAAAACTCCAGGGGTTTTTTTCCGAAAAATGTGCCTCAAGATTTATTGAAACGTCTGAATCTCATTTTCAGCACATTAAAGATCTGGATTGCAAATGTACAGGTTATGTATTTTGTGATGTGTTTCTGATAGAATTCAGGGATCAGGGAAGGAAAGATATTATTACTGATAGATTCTTTGAGGGTGAAGGGAGGGTCTTAGGAAACTGACTTCAACTTAAAAAAGAAAGGTAATTTGGTTTTAATCTTCAAAAAAAGTGCAGTTCATTTTGAAAAAAAATCACTGAGACTCACATTTTTGTGTTTAACAACAACCTTGAAATTGGTCTGCCTCAGAGGACAGCATGATTCTGGGCTACCTTAGCATGAATGATTTATGACATTCATGAACTTGGCAACTACATCAGTTTTTCTAAACCTGGCACCCAACACCACCTGCATGTTAAGTGAAGATTTATGATTTATAAAACTCACCTCATTATGCAGAGGTACATGAATTGTCTTATATCTGTAATCTATAACTCCCAAGACAGATAAGAAGGCAGCTATGTCACAGAATTTATGGCTCCTACCCACTAAAGCTGAAGTTTTAGAGAAAAACTGCAGAAATAACTGGCCCTTTGGAGAAAAATAGCTTTAGCTAACCATTACACCCCCAAATGATGAAATGGCTATAACCCACCATTATATCTTACATGAACAAAGAGGCTAACGGCAAAAGTCACTTTAATCACAGCACTGAACTATGTCCCCCTTTTGAATGCTGCGGTAATACACAGAACCTAAGTGACTTCTTGGAAATATCAAGCACTCTGTCAGTTTAATTTTTTCCCCAGTTTGGTGTCTGAGACCTCTTGCTGAGATTTCTCATCAAGTGGCCCAGCCAGACCCACAGACACGGACTTCAGGGAAGACAATTCAATACCTGGTTGTGTCTAATGGCTTCCTGCATATACCCCTAAAGTGAAGAAGATCACATGTTGATTTGAATTCTGAAAAGCAGCTTGTTCTCAGAGATATTTTAGAAATGCAGCCTCTCTCTCCCTATACCCTGAAAAAATAAAAAATAAATAAAAACTTGGAAGAACAGAGCATTCAGTGGAATAAACTTATGTAGCTTATGGAATAAGATTATATAGCTAGCCATTAAAAATGACAAGTATATGGGACCAGGTTGACATGCAGAAATCTTTAGACAATAGTAAACAAAATAAGCAGAACACAAAATGATAGAAAAAAATGATGTTTCAGTCCTAGAGATTTTCAATGGTATAAAGCTAAATGAAAAACAATAAAACCCTAAATAATCTATTTTCAAATTTCCCTACCAATAAGGAAATAGATATATACACATGGCTGCTGACTGCCCTGAATCTGAGAAGCACCCCACGCCTCCCTCCTCTGCAGAGCTCTCCAAAGAACATTCTACTCTCTCTGGCCTTTGAGTACTCTCAAAGAACACCAGCACTCAGATACCTAGGTCCACCGAAGAAAGCTGAAAATGTAAATGTCTTTACGTAGCAGGAGGAAAAGTACTCGAAAAAAAGAAGGTAGGAAACCCCCTTCCGTATTTGATAACTAAATAAACCTTTTAGGGAGATTGCTCTTTGCTATTTACTTAGTAACTTGATTTCTGAAATGTGTCTGGGATTCTCCCAGTTCTGACTTTGAGCTCTAGTGCCAGTGTGGTCACTCTAACTCGTGAAAATGATACTCCACTCACAAAATGGTGTCCTAGAACAAGAGGACAATATCAATGAACCACAGATTACACACCAGAAAAAGTGAAACGTCTTTGGCAACTGGGACTATACTCGAGAGCAGATAGATGCACAGACAGACCCCAGGGAAGAATTGTATTTGGGTTCAGGGACTCAGTTACCACTCCTCCTTAAGCGGCCTGTTGACACTTTACCACTCAAACACAGATGCTGTTCTCCAGGGCTCTGGGTGCTGATGTTCTGTTGGCTGCCTTTAATCCTGAAAGTGACTTCCCCAGTTCAGGCCAGGGATTCATGCTGTAATGGAATGAGAGAGAAGTGGGCCAGTACCATACACATGTACACCAATGCACACACCCAACACAACCTAGGACAGAGCAGACTTCCTTTGGGAAGCCATGCAAAGTTGCAGAGCACAGGCAGGATGGCCTCATTCACGGCTTCTACCCATTGGCACGCTTAGAAACAGTTTATTCTGGCAGGGTGCAGTGGCTCATGCCTGTAATCCCAGCACTTTGGGAGGCCAAGACGGGTGAATCACCTGAGCTCAGGAGTTAGAGACCAGACTGGCCAACATGGTGAAACCCCGTCTCTACTAAAAACACAAAAATTAGCTGGGCATGGTGACGCATGCCTGTAGTCCCAGCTACTTGGGAGGCTGAGGCACAAGAATTGTTTGAGCCTGGAAGGTGGAGGATGCAGTGAGTCTTGGTCGTGCCACTGTACTCCAGCCTGGGCAACAGAGCAAGACTTTGTCTCAAAAAAAAAAAAAAAAAGAAAAGAAACAGTTCATTTTTTTATGGAAGAGAGGTGTTCATGAGACCCTTATGCAAGCAGATCCCCTTTTCCCTTGAAGAACTCGTCAAAGCGATCCTTCCAGGTAAACTGGCTTGCTTCAGGTCATGGCACACACACACACAAGCCCTCTCACCCAACCCCTCAACCACTAGTTGAATAAAACAAGCAATTGGCACTTAAACTAAAGGCTGGGCCTGTAAGGTAAACCAGTGACCCATGTGACACCTTGGCACTTTTCTGGGCCTTTACTCTGCCCGACAAGGCTTTCCATATGGGATGATGTAATCAAGCCACACAGAGGAAGGCAGCAAGGGTGGTACAAGCAGCCCCAGGGATACTTTGGGGTACAGGAAAGAAGTATTTAAATCTATTTCTATTTTATCTCTTTCATTTTTGTTTTCTATTTTTATGTATTTGTAATAATAGTACTATATACACATATGTAGTTTATAAATACATGAACATACACATAATGGGAGGATGTGCGCCAATATTTTTCTAATAGGGACATGTAATGAAAAAATTTGGAGACAAGAAGACACCACAGAGTTTGGGCTATTTCTAAAAAGACGTGGTCCTTAATCTCCACCCCACCGACAGAATCCCCCTCTATTAAACATGCAGATTCCACGACCCATCTCAGACCTGAATGTCCAGAGGTGGGATACCAGTGCTCTGCATGCTTAAAGAACCACCTAGTAATTCTGACTGCTACTGAAGTTTGGGTACCATTGCAGCACAAGAATTAGAGAAGCTAACATAAAAAGGCTGAGCTAGAAAAAGGCAGAGTCAGTGCAGATGAGAACACCAGAAATCCATTTCTAAGAAGAAAACAGGTAACTGGCCGCTACAGCTCCTGATGGAGCCTGACTAAGAAGTCCCTGTTCTTCCAGCATTCTGGCTGTATGGGTATTGAGACAATGGCTTTACTTTCCCAACTAGTCTTCCATTAAACTCTCATCTCCTAAGGAAACCTGGGTATTTCCTCTCTTGACAGTTGAGGAACAGGAATGGGGAAACTGAGAAACTGTCTTGGTCAGCTCAGGCTGCTACAACAAAATATTGTAGACTGGATGGCTTAAACAATAGACAGTTCTTCCTTACACTTCCCGAGGCTGAAAGTCTGAGATGAGGGTGCCAGCATGGTGGGTTCTGGTGTGGGCTCTCTTCATGGGGAAGGGGAGATCATCTTTCCTGTTTCCTCTTGTAAAGGCACTAATTCCGGCTGGGCGCAGTGGCTCACGCCTGTAATCCCAGCACTTTGGGAGGCTGAGGCGGGTGGATCACGAGGTCAGGAGATAGAGACCATCCTGGCTAACATGGTGAAACCCCGTCTCTACTAAAAATACAAAAAATTAGCCGGGCGTGGTGGCAGGCACCTGTAGTCCCAGTTACTCGGGAGGCTGAGGCAGGAAAATGGCATGAACCCGGGAGGCGGAGCTTGCAGTGAGCTGCGATCGCCACTGCACTCCAGCCTGGGTGACAGAGTGAGACTCTGACTCAATAAATAAATAAATAAATAAATAAATAAAGGCACTAATTCCATCATGAGGGCCCATCTTCATGATTTAATCACCTCCCAAAGGCCCATTTCCAAATATAATCATATTGGGAATTAGGGATTCAACACATAAATTTTGGGGGACACACACATTCAGTCTATAGCAGAAACCAACAGCTCCTCGCATAGAGAGAGCATATAATCTAAGCGAACTGAAAAGGCAACTGACGTAATTTCACTAATCATGTGCCTGAAAGGGTGAGGACAGGATAGGAGGAAGAGGGTGATGAGCCAGAATTGTCTGTAAGCATTTGAAAAAGGTCCTGGACTGACTAAACATTTAACCTGAAGTCATGTGGGTTATTTCTAAAAAGCATAGCAAGTTAAAAAAGGAGGCTGTAGAGCAGAAGCTGGAACAGTCTGTGTGACCTTGGGCAATTCACTGATTCTCTCTGTTCTTTATCTAAGGTTCTTTCCAGGTTTCTAGAACCCAAGTTCAGGCTTAACGGCTAGTTCAGGGTTCCTTTCACACTATATCATGCTGGTCAAGAATAAATTACAAACTTGGCCCTCTAAACTAAAAAATCCAGAAAAGGCTCCTACATCTTTAAGAATTAAATATTAAATAGATCTTCATGAGGAGCAAATCTCTTGTTTTGTCAGCCCTCCCCACTCCCAGTAGGAACTTCTTGCACAAGGCCTTGGCCTATCCAATAGCCAACTATTTTCCAAACCTGATTGAAAATCCAGAGTGAGCATAACTGACTGCTTTCTACCTTGAGCAATGAGACTACATTGTCACTGGAATGTAAATGTCCTATCTAATCAAAGTGACATCTTATTTTGATTTATTGCTGCCTTACTTTTCTTTTAGGGTCATCCTGTATTTCTCTTTTCTCCTAACAGAAAGAGGGCAGGTTGGTGGGTTACTAGGCATTCACCATAGAATGAAACTTGCTAATTGTCACCACTTCTGGGGCCAGGGACATCACCTGCCATAATTCTTCCTACACTTTGCTGGGGCAAGCTCTGTTGAACCAGACTTGAGTGGAGCGACACTGTGTAATGCACTCCAATAGAGTATAGCTAATGCCAAAAGAGAAAAGTGGGAACTGTCTCCTGAAATCTGCCAAAGGTACATGAAAAATTCCAAGGAGAACAAAGGTGACAAATCCCTGCAGTATGCCACATTTTTATTTCCTGAAGATGGAAAGTGCCACAGCATGCTATTCATCTCTGGGGAAACTGAATAAAATGTCTTCTGAGTCACCAGTTTAAAGAGACTTTACTTTAAAAATATAAACTTGATCCTATGAGTTATAATACAGATTGAACTTTATAGTTGTCCTGGAACCTAAATAATTCTAAAAAAGGTTAAAGTATTTCTAACTTTTTAATTCTGCTGCCTAAAATAACTGCTATTAATAATGTATTAGGCCAGTATTATAAAACGCACCTTCTGGATATGTGAAAGTAGAGGTAAAAGATAAGACCTAGCTTGGTTATTAGACAGCAGAGCCTAGTGTTTAGTAGTGCAGGTTCTGGAGTTAAGAGAGTTTGGCTTCAAATTCTAGTTTCACCATTCAATTGCTATGTAACCACTCTAGGCCTCAGTTTCCACATCTGCAAAATGGTAATACCAATAATATTTACTTGAGACTATTGTTGTGAACATGTCAGTAAATAATGTATATAAAGCATTTGTAAGGCACTTAAAATGAACGCTCAACAACTATTGGTGATTACTATTCTAATGACAATTCCTATTAATGAATGAGTTATTTAAATACTTAAAAGTTGAAACTAGTTACCTGTCTTCAAATATGCTAAAGTAACAATCATGCCAGTTAGAATATTATTAAAAATATAGGCCAGGCATTGTAGCTCACGCCTGTAATCTCAGCACTCTGGGAGGCTGAGCCAGGAGGACTGCTTGAGGCCAGAAGTTTGAGACCAGCCTAGGCAACACAGCAAGACCCTATCTCTATAAAAGAAAAAATAATTATACATATATAATTATTTCCTGAATAATATATATGTATGGCATACACAGGTATTGGACAGCCGCCTGCTCTGTTTGGTAAACATTTATCTGCATGCAGATTATGCATTAGCTCCTTCCATTTCCCAATTTTGCACTGAGATGACAACAGAAATGAAATACAGCACTGTGCTGTAGAAGAATTATACCATTTAGCTACGGATCTGTCCATTCTTGCTCATCTGAACCTTTATGTTTTTAGATTCAGGTTCATTTCCTTGAGCCTTCAGGCTGTAGCCCATGTTAATTTGCAAAGCAGTCCAGTAGCCTGTCCTTCACGCTGAAGATATGATAAAGCTTGTGCTTTGAATATCTAGCGCTACCACATCCCCCTTGTGGTCGTGGAGAGTATTTGCAAGGCGCCTGAGAAACCACCAGAAACAGCAAACACACTGGATGTACCCATAGGATCGTAGTTTCCTACACCCTTAGATAACAACATTTGATTCCAGGATTCTTTTTTTTTTTTTTTTTTAGACGGAGTCTTGCTCTGTCGCCCAGGCTGGAGTGCAGTGGCTGGATTTCGGCTCACTGCAAGCTCCGCCTCCCGGGTTCACGCCATTCTCCTGCCTCAGCCTCCCGAGTAGCTGGGACTACATGTGCCCGCCACCGCGCAAGGCTAATTTTTTGTATTTTTAGTAGAGACGGGGTTTCACCGTGGTCTCGATCTCCTGACCTCGTGATCCACCCGCCTCGGCCTCCCAAAGTGCTGAGATTACAGGCGTAAGCCACCGCGCCCGGCCTAATTCCAGGATTCTTTTGATTAACACTTCGTGGCTTTTTAACGTATAGAGCAAGAAAAAGGAAAGCGAACTCTCGGCCGGCGCGGTGGCTCACGCCCATAATCCCAGTATTTTGGGAGGCCGAGGAAGGCGGATCTCTTGAGGTCAGGAGTTCGAGACCAGCCTGGCCAATATGGTGAAACCCCATCTGTACTAAAAATACAAAAAAAAAAAAAAAAAAAGAAGAAGAAAAGAAAAACTCTTAGGAGAACCAGTTAATACAACAGAGAAGTGAGAAGTATGCAGTTTCTCCAATTATTTCCACCTGCCCTTCTCCGCCCCGTCATGTACAACGTAAGAACATAATGTTTTTTATTGCATTTCAATGTTCAATATTATTTGTCACTCCTCTGTCTTCTTTGCATCGGTATATTGTTTTAGAATCTAAATCTCTACAAACAGGAATCATGAGCCTGTTTGGATAGCCTTTAAGAAAGCCTGCCTTCTCATTTTTCTTCCTTTCTCTCTCTTTTTTTTTTGGGGGGGGGGGGGGGCGGAGTCTGGCTCTGTCACCTGGAGTGCAGTGGTGCAATCTCCACTCACTGCAACCTCCGCCTCCTGGGTTCAGGCAATTCTCCTGCCTCAGCCTCCCGAGTAGCTGGGGTTACAGGTGCCCACTACCACGCCTGGTTAATTTTCGTATTTTTAGTAGAGACGAGGATTTCACCATGTTAGCCAGGCTGGTCTCGGACTCCTGACATCAGGTGATCCACCCGCCTCAGCATCCCAAAGTGCTGGGATTACAGGCGTGAGCCACCACGCCCGGCCGCATCTTTCTTTTCTCTCTTTCTCTTTCCTTCCTTTCCTTATTTCCTTTTCTCCTTCCTTCTTTCCCTCCTTCCCTCCCTCCTTCCTTCCTTTCTCCTTTCTTTCTGTTTTTTTGTTTTTTGTTTTTTTTAATGTCTCGCTGTGTCACCCAGACTGGAGTGAAATGGCACAATCATAATCACGACTCACTGCAGCCTCGACCTCTCTTGGCTCAGGTGATTCTTCCACCTCAGCCTCCCGAGTAGCTGGTAGCTGGGACTACAGGTGCACCACCATGCCCGGCTAATTTTTTGTAGAAATGGGGTTTTGCCATGTTGCCCAGGCTGTTCTCAAATTCCTGAACTCAAGTGATCCTCCCACTCCAGCCTCCCAAGTAGGTGGGACTACAGGTGCTTGCTACCATGCCCAGCCAATTTAAAAAAAAAAAAAAAAAAAATTGGCCGGCCGCAGTGGCTCACGCCTGTAATTCCAGCATTTGGGATGCCGAGGCGGGCGGATCCCTTGAGTTCAGGAGTTGGAGACCAGCCTGGGCAACAAGGCGAAACCCCGTCTCTACGAAAAATACAAAAATTAGCCAGGCGTAGTGCCGCATGTCTGTAATCCCAGCTACTCGGGGGAGGGGGGCGCTGAGGCGGCACTGGAATCATCTGAGCCCAGAGAGGTGGAGGCTGCAGTAAGCTGAGACTGCACCACTACACTGCAGCCTGGGCGACAGAGGCTAAAGATGGAGTCTCACTCTGTCGCTCAGGCTGATCTCGAACTCCTGGGTTCAAGTGATCCTCCCACCTCGGCCTCCCAAAGTGCTGGGATTACAGGCGTGAGCCACCGCCTGGCCACCCCTGCCTTCTGAGAGAACTAAAAACAAGAGAAATGAAGTGTTAAGTAACTAGTGAGGATAATATAGTAATAGCTGACAGTTAAGAGTGTGTGGGAGGCTTTTTAAAAACTTTTAGAATCTATATAATCTATAACCCATGTTACGTTAGACTTTTGTTTATTTTCTTACTCCCACTGCCATCCTCCTCAGAATGTAAACTCTTCAGTTAGCTTCTTTCCCTCCCCAACTTTCCCCAACATTTCCTTCACAGTTCCTCACCCAGGGGTGACTACTTAATAATACAGATCTTCCTGAAGAGATAGGGGGTCTGAAACATTTCTCTTTTTTTGAAAGCGGGCTTCCAGGACAAATTGCTTCATCTCCAAAATCAAGTTCAATCTGTCATCAGCCATTCGTTCGTGTTTTGCTTTCGCTGTATTCCTACCACCTGGGAGAGTGACTGACACACGGTAGGCATGCCAAAACATATCTGTTGAATCAATTAATTCCTCTTCTTAAAAATCTAAAACTGGGTTGGGCGCGGTGGCTCACGCCTGTAATCCCAGCACTTTGGGAGGCCGAGGCAGGCAGATCACGAGGTCAGGAGATCGAGACCATCCTGGCCAACATGGTGAAACCCGGTGTCTACCAAAAATATAAAAATTAGCTGGGCGTGGTGGCGCGCGCCTGTAATCCCATCTACTTGGGAGGCTGAGGCAGGAGAATAGCTTGAACCAGGGAGTCAGAGGTTGCAGTGAGCCGAGATGGCGCCACTGCACTCAAGCCTGGCGACAAAGACTGCCTCAAAAAAAAAAACAAAAACCTAAAAACTGGTCACAGGGTAGTGAAGTAGTTGACATCCTGCCACCAGCACAAGGTTTAAAAAGGGCCAGAGGAGTCTCAAGTCAGGCCCAGCACAGTGGGGAGAGGAAGAGCCTGAAGCTCAGCTATTTTTCTTTTTTTTCTTGAGACGGAGTCTCGCTCTGTCGCCCAGGCTGGAGTGCAGTGGCGCGATCTCGGCCCACTGCAAGCTCCGCCTCCCGGGTTCACGCCGTTCTCCTGCCTCAGCCTCCCGAGTAGCTGGGACTACAAGCGCCTGCCACCACGCCCGGCTACTTTTTCGTATTTTCAGTAGAGACGGGGTTTCACCGTGTTAGCCAGGATGGTCTCGATCTCCTAACCTCGCGATCCGCTCGCTTCGGCCTCCCAAAAGTGCTGGGATTACAGGCGTGAGCGCCCGGCCAAGCTCAGCTATTTTTTTTTCCCTTTGTGCAGGCTAATTGGCCTAATGTTCTGTGTGAATCAAACGCTTCGTAGTTGGAAACCCAAGACCCCTGTGATAAAACGCAACACGAAATTGTTTAACGTCTGTCTGCATATCCAAGTGTCTTTCAAGTTGTGAACAACGGGCGGGACCAAACAACAAAAGTACTGACGTCCTCACTTCACAAAGCCACAAGACAAGATGGCGCCGTCCTCCAGGAGCGGGAGCTGGGAACACGTCCACGCCCGGGGGGTGTGCACGCGCCCGGGCTCGCCCCAGGGAACGCTGGCGTGCACTCGGGCACCCAGTGAGCGCCGCAGTTAGTCTCCACCCATGTTTTCCGCCACTCCTTGCGCACATGCGCTCTAGGTTCTTAGCTGGATGTCTGTTGCGCCAACAGGCTCCTCCTCCCGCGCAACTGACGCAAGAAGACTGTAATCGGTTCGCAATTTATCCCGTGTGACCTTGAGTCTTTCCTGTCGCCGAGGACCGGGGCTGTCCGAGATACGGCCTTCATATCCCTCTTCCTCCCCTGGACTCTTTCTGAGCTCAGAGCCGCCGCAGCCGGGACAGGAGGGCAGGCTTTCTCCAACCATCATGCTGCGGAGCATATTACCTGTACGCCCTGGCTCCGGGAGCGGCAGTCGAGTATCCTCTGGTCAGGCGGCGCGGGCGGCGCCTCAGCGGAAGAGCGGGCCTCTGGGCCGCAGTGACCAACCCCCGCCCCTCACCCCACGTGGTTGGAGGTTTCCAGAAGCGCTGCCGCCACCGCATCGCGCAGCTCTTTGCCGTCGGAGCGCTTGTTTGCTGCCTCGTACTCCTCCATTTATCCGCCATGATAAGTGCCAGCCGAGCTGCAGCAGCCCGTCTCGTGGGCGCCGCAGCCTCCCGGGGCCCTACGGCCGCCCGCCACCAGGTGAGGAACTGGGACCTTCCCGAATGGGGTCACGGCCTCGGGCCTTGGGCCTCGGGCTTCGCTGCGGCAGGCCGCGCGCCCTTTAGGGTTTGAATTCTCCAGTATAGGTCAGGCGGGAAGGAAGGTAACGGGCCTTCCATAGTTAGCGCTGCCGGGTCAAGATTTTGCCCAAGGTTTTGCCTCCGGCTTGGGCCCTGCTGAGTCACACCCCTCGCGATCTAGAGTGTCATTTCAAAATTACCAGGTAGTGGTCCTCATGGCCTGTTCTGTGGCTGAATGGAAAGGTTTGGCCTTGGGGGTGAGGGATGCAGTCTATTGGGAAAGCCACTATTTTCAGTTTTATTTTTGGCTCCTCTACAGAATACAGAGTGTGTAAGGATCCCGTTGATACGGTGAAATAAAATAAGAAAGCTCTGAGTCGGAACTCCAGTTTTCGTGCTTAGCAACATTTTCTCAAAATCTGTGGTGTAAGATTGTACTCGTTTGTTACTTCAGAAAAAAAAGCAGATCGTGGGGCGGAGAAAAGGCTATGGAGTGGTTACTTGTTTTCTAAAATAAAAGACAAATGCTTTAGAGAACAGGAATTGTATGTGGGCATTAAGGAAGGCTTGGAAGGAGCCTGAGGTTAAGTTGTAATAAAGGTCTTTTATCCTAGTGAAACGCCACTACTTTTCTTTTTTCTTTCAAAGACCCTTAGTAACTCTAGTTCTTTTAAACTAATTGCACGGCAAGGTAAGGGGAAGTGTTTTCCCCCAGGGGACATCTGGCAATGTCTGTGGATATTTTAGGTTGTCACTTACTTACTGGGGTGCTTATTGGTTTCTAGGGTGTCGAGGCCAGGGATGCTGCTGTATATCCTACAATGCACAGAACAGCCCCCACCACAAAAATTTCGCCCAAAATTAATAGCGCCACGGTTGAGAAATCCTACTGTAATGTGATTCTAAGGCCATCTTTTATTTACCTTTTTTCGTCTTACTTATTTGGGAAACTTTAATATTTACTGTTTTAGTAGCTTAATGTATTTTATATACTAAGTGAGCCCAAGTTTTCTCTTTTTCCTCCCAGGATACACACTGGTTGGTGACTGAGTCAGTTTTTTCTTTTTTAGGATAGCTGGAATGGCCTTAGTCATGAGGCTTTTAGACTTGTTTCAAGGCGGGATTATGCGTAAGTATAATATCATTTCCTTTGAGAGGGAATACATATTAAACTTCAAAGCAGTGTTTTCTACATTTGTGATTATTCTTCTCTGTAATTATTTATCTGTATTTATTTAGAGATTATGTAGTATACCACTGTTAATTTTCCAATTAAATATTATCTTCCAGTGACTTTGGTCTATCAAGATAACAATAGCTGTGACACTGTTCTAAATGTCTTACAGATCAGAAGCAATCAAGGGAGCAGTTGTTGGTATTGATTTGGGTACTACCAACTCCTGCGTGGCAGTTATGGAAGGTAAACAAGCAAAGGTGAGCATGATTGATAACTAGTACCTTATCCAGAATCTGTCCAGAATTCTGTGCTCTTTTCCTTAGTTAAGGAATTTGAGAACCTGATTTGCGCTTTTTTTTTTTTTTTTTTTTTTTTTTTGGAGACAGTCTCTATAGCCCATGGTGGAGTGCAGTGGCACGGTCTCCGCTCACTGCAACCTCTGCCTCCTGGGTTCAAACAGTTCTCCTGCCTTGGCCACATAGCTGGGATTACAGGCATGAACCACCATTCCTGGCTAATTTTTTGTATTTTCAGTAGAGACAGTTCCACTGTGTTGGCCAGGCTGGTCTTGAGCTCAAGTGATCCGCCCACGTTGGCCTCCAAAGTGCTGGGATTACAGATGTGAACCACTAAGCCTGGCCTCGAAGTACTTCCAACTAAAACAGCAAAAACATAACTATAGATCAGGGCTGACCGGGCATAATGGCTCACGCCTGCAGTCCCAGCACTTTGGGAGGCCAAGGGGGGTGGATTACCTGAGGTCCCAAGTTCAAGACCAGCCCGGCCAAAATGGTGAAACCCCGTCTCTACTAAAAATGCAAAAAATTGGCCGGGTACAGTGGCTCACACCTGAAATCCTAGCACTTTGGGAGGCCAAGGCGGGTGGATCACAAGGTCAAGAGATCGAGACCATTCTGGCCAACATGGTGAAACCTGTCTCTACTAAAAATACAAAAATTAGCTGGGCGTAGTGGCACACACCTGTAGTCCCCGCTACTCGGGAGGCTGAGGCAGGAGAATCGCTTGAACCCAGGAGGTGGAGGTTGCAGTGAGCCAAGATCACATCACTGTACTCCAGCCTGGGTGACAGAGCGAGACTTTGTCTCAAAAAAAAAAAAAGAAGAGACTATAGATCAGGTTTTTCATACCCAATGTTGGGACAAGAATCTTTACTTCCACATGGAGAATTATATCTACTTCTAAGTTTTTTGGGGGGTTGGCCACAGATATCAGGCATATAGGAAAAATGCCAAGAAGCCCAAATTAGGGCCAAGAGAAGGAATAATCTCTTGGTGCCAAACAAGTGGGATAAGAAGACCATAGACAGTTCAGGTTATTTCAGAAGAGGAGATTGGGGGGAAAGGAAGTATGAAAGCAAAAGAGGCCATGAATGGAAGAAGCAAGAGTCAAGAATTCCAGGTGTTCTAAATCTTGCTAAGAACCCGGTGGGAATAAAGGTTGCATGTACAGAGTAAGGAGGCTTCAAAAGAAATAGCCTGCTCCAATGAACAACATGCATTACTTCAGAGATGAAGCTCCACTTCTAGTCTGTCTCTGCACACCCAACTTTGTTTCAATTTAGAAAATGCAGCACTTTGGTGGTTACCAGAGTAACCAAACAGTGCAAGCCATTCCCACCCCTCTTAATAGTAAATTAGTAGTCCTACCTCTATACCACATTTAAATCCTTTTCTGGGAAGTTAGATACATACAATTATCAGCACTACAAAGGTTCACCTGACAAGAGTCTTAAGCAACCAAAGCAGTTTTTAAAATGTAAATCAGGGCCAGGCCTGGTGGGTCATGCCTGTAATCCCAACACTTGGGGAGGCCACTTGAGTGTGGGAGTTGAAGATCACCCTAGGCAACATAGCAAAACACTGTCTCTACAAAAAATTAGCCGGGCATAGTGGTGTGCCCCTGTAGTCCCAGCTACTCTGGAGGCTAAGGTGGGAGGATCAGCTGAGGCTGGCAGGTCAATGCTGCAGTGAGCCGTGACAGTGCCACTGCACTCCAGCCTAGGTGACAGTGAGACTCTGTCTCAAAAAAAAAAAAAAAAGCCAGGCGCAGTGCCTCAAGCCTGTAATCCCAGCATTTTGGGAGGCCAAGGTGGGCGGATCGCCTGAGGTCAGGAGTTCGAGACCAGCCTGGCCAACTTGGCAAAACCCCATCTCTACTAAAAGTACACACACACACACACACACACAAAATTAGTTGGGTGTGGTGGCAGGCACCTGTAATCCCAGCTACTCAGGAGGCTGAAGTAGGAGAATTGAACCCAGGACAGGGAGTTTGCAGTGAGCCGAGATCGCGCCACTGCACTCCAGTCTGGGTGACAAGAGCGAGACTCCCTCTCAAAAAAAAAAAAAAAATAGTAGTTTGAAAGTAAAGGGCTAAAGATACCTTAACTAAATATCTACTGTTCATTAACTATCAGCAGTAAAGCATGCCCGGTAGTATTGTTGATGTGCATTTGTTTCGCAATTTGGGAGCTGTTTCTGTGTCTTAAATGATTGCTGCAAACATACCAGTAATAGGCTGGGCGTATTGGCTCATGCCTGTATCGCAACACTTCGGGAGGCTGAGGCGGGCAGATCACCTGAGGTCAGGAGTTCGAGACCAGCCTGGCCAAAATGGTGAAACCCCCGTCTCTACTAAAAAATGCCGAAAAATTAGCTTGGTGTGGTGGTGCACGCCTATAGTACCAGCTACTAGGGAGGCTGAGACAGAAGAATCGCTTGAACCCAGGATGCGGAGGTTGCAGTGAGCCAAGATTGTGCCATTGTACTCCAGCCTTAGCGACAGAGTGAGACTCCATCTCAAAAAACATACCAGTGATAACTACAAACTTACTCTCTATCACATTTTGGGAGTTTAGGTGCTGGAGAATGCCGAAGGTGCCAGAACCACCCCTTCAGTTGTGGCCTTTACAGCAGATGGTGAGCGACTTGTTGGAATGCCGGCCAAGCGACAGGCTGTCACCAACCCAAACAATACATTTTATGCTACCAAGCGTCTCATTGGCCGGCGATATGATGATCCTGAAGTACAGAAAGACATGTGAGTAACAGCAAAAGTTTTTTGCAAAAAGCAGTTATTTGCAAGGGCCACACAGAAGAGCCTCAGCATGTTGATGAGGATCCCTGGAGCACCTTACTTTAGTAATTTTACTTATTGTCCCTAGGGGAAATCTGTACCACTGCCAAAAGGGTAATCCCTTTAAAAAATTCATTTTTGGCCAGTGCAGTGGCTCACACCTGTAATCCTAGCACTTTGGGAGGCCGAGGTGGGTGGATCACCTGAAGTCAGGAGTTCAAGACCAGCCTGGCCAACATGGTGAAACCCTGTCTCTACTAAAATACAAAAATTAGCTGTGCATGATGGTGGGTGCCTGTAATCCCGGCTACTCAGGAGGCTGAGACGGGAGAATCACTTGAACCCGGGAGACGGTGGTTGCGGTGAGCCGAGATCACTGCCACTGCACTCCAGCCTGGGCTGCTGAGACTCTGTCTCAAAAGAAAAAAATTCATTTTTGTCTTTACAGATTAGGTCTTTGCTATGTATTGACATGATACATGAAAATTTGCAAAGCATTCCTAAACCACATAGTTCAGTGTTGAATACATAAGGCAGAAATGGCATAGGTTCTATCATGTGTTGATCCAGTACAGAAAAAGACTTGATTTTTCTTTTTTCTTCCCCCCTCCCAATAGAAACGGGGCTCACTATGTTGCCCAAGTTGGTGTTGAACTCCTGGACTCAACTGACCCTTCCACCCCAGCCTCCCAAATTATTGGGATTACAGGCGTGAGCCACCATGCCCAGCCTGCCTTTTTCTAAAATAGACATACTAGAGGCTCGGTGGGGTGACTCACACCTGTAATCCTAACACTTTGGGAGGCTGAGGTGAGCTCAGGAGTTCGAGACCAGCCTGGACAACTTGGGGAAAAGCCACCTCTGCAAAAAATACAAAAAAGAGCCAAGCTCGGTGGTGCGCGCCTATAGTCCCAGCTACTAGTGAGGCTTGAGCGTTGAGGGGCGGAGGTTCCAGTGAGCTGAGATCATGCCATTGCACTCCAGTCTGAGTAATAGCAGTGAAACCCTGTCTCAAAAAAAAAAAAAACTAGAAGCATAGGTAGAGTTTCCTGTTGTATACAAAATGTTTTAGGCCTAGAGCAGTGGCTCATGTCTGTAATCCTAGCACTTTAGGAGGCAGAGGTGGAAAGACTGTCTGAGGCTGAGTTTAAGACCATCTAGGCCAACAAGGCAAGACTGTGTGTGTCTCTGTCTATATATATATAAACTAAATATTTTTAAAAATTTAAACAGCTTTATTGAGCTTGAGTAGAATATGAATTCTGTATGCATGGAGTTGCGTGGACCTCTATGACTGGCTTCTTTCACTTAGCATGTTTTCAAGGTTCATCCATGTTGTAGCATGTGTCAGTACTGCATTCCTTTTTATGGCCAAATAATACTATACTGTATGGACATACAGCACATTTTGTTTATCCATTTGTCAAGTGATGGACATTTGAGCTGTTTCTGCTTTTTGGCTATTAGAAATAATGCTGCCATAAACATTTGTGTACAAGTTTTTGTGTGGACATAAATATTTCCATTTGTCTTAGAGAGTAGAATTGCTGGATCATACAGTAACGGTTTCATCAAATTATTCTAAAGTGGCTGCAAAAATCTTCTGCCTGGGGCGCTAAATAAAGAATGTTGAGGTTTCATCATAATGTTTTTATATGTTAGTGATTGCTTTCTTTTTATTTATTTATTTCATTTTGCCTTGTAATTCTCATAAACCATGTTAGTGATTGCTTTCTAAAGAATTTCACAAACTGTCATTTGTTGGCCATGAATGAGTCTCTTGGGGTGGAAGATGGATGTTCATGGTATGTGGTAATTTTGTCATGGTAAGTTGTTCAGGTAGTTTTCTCTAATAGAATTTTTGTGTCTTACAGTAAAAATGTTCCCTTTAAAATTGTCCGTGCCTCCAATGGTGATGCCTGGGTTGAGGCTCATGGGAAATTGTATTCTCCGAGTCAGATTGGAGCATTTGTGTTGATGAAGATGAAAGAGACTGCAGGTGAGTGGGTTTAGTTCACATCTGGGAAAGTTCTAAGAACAATGATTCCTGTGAGATCACTAGCTCCCTGTGCTCCAGCTCCTGTAGATGAATCTGTGGTCCCTTTTGTATAGAAAAACTAGGAATGGCAAAACTGTGTTATACTTCATGCTTTCCCTGCAGATTGAATTAATCTTCAAATCTCACTAATGGTGGCTGGCTTGTTTCTTTTTTTCCAGTAGGGGGTAATGTTCTATATTGAAAGCCACAAGACTACACATTAAGCTTTTGTCCCTGTTAGGTATAAATTAGAACTTCCTATTTGAAGTGGCTGTTGTAAGTCTAAAGGTCATTGTAGTTTAGTGAACCTTCACTAAAATGTTGAAAGAGTGATCTTAGGGGTTTCTGTTTTTTGGGGTTTTTTTGTTGTTGTTTTTTGAGACAGAGTTTCACTCTTGTTGCCCAGGCTGGAGTGCAGTGGCACAATCTCGGCTCACCAAAGCCTCCGCCTCCCGGGTTCAAGCGATTATCCTGCCCTCTCCCTCCCCCCCAACGTAGCTGGGATTACAGGCATGCGCCATCATGCCTAGCCACTTTTGTGTTTTTAGTAAAGAGATGGGGGTTTCTTCATGTTGGTCAGGCTGGTCTCCAACTCCCGACAAATCAGGTGATTCATCCGCCTCAGCCTCTCAGAGTGCTGGGATTACAGGCATGAGCCACCGTGCCTGGCCGGCCGATCTTGGGTTTGTTTGTTTGTTTTGAGACAAGAGTCTCGCTCTGTCGCCCAAGCTAGAGTGCAGTGGTGCGATCTTGTCTCACTGCAACCTCCGCCTCCCAGGTTCAAACAATTCTCCCGCCTCAGCCTCCTGAGTAGCTGAAATGACAGGCATGCGCCACCATGCCTGAATAATTTTGTATTTTTAGTAGAGATGGGGTTTCTCCATATTGGTTAGGCTGGTCTCAAAACTCTCAACCTTAGGTGATCTGCCCGCCTCAGCCTCCCAAAGTGCTGGGATTACGAGTGTGAGCCACCGTGCCCGGCCTGATCTTGGGTTTTTAACCAGTGTATTTACTTGGAGTGTTTCCTGCAAGGACATATTAGGTCACTTACCAAAAGACTGAAGAATGTTGTCTGTGGCTGCAAAAGGATGACACAGGTTGTTGGGCTATATTAATAATTCTGTTCTGACAGAATTCCATGATTGAATTTCATTCTTTTCCAGAAAATTACTTGGGGCACACAGCAAAAAATGCTGTGATCACAGTCCCAGCTTATTTCAATGACTCGCAGAGACAGGTGAGGTCAATTAGCATTCTTATTCACAAAAAGTAAGGTGCCTGGGATGGAAGGGTACAAAAATGTTTTTCTCTTTGTTTTCTCTAGGCCACTAAAGATGCTGGCCAGATATCTGGACTGAATGTGCTTCGGGTGATTAATGAGCCCACAGCTGCTGCTCTTGCCTATGGTCTAGACAAATCAGAAGACAAAGTGTAAGTTTGTGCAGTAAATTTCTCACCTGGATGTGTGAAACTAAAGTGTCACTTAATTTTTTAGTAATTGAGCCTTTTACAGTGCTTTTACTGATTTTAAGTCTGTATTGTCTTTGTTTTTTCATTTCAAAACCATTCTTTTCTTTTCTTTTGGGCCATGGTAATTTAACTAGTACATATCTCAGGGAAATAGCTTAGATTATCTGTATTTGGTTATTGAAATTTATATCCTGGTGATAGGTTTTGTTCTTAAGGATTTCTTTTCTTTTTTTTTTCACAAATCATTTACAGCATTGCTGTATATGATTTAGGTGGTGGAACTTTTGATATTTCTATCCTGGAAATTCAGAAAGGAGTATTTGAGGTGAAATCCACAAATGGGGATACCTTCTTAGGTGGGGAAGACTTTGACCAGGCCTTGCTACGGCACATTGTGAAGGAGTTCAAGAGAGAGGTGAGTTACCAATGTGGTTAATATGTAGACGTTGGGATATTGAGAAATTCTTTGTTCAGATTGCTCTTTGCTTTGTTTACGAGTTCAGTTCAACCCCCTTATTCTAGACACAGATACTCTTTTCAGAATATTTTTTTTCCCTACACATTAAGGGTAATAAAAAGTAATTCATGCTTATATATAAAGGTATGACTCCATTTTGTGTTGTTCCACCTTATTACTGCAGTTTATTTATCACCTCACTAATGCTGGTGTTTGGTGTTCAATGTCTTCACTTTATAGACAGGGGTTGATTTGACTAAAGACAACATGGCACTTCAGAGGGTACGGGAAGCTGCTGAAAAGGCTAAATGTGAACTCTCCTCATCTGTGCAGGTGAGACACGGAAAATTCGAGCAGTCTTGATGGATATTTTCAGCCGGAGCTTATTTAAAATAAATAGTATTTTCTAATTGGCCTAATGTCAGTTGAGTTTTTTTTGTTTGTTTGTTTTTTCAGTTTTCTGGTTTCTAGAGACCTTTGCCATGAGCACAGGGACAGTAAGGTCTTTAGTTTCTTTATGAGCTGAAATTTTTTTAGCCACTCAAATCAGTTACATATACTGGAGCTAAATAATGTGTGAATGATGTGCTGGGTGTACTTGTTTGCCTTTCAGTTAAAGACATTTATTTTAAAACCTGCTCTGGCAGTGTTTAAAACTAGAATTACTAGCTTGGAAAAACTGCTGTCTTAACTGACAATATTAAATAACCTCTCTCCTTGTGAATTGGAGAGTCTCTGAGTGTCTTTTTTTTTTTTTTTTTTTTTTTTTTGAGACAGAGTTTTGCTCCTGTTGCCCAGGCTACAGTGCAATGGCGTGATCTTGGCTCACCGCAACCTCTGCCTCCTGGGTTCAAGTGATTTCTCCTGCCTCGACCTCCCAAGTAGCTGGGATTACAGGTGTGCACCACCATGCCTGGCTAATTTTTGTATTTATAGTACAGACAGGGTTCTGCCATGTTGGCCAGGTTGGTCCTTGGACTCCTGACCTCAGGTGATTGACCTGCCTCGGCCTCCCAAAGTGCTGGGATAATGGGCGTGAGCCACTGAGCCCGGCTAATTGTCTCTCACTTAATAATTTGAAAAATTAGCTGGTCATAGTCTATACAACTGTGGTCCCAGCCACTCCAGAGGCTAAGAGGATTGTTTGAGCCCAGGAGGTTGAGGCTGCAGTGAGCCGTGATCACACCATTTCACTCCAGCCTGGGTGACAAATGAGACCCTGTGTCAAAAAATGACAATAATTTGAATCACCAGTCTAGAAAAAGAGCTGAAGCTTGTGCAAGTTTCCGTCTGTGAGCATCAGATTTACACAGCCTCTTTGTCAGTTTGGTTAGCTCCAGTTCTGAGAGGTGAAACTTGTCTTCACCACCAAGAATAGAATTATATAAACCATTTTAGATCTGTGTTAGAGACCCATGAAGATAGAAAGCAGCAGATCTATTTCCGGTGTCTTGGGTGACAGCAGGAAAAGCAGAGCGGTGACACCTTTATTTTGATCACCCACAAGGGAAGAGGTATTTATGATGGTTGTCACTGTGGTTGCTGCTAATGAACCTTCCCCTCAAACCTGGATTTTTTTTTTTAAGTGGCTGTGAGGAGTGACATAGTTATACACACGCATCCATGGTCTTGCTGATGTTACTTTGCCCCTGCTATCATGGAGTGGCAGAACATTGCAACGTTGGTTAGGGTTGAGGTTGAAATACCTGGCACTGCCAGAAGATAATTCTTCCCAGGGATTTGACATTTGGGGTAGGGGATGCGAGGTGTTGGAAGAGATTGGTTGGTTTTAATTAGTGTGGCTGCATCCTATTGATAGACATTTTGATTGTTTTCCAGTGTTTATTATAGCAAGATGTATTGAGCATCCTTACACATTCAGTTTTGCATAGGTGATTTTAAATCTATAGAATAAATTCTTAGCGTTTATTACCCTCATGCAGATTATATTGTGGTTTGGAAAGATGGACATTAATTAGAACAGATTAGTAAACGTTAAACTAGAAGTGATACAAAGTAAAGGTTAAGGGTGGTTCTGCAAGCATTCTGCTGGGGTTCAAGTCCCCCTTGTATTGCTTATTAATTGGTGATCTTGGATGAATTAACATTACTGTTACTTATCTACAAAACAAGGATAATAGTGGTACTCTTCCCCTAAGAGTTGTGAGCATTACCAAGTTCATAAATATTACATGCTTAGGAAAACATAGGAAATTGTGAATACTCTAAATGTAAGTTACTATTAATGTAACAAGTGGTAAAAATGCAGTTACAATTTAAGAAGGGGCCTCACTTTGGGTGGCCAGGGCAGGAATATCACTTGAGCTCAGGAATTGGGGACCAGCCTGGGCAAAATAGTGAGAACCCCCGTCTCTACAAAACTAGCTGGGCGTGGTGCACTACACCACAGGTGCGTGCCTGTAGTCCCAGCTACTCAGGAGACTGAGGCACAAGAATCTTTTGAGCCCAAGTGTTTGAGGCTGCAGTGAGCTGTGAATGCCACTGCACCCCAACCTGGGTGACAGAGCAGGTCTCTTAAAAGCAATCTAAGAAGGGGCCGCACGCAGTGGCTCACATCTGTAATCTCAGCACTTTGGGAGGCCAAGGCCGGTGAATCACTTGAGGTCAGGAGTTCCAGACCAGCCTCGCCAACACGGTGAAACCGTGTCTCTACTAAAAATACAAAAATTAGCCAAGTGTGGTTGCAGGTGCCTGTAATCCCAGCTACTCAGTAGGCTGAGGCAGGAGAATCGCTTGAACCCAGGAGGCAGAGGTTGCAGTGAGCCCAGATGGCACCACTGCAGTCCAGTCTGGGTGACTGAATGAGACTCTGTCTCAAAAAATAAAAATGAAAAATAAAAATAATAAAAATAATCTAAGAAGGTACCTGAGAGAGGTGTTCAGCATAACAAGAATAGCATCTGAGAGATGAGTTTATCAGAAAAAGATAAATGGGCATGTGTAATGGGTTAAGAGTAAGGCTCTCAGGTGAAGACCTGAGAAAGGGCCAGAGTGGCCAAAAGGGCAGAGTGAAGATTGGGGTCGGTTGTTGGTGGGCATGGAAAATGAGGCTAGAGCAGGCTTGTCCAACCTGCAGCCTAGAATGGCTTTGAATGTGGCCCAACACAAATTTGTAAACTTTCTTAAAATACTGAGGGTTTTGTTTTTTGTTTTTGTTTTAAGCTCATCAGCTATTGTTAGTGTTAATGTATTTTATGTGTGGCCCAAGGAAGCCAAAAGATTGGATACCCTTGGGCTAGAGGCTTTATAGATTTGGGATTTGGTGTCTCTCCCTAGATAAGTGAATACAAACCCCAGAGGAGTTGAGGATAGTAACATGGTCATGTGTCGATTTGTGAAAAGCCCTTTGGCTGGAGTAGAGTGGAGAATTGTGAAGGGCAGAAGGCACCCTGAGTGGGTGTAGGGGGGCTGTTGGTAACCATGTGTTGAGAAAAGACTTGGATGAGAGTGAGAGTAAGACACAAGTGATTGGGTTTGAGAGAGGAGGGTAAGGAAAGAACATTGTGATAGATGTTGGACTGGTTGTAGAGGGTTGAGAGTTAGTGCTGGAGATTTTCAGGTTGCCATTAGCTTTTAGTGTTTAGAGTCGTGCTACTATAATAGCCAAATATGGGTTTTGAATTAATTAAAATTAAATAACATTTAAAATTACATTTCTCAGTTACACTAGTCTTATTTCAAGTGCTCAGTAGTCATGTTAGTGGTTGCTGAATTGAGCAGCATAAGGAGCATTTTCATTGTCACAGAAAATTCTACTGGATAGCATTGATTTAGATAATTCTGTGTTCTGATTTGGTTAATCAACATTTTGCAAAAAAGAAATTGTCAATAATATTTAGGTATCACTATTCTACAGATGGTGTGTTAACTCTATTTATTAAGTATTCAAATGTTTAGGATACTTCTCCTGAAGAAAGGTGGTTAAGGACTCACTCTCAGTTACACACTGTAAGATCCCATGTTGTACTGGGATTTGGGATTTATTAAATACTGGATATTACATGGTGTGACTGTCAGCTGCTCTCCATGGATGTGATGGCCATACAAGTCAGTCCTCATACATTAATGAGAGCATGTCTGTAGCTTTCGTATCACTTGTAAACGTCCTGGAACTTACAGAGCCCAGGGTTAATGGCATGTTATTTGGTTCAGAACATAACTTTGACATTTCTCTTCACCTACATGGGATATTTTTAAAACTTGGTGAAGGAAAACATCAGTAGTGTGGTTCTAATGAATATGTAGTGGCAGAATAGTTCTTTATCTTCTGAATGGGGATTTTTTTCCTGCTTATCTGCTGCATTCTTGTTAATAACTATAAACTTTATTAAAACATTCTATAGTGCTTATCTCTGGGGAGATAAAACATTGTTTTTTTGTTTTTTTGAGACGGAGTTTCACTCTTGTTGCCCAGGCTGGAGTGCAGTGGCACAATCTCGGCTCACCGCAACCTCCACCTCCCGGGTTCAAGCGATTCTCCTGCCTCAGCCTCCCAAGTAGCTGGGATTACAGGCATGTGCCACCACGCCCGGCTAATTTTTTTTGTATTTTTAGTAGAGACGGGGTTTCACCATGTTAGCCAGGATGGTCTCGATCTCCTGACCTCGTGATCCACCCGCCTCGCCCTCCCAAAGTGCTGGGATTACAGGCGTGAGCCACTGCACCCGGCAAAACATTGCATCTTAAAGAGTAACTATTCTTGGCCGGGTGGGGTGGCTCACGCCTGTAATCCCAGCACTTTGGGAGGCTGAGGCAGGCGGATCACGAGGTCAAGAGATCGAGACCATCCTGGCCAACATGCTGAAACCCTGTCTCTACTAAAAATACAAAAATTAGCTGGGCATGGTGGCACATGCCTGTAGTCCCAGCTACTTGGGAGGCTGAGGCAGGAGAATCGCTTGAACCTGGGAGGCGGAGGTTGCAGTGAGCCAAGATCATGCCACTGCACTCCAGCCTGGCGATAGAATGAGACTCTGTCTCAAAAAAAAAAAAAGTATTCTTGGTGACTATTCATTTAAATTAGATCTCACCCTCCCTTTGGTTTTGCAAGTCTTCTGTCCTAGGGCATGGTCATATTTTAGTTGAAATAATAAATGTAACCGTCATTTGGCCTGCTCGCTGACATGCAATTAAACATTTCCTTTGCAGACTGACATCAATTTGCCCTATCTTACAATGGATTCTTCTGGACCCAAGCATTTGAATATGAAGTTGACCCGTGCTCAATTTGAAGGGATTGTCACTGATCTAATCAGAAGGACTATCGCTCCATGCCAAAAAGCTATGCAAGATGCAGAAGTCAGCAAGAGTGACATAGGAGAAGTGATTCTTGTGGGTGGCATGACTAGGATGCCCAAGGTATGGACCAGTGGAATTCTGTCGTGGAGAGAGAGGGCTGGCGCATAGTGTATTCTTGGGACAGGTGGCACAAATATATGGCCCATTCTGCTGGGGTGACCTAAAAGGGAGATGAGATTATATACTCACTAAAGAATTCTTTTCTGTTTGTTTTGTTAAAATTGAAAAATAGGCTGGGCATGGTGGTTCACGCCTATAATCCCAACACTTCGGGAGGCTGAGGCGGGCAGATCACATGAGTCTAATTTATATATATATATGTATGTATGTATGTATGAAAAATTAGGGAGGGGCAGAATTTCTTTAGGGGCAGTAGCAGGGAGGATCCCGAACTCAGTCATAGAATTTTTAGGATTGAAACAAAGTTTGAGGTCAGAGGGGAACATAAAACCTTGGTAATACCCCGCCCCCGGCCACCATCTTTGTACATGTGTCTTTGCAGCTTAGTGCATCTCTTTGACAAAGATTTGTGCAATGATGTATTTTATTCAACACATCATTCTGAAAGAACGTGTGGAAAACTAATGACTGAGCACAAACCTGTTGAAGATGCAGTTCTTCTTGGTAGCCTAAATAGGATTATCTTGGACCTAAGATAGTGACCTTGTTTTTTTTCTTAATTTTTCCATTGAAATACATGGCCTTAAGGAAATATGCAAAAAAAAAAAAAATGAACCTGGAAAAAAAAGGTCCTGGACCAGGTGGATGCCTCATATATTAAGAAATCCCCGAGGCCGGGTACAGTGGCTTACGCCTGTAATCCCAGCACTTTGGGAGGCCAAGGCGGGCGGATCACGAGGTCAAGAGATCGAGACCATCCTGGCTAACACGGTGAAACCCTGTCTCTACTAAAAATATAAAAAATTTGGTGGGCGCCTGTAGTCCCAGCTACTTGGGAGGCTGAGGTAGGAGAATGGCGTGAACGCAGGAGGTGGAGCTTGCGGTGAGTGGAGATTGCGCCACCGCACTCCAGCCTGAGCGACACAGCGAGACTCCGTCTCAAAAAAAAAAAAAAGAAGAAGAAAAAGTATCCCCGATACTATTCAAATGGAACTTTATCACTAATAAACACAAGGGAAGACCATGCCCCATGTTAGCAATGCAAATTATTGCTACAGCTGCCTATGATAATTTGGTCTTTAGTTGATAATATACAAGAGAATGTGGACTTCTAAGTCCCCTTGCCTTGCATCCTCTGTTTCAAATGATTTAATGTGTTGTGTAGGAAAGCAGATAATAAAACTTAGGAGAATCCTTCCCAGATTTACAAGGGTCATGAAGGAGATACTTCTATAGGTATAAAGTGTATGAGTGTTAGAAGATCATTAGCAGGAACCCAAGTACGAAATGGTTATTTGAATAAACATTCTCAGATTTGAGTTAGCCTGTCTTGAGATCTGGCTGGGAGCGTAGGACACGTGCTCCCTTTTGTTCTGCTCAGGTAGTTCCCAAGTGTGGGCCGACAGGTTCTTTTTCCTTGATGTTCAGGTTCAGCAGACTGTACAGGATCTTTTTGGCAGAGCCCCAAGTAAAGCTGTCAATCCTGATGAGGCTGTGGCCATTGGAGCTGCCATTCAGGGAGGTGTGTTGGCCGGCGATGTCACGGATGTGCTGCTCCTTGATGTCACTCCCCTGTCTCTGGGTATTGAAACTCTAGGAGGTGTCTTTACCAAACTTATTAATAGGAATACCACTATTCCAACCAAGAAGAGCCAGGTAAGAGCCATCACTTCCTACCTTGTCACATGGGTTTTAGGTTCTATGACGGATGTAATTGCAGCCACTTTCATGAGTTTTTTCTAGAAAACTTCATTTTTATCTGTTTTACAGTTTAGAATATTAAACAGTTAACTGTGGGTGGTGAGAATCCTGTGTTTTGTTTTTTGTTTTTTTGTTACCAGAAAAGTTCTTACATGTTAGCTGGTAGTGATGATTATAAGAAGGACATCAGTAGTCTCCTCCACAGGATTAACATAATTTGCTAAAAGGGATCTCAGTCATTTGAGACTGAATTTCCTGTAGTCTTCTGTTCTCAAAGACAGTAAAAAGGGTAGTCTGGACCAGACTTAGGGGAGTGTTCTTATCTTATGGATGAATGAAGGGGGTGGTATGAGGGTGCCGAGATACCAAGCAGGGCTACTTGGACATGGCTTGTTCTTGAAGTAGGAATTATTTCTGGCTGGGCACCGTGGCTCATGCCTGTAATCCCAGCACTTTGGGAGGCTGTGGCGAGAGGATTACTTGAGCTGAGGAGTTTGAGACCAGCCTGGGTAACATGGTGAAGCTCCCTCTCTCCAAAAAGTTAAATTAGCCAGGCATGGTGCTGTGTACCTGTAGTCCCAGCTACTCAGGAGGCTGAGGTGGGTGGATCACTTGAGCATGGGAGGCAGAGGTTGCAATGAGCTGAGGTCATGCCACTGCACTCCAGCCTGGGCGACAGTATGAAGTGAGGTCTTGTCTCAAAAAAAAAAAAAAAATTATTTCCTGACTTACCCAATCTTGTGATGTTTTTCCATAAAACTATGGTTGTTGGTATATTTGTGCCGTGATGTATTTGTCAACACATCACTCTGAAGAAAAGTATGTGGTGACTTTCTGTGACTGAGCATGATACATCTTCTTTCTCTGATCCCGTTTCCCCAGATGAGCATGTTTCAACATTTTAGTTCCTTTTGAGGACTTCTGTCCTAATGCTGCGTCTTTGTACAATGCATTTGCTTAGCTGAAACAGTTGCTATTGTATGCCCATTTGCTGTACTAATCCTACTTCTATTCCCTATAAAGACATCAGCCTTTGTTCTGAACATACCGTAAATTAGGAGTCTTCCAGTCTTGGAATGTAAACCTTTGGCTTTCATTTTTTCTATAGAAATGGAGTAGGTTAATCACATTGACAACCCAGGAGGGTTTCTTCTTCCCTAGGTATTCTCTACTGCCGCTGATGGTCAAACGCAAGTGGAAATTAAAGTGTGTCAGGGTGAAAGAGAGATGGCTGGAGACAACAAACTCCTTGGACAGTTTACTTTGGTAGGTTATTGTGAATCCTGAATACTATGCCTCCTTCACTGTAAAGTGAGATAATATTCTAAGCCATAAAAATATTAGTATAAACTGCTGGCATACACATACATACTGAGTAGTCTTGAGAAGAAGGGATGCAACTAGATACCCATGGCATCAGTTTTTACCTGAAAGCCTTGCTTTTTCCTTGTGCCTTAGGAATTTCCTCAGAAATAAACTCCTGATTACTCATTTAAAAGACATTTGATATTGTTACTGGTTTCTGATCAGCATTGCTTATTGGTTATTGGTGAGGTGAATAATAGGAGATTTGCTATCTGTCATTTAGTGTGTCCACAGGTACATACAGCCATTATGGTTACTTGCTATAGCTAAACTTCACTGGTATAAAACCAGTTGATTTCAGGCAGCGAACTACTACTGTTGCTTATAAACTTTGTGTTTTGTACATTAAATCACTTGTTTCTCCCAGGAACCAAGTGACTTGTTTACTAGAAAACCATATAGATTTGGAAATAATAGCACTGGACCCCTCTGTAAGAGGACCTTACTCTGGATATTATTTATTTTAGATTGGAATTCCACCAGCCCCTCGTGGAGTTCCTCAGATTGAAGTTACATTTGACATTGATGCCAATGGGATAGTACATGTTTCTGCTAAAGATAAAGGCACAGGACGTGAGCAGCAGAGTAAGTCACCTTGTTTATCAGACCCTAAGAGTGAGGTGAGGGAGGTCTTGGGAATAGACCCTCTTAGAATGATGAGTCCTCTTTGCCCCTCAGTTATCAGATTTACTTGTACAAGTGTAATGTTTATTCCCCACAAACAGGCACTGAGCCTGTGGATTGCTGAAGTTTTGATGGGCAAACAGGCCAGTTGGTGTTTGTGTATATATTGGGTCCTTGGTTTCATTTTGCTTTATAGGACTATAGGGTATTTCTCCTCTTCATAATTTGTATCAAGATTGGCTGCTATGAGCAGGAGTACTCTTAATGCAATGGAGGAAGAAGAGGCATATAACTTTACCTGGGAATTAATGAAATGCCTTCTGTTTACTACAGTTGTAATCCAGTCTTCTGGTGGATTAAGCAAAGATGATATTGAAAATATGGTTAAAAATGCAGAGAAATATGCTGAAGAAGACCGGCGAAAGAAGGTGATTACTTCTTGTCTTCTGAACTTTAATCTTAGTAAAGCTCAGTCTTGACAGTGGGAGTTTGGGGCTGGGCGCAGTGTCTCACTCCTGTAATCCCAGCACTGTAAGCCCACTGCCAAGGTGGGCAGATCGTTTGAAGCCGGGCGTGGTGGTGCACGCCTGCAGTCCCAGCTACTTGGGAGGCTCAGGCAGGAGAATCGCTTGAACAAGAAAGTGGGAGAGTTTGGACATGTCATAGGTTGTGGGTAAGAGAAAACCTAAGATAATCTATTCTTCCTTCCCCGTTGTTTATACCTTATGTTTGCAGTGCCTTTATTATTTCTTCTGTTTTCCCTGTCACAATTCTGATGTTACAAAATCTAGCCCAAATCTCTCTCAAAGCCATCCCAGACTCTTTCATGCCACTCTGATTTCTCCCTCTTACTCTATTTTTATCTGTAACTGTATGTAACACATAGCTTATTGTCTGAGTATAGACATTCAGCAAACTTTGGTTGATTGGAAAGTCTTCGTTTAAACTTCTAATTTCTCTAAGGAACGAGTTGAAGCAGTTAATATGGCTGAAGGAATCATTCACGACACAGAAACCAAGATGGAAGAATTCAAGGACCAATTACCTGCTGATGAGGTGAGTTCTATTTTAAAGTAACTCAAGAGGTTGAACACATTTTTACCAATGCCAGTGAAGTTTATTTTTCTGTGGGTTTTGATAGGGGTTTAATTATTTTAAAATGTTTCTAAATAGTACTTCTACTTGTAATGGTACAGGAGACCTGGAAAAGTAAGGATTTTTGTTTTCTTTTTTTAAGTGCAACAAGCTGAAAGAAGAGATTTCCAAAATGAGGGAGCTCCTGGCTAGAAAAGACAGCGAAACAGGAGAAAATATTAGACAGGCAGCATCCTCTCTTCAGCAGGCATCACTGAAGCTGTTCGAAATGGCATACAAAAAGGTACAAGGGCTGAAGTGGATTTTGATTCTAACTTGATCTGGATGGAACTGTTCTTGATGACTGTCACTGGTGGCTCCCTCCATAGCCATTTGTGGAATTTAGAGTGAGATTAGAGTTGGGAGATAGTCTCCTGCCGTCTTGACTCTACTTTGGCATTGGAGTTAGTGTCAAAGGGAAGGAATCCAGAAACCACCAGTAGGGTAGAAAGTGGGGAGGGGGAGTGGAATAGAAATGAATGATGAGGACATATGTGGGTCCCTCATCTTGGAGTGCAACAAAGAGCAAATGGTTAGCTCTAACGTTAAATCTGAGTGGCTCTCAAATGTTTTCTTAACAGATGGCATCTGAGCGAGAAGGCTCTGGAAGTTCTGGCACTGGGGAACAAAAGGAAGATCAAAAGGAGGAAAAACAGTAATAATAGCAGAAATTTTGAAGCCAGAAGGACAACATATGAAGCTTAGGAGTGAAGAGACTTCCTGAGCAGAAATGGGCGAACTTCAGTCTTTTTACTGTGTTTTTGCAGTATTCTATATATAATTTCCTTAATTTGTAAATTTAGTGACCATTAGCTAGTGATCATTTAATGGACAGTGATTCTAACAGTATAAAGTTCACAATATTCTATGTCCCTAGCCTGTCATTTTTCAGCTGCATGTAAAAGGAGGTAGGATGAATTGATCATTATAAAGATTTAACTATTTTATGCTGAAGTGACCATATTTTCAAGGGGTGAAACCATCTCGCACACAGCAATGAAGGTAGTCATCCATAGACTTGAAATGAGACCACATATGGGGATGAGATCCTTCTAGTTAGCCTAGTACTGCTGTACTGGCCTGTATGTACATGGGGTCCTTCAACTGAGGCCTTGCAAGTCAAGCTGGCTGTGCCATGTTTGTAGATGGGGCAGAGGAATCTAGAACAATGGGAAACTTAGCTATTTATATTAGGTACAGCTATTAAAACAAGGTAGGAATGAGGCTAGACCTTTAACTTCCCTAAGGCATACTTTTCTAGCTACCTTCTGCCCTGTGTCTGGCACCTACATCCTTGATGATTGTTCTCTTACCCATTCTGGAATTTTTTTTTTTTTAAATAAATACAGAAAGCATCTTGATCTCTTGTTTGTGAGGGGTGATGCCCTGAGATTTAGCTTCAAGAATATGCCATGGCTCATGCTTCCCATATTTCCCAAAGAGGGAAATACAGGATTTGCTAACACTGGTTAAAAATGCAAATTCAAGATTTGGAAGGGCTGTTATAATGAAATAATGAGCAGTATCAGCATGTGCAAATCTTGTTTGAAGGATTTTATTTTCTCCCCTTAGACCTTTGGTACATTTAGAATCTTGAAAGTTTCTAGATCTCTAACATGAAAGTTTCTAGATCTCTAACATGAAAGTTTTTAGATCTCTAACATGAAAACCAAGGTGGCTATTTTCAGGTTGCTTTCAGCTCCAAGTAGAAATAACCAGAATTGGCTTACATTAAAGAAACTGCATCTAGAAATAAGTCCTAAGATACTATTTCTATGGCTCAAAAATAAAAGGAACCCAGATTTCTTTCCCTATTTCTGCTTTTCTGTCCTCAGTGTACTGGCTTGTCCCAAATTCTCTGATGTAGTTCTAATAATTATCATGTGCTGACAACCTGAGCAGAAAGGCAACTACATCTTTATTCAATGTTAAGATTTCCCAAAAGTCTTCCAGCACATTTCCCTTATGTTTCATGGATGAATGTCATATGCCATGTTCAAAAGAGTCTGTTATCAAGATGGGCTTAGAATATCAGACACAATGGCTCCTTTTATAATGTTTTGTAATATGTAGAAATGAGATTACTGTATTTCCAAAAATCAGTATAAGAAATCAATTTAATTTGCAAGTATGAAGGAAGTGATTTAGACAACATTTTTGGAAGATTCAGTGCTTGTTAACACCCATGTAAAAGATTCTTGGGATTCGTGAAAAATTCTAGGCTCAGGTTTCCAACCACATGAACACTCAATGGGAACATTGTAGGATTATGAAGGATTGTTATATGGTGTGTTGGAAAATAACTTTTAGCATTTTTGGTTGGCCCTTGCCCACTGCCTCTACTGTCTCCTAAAGATAACTTTAAAAGCCCTCCAGGATTTCCAAAGTACTCCAGTTGAGAACTACTGGCTTAATGCTAGTCAAGATTCATCCTTGGGATCAGAGAGAGGAGCCAAATGCCCAAGCAAAATATATATTTGAGTTCTATTAGGAGGGAGAAGTTGCTTGGGTATGGGTGGACACAGTATTTCAGTCACCTATCAGTAAAGCTAATAGCATAAATAGCAAGAAGGTATATGGAGATTTCCTACAGCCAATAGGATATATATCTAGAATAAGATTTACTGTAAGAAAGAAACTGGCTCACAATTATGGAACCGAGGTCCCACCCACAGTCCACTGCTGGGAAAGCTGTTGGGGTAAAATTTCAGTGACCAGGAACACAGTGGTGTCCTAGTCCGAGGTTAGAAGAATATGGATGTCTTAGCTCTGGCAGTTCTATATAGGCCCTTAACTGATTAGATGATGTCCACTCACATCAAAGCAGAGCAATCTCCAATTCAATACTAATCTCTTCTGGAGAGAGACAAATGTTTAACCCGTTAAATGGCATCAATGGCTAAACTGACACATAAAATTAACTATCACAAAAGGCAAAAAGAAATGATTGGTTTTATTCTTTAGTAGAGCCTCCCTTTAGTGATTGTAAGTACTTGCTTAGGTCCCAAGAAGAACTTACGGTATCCCTCTTACACCAACTTACTGTTTTTGGTTTTTTGTGTTTTGTTTGTTCTTTTGGTTTTTGTTTTGAGATGGAGTCTTGCTCTGTTGCCCAGGCTGGATTGCAGTGGTGTGATCTCAGCTCACTGCAACCTCAACCTCTGCCTCCTGGGTTCTAGCAATTCTCCCACCTCAGCCTCTTGAGTAGCTGGTACTACAGGTGCGCACCACCACACCCAGCTAATTTTTTTTTTTTTTTTTTTGAGACAGTCTTGTCGCCCAGGCCGGAGTGCAGTGGTGCGATCTCAGCTCACTGCAACCTCCACCTCCCAGGTTCAAGCCGATTCTCCTGCCTCAGCCTCCCTAGTAGCTGGGATTACAGGCACCCTGCCACCACACCCAGCTAATTTTGGATTTTTAGTAGAGACGGGATTTCACCACGTTGTCCAGGCTGGTCTTGAACTTCTGACCTCAAGTGATCCACTCCCCTCGGCCTCCCAAAGTGCTGGGATTACAGGCTTGAGTCACTGTGCCCGGTCTAATTTTTGTACTTTCAGTAGACACGGGGTTTTGCCATGTTGGCTAGGCTGGTCTCAAGCTCCTGACCTCAGGTGATCCATCGCACCCAGCCTCCTTTTTTTATGTTGTTTTTTGAGACAGGGTCTTGCTGTCACCCAGGCTATAGTGCAGTGGTGCATTCATAGCTCACTGCAACCTCGAACTCCTGGGCTCAAGCACTCCTCCTGCCTTAGCCTCCCAAGTAGTTAGGACTACAGGTGCACACCACCACACCTGGCTCACCTCTCGAGCTCAAGTGAGCCTCTCACCTCAGCCTATGGAGTGGTTGGGACCACAGGTGCAAGCTACCGTGCCAGGCTATTTTTTTTTTTTTTTTTTTTTTTTTGAGGGGGGGAGAGACAGGATCTCACACTCCTGACCTCAAGCAATCTTCCCACCTCAGCCTCCCAAAGTGGTGGGATGACAAGCATGAGACACGGTGCCCAGCCTGATTATTTGTGTTGAGTGAGGTATACATTATCAGTAGAAATACTACATACATGTGTACATAATGTGTCAATTCTCAGGGAAATCAAGACATTCCATTTCTTTGATCCACGTAACATTTATAGTAGTGACTACAAGCAAGATGGAGCAGCAGAAATAAAAGCAAGTTCTTACAAACTGCATGAGAAGATTGGGTATGAAGAAACAATTCAAATTTTGGAAATAACCAATATTCAAGAGACCCTTCACCATTTCAGATACCATTGCAACTCTATTCTCCAGTCATAAGGCCAGGTTTTTTTGTTTTGTTTTTGTTTTGAGACAGAGTCTCTCTCTGTCACCCAGGCTGGAGTGCAGTGGCATGATCTCAGCTCACTGCAGCCTCCATCTCCCGGATTCAAGCGATTTTCCTGCCTCAGCCTCCTGAGTAGCTGGGATTACAGGTGCATGCCACCACACCCGGCTAAGTTTTGAATTTTTAGTAGAGATGGGGTTTCACCATGTTGGTCAGGCTGGTCTCGAACTCCTGACCTCGTGATCAGCCGCCTTGGCCTCCTAAATGCTGGGATTACAGGCATGAGCCACTGTGCCCGGCTCATAAGTCCACTTTGTAAGGGCTTTGTCTTCTCCTTTTCCCCACCTCTAGTATCAGAATACAAAATGAGTGAAAGCCCTGGGAACAGATAAAGGAGCTATAGGGCGACCTACAGCACTCTGAACAGCATGCAGGAGCTGTGCTTTAGCAATTACAGAATTGCTGAAACAGGCATTTGAGTAGATAAACAATTGAATATCAGCAATTTCCTACAGTTAAATCTATTAGGAGCCATTTCTGCTACAGCAGGTCAGGTAATCTGTCTTGACACTAAAGACCGCAGCTGAACATCAAACCAGCCTTTAAGGTAGGCATCAGCCCTGCAATCAAGAATGGGAAAGTAAAATGTTCCACCAAACTCACAGGCTCTTAAACAGATTGTTGAAGCCCCTGACTGAGAAAGTGAAGATTAGGGTCAAAGGTGATGGGGTTGTGGGGTGGGGAGTCCATAAGGGACTGAGTATAAAGTGCAAGATTGTGAGTATTGATTATTTTTAGGAAAATGGTCCATCGCTTTCACTGGTTCCTTGGAGTCTGTCCCAAAGAGGGTTAACCATTATATGGTAAGTTTACTAGCTTAAATGGCTTCAAGTCGTACCATACCAGTCACCCCTTTGCCATTTGCCATCCCCTCAATCCTGTGCATTTATTTAGCATCCTTGGTCTACCATCCACCTCCTTGGTATACCTTCCCCACTCAGCTCACACAGATCATTTCACTCAAATTCTTACGCTTTTTTTTTTTTTTTCTTTTTGAGCTGGAGTCTCACTTTGTTGCCCAGGCTGAAATGCAGTGGCACGATCTCGGCTCACTGCATCCTCCGCCTCCCAGGTTCAAGCGATTCTCCTGCCTCAGCCTCCCAAGTAGCTGAGACTGCAGGCACACGCTGCCAAGCCCGGCAAATTTTTTGTATTTTTAGTAGAGATGGGGTTTTACTGTGTTGCCCAGGCTGGTGTCAAACTCCTGAGCTCAGGCGATCCACACGTCTCGGCCTCCCAAAGTGCTGGGATTACAGGCATGAGCCACCACACCCTTCCCTACGCTCTTATTTTTTAATTACTTAATGTTCCATTTAGCAACTTCATCTTTTTGTTCTTTGTTCTTTTTTGAGATGGAGTCTTGCTCTGTCACCCAGACTGGAGTGCAGTGGCACAATCTCAGCTCACTGCAACCTCTGCCTCCTGGGTTCAAGCGATTCTCCTGCCTCAGCCTCCTGAGTATTAGCTGGGGTTACAGGCATGTACCACCACGCCTGGTTAACTGTATTTTTAGTAGAGACAGGGTTTTGCCATGTTGGCCAGGCTGGTCTCAAACTCTTGAGCTCAAGTGATCCATCCACCTCAGCCTCCCACCATGCCTGGCCTTCATCTCTTTTATTACATTTTTCCCTACCTTCTGGATTATTTTGAAGCAAATGCTAGAATTCATAATTTGACTCAAAGTATATACTTTTTTTTTTTTTTGAGACAGAGTCTCGCTCTGTTGCCCAGGCTGGAATGCAGTGGCGCAATCTCAGCTCACTGCAAGCTCCACCTCCCGGGTTCACGCCATTCTCCTCCCTCAGCCTCCCGAGTAGCTGTGACTACAAGCGCCCGCCACCATGCCCGGCTAATTTTTTTTTTTTTTTTTTTGTATTTTTTAGTAGAGACGGGTTTCATCGTGTTAGCCAGAAGGGTCTCAATCTCCTGACCTCATGATCCGCCCGCCTCGGCCTCCCAAAGTGCTGGGATTACAGGCGTGAGCTACCACGCCCGGCCGAAAGTATGTACTTCTAAAAGGATTATACTACAAAACATATCATTGTTGGCCAGGCTCTGTGGCTCACGCCTGTAATCCCAGCACTTTGGGAGGCCAAGGTGGGTGGATCACAAGGTCAGGAGATCAAGACCATCCTGGCTAACACGGTGAAACCCCATCTCTACTAAAAATACAAAAAATTAGCCGGGCGTGGTGGCGGGCACCTGTAGTCCCAGCTACTCGGGAGGCTGAGGCAGGAGAATGGCGTGAACCCGGGAGGCGGAGCTTGCATTGAGTTGAGATCGCGCCACTGCACTCCAGCCTGGGCAAGAGTGCGAGACTCCGTCTCAAACAAAACAAAATAATAATAATAATAAATATATATATATATATAATTTTCACACCTTTTAACATCTTTATAGCAAACAAGAATATGCTTTTCCCAATAGTCTCATAACTTTAAAGTTGATCTGAGTCAGGAACCAAGCGTCACACCCACATAGTTTGACATGTCCAAGTTCCTTTCAATTTAGGCTTCCCTGCCTTTTTTCCCCTTTGCAATTTATTTTAGAAACTGGACCACTGGTCCCGTAGCGTCTCCTACATTCTAGATTTTACTAATTGCTTCCCTGTGATGTAATTTAATGTATTCCTTCGTCCCATTTAATCCAATTCAAGTTCAGTTTTTTTGACATAGGATCTCACTCTGTTCCCCAGGCTGGAGTGGGTGGTGCTATCATAGCTCACTGTAACCTCAAACTCCTGAGCTCAAGCAATCCTCCTGCCTCACCCTCCCAAGCAGCTAGGACTACATACAGGTGCTCGCCACCACACACACAGCTAATTTAAAATGATTTTTGTAGAAATGGCACTCTTGCTAAGTATATTGTTCGGGCTGGTCTCAAACTCCTTGAGCCAAGTGATCTTCCCACCTTGGCCTCCCAAAGCACTGGGATTACAAGCATGAGCCTTTCGCCCAGCCTGTTTCATTTTTCTACAACAGGTGATGTGTATTTCCATCAGAATTTAAAATATTATATGAATTCCAAACATAATTTCGGTTGGCTCTTTTGTCATGTTAGTAGCCACTGATGATCATTACCTAGATCTCTAATTTGATTAAAGGTATATTATTTTACTTCTGTCTTTTCATTTTTATTGGAATACCTCTATAGTGAGAAAATTCCCCTTTTAACAAGTACCAAGTTACACTGCAATGTACCTACATATAAGGGAAGACCAGTTAAATGTTTAGCTCTTTTCCTTAATTTACTAGTTTTCAGAATTAATTCCATAATCAAAAGTGGGGAAATTAGGTTTCTTGGGTGTCATCATGAACTCATGGATTTCGACTTTTTATGTTTCACTTCATTGCAACCTTTCTTAGTGATACTCAAATTGTTCTAACCTTGGCCTGAGAGCCTCTTCCTGTTGGCCCTTAAGTCGTTTTGACAAAACCCCAGTAGTCCATGTTACTTTCTTTGCTTACTGATATAACAAGATGTTCCAGGCTCACCTTGTTCATTTCTGCTTCAGTCCAAGAAACAACTATTTATTTTATCTGTTATCTTACTTGTTTAACAACCCTATGTCTCCCCTGCACCCCCACAAAAGACCATAAATATAAGGACTGAATTACATCTAAAAATTTTCAGCACTTGTCCCAGTGCTGGACCAAAAAAGTGGCATGCAATAAATATTTATGGAATTGAACTAAAAGATTAACATTTGTCTAGCTATTCTACAAGTGTCTCTATTGAGTCAAACAAGGCACCACTGGCAACTGGCAACATTAAACACTTGCCTCTTCAGGTGGGCCAAGGGCAGGATTCAGGCTCTCCCTATAAATACTCTCTTATATGCTAGAGATAGACCCCAGCTAATGAGCTCTCCCTAGAACAGGTATTCTGTCACTCACTCACACACACACACACACACACACACACACACACACACACACCTTTTTTTACACTGAGAGAATGAGAAAAACATTAACTTTTAGTTCTCCGTGGGCCTTATTTTCTTAAAGGAGGAAATCATTACACAGTAAAGCATTAATGGCCAGTGTGTGCTTAATTTAACAACACTACAAATTCATGTAGAGATGTCTGATCCTCTAGAGAGGAAACTGTCATTCCTTAGCTGCAGTCCCCTCTTCAACTGAAGAATTACATTTCACCACTAGGTGTCCACAGGGGAACAAAGGATATCTTACACTTGCCCATTCCAAGTCCCTTTCACACACACTGCACTCCATAAACAACTTGTCCTAGGTCAATTTATAAAAACCTTAAATCTTATTTTATGTTGTACTACTACAGCTTAGGTCTTCATTTACTTTAACTTATAAGATATCCTGGCCGGACGCAGTGGCTCACACCTGTAATCCCAGCACTTTGGGAGGCTGAGGCAGGTGGATCACAAGGTCAGGAGTTCAAGACCAGCCTGGCCAATATGGTGAAACCCCGTCTCTACTAAAAATACAAAAATTAGCCGGGCATGGTGGTGCACGCCTGTAGTCCTAGCGATTCAGGAGGCTGAGGCAGGAGAATCACTCCCTTGAACCCGGGAGGCGGAGGTTGCAGTTAACTGAGATTGCGCCACTGACTCTAGCCTGGGTGACAGAGCGAGACTACGTATCAAAAAAAAAAAAAAAAGAGAAAACTTTCCTCTAACAAGCACACTGACTTCCAGAAGAGTCAAAGGCAGCCCTTTAGCAAATCTTACCACAACCATCCCTTCCCTGCCTTCATCTTGGCTACTCTTTTTTTTTTTTTTCCTGAACTCCAGTGATCCTCCTGAGTAGCTAGGGACTACTACTAGGGACGACTTAGGTGTGCACCACCATGCCCAGCTAAATTTTTTTTTAATTTGTAGTATAGATGAGGTCTCACTAGGTTGCTCAGGCTGTACTCCAACTCCTGAGTTCAAGCAATCCTCCTGCTTCGGCCTCCCAAGGTCCTAGGATTACAGGCATCAGTCACTGTGTGTGGTCTATCTTCGTTACTCTTAAACTTATCTTCACATTAGTGACAAATAACCTCATTCTGTAGCTTTTTTTTTTTTTTTTTTTTGAGAAAGGGTCTTGCTCTGTTACCCAGGCTGGAGTGCAGTGATCACAGCTCACTGTAACCTCAAACTCCTGGGCTCCGGTGATCTTCCTGCCTCAGCCTCCTCAGTAGCTGGCACTAGGGGCACATGCTGCTGTGCCTGGCTGATTTTTTTTTCTTGTTTTTGTAGAGACCAGTTCTCTCTAAGCACAAAGACTTATTTGTGCTTTCAACATCAAAACTTATAACAGGCCTGTAATCCCAACACTTTGGGAGGCTGAGGCAGGTGGGTCACGTGAGGTCAGGAGTTCGAGATCAGCCTGGGCAACATGGTGAAACCCCTATCTCTACTAAACATACAAAAATTAGCCAGGCATCATGGCCTGCGCCTGTGGTCCCAGCTACTAGGGAGGCTGAGGCAGGTGGGTCACGTGGGGTCAGGAGTTCGAGATCAGCCTGGGCAACATGGTGAAACCCCCATCTCTACTAAAAATACAAAAATTAGCCAGGCATCATGGCCCACGCCTGTGGTCCCAGCTACTAGGGAGGCTGAGGTGGAAGGATCGCTTAAGTCCTGGGGTCAAGGTTGCAGTGAGTTATTATCGTACCACTGTACTCCAGCCTGGGCAACAGTGAGACCCTGCCTCAAAAAAAAAAAAGAAAATGAAACAAAAACTTACTTGCCTACTCCCACCTAATTAGGTAGGAACATCACCTATATCCCAATATTTAACTTTGTTACATAATGTTTGAGCTGAGGAGGAAGTTCTGAGATCATAAAGAACAATTCCTTTATTTTTCAGAGAATCTGTGTGCCTAGAGAGGTTATATATTTTGTTCTCACCATTTAGCAGTTTGAAAAATCTGTATCACTTTTATATCACAGAACATTCCTCAACAATGAATCGTCATGGTCCCATTTAAAAAGCCTTGATGCAGGCACTACCATCCGTGCTTCATACATCCCAAACCTCTTCACGTAGATAGTTATCCCAGCCTTTGCCTCTAATGCACTGATTTCTAATTCTAAATGCAGAGATGGTGAATTTGCAGCAACTAGGCAAGGAGCTTTTGGGGCTACCTGGGCCTGCAATTGTCTAAGAAATAAGTTTTAAGAATTCAGAGGCTGAAAACAGCAATCCTACTTGGGATGTCGTCATGCTTACTTCAGCCTGAATCACACAGAAGAAAGCCTTCAAGCATGGACCTGAAGCAATGCTGTAAACACAAACATCAAAAGGAAGAGGAGGCCAGGTGTGGTGGCTCACGCATGTAATCCCAGCACTTTGGGAAGCGGAGGCAGGTGGATCACCTGAGGTCAGGAATTCAAGATCAGCCTGGCCAACATGGTGAAACCCTGTCTCTGCTAAAAAAAAAATAAAAAATAAAAAATACAAAAACTGGCCCGGCATGGTGGTTCACGCCTGTAATCCCAGCACTTTGGGAGGCCGAGGCAGGCAGATCACGAGGTCAGGAGATCGAGACCATCCTGGCTAACACGGTGAAACCCCGACTCTAATAAAAATACAAAAAATTAGCTGGGCATGGTGGCACCCGCCTGTAGTCCCAGCTACTCAGGAGGCTGCCGCAGAAGAATCGCTTGAACCCGGGATGTGGAGGTTGCAGTGAGCCAAGATCGTGCCACTGCACTCCAACCTGGGCGACAAAGGGAGACTCCGTCTTTAAAAAAAAAAAAAAAAAGAACAGGAAGGGTAGAGTAGGGCAATCTAATATAGAAAGGAGGAACCAGGGCAAGAGGAATGAAGGAAAACCTTGGACACAGTTGATTCCTAGTCAGTAAGCAGTGTTTATGACTAAGAAGACCCCTCCGTTCACTACTAAACACAGTGAATGACACACACACAGCAGGAGTACAATATTATATAACAAATAAACATATGCCAAAAACTACAAAATGGAACCCAAAGAAGAGGTTCCAACCTGAGATTCATTTCCTGGGGGACAGAAGTATGACCGTGTCCCCACCCTATGAAAATACAGGTAATGGGGTCACTGTATAATACACTGGACTCCAAAAATGGAGTCGGGAAGCCATAAACTAGCTGTGGACTCTGAGCAGATCCCTTTCACTTTTCTTTGCCTCAGTTTCCCCATGTATGAAATGGAGGTCATACCCCCATCTTCAAAGTGTGGACACAGTTTATAACACATGCAAAAAGTATTCAAAAACCATACAAATGAAAGCGCATGACGGACATCCCTACTTACATGTCTCATAAGCAATCTCAAACTTAACAGGCCCAAGATGAAATTCTCAATCATCCCCCAACACCTACTCCTCACCTTTCCCACCTCAGTAAATGTCACCACTTCAGTACTCTGGGAACCATTCTTGGTTTTCCTCAACCAATCCATCATCCAGTCCTATTCACTTTTTTTTTTTCCTCGAGACAAGGTCTCGCTCTGTCACCCAGGCTGGAGTGTAGTGGTGTGATCTCAGCTCACTGCAGCCTCGAATTCCTCGGCTCAAGGGTTTCTCCCACCTCAGCCTCCCAAGCAGCTGGGACTACAGGCGCGGGCCACCACACCAGGCTAATATTTTGTAATTTTGTAGAGACGGAATCTTGCCATGTTGCCCAGGCTGCTCGCAAACTCCTGGGCTCAAGCGATCCTCCCCTTTGGCCTCCCAAAGTGCTGGGATTACAGCCGTGGGCCACTGCACCAGGCCCTTCATTCACTTCTATCTGCACTGTCACCACCCTAATGTAAGCGAAAATCATCTCTCACATGATAATGAAGCAGCCAAAATGGTCTCTGGGCTTCTCCTGTACTCTCTCCAGTCCACACCAGGGCTCTAAACCCTTTAAACTACCCACTGTTCTTGAAAGAAACCAAACTTCTGAATCTGGCTTAAAAGACCCTACATGACCTCTTCCCCTGCTGCTCCCTCAAACCACTCTCCCCGTCCCTGACCTTGTGCCAGCACACTGGCGTTTCTGTAGTTCTCAACTGTATTCTGTTTCCTCCTGACAAACTCTTAATCATCCTTTGGGTCTCATTTCAGAGCTGGGTCCCCGCCATACACTCTCAGAGCACCCTGAAGTACTTAAGCATTTGTGTAATTATTTTATTACAAAAAGTATAAAATCACAAACTTAAAAACCCAATCGACTATAAGCTCCATAAGGGTAAGTACTGTCATCTGTTTGGTTCACCTCTGTATCCCCAGGAAAACAGGGTCCAGCACACGGTCTGGGCTCAATATTTGAACCCAGACGAGGTGAGGGGGGACAAAGTAGCCACCTAAAAATCCTAACTCAAAAAGATAAAGTTCTAACCGTATGTGGATGCCCATTTTGTTTCAACTCTCTCCACCCCCATTCTCAACGGCTCAGGCCAAATCATACATGGGACCAGATACCTCAGGTCTCCAAGCTCAGGCAGCCCCCGCTGTCTTCCACCCCATAAAGTTCTAAGTCCAAAGTGAGCCCGTCCTAGCTCTGGGGCGAGAGAAAACAGGCCTCTTTCGCCCCTGCAGGTGAGGGTCCCGGACCGCCCGGAGGCAGGTTCCTCATCCAGACCTACTGGCCAGGACTCCTCCACACTATTCCGTGCAGCCATGACGCACGCAGACCGCAGCACTTCGTCAGCGAAGAAGCCGCTGAGCGCGAGGCGCTTCTTCGCGGCTTCTCAAGCACCGTTCAAACCGCGCGTCGGGCCCAAGTGCCTAGCTTCGAGTCGCAAAGCCTCAGATGTCCACCCTATTCAAGGAGAATGGACTGAAAAGACGACGACCCCGGTCCTCTCTCTTTAAGAACCACCCCCATTCGAGCCTGACGGGGGCTCTCAGTAAACTCGCGAGAGCCACCGGCTTCCGCCCGCTTCCTCCTCTCGCCTTGCCGGGCCGGAAGAAAGGTGGCACCTCCCACCCCCCAGCCTTACCTCACAAGGCGGCGCGGACCCAGCTGCAGCCAATCGGCGGGCTCATTGTAGGCTGCGGGGCAGAGAGCCAATGAGAAGTCGCGGCGGACGCCCAGCTTCTCCTCACTCGCACCGGCCCCCTCCCTTCCGCCTGCCGCCTTCCACTCCGCCCCTGGCGGAGGAAGTGATGTCACAGGCCCCATGTGAGCGGATTGCAACACATGCAGCTGCCTGGAGAGAGGGAGCCGGTGTCCTACGTCAGAGCCGCCGCCGCCGCGGAGCCGCCGCCGGGGAGGAGCAGCCGCTGCCGCCCAGGACTGGGCCCTTAGGTAAGGCACAGGGAGGGAAAGGCCGGTGACCTTTGTGGCGAGCTGCACCGGACGGGAGGAGAGGGCCTCTGGGGGATGGCGAGGAAGGGGGCCGCTCTGCCCCAGCGGCGGCGCTAACTCTGTGGTCTTGGTGTCTCCGGGCCCCGCCGGGCCGCTCTAGGGAGGAGGAGGCGAGAAGATGGCGGACGACCCCAGTGCTGCCGACAGGAACGTGGAGATCTGGAAGATCAAGAAGCTCATTAAGAGCTTGGAGGCGGCCCGCGGGTGAGCGCCGCGTCCGGCACCCTCCGTGCCCTCTTGGTTCCCGGACCCCTCAGGATGGACGCCCCCGCGCCGCATGGCCGGATGAGGAGAACCAGGCACTAGCCAACTCCCGCCTTCTGGATCTCTGGGTAGTAGCCCCTGACCCAGGGGCGAGGGTCGGCGCGGTTGGCCCGAGAAGGGGTCCTTTCCCCGCATGGGGGTAAGGGGCCCGCGCTCCCCGGTTTAGATCACTCGGCCCCCCTCGTGGTAGGCCACCGCTACTTTTGCACCTCTCCCGGGCCCTTAAGTCCAGGTCCTCCCTCTTCGGGCTCCAGGTGCTGCCACCCGACTCGGGTGCTATTGTGGCAAAGTGTTCGGCCTTCCTTTCCCAGGGCCCTTCCCTGATTTCCTCTTCTCCCTTCATTTCTCAGCCAGGCCTCATTAAAATGGCCTCTCCCTTCTGGGCTTCTGAGACCCGGGTGGGTGAAGTTTGGATGGGACGGGAAGCAGAGGTGGCCAGGGACAGCTTCTTTCTGATTCCTGATTTCTCTGGGTCTTCCACCTGTCCCAAGATGACTTCTCCCAAGTCCTCTAATTACCCCGGAGCTTCCTGGTTTTAGCTGTTCCAGGACCCACCTATAAACTGAAAATGCCAACGTACGCGCGATGTGAGGGGTGCTGGGTAGGTTTTGGTTAATGAATCTGCATGTGTATGTCCAGGAGAAATACGGGTTAGGGGGCCGTTTGATAGGAATCATAACTACAGAGTCCCTGCTGGCATTTCTCTGAAACTTGTGGGGATATCGCTGTAGAGAGGCGCCTGATGTGCTTGATGCTTGTTGAGTGAGATTCATAATTGAATTAAATGGGCTTTGAGTCTTGTACATTTTGATAAGAAACTGTAGGTGTGTCCATTGGGGGGAGAGTAGGCTAGATTAAAATTAGCTGTGTGTGTGTGTTTTCTTTTTTTTTTAACGTTGTTCGTTTGAGGAAGGTGTGCCAGGGGTATTCCTGTTTCTTTTATTACTTTATTTTGTTCCTTTCCCAGTCATAGAAACTTTTTACTTACAGGAAGTGCCCCCCCCCCCAAAAAAAAGTGTTTGGAACATTATTACATACTTGTATGTCTGAGCATTCTTAGAATAGTAGAATGGCCTGCCTCAGGCCATGTGAAAAGTTGATTTCAGCACAAGAATTTGACATTCTGGTTTCCAGCCCAGGATTGTCATTTATGGGTAGATTTGCAATTTTAGAATGACAGCCCCTCCAAGCTCTTCATTATTACTGTTATATGAAACAGGATGTGCTTAATTGTACTGAAGGCCCAATTCACAGGTTGGTTTTACTAGTGTTTTGTTCTTAATAAATTAGGGACAGTTCTGTTTGGAATGAGGCTTCTAAAAGTTTGGCCCCATTCAGTGACGGGCTTGTGCTCACTCCTTCGGTTTACTGGAGAAACGTTAGTTTAATATGAATCGAAGACAGCGGCTTGTTAGTCCTTAGGTTTTTCTTTGAATTCAATAGAATATCCAGACCTTCTTAATGATCTTACAGGAACTTGTGCCGTATGATAGAGTGACCAGTTATTCCCAAAATGTGAGAATACTGTACAGAAAGGGTAACATAGGTCACGACCCATTATGTTGCACTACCAAGAATTAGCCAGGTTCTTTTGTTTCAGTAGGATCTTGTTTTGTTACTTGAAGCCTTCAATCCAGTATTGCATTTTATAGATTGCTGTTGTTGCAGTATTGTATATAGGTGGATGTGACCTCTGGATTTGTTCTTACTGCTTTCAGTAGCAGGCAGGTTTACACATTTTAATTTGCATACGTTATATTCTCTGAAACAGTCCAAAAAATTAAATCATGACTATAATTTGCCTGTTTGAATGAAGTAACATTGAAGATGACATTGCTTAATAAGTAACAGCATTCCTTTCTACTGCTTAATGAAGGAAACTCATTCTTAAATTTGTTCTACCCATGTTACCTAGCCACTAGAAACTTTTAAGCGCCTCTTTAAGGCTTTTGAAGGCTTTACCTCTTTGTTTAGCAAAGTTCAGTAAAGTTTAAAGCATGCTAAAAATGAAGTTATAAGACACAACTTGTATTTCAAGTTGTTGAGTTTGGATATTTCAGACATGATTAAGCTGTCTAAAATAGCTGGAGGACCTTCCGCTACACATTGTGGTTAATAATCATGTCCTACTTTGCTTTTAATCAGGATTTGGTTGCATCTTGATCCCATGGAAATTTAAAATCTTGGCCATCTCTGAGTATTGGTAAGGGAGTCAGAAGATTCCCCAGTATATACCAGTTTTTGGAGGTGGGAATATTTTCATTGCCAACTTGTGTTAAAGTCAGACTCTAGATTTTCATAGATAGGGTACAGTGGAAAATGTTATTCCTACTTTACCTAGTGATAAAATATCTTTAGAAGAATTGTAATGGGCTTTAAAGACTTAAGTGGATGGCAAAATGAATCTGTATTTGCTGATGTTTTGGGGATACTCTGGTTTTCAGGAGGAAACTGAGGTTTTCAGGCATGGTTATTAGGACAAGGTAGTGAGACTTAGTGGTTGAGTAACAGTATTGTTTTGGAAATGAAAAAGCCCTTTCCTCCCCTTAGCAGTGTAGAATTCTAGGCATAGGAATCATGGATTTGTTTTTAACAGTAGTTATTAAAATATGCTAGAATAAGAGTGATTTTGAAATTAAGATAATCCTATGTGGTTATCTCTTGATATATGACCCAAATTTAATGTAGCTTGAAAAAGGAACCACCTGCAAAATGGGCTCACTAACTACATCTGAATAAAGGGAAGTATGTTGGCAAAATAATTTATTAAGCACATACTATATTATAGACTGTGCTACAGTACATTATTAAGTCATTTAATCCTCACAAGTATTGCCACCATTTGGTAGACAAGGCACCTGAGGCTAAGAGATAATTTGTCCAAGATGTCACAGCAAAAATGTAGCAGAGTTCAGAACTTAAACCAATGTGCTATAATGGGTATATTTTATTTTCAGAAAATACAAAACTAGATTTCCTTAAAATGTAGTCTGAGCTATAACAGATTCTATTTTATGTTACACGTGTGTAGAAGAGCATTTATAGAGGCCACATTACTAAAATGGGGAACTTCATAGCATTCTGTTTTGTAACCAGCATCATACTTAATCTTCTGAGTTGAAAGGAGTGTCACACATAAACTTGATTTTTGATTTGGGTAGAACATGCTTATTTGGTTTCAGATAAGCCTGGTCGAATGTTAGTTTGTGTGTGCTAGTAAAATAACCAGTTAATTATTTTGGTAGACATAGGCCCCACTTAAAGTTGATGGTAGTTCTTCCCTGTTCATGATTGCTCCTGGTATATGCTCCACAGTTGGCTTATGAAGGACAAATGTATACATAAACCAATACTGTGGTTGAGGGTATCTTGAATAAGGAACTAAAACAGGTCAACGTATGTTGGAAAAAGGGGGAGAATTATTGGTTGTTTTTTCCCTTGGTGTTTTCTGAGCAGGCAAGAGGTGGCCTCAGAAATAATGTTGGACACCTTATAGTTTTAAGGTAATGTTAATAAAATCATAACTAGAGCCTGTGCTAGCCAGGGACAGTGGTGAATGTGACAAAGGAATGGACAGTGTTAATTTGGGTTAGGTTGTGTCTGTGGGTGTTAAAATGTCTTCACTTATCTTCACTAGGAAACCTTATGTGTTTCTTATCCAATGAACACTTGGTCAGATAACCCTCATAACCATAACCCTTGTTTGAAGGTCAGTGAGCTTGCAAACTTCTGCTGTAGTGTTTGGACATTTTAAAAACTGTTTACTTAAAAATAACTTGTTGATATCTTAATTCTAAATGAAATAAAATTGGTTGTTCCTGCCCCCAAATATAACCATTTTTAAAGAATCCCCACTGAATTCCTCACATTATATAGATTTAACAGTGTTTTGGCGAGATCATTGAATAGGTTAATGTTTTAAATCTTAGAGATAATTAATATGAACAGATTGCTTAATTTATATACTTTGAATAAATTAAGGTATGTTGGATGTGTTTGAGTACCTTCCCCAAGTAAACATTGTTGGTTAATAGAATATTCACCTAAATGGTGGTGGAAATAATATTCTCAAAGCACTGAATTTCACATTCTTTTTTTTTTTCCCTCACTATCGTTGAAGGGCTGGTTGTAGCTAAAATGATACATTGTGGTCTTTGATACAAATACCTGAACCATTTAAAGTTCAGGCTCATAAAGAAGACTTTTTTTGTCCTCTATTCTGGCTCTTTCCATGCCTCCCTTCCCCCAAACTGTTGGTTAGACAAATTAATAGGCCACATGAGGACTGGGCACGTTGACTCACACCTGTAATCCCAGCACTTTGGGAGGCCAAGGTGGGTGGATCACTTGAGGTCAGGAGTTCAAGACCAGCCTAGCCAACATGGTGAAACCCTGTCTCTACTAAAAATACAAAAATGAGCTGGGTGTGGTGGCTTGCACCTGTAATCCCAGCTACTCGGGAGGCTGAGGCAGGAGAAATGCTTGAACCTTGGAGGCGTAGGTTGCAGTGAGCCGGGATTCCGCCACTGCACTCCAGCCTGGGCAACAGAGTGAAACTCTGTCTCAAAAATAATAGGGGCCCAGGCCGGGCGTGGTGGCTCACGCCTGTAATCCTAGCACTTTGGGAGGCCAAGGCAGGTGGATCACCTGAGGTCAGGAGTTTGAGACCAGCCTGACCAACATGGAGAAACCCTGTCTACTAAAAATACAAAATTAGCCAGGCATGGTGGTGCATGCCTGTAATCTCAGCTACTAGGGAGGCTGAGGCAGGAGAATCGCTTGAACCTGGGAGGTGGAGGTTGCGGTGAGCCGAGATTGCGCCATTGCACTCCAGCCTGGGCAACAAGAGCAAAACTCAGTCTCAGAAAAAAAAAAAATAATAATAATAATAGGGGCCTGGTGCGGTGGCTCACGCCTGTAATCCCAGCACTTTGGGAGGCCAAGGTGGGCAGGTCACAAGGTCAGGAGATCGAGACCATCCTGGCTAACACAGTGAAACCCTGTCTCTACTAAAAATACTAGCCAGGCATGGTGGCGGGCACCTGTAGTCCCAGCTACTCGGGAGGCTGAGGCAGGAGAATGGCTTGAACCCGGGAGGCGGAGCTTGCAGTGAGCCGAGATTGCGCCACTGCACTCCAGCCTGGGCGACAGAGCAAGATTCCATCTCAAAAAAAATAATAATAACAATAATAATAAATAAAGACCACATGAGAAAAAAGTCAAGAACTAGACTATTTTAAGTTTTGTGAGAAGAGATGAATATAGAACAAACAACTACAGACTTCTCACTCTTTCCAAATTTTGGTTTCCACATGTGTAACTATGGACATTAATCTTGGATTAGGTGGTAACAGTTGAGATAATATGGGTTAAAATACTTAACACCACATTTGCCACATAGAGAGTGCTCTGTAATGTTAGCTCTTTCCTTTTGTATATACAAACATTGATTCTGTAGAGATACCCTAATGGAGAACTGTATTATTAAAAGATCAGGATACAGATGCCACAGGTCTGAACTATGAGAAAGAGGAGAAATAGATGAGAGAGAAAAGAGGTAGTAAAGGGAAGAGGACAGAGTATATATGTTAGAAAGGATGTGGTGGTGGTCCTTAGTTTCCTCCAAGTATGTAGGCTGCCTGCTTCAACTCAGAACTAGTCCTAACAGCCGTTGTATCTGGCATGGTGTTCTATGCACTGTGAACCTAATGAACAATTACTCCCTTTGAATTTCAAGTCTTGACAGACCTCCTATTGTAATAGCAGATATACTTATGCTTCCAGGGAAGGAAGGCTTACTCTGGACATATTGCAAGGTAAGCAAGAGTACATAATTAGAGTATCATTTAAGGCAGAGTGCTGTGTAGGTTATAGGTCTCTCCCATCCTCCACACCAGTTGGACCCTTTCTTCACAGGGCTCGTTTTCTTTGAACTTGAGATTGAGGATCGGCCCAGTACAGCACCACCCCCTGTCCTGGGATGGTACTTCATTGTTAAAAAAGTTAGTGTCAGCTTTGCAGCAGGGCTATAAATGGTCTTCGATCCTATTTGAAGAGTAGGAAGGAGAAATTTGCCTTCCCACTGCTGGATCTGTTCAACTAAGAGGCTGGACAGTAGAAATTACTTCTCAGTCCAGCCTATTCTCTAGGGCTCTCAGAATAGAACCTTCTCCTAGGATACATTCTGTAGGTGTCTTTTAATTCTTCAGCAGCCTACTATCTTAGTGAGGGGGAGAAGGAATTAGGAAGGTTCAGGCTTTTTTTCCCCGGCAGGTTAGAAATTGAGAGTCTGAGGTTTCTCACTGGGTACTGTCCTCAGAGAGTATGATGAAGCTCCCTCTGATACGGTTTTATCTTATGCCATTTGACACACATCCTTGCCCACTCTCTTTACTCTTCTCACAATCCTTTCAGGTTCAGAGGACTTGACATTTTCAGGTGCCTGGCAACTGGTTCTTATCATACAGATAGCTCTGCATGTTGAGTTTGTACTCTTGTTTTCACATTTTCATTTGTTCTTCTAAGATCTCCTTTAGAAGAATGATCATAGTCAAAATAAAAGGTTCTTTTTGTTTTCCTGCTGTGTCTGTGACCTTATAAACTAGATTTTCCTCCAAAATACACATCTGGGTATATGAATATGAAGCCAGAAATGCACTTTTACTATTAACCAGTAAGCTAATGGGCTTCACCAAACATCTGCTGTGAGTTGGGCACTAGACATTTTGGAAGAAATATGTAATAAAATGAAAACATGATCTGCCACACAACCATGGAATGATAATATAAACCATTTTCAACTCCATATTAGTGAGTACAGAATAACACAGTACATGTTGAAGGGGATTTAGTATAAGCAGATGATTAAGGTCTTTTTTTTTTTTTTTTTTTTTTTTTTGAGGCGGAGTCTCGCTTTCCCGCCCAGGCTTGAGTGCAGTGGTGCGATCTCAGCTTACTGCAACCTCCACCTCCCAGGTTCAGCTCAGCCTCCCGAGTAGCTGGGATTACAGGTGTGTCCCACCAAGCCTGGCTAATTTTTTCTTTTTTTTTTTTTGAGACGGTCTTGCTCTCTTGCCCAGGCTGGAGTGCAGTGGCGTGATCTCAGCTCACTGCAACCTCCACCTCCCAGGTTCAAGCGATTCTCCTGCCTCAGCCTCCCAAGTATCTGAGATTACAGGCACCCGCCACCACAGCCGGCTAATTTTTGCATTTTTTAGTAGAGACAGAGTTTTGCCATGTTGGCAAAGCTGGTCTCGAACTCCTGACCTCAGGTGATCCGCCCGCCTCGGCCTCCCAAAGTGCTGGGATTACAGGCGTGAGCCACCGCGCCTGGCCGAAATTCATCTTTTATTAAAAGGAGGTTGCAGTGAGCCGAGATCGTGCCACTGCACTCCAGCCTGGGCAACATAGCCAGTCTCTGTCTCAAAAAAAAAAGCCAATTATTCATCCATGGGCTTCAGTTTCCCCATCTGCTTCATGGGGGAACTAATGCTTTCTTCTTCTTCTTTAAAAAAGGTAACATTGGCTGGGTATGGTTGCTCATGCCTGTAATCCCAGTACTTTGGGAGGTCTAGGCAGGTAGATCACTGAGGTAAGGAGTTCAAGACCAGCCTGGCCAACATGGTGAAAACCTGTCTCTACTAAAAATAAAAAAATTAGTTGGGTGTGTTGGCACATGCCTGTAATCCCAGCTACTCGGGAGGCTGAGGCAAGAGAATCGCTTGAACCCAAGAGGCGGAAGTTGCAGTGAGCCAATACCAGCCTGGGCTATAGAGGGAGACTCTGTCTCAAAAAAAAAAAAAAAAAAGAAACTAGTTTTCTGAGGATGAGTAAGCATACATTTGACCCCCCCCCTTATAACCTTATAACAGCTCTGTGAGGAAAGCTATTATTGCCATTTCATGGATGAAGAAATTAAAGTACATACAGGGAGTAAATAGCTGCCTAATATCACAGCCTTTAGTAAGGGTCAGTGCCAGATTCTGTACTCACTTTTCTGATTTCAAAGCCTGTGGTGCTAATTTGTACAACACTACCTTGCCCTTTGGCAAGTATTTCTTTTGCTGAATAGAGACGTCTCCCATTCCCTTCTGAAAGGAAGACTCTTGTCCATGGAGATTTGTAATTTAGTAGGAGGAGCAGGTGTGCTGAGACTCAGGTGCAAAGATTTAAAAGAAAACAGACATGCTATTTCCACCCTAGGAAGAACTTGGATACTGAACATGTTTATTCTTGACGAGCATCAGTGGAGAGAGAAATAACTTGTTGCAAAATCCCTCCCCAGGAGCTCATTCGTATATTAGAAAGATCTAAGTAGTGAAGTAATGAATCCCGAACACTGGTTGTGATTGCAGTCTCTTGCTTTGCACTGTTGTAAGAACACTAGAGAAATTTTCCAGCTTCAAAGCTGCTTCCTGGTGGAATATTCCACTGGGTTTGTGAAGATCTTTTAATTTTTCTTTTTAAGACTAATAATGCCTATCATTGTAGAAAAAGTGTACACACTCTACCAGATGTGTACATTTTTGTTTTAGATGACTGAGTAAATCTTTGTTCTCTGGGGGACAGAAAGCTAAAATGAACCTTTGTGAACTTTATTCTGAAAATGTTTGGACATCTGAGTTATTCTGTACCCTAGGGTGGAGGTTGCTGTAATGTCTCAGTAAGTTCCGGTCTTGGTATTTCTCCCATTTGGTAATAGCATCTGACTCTAAGGTCAATTGCATAAACTAATTTCAGGTAACTTTCCTAGTCCCTTTGAAGGGTAACAGAATCATCCCTCCTAATTTGATAGTCTAACTAAACCTTTTATAAAAGGCAGCCCCATCCACCTCCTAACATGCCTCATAGATGGTAGTAGCAGAGGGAGTGGGGTGGCATTAATGTGAGGATCAACAAAATTAAAATGACACTTCATAAGGGTTGGTTTTGTTTAGTGCTGGTTTTCTTAAGGTAAACGCCTAATATAGTATGATGGTTTGAACTTTTAGGTGCAGTGAAAGATGGGGACAGTTAGTCAATTTAAGGCACATTAGTTCCTCTCCAAGGACTGACAATTTGTTGTTGGTTTTTGTTTTGTTTTGTTTTTGAGGTGGAGTCTTGCTCTGTCTCCAGGCTGGAGTGCAGTGGTGCGATCTTGGCTCACCGCAACCACTGCCTCCCAGGTTTAAGCGATTCTTCTGCCTCAGACTCCCAAGTAACTGGTACTACAGGTGCGTGCCACCACATCCAGCTAAGTTTTGTATTTTTAGTAGAGACAGGGTTTCACCATGTTGGCCAGGATGGTCTCGATCTCTTGACCTCGTGATCCGCCTGCCTCGGCCTCTCAAAGTGCTGGGATTACAGGCGTGAGCCACTGTGCCCGGCCAGATTTTTTTATTGGTATTTTATTTGGTAGTTTAGAATAAATCTCTGGTGTTTGCTTAAAAAAGAGTATATAGAGATGATGGTAGGAATTGGCCATTTATTCATTTTTCAAATGTTTGAGCACCACTATGTGCTAAAATGATTTTTGCCCTCAGGATGCTTATATACACTTGGGCTGGGCCCGGTGGCTCACGCCTGTAATCCCAGCACTTTGGGAGGCTGAGGTGGATGGAGAGGTCAGGAGTTCGAGACCAGTCTGGCCAACATGGTGAAACCCTTTCCGTACTAAAAATGCAAAAATTAGCCAGGCGTGGTGGTCCGTGTCTGTAATCCCAGCTACTTGGGAGGCTGAGGCAAGAGAATTGCTTGAACCCGGGAGGCGGAGGTTGCAGTGAGTCGAAATGGCGCCACTGTACTCCAGCCTGGGTTACAGAGTGAGACTCCGTCTCAAAAAAAAAAAAAGAAGCTTATATACACTTACTGTAAACAATGTGTTTCATTGTTTGATACTTGGTGGAAGAGAAAAGAGAAGTTGAGTATCAGGTCCCTGTGAAGACTGGCCATAGGTTATATCAGAATACTGAACTCATGCCACACAAGTTTTAGAAAGGAATGAATTTCTATGGTTCTCCCTTATGATAAATTACAGAGTTTCCAGTGTTCTGGCCATATTATTTTTGGTATAGCTCTTTTGTTCTGTGGAAGATTTGGCAAGTCCTGTAATCCCGTAAAGGTGACCATCATCTGCTACAAAAAATCAGCTCATACTTCAGGACCTAACAGGATTCAAATAAGACTTCAACCCCATCTGATATTACCTCTCTCCCCTCCCCATTTCTAGTTGGGCTGTGCTACTTCTTTCCAACTGGTACTACTGGTGGAGGGGAGGCGATAGTCAAGAACTAGAGCTCCATCTCATTACCATTTAGTGATCAGTTACTATCTGCTCTCCAAGCTAGGCACTTGACATATATGATCTCGTAGAATCCTCATGATCTTGTGAAGTAAGTAGAAACAGACCCACAGGGATTTGTGTGGTTTGCCTTCGGTCACACGGCCATTAAGTGATAGAGCTGGACGTGAGCCTGAATCTGGGCTCCTCCTATTCTGTTCCCATATTAACCCCATATCAAAAAGACCATCTTAGTTTAAAAGTTTAAACTTAGTTTTGCAAATTTGGGAGAAGAAAAATGGAAAACACACAGTGAATAAAACAATGACAGTTTTGGAAATGGAGTAGAAATTGAAGAGGAACTGATTGATTTTCAGGTGGTGATCCATGTAATACTGCTGGCTTAGTGACTTTCCCAGAAATGATCTGGCTGAGATTTATTTATTTATTTATTTTATTTTATTTTTTTGAGGCGGAGTCTCGCTCTGTCGCCCAAGTTGGAGTGCAGTGGCTCGATCTCGGCTCACTGCAAGCTCCGCCTCCCGGTTCACACCATTCTCCTGCCTCAGCCTCCCAGGTAGCTGGGACTATAGGCGCCCGCCACCACGCCCGGCTAATTTTTTTGCATTTTTAGTAGAGATGGGGTTTCACCCTGTTAGCCAGGGTGATCTCAATCTCCTGACCTCGTGATCCGCCCACCTTGGCCTCCCAAAGTGCTGGGATTACAGGTGTGAACCACTGCACCTGGCCTCTGGCTGAGATTTAAATTGAGCTTTGTGAGGCAGGCACAGATGGGAGCTTGAAAAGGGAAGTGGTGAAAAATTTGGCCATCCATAGCCTAGGCACAACCCAGCCATCAAACCCTGGGATGAAAGCTTCTTGGGGAGCATGTACTGTACATCCCGGTTAGGGAGTATAGTAAGCAGTGTCTAAAACGTTCCTGGTCCTAACCTGAAAGTAGTTAACGTGATTTACAAGTGATGACTTGGATGGCAGAGTACTTGAGGGGGAGTGAGTGTTCGGGCTGGTAAAGTTGAGTATCTCTGAGCTGTCACAATTCATTATGGTTGTATTATAGCTAGGTTGTCTTAGGTTTTGGGGGTTTTTTGATTTTTGTTTTTGTGCTGCTATAACAGAATACCACAGATTGGTGTTCTGGTAAGGGCCTGCTCTCTGCTTTTAAGATGGCACCTTGAACGCTGCATCCTTTGTTGGGGAGGAACACTGTTCCTCTCATGGCAAGAGAACAAAAGAGAGATGGCCCACTACTTATAAGCACCTTATTTTATCTTTTTTGTGTGCGCGTGTGACTGTAGCTCTCAGGTCTTATAAGCACCTTATTTTAAATAGCAGCATGAATCTATTCATGAGGGCAGAGCCCTCATAACCTAAACACATTCCATATGCCCCACCTTTCAATACTATTGCAGTGGGGATTAAGTTTCCAACACATGAATTTGGGGGGACACCTTCAAACCATAGCATAGGGTAAATGCAGCAAGCAACTGCTCTGGGTTCTTCTTCTTTGGGTGGAGGTGAGGTTGTGGAGGCTTGTTACCTTCAGCAGACCTAGAGATGACCCTGTGAAGAAAGCAAGCCAGATGCAGTGATTCTCAACCCTAGTTCTGCATTAGAATCTTGCGTATTTGAGGCCGGGCACAGTCGCTCACACCTGTAATCCCAATTCTTTGGGAGGCCAAGGCAGACAGATCACTTGAGGTCAGGAGTTCGAGACCAGCCTGGCCAACATGGTGAAACCCTGCCTCTACTAAAAATAGCCAGGCATTGTGGCGCGTGCCTGTAACCCTAGCTACTTGGGAGGCTGAGGCAGGAGAATTGCTTGAACTGGGGAGGCAGAGGTTGCAAAGATCAGAGATGGCGCCACTGCACTCCAGCCTAGGAGACAAGAGTGAGACTCTGTCTCAAAGAAAAGAATCAGCTGGGTGCGGTGGCTAAAGCCTGTAATCCCAACACTTTGGGAGACTGAGGTGGGTGGATAATTTGAGATCAGGGGTTCGAGACCAGCCTGGCCAACATGGCAAAACCCCATCACTACTAAAAATACAACAATTAGCTGGGCGTGGTAGTGGGCGCCTGTATCCCAGCTACTTGGGAGGCTGAGGCAGAAGAATCACTTGAATCCAGCAGGCAGAAGCTGCAGTGAGCCGAGATCACACCACTGCACTGTAGCCTGGGTGGCAGAGCGAGACTCTGTCTCAGAGAAAAAAAAAATCTTTCATATTTCAAAATTGAGACTGTCTCAACCAAAATCATCACCACCCTCACTCTCCCTATTCAGAAACTATTGAGTCAGGATGGAGGAAGAAGGGATCTTTTGTGTCTGAGCATGTATTCTTTTATTTTGCTTCTTTAGAAAGCTCTAAAAGGATTCAGGGCTGGGAGGTATGCAAACTGAAGTGTTCTTGAGCATTGTTGATGATGGTGAACATTGATTAAGATCCTTGTGGGTCAGGCGGGCACGGTCGCTTGCGCCTATAACCTTAGCTGCTCAGTGAGTCTGAGGTGGGAGGAGTGTTTGGGCCCAAGAGTTCGTGACCAGCCTGGGCAGCCTTGTGAGATCCTATCTCGAAAATAAAAAGAAAAATTAGCTGAGCGTGGTGGTGCGTACCTGTAGTCCCAGGCTAGGGTGGGAGGATCACTTGAACCCAGGAGTTTCCAGGTTACAGTGAGCTGTGATTGTGCCACTGCACTCCAGTCTGGGTGACAGAGCAAGACCCCATCTCTAAAAAAATTATCTTTCTACTTGAGTTTTGTTTGGGATTTATTTGGTTTAGTTCTGTTACAATTCCTTTTTTTCACCTGTTTGATTTTTCAGACGTTAACCCTCTGGGCGAAGCATTGATGAAAGCTTTGATAAGCCAAAGTGCCCCTAAAACCAATGAGAACAAGAAGAGAATCTGAGTGCAGAGGCCCCTGGGAGCTTTGAGGGATACATTGCTGTATGTTGTCTCTTGTTTTGCCCAGTTTTTACAACCTGCATGTGACACATTGCTGTACCCCATGATTCACTAGTTCTTTGATTTCGGAAGAGGAGTATAGGGATAGTAGAAAAACGAAGGAAAACTATTACAGTTAAAGAAGGTTGTAGTTTGCCTGTGTAGCCAGCATCTCCTTAGTGAGAGCTTTATTTTTCATTTTCCCCTGAAGGGTGTTCACTTTAAAAGACATGGAAGTATTCAGCTTCCTTAATTTTATTTTGGGTGTTTACACAAACTGGTCTAACAACTTTGATTGACTTGCAGGAGTGAGGGTAAATGAATGTTTATCTTGTTTGGAAACTTTACTGGAAAAACGTTAATCTGCTTGTTTTTTTTGTTTGTTTGTTTGTTTGGTTTTGGTTTTTGTTGGTTTTGTTTTTGTTTTTTGAGATGGAGTCTCGCTCTGTCACCCAGGCTGTAGTGCAATGGCGGGATCTTGGCTCACTGCAACCTCTGCCTCCCAGGCTCAAGCCGATTCTCCTGCTGGGATTACAAGCATGCACTACCACGCCCAGCTAGTTTTTGTATTTTTAGTAGAGATGGGTTTCCTCATGTTGGCCAGGCTGGTCTCAAACTCCTGACCACAGGTGATCCACCTGTCTCGGCTTCCCAAAGTCCTGGGATTACAGACATGAGCCACCATGCCTGGCCCAGTCTGCTTGTATTAAACCTAACATACAAAACATCAGAAGTTATTAAAGTACCCTTTAAATTTTTAAAGTGAAAGCCATCCATTTAATAATCTGCATTTCCCCTCCCTAGTCAGGTGTCTTATTTTAAAGGTAAATTCAGAAACTTAATGTTTCCCCCATAGAAGGTAGGGGGAGGGGGCATGCAGGGAAACTAGTGAAAGGTAATTTTTTGCACCTAATTCAAAAGGAATAAGAAGCCAAGACCAAGTTTCAAGTTTTGTTTCATTTATCAACTTTGTAGAAATCTACCAAACAAAAAACAATTCTTAGGCAAGCTACACTTTTGAGCCATTTTTTAAAGTGGAATCCTATAACAAGATTACATTCTTAGGTGTATTTGCTCCTTGGTCCTCTGGAATGTTACATGGATATGGAATGTAAGGTTGCCCAACTGGGCTATACAGTAGGGTTGCTTAATGAATGTTTATCTTCTTAAACTATCAGCAGTGGAAAGTAAGTAGCTGCTTATCTTAAGGTCATTGCTTTGCCCTCCACATCATTATCTTATTTGAAGGGTTGCTGTAAGGCATTTTGAGTTCTCTCAGTTAATTTGTCCCAAATTTCTCCCCTCTTTAGCCTTAAACGTTCCAAATCTTTGGGGTTTGTTGCCTGTTCTTCCTCAGCTCTGAGACTTTACCTTTGCCATCCGTTTTCATTCCATTCCCTGCCGACTGCATCTTAGGAAACTATTCTCTGTAAGTCAGAGCATGTCGGCTTTTTAAAAAACCAACACCTTTTAAGAAAAAACTTCCAGCCGGGCATGGTGGCTCACGCCTGTAATCCTAGCACTTTGGGAGGCTGAGGCGGGCGGATCACCTGAGGTCGGGAGTTCGAGACCAGCCTGACCAACATAGAGAAACCCCGTCTCTACTAAAAATACAAAATTAGTCAGGCGTAGTGGCACATACCTGAAACCCCAGCTACTCAGGAGGCTGAGGCAGGAGAATGGCTTGAACCCAGGAGGCGGAGGTTGCAGTGAGGTGACATCGTGCCACTGCACTCCTGCCTGGGGAACAAAAGGGAAACCCCCTCTCAAAAAAAAAAAGAAAAGAAAGAACTTCCTACAAACCCCTAGGGTTGTAGGCCCCTTGAGAATTGGCTTACCAAGCATAAGCCAGTAAAATTGGTACTCAAGTGTTTTCCCCATCTTTTATCTCTTCGTATTCTCCCTGTGCATGAGTGGACCCCTGTGTCAGGTAGGTGGCACCTACAGTCTAGATTGTGATGGAAGTTCTGTTTAGTTGCCCAGTGTTTCCAGTCTCTTCCAAAGCAAGTATCTTTTCTCTCCATTGGCATGTATGTAGAGTTTGACATAACTCCAGAAGGAATTATCAAAAAGGTTTTTTGGAAATTACAGTTTAGAAGCCTAGCAAGTGTTTGTGATGATAACTGAAGCAGTGTATCATAAATTTCCTTGATTCCGTGGTTTGGCCAGAATGCTTGCTCCCCTATCCAAGGGGTGGCAGCAGAGCACACACCATACTGTCCTGTGTACTGTCTTTGATTAGCTTGTAATTTATTGGGGAAAATAGCACAGAAGTTTATGAACCAGCCTTCAAGGTAGACACCCAAACAGAATTCTGATTTTTGGATATGTAACTTTGGCTGCCAATCTGAGAGTAGCTATTTTTGATAGTGGGAGGACTGGACAGCCAGCTCATCTAGTTAGAAAGAAAACTGTTTTCTGGGCCGGGTACAGTGGCTCACACCTGTAATCCTAGCACTTTGGGAGGCCAAGGCAGGTGGATCATGAGCTCAGGAGTTCCAGACCAGCCCGACCAACATGGTGAAACCACATCTCTACTAAAAATACAAAAATTAGAAGGTCAGGCATGGTGGCTCATGCCTGTAATCCCAGTACTTTGGGAGGCTGAGGTGGGCGGATCACAAGGTCGGGAGATCGAGAACATCCTGGCTAACATGGTGAAACCCCATCTCTACTAAAAATACAAAAAATTAGCTGGGTGTGGTTGCATGCGCCTGTAGTCTCAGCTCCTCAGGAGGCTGAGGCAGAAGAATTGCTTGAACCCAGGAGGCAGAGCTTGCAGTGAGCTGAGATGGCACCACTGCACTCCAGCCTGGGCAGCAGAGCGAGACTCCATCTCAAAAAAAAAACAATAGCTGTTGGGCATGATGGTGCATGCCTGTAATCCCAGCTACTCCAGAGGCTGAGGCAGGAGAATTGCTTAAACCTGGGAGGCGGAGGTTGCAGTCAGCCAAGATCATGCCACTGTACTCCAGCCTGAGCAACAGAGCAAGACTCCATCCTGGGGGGCAGGGGGTAGGCGGGAAGAAAACCATTTTCTGCCTGGAAAACCTGTGGAATTAACCACTAGGAGAAAACTTCCAGGGCAAGAGGTCCTGTTAATGAGATCCCTTCCCAATGCAAATACCGAAGACACTATAGTACACGTTTATGAAATTTTGCTTTATGAAAATAAGCTTTCTAGGACCCAATTTGAGATATTTTCATATTTTAAACACCTGTAGTTAAAAGCTAATATAGGGGGTTTATTTTCGTTCCCCTCACAGTGCTGCTTCTGTTCTTACTAGTCACTTAACACGTAAGCCCATTTAATTTGACTCTGTAACCAGCTTTCTGATTTCTTTTTCTTGCCAGCTTCCACTGGACTCTGGATAGGTGAGATTTTATTAAAGCTGGCATATTGGGCTACTGTGAGATGATGCACTCTCAGTAATTAGGGGAAAGTTTAGATGGTTCTGGCAGTCTAACTACAATATTAAACTTATATACCCTTTAAGGGTATAGATCCAATAATCTATAAGGATCTCAGGAAGTAACTTTCTTACAGTCTCGTGAAATATCAGATAGAAACAGTTTATAAAGTGATAACACATTTCTTTTTTTTTTTTTTTTTTAAACAGAGTCTCACTCTGTTGCCCAGACTGAAGTGAGTGGCGTGATCTCTGCTCACTGCAACCTCTGTCTCCCAAGTTCAAGCGATTCTCCTGCCTCAGCCTTCAAAGTAGCTGGGATTATAGGCGTGTGCCACCACACCCAGCTAATTTTTGTATTTTTAGTAGAGATGGGGTTTCACCATCTTGGCCAGGCTGGTCTCGAACTCCTGACCTCAGGTGATCCACCCGCCTCGGCCTCCCACAGTGCTGGGATTACAGGTATGAGCTACCGCGCCTGGCCAGGTGATACTGCATTTTTTAGTGTGCTTCGGTTCATATCAGATCAGCCTTTGCCTTCAAGATGTAAGTCAGCTCAATTTATACTGGTAGCTATTGTACTAAAGCCAGCCTTTAGATCAGGTCAGGGCAGATTTGGGATTTCTAGTTTCCTATATGTTGTAGATTTGATTCTGTTTATACTGCTGCTTGTTCTCATAAAATTATTAATAGGCCAGACATGGTGGCTCACGCCTGTAATCCCATCACTTTGGGAGGCTGAGGCAGGCGGATCACGAGGTCAGGAGTTCGAGACCAGCCTGGCCAACATAGTGAAACCTTATCTCTACTAAAAATACAAAAATTAGCCAGGCGTGGTGGCGCACGCCTGTACTCCCAGCTACTTGGGAGGCTGAGGCAGGAGAATCGCTTGAACCCAGGAGGTGGAGGCTGCAGCAAGCCAAGATCGCCCCACTGCACTCCAGCCCGGGTGACAGTGTGAGACTTCATCTCAAAAAAAAAAAAAATTATTAATAGTAAGCTGGTTTTTCTTAACATGATAAAATTAGAATTTATTGATAATTTAGTAAAAACACAAATTACTACTTCTCGGGAAAACATGCTTTGGCTTTTATGGGGGAAACTGTCAGGTTGAGACCAAGAGACATTAAAAGAAATATCCTGGGTCCTATTATTTTTAGTCATGATGAATGTATTTTGTATACCATCTTCATATAATAAAATTAACTTCCAAAAATGTAAAAAAGAAAAAAAAAGGGAAAGGAAGGAAGAAAAGAAAGAAAGAAATATCCTGGCCGGGCACGGTGGCTCATGCCTGTAATCCCAGCACTTTGGGAGGCCAAGGCGGGCGGATCATGAAGTCAGGAGATCAAGACCATCCTGGCCAACATGGTGAAACCCCATCTCTACTAAAAATACAAAAATTAGCCGGGTGTGATGGCGTGTGCCTGTAGTCCCAGCTACTGGGGAGGCTGAGGCAGGAGAATTGCTTGAACCCAGGAGGCAGAGGCTACAGTGAGCCGAGATCGCGCCACTGCACTGCAGCCTGGTGACAGAGCAAGACTCTGTCTCAAAAAAAAAAACAAAAAACGGAAAGAAATTTTTTTTTTTTTTAAGAGACACAGTTTCACTCTGGTTTCCAGGCTGAAGTGCAGTGGTGTGATCACGGCTCACTGCAGCCTCAACCTCTAGGGCTTAGGTAATTCTCCCACCTCAGTCTCCCAAGTAGCTGAGATTACAGGCACATACCACCATACTTGCCTAATTTTTGTAGAGACAGGTCTCACTATATTTTTTTGGTTTTTGGTTTGTTGTTTTGTGACAGTCTCGGTCTGTCACCCAGTCTGGAGTGTAGTGGCACGATTTGGGCTCACTGCAACCTCCATCTCCCAGGTTCGAGCGATTCTCGTGCCTCAGACTCCCAAGTAGCTGGAATTACAGGCGTGTGCCACCATGCCCAACTTTTTTTTTTTTTTTTGAGACAGAGTCTCACTCTGTCACCCAAGCTGGAGTGCAGTGGCACGATCTCGGCTCACTGCACCGCAACCTCTGCCTCCCAGGTTCAAGCAGTTTTCGTGCCTCAGCCTCCAGAGTAGCTGGGATTACAGGCATGAGCCACCACGCCTAGCACACCCAGCAACTTTTTGTATTTTTAGTAGAGGTGAGGTTTCACCATAGTGGCTAGGCTGGTCTTGAACCCCTGGCCTCAAGTGATCTGCCTGCCTCGGCCTCCCAGAGTGCTGGGATTGCAGGTGTGAGCCACCATGCCCAGCCAGGGTCTCACTGCATTTCACAGGCTGGTCTCAAAACTCCTAGGCGCAAGCAGTTCTGCCTCAAGCCTCCCAAAGTGCTGGGATTACCAGTGTGAGCCACCTCGCCCAGCCTTTCCCCTTTAAAGTGCATTATTTCACTGTTTTTCCAGAGTTGTGCAACCACTAATTTTAAAATATTTTCCTTAAAAAAAGAAAAACAGTATTTCCATCAACCTAAAAATCCCTGTACCCTTTAACAATCACTCTGCATTCCTCCCTCTCCTCAGCCCCTGGCAACCACTAATCTACCTTTGTCTCTCTGGAATGCCTATTGTGAACATTTTGTGTAAATGGAACTATACAATATGTGGTGTTTTTTTTGTTTTGAGACAGTTTCACTCTGTTGTCAGGCTGGAGTGCAGTGGCGTGGTCTCGGCTCACTGCATCCCCCACCTCCCGGGTTCAAGCGATTCTCCTGCCTCAGCCTCCCCAGTAGCTGGGACTACAGGCACATGCCACCACGCTCGGCTAATTTTTTTGTTTTTTCCTTGAGACGGAGTCTAGCTCTGTCATCCAGGCTGCAGTGCAGTGGCTCTATCTCGGCTCATTGCAACCTCCGCCTCCCGGGTTCAAGCGATTCTCCTGCCTCACCCTCCTGAGTAGCTGAGATTACAGGCACACACCACCACGCCCGGCTAATTTTTGTATTTTTAGTAGAGACGGGGTTTCACCATGTTGGTCAGGATGGTCTCGGTCTCTTGACCTCGTGATCCGCCCACCTTGGCCCCCCGAAATGCTGGGATTACAGGCGTGAGCCACTGTGCCCTGTCTACAATATGTGTTCTTTTGTGACAGTTTTTACTTGATGTAGTGTAAGGGTTTTTTTGTTTGTTTGTTTGTTTGTTTGTTTTGAGATGGAGTCTTGCTCTTTCGCCCCAACCAGACTGCAGTGGCGCTATCTTGGCTAACTGCAAGCTCTGCCTCCCGGGTTCACACCATTCTCCTGACTCAGCCTCCTGAATAGCTGAGACTACAGGCGCCTGCCACTGCGCCCGGCTAATTTTTTGTATTTTTAGTAGAGATGGGGTTTCACCATGTTAGCCAGGATGATCTCGATCTCCTGACCTTGTGATCCTCCTGCCTCAGCCTCCCAAAATGCTGGGATTACAGGCATGAGCCACCACACCTGGCCAATGTAGTGTAAGTTAATGCAATATGTCATTTATTTTATTGCTGAATAGTTTTTAGCATATGAATGTACCACATTTTGATTATTCATTTATCAGTTGGACATATGGGTTGTTTCTTTTTTTCGTTTGTTTTGTTTTTTTTTTTACTATTATGAATAATGCCTCCATGAACATTGAAGCACAAATTTTTGTGTGTTACATATTTTGTCAGTTCTCTTGGGTATCTAACTAAGAGTAGAGTGGTTGGGTCATATGGTAACTCTGTGTTTAAACTCCTAAGGACTGCCAGACTGTTTTCTGGAAGTATTGTACCACTTAACATTCCCAACAGCATTGAATGAAGATTTCGATTTCTTCACATGCTATGTCTTTGTAGAAATGTCTCCTCACACCCTTTGCCCATTTTTTATTTGGGTTTTTTGTTGATGAATTATGAGTTTTTACATATTCTTTATATTCTTTACATAAATCTTAAGAGATAATATGATTTGCATATATTTTCTCCCATTCTGTGGGTCTTTTTACTTTCCTAATGCTATCCTTTGAAGTCCAAAGGTCGGTTTTTGGGTTTTTTTGAGAATGAAAGCAAGTTGATTAGAGAAGTAAAAAAAACCAAAAAAACAAAAAACAAGAGAATGGCTACTCTGTAGAGCAGCCTAAAAGTTTTTAATTTTGAAATCCACTTGATGTAGATCATCTAATATTTTAAATAGTCGTTTATCCATGTTGTGACTAAACTAAGAAAAATCAGGATGAGAAAAGAAATGAAACTTACAGGAATCCTTTTTGAAAAGGAATCACCTAGAATGAACTCCCCAGGTGATTTTCATCTGCAAAAAATTGAGAACTGAACTACTGTTTTGGGGAAGTGCATGCTCTAAAAAATTTTAACTTACAGGCTGGGCGCGGTGGCTCACGCCTGTAATCCCAGCACTTTGGGAGGCTGAGGCAGGGGGATCACCTGAGGCCGGGAGTTCGAGACCAGCCTGGCCAACATGGTGAAACCCAGTCTCTACTAAAAATACAAAGAAAATTAACTGGGCCTGGTGGCACAAGCCTGTAATCCCAGCTACTTGGGAGGCTGAGGCAGGAGAATCGCTTGAACCTAGGAGGCTGAGGTTGCAGTGAACTGAGATGGTGCCACTGCACTCCAGCCTGGGCAACAAGAGCAAGACTCCATCTAAAAAAAATAAATAAATAAGTTATAAATGGACTAAGTAGTTGATTTTTAAGAATTTTTTTCGTTGTAAAAAATACATAACATGAAGTTTACCATCTTAACCATTTACAAGTGTATAGTTCAGCAGTATTAAGTACATTCACACTGTTGTGCAGCCAGTCTCTAGGACTTTTCGTCTTGTAAAACTAAAACAACTATTAAACAACTGCCTAGTTCCACCTTACTCCAGTTGCTGGCAACTGCATTTCTACTCTCTGTCTCTATGAACTTTAATATTCTAGGTTACCTCATGTAAGCAGAATCATACAGTATTTGTCCTTTTCTGTCTGGCTTATTTTTCTTAGCATAATGTGTTCAAGGTTCATCCATTTTGTGTGTCAGAATTTCCTTCCTTTAAGACTGAATAATATTTCATTGTGCACACACACCACTTTTTTTTATTTGTTCATCCACCAGTGGATGTTTGGGTTGCTTCCACCTCTAGGCTATTGTGAATAATGCTGCTATGAACATTGGTGTGTAAGTCCCCGCTCTCACTCTTGGGTATGTAATTGAAAGTAGAATGGCTAGATCATATGGTAATTAGGTGTTAAAAAAAAATTTTTTTTTTTGGAAGAGCTACCACACTTATCCCACATGGCTGTACCATTTTATATTCCCACTGGCAATGCACAAGGGTTCCAATTTCTCCACATCCTCACCAACACTTTGTTTCCTTCCTTCCTTTTTTGAGACAGTCTTATACTGTTGCCCAGGCTGGAGTGCAGTGGCAAATCATAGCTCACTGCAGTTTCTAACTCCTGGGCTTGAGTGATATTCCTGCCTCAGCCTCCTGAATAGCTAGGGCTACAGGCCTGCATCACGTGACACCCAGCTGATTATTTATTTTTTGTACAGATGGGGGCCTCATTATGTTGCCCAGGCTGTTCTCAAACTCCTGGACTCAAGTGATCCTCCTACCTTAGCCTCCCAAAGTGCTGGGATTACAGGTGTGAGCCACTGTGTTTGCTTTGCATAGAAGTAGGAATTTTCCGATGAGATATTTCTTGACTGGTAGTGATGATAAGTGTCTTTGGAAGTTGTAGACAAAAAAGATATGTTACTGGCATTGGTGTTGAAATTTAAAGGGGGCTTAAAAATGGGTTGGTAACTGCTCAGAAGGGACCTCCCATGTGGCAGGGCCTTGATGGTATTTACCCATTTCCTTTAGATTTTCTAGTTTATGTGTATGGAGGTGTTCATAAGGGTCTCTCAGAATCATTCTACTTCTGTGAGATCAGTTGTAATGTCACCTTTGTCATCTCTGACTGTACTTATTTGGATCTTCTGTCGTTTTTTCTTTGTTAATGTAGACAGTGGTTTATCAATCTTGTTTATGCTTTCAAAAAACCAACTTCTGGTTAAGTTGATTATTTCCCTGGATTTTGGGGTCTTAATTTTGTTCAGTTCTGCTCTGATTTTAGTTCTTTTCTTTTGCTAGGTTTGGAATTAGTTTGCTCTTATGTTTCTGGTTTTCCAAGTATGATATTGGATCATTAGTTTGATATCTTTCTGACATTTTGAGATACGCATTTAACAAGTGCCCCATAAACATATGAAAAAAATGCTCAACATCATTAATCAGAGAAATCCAAATCAAAACCGCAATGAGACAACATCTCACACACATCAGCATTGTTATTATTAAAAAGTTAAAAAACCAAAATCTTCCATAGGTCAGATTTTGGTCCCGTTTTTTAGTTCTAAAAACTTGAGTTTGGTTGGGCACCCAGAATTTATCAGGCTGTCAGTCATTCCTCCTTTTAATCAAACTCAAATGCAATTAATATGTTGCCATTTAAAGAGAATGAGTTTGTGAGAGAGAGATTTTTTTTTTTTTTTCTCGAGACTAAGTCTAGCTCTGTCGCCCAGGCTGGAGTGCAGTGACATGATCTCGGCTCACTGCAACCTCCGCCTCCCGGATTCAAGTGATTCTCGTGCCTCAGCCACCTGAATAGCTGGGATTACAGGCACTTGCCACCATGCCCAGCGAATTTTTTTTTTTTTTAATTGAGACGAGGTTTCACTCTGTTGGCCAGGCTTGCCTCGAACTCCTGACCTTGTGATCCGCCCGCCTCGGCCTCCCAAAGTGCTGGGATTATAAGCGTGAGCCATCGTGCCCGGCCGAGAGAGAGAGATTTCATAACTGGGACATTTCTGTGACTTCCACAGTTCTCCTTTCCCATCATTAGAATACTAAATTCTTGATTACAAATATGCCTAGACTTTGGAAAGACTCATTGCATCATCCTGTCATGGCGTCTCCCACTCAACCACCACATTTGAAGGCTCTCCCACGGACAGATTCACTACCAAATTCCAGCCTGTTGACACTCCTTATTTATCATAGATAGCTTCTTTCTTTAGGAAATGAGGTGTTTCTCAAGTATCTCTCCAAGTGTATTCTTTACATAACTTACCTCACTATTCAATCAAATTGAGCACTAGATTCTGAACACTGTTCCTAACTCTGTGTATACGTTCATAAACAAGACTAATATAGTCCCTACATTACTCCTTTGAGAGTGACCTGTTTCCATAACTTTGGGGCATCTCCCTGTAGCTTGCTTTTACCAGAGAGAAACATGAGTTTACTTACATGATATTTAAATCCCTAATGAGTTATTCTTTCTTCCACAGCAATGGCACCAGCATGATATCATTGATCATTCCTCCCAAAGACCAGATTTCACGAGTGGCAAAAATGTTAGCGGATGAGTTTGGAACTGCATCTAACATTAAGTCACGAGTAAACCGCCTTTCAGTCCTGGGAGCCATTACATCTGTACAACAAAGACTCAAACTTTATAACAAAGGTAATCTGGAGTTTGCTCCTTTTCCTTCTCTACACATTTTGGTTATGTTTTATACTGTGATGCTGCTATGGTGCTTTGTTCACTAATGTTCCCTTAAGTCGGCTGTCATCAGTGTCTCTTTGGCCTTGGTGGTTAGCTTTTTTGTTTTGTTTTGTTTTTTGTTTATTGAAAGTTAAGTAGGCCAGGCACAGTGGCTCATGCCTGTAATCCCAGCACTTTGGGAAGCTGAGGCAGGTGGATCACTTGAGGTCAGGAGTTCGAGACCAGCCTGGACAACATGGTGTGAAACCCTGTCTCTACAAAAAATACAAAAGTTAGCCAGGCCTGGTGGCACACACCTGTAGTCCCATCTACTCTGGAGGCTGAGGCGAGAGAATCAACTGGACCCGGGAGGTGGGAGTTGCAGTGAGCCACGATCTCGCTGCTGCACACTAGCCTGAGTGACAGAGTGAGGCGTTGTCTCAATTTTTTTTTTTTTTTTTTTTTTTGGGATGAGACAGAGTCTTGCTCTGTCACCCAGAGACTGAAGTGCAGTAATCCGATCTCAGCTCACCACAAGCCTCCCAGGTTGAAGTGATTCTTCCGTCTCAGCCTCTCGAGTAGCTGGGACTACAGGTGCCCATCACCACGCCTGGCTACTTTTTGTATTTTTCGTAGAGATGGGGTTTCACCATGTTGGCCAGGTTGGTCTTGAATTCCTGACGTCAGGTGATCCGCCTACCTCGGCCTCCCAGAGTGCTGGGATTACAGGCGTGAGCCACCACCACGTCCAGCCTGTTTACTTTAAAGAATAAATCGTACTGAAACGTCTCAGAAGAAGTTTTAAAATTAGGGAGAGAGTTCTGCCTGAGAGATTTCAAGCTTTTTCTGCTTTATTTAAATTATGACTTAAAGGATCAGGCAGGGAAAATAGGCTATGGGAACATTTTCTATTAATTGACGAAAAACTAGATATGGGGTAAAGTAGAAAAATTGTTTGTGTTCTTTGCAGTACCTCCAAATGGTCTGGTTGTATACTGTGGAACAATTGTAACAGAAGAAGGAAAGGAAAAGAAAGTCAACATTGACTTTGAACCTTTCAAACCAATTAATACGTCATTGTATTTGTGTGACAACAAATTCCATACAGAGGTAAGAAGTCAAACCCAGAACATTTTCATCGCTCCAGAATTCTTTCCCCGTACCCATTAGCAGTCAGTCCCCCATCCCTCCCACTTACCTGTCTCATTCTAGGCAACCACTATATTTTCTTTCCATAGATATGCTTGTGCTGTACTTCTTTTATTTTTATTTTTTTATTTTTATTTTTTTATTTTTTTTTTAGACGGAGTCTCGCTCTGTCTCCCAGGCTGGAGTGCAGTGGTATGATCTCGGCTCACTGCAAGCTCCGCCTCCCAGATTCAAGGGATTCTCCTGTCTCAGCCTCCTGAGTAGCTGGGATTGCAGGCACATGCCACCACACCCAGCTAATTTTTTTGTATTTTTAGTAGAGATGGTGTTTAAACACATTGGTCAGGCTGGTCTCAGACTCCTGACCTCGTGATCCACCCACCTTAGCCTCCCAAAGTACTAGGATTACAGGCATGAGCAACCCCGCCCAGCCTGGACATTTTATATAATGGAATCATATAGTTTGTGGCCTTTTGTGACTGGCTTCTTTTACTTTATACTTTTAAGGTTCCATGTGGTAGCATTCATCAGTACATTTCATCCCTTTTGATTACCAAGTAGTATTCCATTGTATACCTATATGCCATATTTCATATTTTATATAGCTTCTCGTTTCATCAGTTTTACATTTGAGTGGTTTGCACTGTTTGGCTGTTCTGAATAATGCTGCTGTGAACATTCATGGACAAGTTTCTATGTGACCATACATTTTCATGTTTCTTAGATTTGTGGAATCGTGTAGGTTATATAGTAATTATGTTTAACTTTTTAAGAAGTTGCTAGACTGTTTTCCAAACCGTTGTACCATTTTACAAAGCTGTCTGTTTTCAAAAAGTAAGGCAATTTACATTTATTATGACACTAGTCATTCAGCATGTTTTGAGACAGAGTCTCACACTGTCGCCCAGGCTAGAGTGCAGTGGTGCAATCTTGGCCCACTGCAACCTCCATCTCCATGGTTCAAGCGATTCTTGTGCCTCAAGCCTCCTGAATAACTGGGATTACAGGTGTGCACCACCATGCCTGGCTAATTTTTTGTGTTTTTTTAGTAGAGACAGAGTTTTGCCATGTTGGCCAGGCCTGTCCCAAACTCCTGGCCTCAAGTGATCTGCTCGCTTCAGCCTCCCAAAGTGTGTGTGTGTGTGTGTGTTTTGATTTTTGTGGGTACATAGTAGGTGTATATGGGGTACATGAGATGTTTTGATACAGGCATGCAATGTGAGCTATCACACTATGGAAAATAGGGTACCCATTTCCTCAAGCGTATATCCATTGTGTTACAAGCAGTCCAGTTATACTCTTTGAGTTATTGCACTCAGTTTTCACATAACAATTGTAAAATTTTTAGTAGCAGAACTGTAAGAACTCATTTTCCCCCCTTTCCCCTGAAACTTTTGAGTGACAAAGCTGCCATAGGATGAACTTGAACAGTGGAAAGGAAACCTCATTAGAGTGACCTAAATCAGTCAACAGTAGAACAATCAAGAATTCACAGCTGGCTCCTTAGTTCATTCTCTTGCCTTTCATCAACCTAGGGAAAAACCTCTACAGTGGAATTAGAACTGACATTTGTCGACAGTTTACAGTGGATGATTTTTGCTAACTTGATGGGAAGTCCATTTATAGTTGGATCTTGGTCGACTGCATAGACAATCCAGACTGTTTTTCTCTTCACTACCACACTCTACTTACAGCAGAGGGTTTTTCAGGGAGCCTCTCAGCCACTGAAACCACTTACCTGTATCTGGTTGGATGAAAGCCGATTTTGAATCTTGTTGATTTAAACAGTGCCAGGTACCCATGTTGTCTGGCTTTTGCTCACTTACTGAGTTAGCCTTGTTGGCTTTTTTCCAAACCTTAACTCCTTTTCTAAGATACTGTTTAATCTTGCTAACTTTGTACATTTTAGCTTTAACTGAGAGGGTTATATCCTGTTTATCAGGGTAATTATATATTCTAATAAGGGATATGCCTATTCCCTGATAAGCAGATTTATTAAAAACTTCAATCTACCTAACGGGTCATTTTGATAAGGCTATATTATTAACGTGCAATATTCATATTCATGTCTTTTTTCTTTTTCTTTTTCTTTTTTCTGAGATTGAGTTTTGCTCTGTTGCCCAGGCTGGAGTGCAATGGCACGATCTCGGCTCCTTGCAACTTCCACCTCCCGAATTCAAGTGATTGTCCTGCCTCAGCCTCCTGAGTAGCTGGGATTACAAGTGTGCACCACCACGCCCAACTAATTTTTGTATTTTTAGTAGATGAGATTTCACCATGTTGGCTAGGCTGGTCTGAAACTCCTGACCTCGAGTGATCCACCCACCTTGGCCTCTCAAAGTGCCATTGCAGGCATGAGCCACCACGCCCGGCCACAATATTCATGTCTTAATGCCAACTATCTAGCATGGTTTGTTAAAGATGGATTCTTAGTTGATCCATCTGCTTTCTAGTCAATTATTGAAGGGGCTATTTTCTTAAAATGGAATGGTAAGGCCAGGTGTTGTGGCTCACACCTATGTAATCCCAGCACTTTGGGAGGCCAAAGAGGAGGATCAGTTTATAAAAATAAAATGGAATGGGTAACAATTTCTTACTTCCAAAGAGATTGTCCCCTGGCAATTAGAGATCAACTAAGTGTGTAGTATTCCGATTCCACTGTGAGAACTCTTATCTATGTATGTCCCAGGACTGTTTCAATATTTTCTCTTTGGGAAGGCATAAAGGGATATAAAGTTAACATAGAAGGAAGGTTTTCCTCATAAAACTCAGAATCATTAGCTGCAATACCTTTAAAGACATGCTGGCTCATGCCTGTAACCCCGGCACTTTGGGAGGCTAAGGCAGAAGGATCATTTGAGTCCAAGACTTCGAGGCTGCAGTGAGCTATGATGGCTACTGCACTCCAGCCTGGCCAGCAAAGTGAGACCCTGTCTCAAAAAAAAAAAAAAAAGGAACAAGTTAAAGTTTTTTTGTTTTTTGAGACAAGGTCTCTGGATCACCCAGGCTGGAGTACACTGGCACAATCTTGGCTCACTGCAACCTACACCTCCCAGACTAAAGCCTTTCCAAGTAGCTGGTAGGGACTACAGGCACGTGTCACCACAGCCACCTAATTTTTGTATTTTTTTGTAGAGACAGTGTTTCGCTATGTTGCCCAGGCCAGTCTCAAACTCCTGAGCTCAAGCCATCTGCCTGCCACAGCCTCCCATAGTGCTGGGATTACATGTGTGAGCCATCATACCCAGCTTAGAACTCTATATTATAAAACTGAAACTGTATCCATTGAGCAATAATTCCTTGTTCCCCCTTTTTTCCAGCCCCTGGCAACCACCATTTGACTTTTTGTCTCTGATTTTGATTACTCCAGGAACCTCATATAAGTGGAGTCATACAGTATTTGTCCTTTTTTGACAGGGTTATTTCACTTAGCATGTATTCAAGTTTCATCCCTGTTGTAGTGTGTTTCAAAATTTTCTTCCTTTTTGAGATTGAGTAGTATTAACTGCTGTATGTAATATTGCTATAAACATGGGCATACAGATATCTTTCTGGTTTTATATTTACATGCCCATGTCAAATGTGTTGAAAAGCTTCACATAGATATCATTCGTTATTTCCTTATTGGGTTCAAATTTGTCCATAAGAGTTACATGTTTATAACTGAAGTCTATAAATTATTCCGTAGAAGGTTTTCCCACAGTGCTAATAGCATGGTGAGTGGAGTGAAAGGGCTTGTATATATCCTTTCAGAGTTTTTTTGACCTTAGCAAAGCTTTGGGATTCACCGTGTGGTACTTGTGTTTGCTTTTCAGGCTCTTACAGCACTACTTTCAGATGATAGCAAGTTTGGATTCATTGTAATAGATGGTAGTGGTGCACTTTTTGGCACACTCCAAGGAAACACAAGAGAAGTCCTGCACAAATTCACTGTGGATCTCCCAAAGAAACACGGTAATACAGGAGGAGAACATGAACCCACTTACTTTGTGTCTAGCAATAAGAAAACAGTATGGTGGGCCGGGTGCGGTGGCTCACGCCTGTAATCCCAGCACTTTGGGAGGCCGAGCCGGGTGGATCACGAAGTCAGAAGTTCGAGACCAGCCCGGCCCTGTCTCTACTAAAAATACAAAAATGTGACGGGCGCCTGTAATCCCAGCTACTTGTGAGGCTGAGGCAGGAGAATTGCTTGAACCCGGGAGACGGAGGTTGCATTGAGCCAAGATTGCGCCACTGCACTCCAGTCTGGGCGACAGAGTGAGACTCTGTCTCAAAAAAGAGAGAGAGAGAAAACAGTATGATGTGAGGGGAGTGAATCCAGATGATGGGGAGAGAAGCCTCCTGTAATGACTGGTGCCTCATTGGTACTTACAGCTCCTCTCTTGACATAGACTTAGTAGTCGCTCTCTGAAAACAAGTAGCAGTTTATGCTGAACGTTTAGTTAAGGGAATGGTGATTTTTCTTTGTCCTTTTCTTAGATGATGACATGATTATTTTATTTTTAATTTGAAGACATCTTGTAGTTCTTAATAATTGCCTTTTTCTCTTGCTACTTTTGTGTCAAAGGTAGAGGAGGTCAGTCAGCCTTGCGTTTTGCCCGTTTAAGAATGGAAAAGCGACATAACTATGTTCGGAAAGTAGCAGAGACTGCTGTGCAGCTGTTTATTTCTGGGGACAAAGTGAATGTGGCTGGTCTAGTTTTAGCTGGATCCGCTGACTTTAAAACTGAACTAAGTCAATCTGATATGTTTGATCAGGTAAGTAAGAAGTAGATGCTTTATTATGTAAGACCCTAGGTAGGAGTAGGTGAGTCCTCTGTGTGAGCACTGGAACAGACACATCTTTTTAAAATTCCTTGGGTTAAAAACTTGCCTCTGAGTTAAACAGCAGGTTTACAGATGTTTATCAGGAAACATTCCCCTGTGCTTTTCTGAACCCCTTCTCTTCTGAAATCAACCATTTTTAGGTGGGCTTCTTATGGATCCTGTGGAGGTTCCTTGTTTAGTTGGGTTGTCAGAATTGGCTGTAGAATGGAGTTTGATTTCAAAGAAACTAAAACCTGTTCCTTATTTTCTTTTTCTGATTTATTCTTGGAGATACATAGCAGCAAAGCTCTCAGCAGTATGACAGCTGATTCAGCCTAAAGCATTTAAAGCACATTTTATAACATGGGCTCAGCCATAATACACTTTCAAGATCTGGAGGAAGTAGCCTTATGGTAGAAGGTCCACCAAAGAAATTGCCTTTAAAAAAAAAAAAAAATATATATATATATATATATATATATATATATATTTTTTTTTTTTTTTTTTTTTTTTTTTTTGAGACTGGGTCTGGCTATCTTGCCTAGGCTGGAGTGCAGTGGCAATCATGGCTCACTGCAGCCTCGATCTCCCAGGCTTAAGTGATCCTCCCAGCTCAGCCTCCCAAGTAGCTGGGACTACAGGGATGTGTCACCATGCCCAACTAATTTTTGTACTTTTTGGTAGAGACAGGGTTTCACCATGTTGCCTAGGCTGGTCTCAGAATTCCTGGACTCAAGCTGTCTGCCTCTCCTAGCTTCCCAAAGTGCTGGGATTATAGGTGTGAGCCACCCTCCCCAGCCCGTCTTAACCTCTACTACCTTATTTGGCAGGAGCCAGTGGTCCCCCCTTTCCTCCACAATAACTTATTTTTGTTTGCACTTAATGAGTTGTCCTATAGTAGGTCTAATAAAATGTGTGATATAATTGGCAGTGCTGTTCACTTTAAGAGCAGCTTTTGATTAAATTGGGCTCCTTCCCCATATTTAGACTTCAGTGATCATAATGCTGAGCTTTGCATACCATTAAGAGTTAGTGGGTTTGAGTAAAGGTGTTTTAATAATATTTTAAATAAGTACCAGTAAGTACTAATAATATTTTTTTTGTGTGTTAGAGGTTACAATCAAAAGTTTTAAAATTAGTTGATATATCCTATGGTGGTGAAAATGGATTCAACCAAGCTATTGAGTTATCTACTGAAGTCCTCTCCAACGTGAAATTCATTCAAGAGAAGAAATTAATAGGTATCGGTGAAATGCAACTACTTATTCTGTGAAATGTTTTCGTGTGTGTGTGTGTGTGTGTGTGTGTGTGTATGTGTGTGTGTGTATGTACGTGATTGTATGTATGAGACAAGGTACCAAAAATGTAAAAAGGAATATTTAGTATTTTTATTAACTCTTTTGCCTCAGTAAAAGCATTATTTTTTATCTTCTTTAGTCATTAGGTCGAATAGGTGTGTTTGTATCTACTAGGGAAACTTTAATATATATCCTGTTGACTGATCCCTAATCGTAGGACGATACTTTGATGAAATCAGCCAGGACACGGGCAAGTACTGTTTTGGCGTTGAAGATACACTAAAGGCTTTGGAAATGGGAGCTGTAGAAATTCTAATAGTCTATGAAAATCTGGATATAATGAGATATGTTCTTCATTGCCAAGGCACAGAAGGTATGAGAATTAGAAAATAAGGTTGCTATTTGTTACTGAGCCAGGAAGCCTGGGGTGGAGATTTGGGAGGGATGGCTGATTTCAGGAGCAATCAGAAGGTAGATCTACCCATTGTTCCCCAGTCCTTCAGTCTGTAGCACATTCCTGCATAGATTTTTCTGCTTGAACTGTTTAACGTCTGCTTAAGATTGTTACATCTGCTGAGGACCAGGACTATATCTTGAACATCTCTGATGTTCCTTATGGTTGAAGCATTGTACCTAGTAGACACTCAGTGTATGCTAACATGTTTATGGAAAAAATGTTGAGAGATTGAGTCCCTGAGCCCTTTTCTCATCTAACCTCATCTTATGGAGCTTACACAGATTAGTATATGAGAGCCAGGTTAACACATTTTTTCCTCCTAATACTACAGAGGAGAAAATTCTCTATCTAACTCCAGAGCAAGAAAAGGATAAATCTCATTTCACAGACAAAGAGGTATGTGATTATTTTCTTGGTTTGATGATACGTGCAAGCGTAAATCCGTGTGTTAGAGTACTGGCTGTGTAGAGGGTGAGCTTTGGGAAACCAAACCTTATACTAATTGGGGGTGCTGTGGGAGGTGGTCATCTATCTGCCACATACGAATCTGATTTCAGGGAAGGAGCTGCAGCTTTTTTTTTTTTTTTTTTTTTTTTTTTTTTTGAGACAAGGTCTTGCTCTGTTGCCCAAGCTGGAGTGCAGTGGCATGATCTCGGCTCGCTGCAACCTCCACCTCCTGGGCTCAAGTGATCCTCTTGCCTCAGCCTCTCTGGTAGCTGGGACTACAGGCATACACCACCACGCCCAACTAATTTTTGAATTTTTTGTAGAGAGGCGTTTTCACCATGTTGCCCTGGGCTGGTCTCAAACTCCTGAGCTCAAGCAATCCACTTACCTCGGCCTCCCAAGTGGTGGGATTACAGGTGTGAGCCACCATGACCGGTCTTTTTTTTTTTTTCTTTGAGATAGGGTCCTGGTCTGTCACCCAGGCTGGATTCAGTGGCACAATCATAGCTCACTATAACCTCGAACCCCTGGGCTCAGGCAATCCTTCTGCCTCAGTCTACTGAGTAGCCAGGAGTACAGGCACAAGCCCTCATTCCCTTTTTTTTTTTTTTTTTTTTTTGAGGTGGAGTTTGCTCTTGTCACCCAGGCTGGAGTGCAGTGGTGTGATCTCGGCTCACTGCAACCTCCACCTCCCGAGTTCAAGCAATTCTCCTGCCTCAGCCTCCCGAGTAGATGGGACTACAGGCGCCCGCCACCACGCCTGACTAATTTTTGTATTTTTAGTAGAGACTGGGTTTCATCATGTTGGCCAGGCTGGTCTCGAACTCCTGACCTCAGGTGATCCACCTGCCTTAGCCTCCCAAAATGCTGGGATTACAGGCGTGAGCCACCATGCCAGGCAGCCTAATTTTTTTTATAGAAATGGGGTCTTGCTGTGTTCACCAGGCTGGTCTTGAACTCCTGGGCCCAAGTGATCCTCCTACATTGGTTTTCCAGAGTGGTGAGATTACAGACGTGACCCACCATGCCTGGCCTGGTTTTTGTTTGTTTGTTTGTTTTTGTCTTTGTTTTTAAGTAGTTAAGCAATCAGGAAAACATTTCATTATCCTTGAAATTTAATAGGGAGGAAAATGTAATTTACATAATGCCTCTCCTGCACTGTGAAACCTGTGCTGCTTTCTTCACTTGATCAGCTCTTCCACTGCAGTGGCTTCTCTGGTTTGCTCTAAGTGCATCACAACAGTTGAAAGTATGACCCTCCCGTATGAGATAGGTTTAAATGATAGCTTCCTCAAATTCTGGTTTGGAGAGCTTTGTTCTCTACGAGGCCACTCCCAAAAGCAGTCCTGGAATGTCTCTTCTGAGCCATTGAATGGGTGCTGCTTAGAGACACTACAACAGCCTGACTTCTAGAGTCAACAGTAGGAATCATAAGCTGAATACCCACTGAGTTTTTGTGTTGGTATTTCATAGCTGAGGGTAGAGCCTGAGGAGAAGTGTTGTTTGAAATAATCCGAATTTCTCTGCTGATATCCATTAGGTTATCAAAACCAGAGATGACTTACAGAGCTTTACACACAGACATGCCTATAAATGGGAGGATGAGAGTGATAGGTGGGCAAGGGGCTGTGAGAGGGACTAATTAGCCTTCATATATCCTAATCCCCCATTTTTGTATCTCATGGTCATCCCTGTAGACCGGACAGGAACATGAGCTTATCGAGAGCATGCCCCTGTTGGAATGGTTTGCTAACAACTATAAAAAATTTGGAGCTACGTTGGAAATTGTCACAGATAAATCACAAGAAGGGTCTCAGTTTGTGAAAGGATTTGGTGGAATTGGAGGTGAGTAGCAAATCAGCAAACCAAACTTAAAACCAGGGTCTCAGGTCAAGGTCCCTCCTGGCTAGCCCTAGCCCTGCTTCCGGTGAGGTGCTTATTATCTGCTGGGATAGGTGATTGACGCAGCAGGTGCAGGTTCCTAATTTGGACCCATGTTTATTATTACCTCTTTGCTTTCTGCAATTCTGCAAGAGAATAGGGCTTCCCTTATTCCCTTACCAGCCACCTACACACATGCCCATCCCATGAACACAGGTAATTTACCTTTTGGTTTGTTTCCCCAGGTATCTTGCGGTACCGAGTAGATTTCCAGGGAATGGAATACCAAGGAGGAGACGATGAATTTTTTGACCTTGATGACTACTAGGTAGTCGACATGGGTCCGGCAAAACGTGCCTCACCCTCCAGCATCCAACCCAAGGAGCATACCCATGGTGGAATCCAAACAGATCCCTGCCTTACAATTGGAACATTTCCAGAACTTAATCCATGAGCATTGGATATTGAAAAGAAAACCGAAACAAAACCAGACCCAGCCCTACACTTTGGTTTGTCATGGTGTCAGCGCAGCAGCCTACAACTAAGTTCCTAAACGCCACTTTGGACTAATTTAAAAAAGAATCCCAGTTTTTACTTTTACTGGATGGTGAAATTGGTTGCTCTTGTATTTTATGAAAAAAAATGATTTTTTTAACCTTCATACATAGAAGCAAAAATACTTTAACTGCTGTAAACCTTCAAAAGTTAATAGAAGTGAGATCATACTGGTTTGTTTCTTATTTTGATTGGAGAAAAATTAAATTGCTGCATTTCGCAGTGACCCATTTACATGGCATTCTCAGCTTAGACTGCGTAAGAAGAAATATATGTGGTGAAATGTTGGAACCATTTCTCTCTTGGTCTCTGTTTAATGTTGAAAGGGTGAGCTAATAGGAGGCACTTTCAACTTCACTCCCTCACGCTACCCCGTCCCCCTCCAGACTGGCAGTTTCAAGGATGCAAATTGCATTGCAAAATCAAACTGACTCATGAAGCATTTGGGCCAGTGCACTGTTTACTTCCATCTGTTTGCAGACACATTTGTGCCCGGCGTTTGGGAGCCCTTTGTATCAATGTTCTGACAAGGGTCCCTATAACCTTAACCTACTCGAAACCGGTTTGGGATGGATATGATGGGGCTTCTGTGCTATTGCTGGGATTGGGAGAAATAAAACATGCAATTTAAGTGGAAGCGAAGAAATTTAAAGAGGATTTTATTTTGCTTGGGTCAATCCTTGTTAAAAGGGAGGTGGATGTGTTTTCCTTGTGTTGGATGGCATGAGATTATGTGAATGTTTTGATTTATTAAAATGAACTGCAAGGTTTTTCACAGGAACGACAGACATGTATGACTGCATGTAATTATAAACTCCTGACCTCCTGGTGGGGTTGGAGCATCTGTTTCAAATGTGGGACTTACAAGCACTTCTCACATGAGAAATTAGGGGCGGGTGGGAAGGGATGGGACACAGCTTCTGGCACCATGGATTTAAGACCATGTTGGATCCAAAAGTTGGCCTGAAACCCTGAAGCTTATGCTTCACAGCTGGGCTGTAAGTCAGACTTGAACCCAGCTGATATGCAAGGTCATGGCGTGCCCAGGGTGGTGACAGTTGAACAAAGTGTATAGTACGTGCCCAGTGGTAGCGATGGAAAAAAGTATACCAAATGGACTTTGAAGGACCAAAGGTTTTAAAAGTCAATTGGTATCACCTCCACACTGACTAGGGTAGTGGGGTGCATTTGGTTTTCAAATTGGGTACTTTTAACACTTTAGTGCCTGACTGCTGTTCTTTACTGACTTGATTCAGTCACTCGTAGCTTTATTGGTCTGAACCAGCTCCTTGTTCCCAGGTTACAGACCTGCCTATCGTTCCAATAATCCTGTTTCACTTGAATGAAGGGAGTATGTCTTAAATGTAAAGTTTCTGGTTCTCACACTGTACTCTGAGGTCCAAATACTGTCTGTCAATGTGTAACCTGATGTCTCAACCCCCTGTGAGAAGAGTCCATTATTTGGTGTTCACCAACGTGGGAGACTTCACCGGAACAGGCTTTTTTGCTTTGGGCTCTGCTATTTGTTTGCAGAACACCCAAGAGCGAGCAAACATGCTCTCTTCACAGCAGTACCTTAGGGTTTTGCCATTGTAAATGGGTCTGATGTGATATGACAAGACCAGAGAAATTGGATGTAAATTTACATTTTTGAATATGCTTGTTGTTTCACATGATACATTTAGGGTATGCAGCTCCTTTTGTAGTTTTTATTTTTACTATTTAAGTTTGGAAATGATGCCAAATTTTTGTATTTCTTTAATCAATGTGTTCTCTTCGGTGATATATATTGCATTATATATTGATGTGTGTATCAATATATATTGATATGTATTACACTTACACATACAAACACATATAAGAGGGGGTGAAAACCGTAGCCTTTGCATTCTCTATAGCCTCTGCAGAGAGATACTAAGCAGCAAAATCTTGGTGTTGTGATGTACAGAAATGGAGAAGAGTATTAAACCATATTTAAGAATATACTTTGTGTGCTTGAGATTTTTTAGGACTGGTCTAGAAAGGCCTGAACTGTGGAGACAGTTCTCCAAGGCATACCTCAGATTAGTCACGGCCAATAGCATTTCAGCCTTGGGTTTGAGTTGTGTTTACTACATTTGTCTATGGAAAGGTATATGCAAAGTTTTTCTGAGGTCATGATCCCAGAGTTATGCTAGAAGAAGAAGGTTCAGGTTGCTGGGGCCAAACTAATTTGTATTCTCCCCCATTCTATATGCATGCCAAAGGGAATCTTGCTTTTTTTTTTTTTTAAGGTATGTTAAGTATATTATCCCATAACCCAGCATCCCATGGAGGTAGATGGTGTACCCAATTTTACAGGTGATGAAACAGAACAAAAGAAGGTTAAGTAGCAGCTCTTTAGTGATAACACCAAAATTTTATCCCAGGCCTTATTCCAAAGTTCTCTCTGTATCTGTCTTTGAGTCCTATAATAGAATGGTCCAGATGGAATAGCAGAAACTAGGCCTGGGCCCTCTCTCTCTCCCACGCTCCTTCATCTTACATACCTTACACTGGGTAGGAGAGTAGTAGCCCACCCAAAAGCAGGTCAGGGGCTGGTCCAGAGGAGCAGGGCTCCTAGGCCAGGTTCAGAGCAGAAGAGGATTTGTTTTCTTTGTTTTCCCCCAAGGTTGAGGTGCTTAAAGAGCCTCTTTGGTAGTTTAGGAAGCCTAGTTGAGGAGCCAAGGTGGTGCATGGTTTGCTTTCTCCAGGTTTGAGAAAACTGTTTTAAGTAAAATTGACCAGTAATGGCACTTGGCGTACTTTTCACCCATTTTCTTACCTGATCTAGGTGATAGCTCTGACGACGAAACTCAATTACCAGCTGGGAAGGGGCGAACATGCCTGTGCTGGTGGAAGTGTAATTTTCCCTCCTAATGCGTGTCTAGGTGCTGTTCTTGAAGACAAAATTGTTGGAAGGCAGCACAGTGGTGCAGGATATATGGGCTGTGGTCCTTGCCTGTCTGGGCCTGCAGCACTTGCCATCTTTTGTTCTCTGGCTCCAAGACGCATGCCATGACACTCCCAGACAGGCACGGTGGATTTAGGGCTGAGAGCCAAGGTGGAATTTAAGTTTCATGCCAGCTTCTCCTTTGTTGCCAGCTTGAGTGAATGCCAGGGGATTCCTGCCTGCCAAGTCCAGCCCTGATGGGACTGGGTCTCAGGGGACCTAGGAACTGAACAGCCAAGTGGTGTGGGAGCATCCGATTAGAGCTAGGGAAGCAGGGCACAGTTACTTGCTTGTTTTGTGGCAGTTTGGGTGCTGCAAGTTGCTGAGGATGTGGCTGAATAGCAGGCACTAGAAATAACAGGTGAAAACAATTCACCACCTAAAGGGTTCTCTGTAAATCAAGTCTAAAACCCTGTCTGGTGAATTCTGTTTCAGATACAGCCATCTCCAGGAGTCCTTCCCTGAAACTGGCAGGCTTACCTGGGGCTTAGCTAAGAGCCCAGAACCAAACAAGGGAGTCAAGAAAAGCTCTGGTTCTGCTGGGCACCATGGCTCACGCCTGTAAACCCAACACTTCAGGAGGCCAAGGCAGGTGGATCACCCGAGGTCAGGAGTTCAAGACCAGCCTGACCAACATGGTGAAACCCCGTCTCTACTGAAATTACAAAAACTAGCCGAACAGGTGGTGGGCGCCTGTAATCCCAGCTACTCAGGAGGCTGAGGCACAAGAATTGCTTGAACCTGGGAGGCAGAGGTTGCAGTGAGACGAGATGGCACCACTGCACTCCAGCCTGGGCGACAGAGAGACTGTCTCGAAAAAAAGAAAAAAAGGCTCTGGCTCTGCAGTTAACTGGGTTTGTGACTTCACAGTATCAGGCAGTCCCTGAATCTGAAGTGCCGTGCCAGCCAGCTTCCCAGGAAGCTATCAGGAGAGTGCAGTAGGAAGCAGGATCTCTGAGGTCTGAGGTAGAAATCCTGGCGCCACCTGAGAGGCTGGCAAATTATTCCATGTCTTTGAGTAGCAGTTTCACCACCTGTAATAAGGATTAAATGGAGTAAGGCACATGAAGGCACTTAGCAAGGACTGGGATGGCAGCTACTCATGGTTCTTCCTCTCCCAACCTTGGTCCTCTGGAAGTGGCCAGGGAAAGTTTGTGCTGGTGACCACAAGGTGGTGGTATAGAGTTAAGGATGCTGACTGGAAGAAATTTGCTTCATCTGAAGTAGGGGGGATTTCTGACAAGCATTAAGAGGTGCCTGGGACAACTTGCTTTGCCCTTAAATTTTAGGAAAGTGGAGAGGGCAGTTTAACAAAGGAGTAGGGATGAGTGAACGGAGAGGAGATCCCAGGAGTCTCAATCCAGCTCTGCCCAGTTTTCTTACTCCTTATTCTGGGCTTTGAGCTATCCGTCTGTGAAGTAACTATAGTCACTGACATTTGTTGAACAGTTATGTAATCCTTAGAAAAACGTAGTGAGGGAGATGCTGTTTATATCTTCCCATCCACGTTCTACTAAGTGGCAAAATCTGGGACTCAAAGTCAGGTCTGTTTGGTTCCAAAGCCAGTGCAAATGCAGGTCATCCCTACAGAGTGAAATAAAACAGCATGAAGAAGGGCTTCCTGGGGGGCCCTTGGCCCCAAGTAGGTGAGCAATCCTGGAAGTGATGAGAAGAAGGCAAAGCTGTACCTGGGAATGTCAAGCCCATTCTCAGAAAGGACTCTCAGAAAGAGTCTCATTCGACTCTAGTCCTTAGTCTACAGCCATACCTTTATATAGCTTTTCTCCACAATACCCAATACTTAGACTTCTTAAGGAATTATAATTTTAGCACCTAATTTTTTTTTTTTTTTTTGAGACAGGGTCTTACTCTGTCACCCAAGCTGGAATGCAGTGGTGCAGTCTTGGCTCACTACAGCCTCAACCTCCCAGGATCAAGCGATCCTCCCACCTCAGCCTCCCGAGTAGCTGGGACTGCAGGCACACACCACCACACCTGGCTAATTTTTGGTTTTTTGTTGTTTTTGTAGAGATGAGGTTTCGCCATGTTGCCCAGCCTGGGTGTTTTTTTTTTTTTGAGATGGAGTCTTGCTCTGTCACCCAGACTGGAGTGCAGGGGTGCGATCTCGGCTCACTGCAAGCTCTGCCTCCCAGGTTCATGCCATTCTCCTGCCTCAGCCTCCTGAGTAGCTGGGACCACAGACGCCAGCCACCACGCCCGGCTAATTTTTTGTTTTTGTTTTTTTAGTAGAGGCAGGGTTTCGCCGTGTTAGCCAGGATGGTGTTGATCTCCCGACCTTGTGATCCGCCCGCCTCAGCCTCCCAAAGTGCTGGGATTACAAGCGTGAGCCACTGTGCCCAGCCTCCCCAGGCTGGTCTTGAATTCCTGAGCTCAAGTGATTGGCCCGCCTCTGTCTCCCAAAGTGTTGGAATTCCAGGTGTGTGCCACTGTGCCGGGCCCCTTAATTTTAGCACTAGAAAGGGTCTTGCACCTTACCTATTCCAATCCCCTCACTAAAGACAGAAGAAAGCTGAGGCCAGAGAGGAATATAGTGACCTGTCAGGCTCATGCAGCAAATTAGCAGAGCCAACATGAACACTTGCTCCAACTCCAGATTCGGTGCTCTTAACAGCCGGATGATCTTGTTATTCTTCATCCAGGCCCTGTTCTCTCTAATGTTATAAATGAGAGAAGGGACAATTGGAGGGAGCACGTGGCCTGAAACCAAAGAGCTAGGAGAGGAAAGGTGGCCAACATCCAGATGGAGTTATGAAAGCTGTTTGAAGTCACTTCCCTGTGAGTCAAGGTTGGCTTGGGTGTGTGGATCAACTTGCTTCTTCAGCCCCCGGCCTTCCAAATTAGCCCCATCTAGCTCTCCCTGACTGCCACAGACTTCCAGCTCCTCCCACTCTGCTGAGATACTATACCTAGGCTTAGCCCCTTCTGCTTGCCTGTCCATCCCCACTCAAAGCTAGAGGGCAAACCCATTTCCAAGGAAGCCAGGAGAATAAGGAAGGAGGGTGGAAACTTGAGAGAAAGGCTCCGAGCAGGAATGGCAAGGATCTTCTGAGAGGCAAAGATGCAGAGATATTCCGATTCCTGGGAGAAGGCATGAGGAGAAATCAGGGCTTGATGATGCCAGGACCCTCTGCCCCATGTTGTATTACTGTCCAGACCCAAAGACATGCCCAGCCTAGGCTCTCTGGTGGGGAAAGGCAACATGAGCCAGCTGGGGTGGGCCTGGAGGGCCTGCAGAGGGGGACTCTTTGTAATAAGGCAGGATGTTGCCTGGGAGAGAGTTGCTCCTCCAGATAAAGACGAATTTCTGTGCTCAGGGCTAGAGGCCCTCCCTTGCACCCCTGTCGGGCTCTGATTCTGAAAGGTAACATGGAAGGAGTTCTACCCCAGTCTCCTCCAGCCTTCTCCACAGACGCACTCCACGGCCACCTCTATTCCTTAAATGAGACTTGGGTTAAGCCAGTCTCATTCCTTGACTCAGCAAGCATTTAGACATGTCCCGTGTACTAGGTCCCGTGCAAGATTCAGTGGCAAACAGTGCAGGTGCACACCCTGCCCTTCGGTGTTGAAGGTCCAGCAGTGGAGACTCTGAACAAGGAATGACAATGAGTGTTAAAGGACAAGGGGAGTGCAGGGTGGCTCCTTCCTCCTCTGGGGGTGCTAGGTCTATGTGGGGACCTGGGTTAGCTGGAGAGATGAGAGGGTGAGTTTGGAGAGGCACGTGGATCAGTCCTGACTGGATCCAAAGGCCAGGAAGACATTCAGATTTCAGGACACTGTTTTTTCTTTTCTTTTCTTTTCTTTTCTTTTTTCTTTTTCTTTCTTTCTTTTTTTTTTTTTTTTTTTTTTTTTTTTTTTTTTTTTTTGAGACAGAGTCTCTCTGTGTTGCCAGGCTGGAGTGCAGTGGCGTGCCCTCGGCTCACTGCAACCTCCACCTCCTGGGTTCAAGTGATTCTCCTGCCTCAGCCTCCCGAGTATCTGGGACTACAGGCGTGCGCCATCACACCTGGCTAATTTTTGTATTTTTAGTAGAGACAGGGTTTCACCATGTTGGCCAGAATGGTCTCGATCTCCTGACCTCGTGATCCGCCCGCCTTGGACTCCTAAAGTGCTGAGATTACAGGTGTGAGCCACCGTGCCCGGCTAGGACACTGGTTTTTTCATCCTGCTGTCATTTCTGTGGTTTGTTTATTAACAGCTTTATTGAGGTATAATTTACAAACTATAAAATTAACCCACTGTAGGTATAGTTTGGCTATTTATTTTTAAAAGTAAATGTGTGTAGGCCAGGCCTACACGCCTGGCCTCTAATATCTTGATCCCGGAAGGTGGAGGCTGCAGTGAGCCAAGATCCCACCACTGCACTCCAGCCTGGGTGACAGTGAGACTCTGTCTCAAAAAAAAAAAAAAAAAAGTAAATTTGTATAGTTATGTAAACATCCCACAACTCACAACTTAATGTTCAGCATCCCAAAAAGATTATTTGTGCTCTTTTGCAGTCAATCTCTGTTCCCACATCCAACCCTGGGCAACTACTGATCAATCTACTTGCTTTGTTTTTTTTTTATTTTTTATTTTTGGAGACAGAGCCTTGCTCTGTCGCCCAGGCTGGAGTGCAGTGGCGCGATCTCAGCTCACTGAAACCTCCGCCTCCCGGGTTCAAGCAATTCTTATGCCTCAGCCTCCTGAGTAACTAGGACTATAGGTGCCTGCCACCACGCCCAGCTAATTTTGCTATTTTTAGTAGAGACGAGGTTTCACCATGTTGGCCAGGCTGGTCTCAAACTCCTGGCCTCATGTTATCTGCCCACCTTGGCCTCCCAAAGTGCTGGGATTATAGGCATTAGCCACCACGCCCAGCTGCTACTGATCTGCTTTCTACCTCTACAGTTCTGGCCTTCCTAGAAATTTTTATATTAATGGAAAAGCACAACATGTAGTCTTTTATGTGAAGCTTCTTTCATTTAGATAAATTTTTGAGATACATCTATCCTATCTTTCTTTCTTTTTTTTTTTTTTGAGATGGAGTCTCACTCTGTCACCTAGGCTGGAGTGCAGTGGCTCAATAACAGCTCACTGCAGCCTTGATCTCCTGAGCTCAAGTGATTCTCTCGCCTCAGCCTCCCAAGTAGCTGGGATTACACCACCATGTCAGGCTATTTTTTGTATATATATATATTTTTTATAGAGATGGGGTCTCCTTATGTTGCTCAGGGTGGTCTTGAACTCCTAGCTCTAAGTGATCCTCCCGCCTCAGCCTCCCAGTGCTAGGATTACAGGTGTGAGTCACCATGCCCAGCCTGTTGCATGTTCATTTTTATTGTTGAGTAGTATGATACAATAAGAAATACATATACAGGTCTTTGCTCCACTCCTTTCCTGGCATGCAGCTCCTAAAACCCATGGAATCTCCAGAGTGATGAGAGTGTCTTTTCTATGCTAATATGATTACTGATGACTGGGGGCCCCTAGGTAGCTTCAGGATGGGGACTGGTCACCAGAACGACCAAAACGTGATTAGAGAGTAGAGCTTTTGGGCCAGGCGCGGTGCCTCATGCCTGTAATCCCAGCACTTTGGGAGGCCAAGGCGGGCAGATCATTTGAGGTTAGGAGTTCAAGACCAGCCTGACTAACATGGTGAAATCCTGTCTCTACTAAAAATACAAAAAAACATTAGCTGGGCCTGGTGGCATATGCCTGTAATCCCAGCTACTCAGGAGGCTGAGGCAGGAGAATCGCTTGAACCTGGGAGGCAGAAGCTGCAGTGAGCCAAGATCACTCCACTGCATTCCAGCCTGGGCAACAGAGCTAGACCTGTCTCCAAAAAAAAAAAAAAAAAAAAAAAAAAAAAAGTGCAGCTTTCAGCACCTGCCTCCCACCTCCAGAGAGCGGAAAGGGGCTGGAGGTTGACTTAATCACTGATGGCCAATGATTTTATCAATCATCCCTATATAATGAGACCTCCATAAAACCCCCTAAATGATGGGGTTCAGGAAGCTTCCAGGTTGGTGAACACATTGAAGTGCTGGGAGGGTAGCATGCCCAGAGAGGGGATGAAAGCTCTGCACCCATACCTTGCCCTATGCATCTGTTCTGTTGAGTTGTATCCTTTATAATAACCTACCATAATGTGTAGATTTTTCCTGAGTTCTGTGAGCTGTTCTAGCAAATTATCAAACTTGAAGAGGGGGTCATGGGAACCCCTTACAGCCAGTTAGTCAGAAGTACAGGTGGTAACTTGTGACTGGCATCTAATATTGGGGCAGTCTTATGGAACTGAACCCTTAATCTGTGGGGTCTGTTAACTTAGGGTATTAGTGTCAGAATTGAGTTGAATTGTAGGACACCAAGTTGTGTCTGGAGAGTTGGAGAATAGGTTGATGTGGGAACAAAACTCCACACATTTGGTGTCAGAAGTGTTGTGGGTAAAACAGCACAAAAGTAGTATTCCATTGTATGAATATACCGCATTTTGTTTATCTCTTCCACTGGTGGATATTTGGACGGTGTCCAGTTTTTAGCTGTTTGAATAATGCTGCTATGAACATTCACATACTAGTCTTTGTGTGAATATATGTTTTTTGTTTCTCGTGGGTTGATACTGTATATCTTTGGAGAAATGTCTATTCAACTCCTTCGCCCATCTTGAATTGGTTTATCTTGTTGAGTTATAACAGTTCTTTATACTCTAGATACCAAACCCTTATTAGATATATTATTTGCAAGTATTTTCACTTTCTTGATAATGTCTTCTGATGCACAAAACTAATTTTGGTGAAGTTCAATTTATCTGTTTTTCTGTTGTTGCCATATCTGTTGTTTGCCAAATCCAAGGTCATGATTTACCCATGTTTTCTTCTCTTAGAGTTTTAGCCCAGGCACAGTGGCTTCTGCCTATAATCCCAGCACATTGATAGGCCAAGGCAGGAAGATGGTTTGAAGCCAGGAGTTCAAGGCCAGCCTGGGCAACATAGCAAGACCTCAACTCTACAAAAAATTTAAAAATTAGCTGGGTGTGGTGGTGCACACCTGTAGTCATAGCTGCTTGGGAGGCTGAAGCAGGAGGATTGTTTGAGCCCATGAGTTTGAGGTTGCAATAAGCTATGACTGTGCCATCTCACTCCAGCATGGATGACAGAGCAAGACCCTATCTATTATGTGTCACTGGCCCATTTTGAGTTAGTTTTTGCATATGGTATGAGGTCAGGGGTCTGACATCATACTTTTGCATGTGAGTATCTAGTTGTTGTGGGGTTGGGCATTGTGGCTCACACCTGTAATCCCAACACATTGAGAGCCCAAGGCAAAAGGATCACTTGAGCCCAGGAGTTCAAGACCAGCCTGGACAACATAGGGAGACCCCATCTCTACAAAAAAGTTAGCTGGATGTGGTGGCACTCACCTGTGGTCCCAGCTACTGGGGAGGCTGTCGTGGGAAGATCACTTAAGCTTCGGAAGTCAAGGCTGCAGTGAGCCATGGTGCTGCCACTGCACTCCAGCCTGAGTGACAGAGCAAGACCCTGTCTCAAAAAAAAAAAAAAAAAAAAAAAAAAAAAAAAAAGTTGTGCAAGCACCATTTTGTTGATGAAACTATTATTTCCCCCATTTAATGCTCTTTGCTCCCTTGGAGAAAATCAGTTGACCATAGGTATATGGGATTATTTCTGAACTCTGAACTCTCTGAATTACTTCTGAACTCAGAAATAATCCCATATACCTATGGCCAACTGGGTATGGTATAATAATCCCATATACAACTGATATAGATATATAGGTTTGTATTTCTAACTTTATTATACCAGTACCACATTGTTTTGATTTATGTTACGTTGTAGTATGTTTATTTGTTTGATCTTTTTTTGAGACAGAGTCTCTTTCTGTTGCCCAGGCTGGCATACAGTGACAGGATCATGGCTCACTGCATACTCTACCTACTGGGCTCAAGCAAACCTCCCACCTCAGCCTCCTGAGTAGCCTGTACTATAGGTGTGTGCCACCATGCCCAGCTAATTTTTTTTTAATTTTTAATAGAGTTGGGGTCTCACTGTTGCCCAGACTGGTTTTGAACTCCTGGTCTCAAGTGATCCTCCTGCCTTGGCCCTGCAAAACACCAGGATTACAGGCATGAACCACCATGCCCCACCAACTTCTAATATTAAACATTAAAGTGAAGCTGGGTGCAGTGGCTTGTGCCTGTAATCCCAGCACTTTGGGAGGCTGAGGCAGGCAGATTGCTTGAGGTCAGGAGTTCGAGACCAGCCTGGCCAACATGGCGAAGCCCCTTCTCTACAAAAATACAAAAATTAGCCAGGCGTGGTGGCACACAGCTATAATCCCAGAAGCTGAGGCAGGAGAATCTCTTGAACCTGGAGGTGGAAGTTGCAGTGAGCTGAGACCACACCTGCACTCCAGCCTGGGTGACAGAGCAAGACTGTCTCAAAATGAAATAAATGTGAGCTGGCCGGGTGCAGTGGCTCATGCCTGTAATCCAAGCACTTGGGGAGGCCGAGGCGGGCAGATCACAAGGTCAAGAGATCGAGACCATTCTGCCCAACATGGTGAAACCCCGTCTCTACTAAAAATACAAAAAATTAGCCAGGCGTGGTGGCAGGCACCTGTAGTCCCAGCTACTCCAGAGGCTGAGGCAGGAGAATGGCATGAACCCAGGAGGCGGAGCTTGCAGTGAGCCGAGATCGTGCCACTGCACTCCAGCCTGGGTGACAGAGCAAGACTCCATCTCAAAAAATAAATAAATAAATAAATAAAATGTTAGCTATATACACATTTAAGAAAGATTCATAAGAACAAGGATTGGCCAGGCGTGGTGGCTTATGCCTGTAATCCCAGCACTTTGGGAGGCCGAGGCGGGTGGATCACCTGAGGTCGGGAGTTCGAGACCAGCCTGGCCAACATGGAGAAACCCCGTCTCTACTAAAAATACAAAATTAGCTGGGCATGGTGGCGCATGCCTGTAATCCCAGCTATTCGGGAGGCTGAGGCAGGAGAATTGCTTGAACCTGGGAGGCGTAGGTTGTGGTGAGCCAAGATCACTCCATTGCACTCCAGCCTGGGCAACAAGAGCGAAACTGTCTCAAAAAAAAAAAACAAAACAAGGATTATTTACTCAATTTTTGGTGAATCAGGGATGTTGTGGTGGTGGGTTACATGAAGAAATAAATGTTTGCAAAACAAAAATTGCAAGGAGCACCTCCTACTGCTTCACCTGCCTGAGTTCAAAAACAATCACAAATATGGAAGGCTTGCTGAGCACTTTCATATGGCATTGTTTGTCATTGTGCACCATATGATTATTGGATATTTACAGATTTTTATTTGACAATAATTTGTATTCATTCATTCATTTTCCACCCCACTTCTTCCAGTTGCGGGTCTCAGGTGGCAGGAGCCCATCCCAGTAGCTTTCAGGGCACAAGGAAAACACCAACCCTAGACAAGATGCCATTCCACGGCAGGGCACACTCACAAACACACCCACACTCATTCATCCAGCGACCATTTAGACATGCTGATTCATCTAATGAGTACATCTTTGAGATGTGTAAGGAGACCAGAGTTCCCAGAGAAAGCCCATGCAGACACGGGGAGAACGTACCAACTCCACCCAAACAACTCCAGCTGAAAACTGATTTTTTTTCTCATCAATGTTATAAGGAAAGGACGTTGAACTGAATAAAATGACGTTTTTTGAGGACCTGTAGTCAACAAGGCAGACACAGTCCGTGTCAATAAAGAGCGCTCAATCTAGTGGCAAACCCAGCCAAAGAAAAAATGCCATGGGCCGGGTGCCGTGGCTCACGCCTGTAATCCCAGCACTTTGAGAGGCCGAGGTGGGAAGATCACCTGAGGTCAGGAGTTCTAGACCAGCCTGGCCAACATGGTGAAACCCCATCTCTACTAAAAAAAATTTAAAAATTAGCCGGGGGTGGTAGCGGACGCCTGTAATCCCAGCTACTTGGGAGGCTGAGGCAGGTGAATTGTTGAACCCAGGAGGCGGAGGTTGCAGTGAGCCAAGATGGCGCCACGGCACTCCAGCCTGGGCAACAAGAGCGAAACTCCATCTCAAAAAAAAAGAAAAAAGAAAAAAAAAAAGCCCTGGTTTGGTGGTTAAAAGCACAGAGGGTTTTGTGGGGCCGGGAGACAAAAGTGGCACCCAATCCACTGGCAAGAGAAGGTTTGGTTTCTTGTTTCTTTTTTAGACGGAGTCTTGCTCTGTCACCCAGGCTAATTTTTGTATTTTTTTTAGAGACAGGGTTTCACCGTGTTAGCCAGGATGGTCTCGATCTTCTGACCTTGTGATCCGCCCGCCTCGGCCTCCCAAAGTGCTGGGATTACAGGCGTGAGCCACCGCGCCCAGCTTGAGAAGGTTTGGTTTCTGTCTGGAAATCTCATTTTGTGGAGGAAGCAAGCACAGGAAAACAATGAGAAAAAAATGCAGGAAATAACAGGCGGCTGTGGTATTATTGGGTGTCACATTGGCAGTTGTTGAAAGATTATCAATCCCAGGCTCCAGTATTCCTAACAGGCCCGAAAGCCAGCCCCAGGACCACTAGAGCATAGGTCCTCTCTTAAGGCAGGGAATAGCCCAGGACCCTTACTGTTTCATAGGGCTTTCAAAGAATCAAGGCCCCCACACGGGCGCAGTGGCTCGCGCCTGTAATCCCAGCACTTTGGGAAGCCGAGGCGGGAGGATCGCAAGGTCAGGAGTTCAAGAGCAGCCTGGCCAATATGGTGAAACCCCTTCTCTACTAAAAATACAAAAAAATTAGCCGGACATGGTGGCGCATTCCTGTAATCCCAGCTACTCGGGAGGCTGAGGCAGGAGAATTGCTTGAAACCGGGAGGCGGAGGTTGCAGTGAGCCAAGATCAGACCACTGCACTCCAGCCTGGGTGACACAGTGAGACTCCGTCTCAAAAAAAAAAGAATCAAGGACCCTGCACACAGAAGAGAATAAAAGCCCTACCCAAGCAGAGGCCTGGGGTTCCTGCAAATTCTGTAGCAGCCTACAGGAGCTCCCCTCACACCTTGCCCCTTGGCTAAGCTCAATCATAAATAGCTCACTGGTTTCCAGCCTGGGATCTCCCATCCCTGCAAGGAGCCCACCTCCTCACTCTGACTTGCCCTCCTCCTGGAGCAGGAAGGCGGGTGGCTGTCAGGGGCCTGAGAGGAGGGGAGGAGAGGGCAGGAAGCAGCATCACTAGGAGCCTGGCCTCTGTGGACTGCATTACCCACAATCCTAGAGCATAGATCTACAGAGAAGGCTGCTGGGGGCCTGCAGCCCTAAGTGGGAAAACAAGCCAAGAGGTATCCTAGGCTCTAAGTGTGCAGCCCAGATTCTGAGACCCAGTTTTTTCCCAAACCTACCTCCTGGACCTTTGAGATTCTCTCCATGCACCCTATTCACAGGCATTCAGCCAACCTGGGGCTGTGGAGACCCACAAGGCTCCTTAAATTTTGGATTTGCAGCCACTGTGTGTGTGTGTGTGTGTGTGTGTGTGTGTGTGTGTGTGTGTGTGTGTTGCGCCTGGAAGCCACTGTGTGTGTGTGTGTGTGTGTGTGTGTGTGTGTGTGTGTGTGTTGCGCCTGGAAGCCTGTGAGTGATTTTATTCTGGATCAAGCCCAGAGGCTGCTTGGCCCTAAAAGGCCCTTCTCTGACATATTCACCCACTCAGCCCCAAGCTCTGAGCTTTTCTTTCCCTGCCTTACCTGTGGCAGAACAATCACAGGCTCACAGGCGGGTCTAGCTGGCCACATGGGGACTTGCTTGTCTCCTCCCCAGCAGAAAGCTGGACTTTGTGACAGCTGTCCTGCTGGAACATGGGGGGAGGGGGCTCGGGAACTGTTGCTGGCAGCCCTCTGTGCTGAGATCCAGTCCCTGTTTGTGACCTTTCTCATGGCAGATCAGATCAGGGTAACCACATGGCTGGGCCAGGTTTGTTTCTGGAGGCGCTGTCGGGAGGGCCTGTAGGGGCTTGCTGGTTCTTTCAGTGGTGGATAAACCAGAGCTGTCAGGCTGAGCAGGAGAGGCCCTTCTGGGTGATGGGGGCACCCAGGGGCAGTGCTCAGCCCCAACTCACTCCAGGTGTACACTTGCCCCAGCTGTGGCTCCCCTCACCCTACCCCTCCAGCTTTCTCCTGCAGAGTCAAACTACTCAAGTAGGGTTGTGGGGTCATGAGCCTCAGACCACGGGGAGCCATAGCAGGTGGAGACGTTGGGGACCAGACCTAAAGTCAAAAATGACTGTCCAAGGTGAAAAGGGACTGCGGCAGGCCTGAAACAGGATCACTCAGATAACGACACTTTGTTAAGATCCTATGATCCTAAATCAGCTCAGCAGAGGCTGGTGACCTATGGGTGGGGGTGGGAAGGATTTCCAGGAGGCCAGAAGTCTGAACCAAGTAAAGGATGCGTAGCAGTTCTTTCTGCCAGAATAGTGTGGGAAGGGTATTCCAGGCGGAGGGGGCAGCTCGGCTGAAGCCAGGGAGGTACGAGAAGCGCAAGCGGGGAGGAAGAGAGATGTCAGGGAAGACCCACTTGTCAACTCTCAGGGGAGAGCGGCCGGCGAGGCTCGGAGGCCCGTGTGGCTGGAGGTCCCGGGCTGGGGCCGCTGAAAGACCTCCGGCAGGGCGTGCTGTGCTCCGGGCTAGGGGAGAAAAGCGAGGCAAAATACGAAACCAGCGGGGACCAGCGGGACCCCCAAGTCGGCCCGTCCCGCGCCTCCCGCGCCGGGCCAGGCCCCGCGTTCCCGTCCCTCCCGCCGCTGCCGCCCCCTCCTTGGCAGCAGGTCCGCTGGCCGCGGGCTCCGAGGTTGGGCGGGCCCAGCGGACCGGGCTCCCAGCCCGCGGGCCGCCAGCCAGCCGCGCCGGGAAGGAAGCGCCTTGTATGGGCCTGGGGCCGGGAGGAAGCGCCTTGTAGGGCTCGGGGAGGAAGCGCCATACATGGCGCGGGGCGGACGGGGGCGGGCCGGGGGCGGGAGCCCGCCCGGGATGGAGCCGTTTCCGCCGGAGCCTCTGCGGGCACCGAGCCTCGCAGCCGCGGGCGGGGCGCAGGGGCGCAGGGGCTCCGGGGTTCTACGCGGCCTCGACGCCTGCGGGCCCGGTGGGAATTCCAGCAAAGCCATGCACGATCTGTGGCCTTGGGTGCAGTGCCTTCGTCTCTGAGCCTCGGGCCCTCTCCGGAGGCTGGGGTGAAACGAGAGGCTGCCGGGGGGCCCGCGTGGCGGCCCCGGGCCCTCGCAGTTGCAGGCTGCAGGAGCGGTTTCCCAGACGCCGGCTGGTCGTGCCCCTTTAGCCTCTTCCCAGCCGTCTCAGGCCCGGGAAGCCTGTACGAAGGGCAGAATGAGGAGCGGACGGCTTCGGGAGAGATCTTTCCAGAAGAAAATAGGGCACCCTGAATGTGGAGTTTTCCTTTCCAGTTCAGACAGCGAGGTTCCAGCCCCAGCGTCTCCCCTTGCCAGCCGGGTGATGCTGGGACGGGTACTCACCTTCTCCTGAGCCTGTGTCCTCATCTCCTCCGTGAAATGGGAGTGAGAGTTCCTGCTGTGCAGGTTTGTGGAGATAATTAAATGAAATGGGGGCTGTGTCAAGTGCCTGACGTGGCGTAGGTGCTTCGGCAGTGCCAGCTCCTCAGTCCTCTGTGCCCTTTCCCTGTTCGGGAGTGGGGGCCATTCTCCCTGGAAGCCCTGCCCCTTGAAGGAGACGCTCCTCCTTAGGCATCTTGGGGCCTCCTCGCCAAGACTGGGCCTTCTCCATAGGCATGCCTGTGGCCCCACTGCCCCAGTGACCTGCCATGCCCTCTTCTATCTAACCCAGAGCATAGGTAACCTCCTAGACCATCCTGTGAAGGCAGAAAGAACCTGGGGGAAGTCGAGGTTCCCATCACAGCCAGAAACTGGTATCTAGGACACCGTCCCCTCCCACGCCTGCTGTCAGTACCACACCCACACATTTCACCAAGAGATGGGTATCAATCTCAGAGAAGCATTTCCCAATCCTCGCTTGCTGGCCCTGCCCTGCCCTCATCAGTCCTGCCCATCCCGGAGTCCCACTGAAATCTAACCTGAATCCTCCTGTTCCATCCTGCTGAGCAGCAGTCCGCAGTCCCTGATAGATTCCAGGCAAGTTTGTGGACACACAATAGATGCATGTCACCCACAGCCTTGTTTCCTTTCATCCCTGTCAGGCAAGGAGGCTGTCGTTGGCATGGTAACTTTCCCTGTAAAAGTTGCAGCCCTCAAGGATGTTTTTCAATTCCAGCAGGGACACAGCTCCTTCCCGACATTGTAGACTACGGGGTGACATGTAGATGTGTCATTCTGGCCTCCCCCGGAATGGGGACATGGAGCTGGCAGCACAAAAGGATGGGTTCGTGGAGGGCAGCAAAAGGCTTAAGGGAGATGTCGATTGGATCTCTGAGGAACAGGTTCCTTCTGCCCTGTGTTCTGATACTCTGCCACCCAGAGAAACCAGTTCTGAGGCCCAGAATATTTCGGGAGACTCTTGGGATCTCATAGTGAAAGATAAACACATATCTTCGCTAGAACCAGGCCCCTGACAAATAGCATGATGCCCAGGGCTTAATTCCATAGAATAAGCTGATAAATCATAAAGCCTCCAAAATCCAGCGATTTCCTTTCTCTTCGATTCCTCTGTGGAATAAATGAATATTTATTAGCCATCTCCCGTGTCCCAGCTTCCCATACATCATTTCAACTAATTCTCTGCACAGTTCCTATGAGGGACGTATTACAACATTCATTTTGCAAATAGGGAAACTAGAATTTGGGGAAAGATCTTAAGCACCTTGACCAAAAATCACACGGCCGTGGAGTGGCAGCACCAGGGCTGGGACCCCATTCTTCAGAGCCCAACCCCGTACCTTTTCCACTAGTTCTGTGTTCCTTTATATTTGCTTCTGTGCTACAGGTAAAGATAGTCTTCCCCGCAGGCTCCAAGGCACTGCCTTTCTAGGGAGTCCTCAGCAAGGAAAGGTGGCATCAGCATCTGCCTCTGGGCCCATGTGTTCCTGTGTGGCCCTGCCTGGCACTGCAGCAGCCCCAGCAGCCCCAATCCAGAGGCTTCTCCCTGCCAGCTGCCTTGTCTCCGTCATGGAGTTTCCCCGGCAGAGGGCAAGCGGAGGGAAAGTGGTTCCCAGCTGCCAGCTTCATCTAGGCAAAATCACTTTTGAGCCAGCCCTGGCTTCCCTCAGTCCCTCCAGAGGAGCACATTCAGCTCCCCCGCAAAAAGGAGGCGGGGAGAGACACAGAAAAGAAGGGAACTTCCATGTCTTTCTCTCCCTGGCTGGGAAGCACTTGGCTTTGGGCTGCCACTCATCTTGTAGGTGGGGAAGATTAATACTGATCCTCTTGAGTTACAGAAGTCTCTAAAATGAACCCTTGGGCAGAGCTTTGTCCAAGAGAGATGCTCGTGGAAAGCCCTGGGTCTGAGTGCGGTGGGAGGGGAGACGCAGGTCTCAGCAAGGACAGAGACCCCTGGATCTCCTCCTGCTCTCCCACGTGCTCTCTTCTGAGTGCATTCTTCTGTCCAAAAAGATAAGAAGGGTCATTTCCTGGCAAATGGAACAGGGTCAGGGAGAAAGCAAGAAGAGGAGGGAACTATCGGGTTTTGACCTTGAGCAAAACAGGGAAGGTGTTGATAGTGTTAATAGTTAACATTTACCCACAGTGTGTCAACCACTCTTCATTTATTATCTCATTTAATCCCCCCTCAGGTAATCCTACTGTTATCTCTGTTTTAGAGATAAGGAAATTGAGGCATATGGACTCCTCAGTAACAACTCCCAATTTATGAGAGATTTGGCCAGCTTGGGCAACATGGCGAGACCCCCTCGCTACCAAAAATACAAAAATTAGCCAGGCGTGGTAGTGCCTGCCTATAGTCCCAGCTACTCAGGAGGCTGAAGTAGGGGAGGATTGCTTGAGCCTGGGAGGTCGAGGCTTCGGTGAGCCGAGATTGCGCCACTGCACTCCAGCCTGGGTGACAGAGTGAGACTCTATCTCTTAAAAAAAGAGAGCCAGCCCAGCACTCTGTAGACATTGCCTCATTTAACCCGCATAAACCAATGAGATGAAACCATTATGGCCATTTTATTTTGCTTTTTTTTAAAACTTTAATTATTTTAAATTTCTTATTTTTTTTAACACCTACTAGAATGAGAATTACTCCCATTTTCTACAGGTGAAAACTGAGGTTCAGAGAAGTAGGGAACTTGCCTGTGATCATGAAGTATGTAAATGGCAGACCAAGGGCTCAGAATTTGGGTCTGTGTGACTCCAGAGCACGTGTGCTTGTCCTTTTTGCCCTGCTGTCTCCTGACTCACCAAGGCTTCTTCACCGCCCCTAGGGCTCCTGCTCAGATAGGCTGAGACCACAAAAATCTGCCCACACCTACATTTCCCTAGTGCTCCACACACAGATTAAAACTTGGCTGCTGTTCACTTTGTTTGTTCACACTTGCCACCAGAGCATGTATGGGGCGTGGACAGATAGGCATGGGTGATACGGGGCCCTGTGTCTTGGGACTCTGGCTGTCAACTGGACTCTCTCTCCCAACCCGGACTCCAGAAGCAGGAGACTTGAGAGGTCTCCACTACCCTTCCCAAGCCTTGAAATTTTCCTAAGAGACCAAGATGTCTCCATTGAACAGCCTCGGGAGATCTCCTGAAGACCCAAGGAGGTGCTTCTTGGAGAAGAGGCTGGAGAGCCCAGCAGTTTTTTGTTTGTTTGTTTGTTTGTTTGAGACCACGTCTTGCTCTGTTGCCCAGGCTGGAGTGCAGTGGTACCATCTTCACTCACTGCAACCTCCGCCTCCCAGGTTCAAGTGATTTTTCTGCCTTAGCCTCCTGAGTAGCTGGGAATACAGGCACGTGCCACCACGCCAGGCTGGAGTGCAGTGGTGTGATCTCGGCTCACTGCAATCTCTGTCTCTGGGGTTCAAGTGATTCTCCTGCCTTAGCCAGCAGCTGGGACTACAGGTGCGCACCACCATGCTCGGCTAATTTTTTGTATTTTAGTAGAGACGGGGTTTCACCATGTTGGCCACGTTGGTCTTGAACTCCTGACCTCGTGATCCATCCACCTTGGCCTCCCAAAGTGCTGGGATTATAGGCGTGAGCCACCGTGCCTGGCCAAAATGCAAGAGAAACTCCCCAGAATGGGCGCCCATCTCCAGAGTTGGAGGCAAGCACACCAACCAACTGCACCACACAAATGGTCACTAATCTTTGTATTTTTAGTAGAGATGGGGTTTCACCATGTTGGCCAGGCTAGTCTCGAACTCCTGACCTCAAGTGATCCACCTGCCTTGGCCTCCCAAAGTGTTGGCATTACAGGCATGAGCCACCGGGCCCAGCCAAGCCCAGCAGTTTTAATCAGGGAGACCTCAGCCGGGCGCGGTGGCTCACGCCTGTAATCCTAGCATTTTGGGAGGCCGAGGCGGGTGGATCACGAGGTCAGGAGAACTAGACCATCCTGGCTAACATGGTGAAACCCCATCTCTACTAAAAATAAAAAAAATTAGCCGGGCGTGATGGCGAGTGCCTGTAGTCTCAGCTACTGGGGAGGCTGAGGCAGGAGAATGGCGTGAACCCGGGAGATGGAGCTTGCAGTGAGCCGAGATCGCGCCACTGCACTCCAGCCTGGGTGACAGAGCGAGACTCCATCTCAAAAAAACAAACAAACAAACAAACAAAAAAATCAGGGAGACCTCTCATCTATCACTGAAGGCCTTTAGCCAGCCTGGCTCCCATAGCTCACAGAGCTCCTCTGCATGGTGACAGGAGCATGACTCCAAGGCTGCCACCCACGCTGTGGGCCTGAGGGGGTGGGAAACACTTTAAATCCTGAGTCAGAGGAAAGGTTCCACTTCACTTGCCCTGGAACAGAAAGCCAAGGATGCTGCAGTCTGTATGGAGAAGAAGGGGAACTGGAAATTGAGAAAGAATAGTGCTTACTTCCTTCCCTACCATCTCTTATTTTTAAAACATTTTATTTATTTATTTTTTATTCCACCATATGTGATTCATGCTCATTGCAGAAAATACATGTGATGGAAATAAGCTTCATTAGTTTGAGTGTTTCTCCCTGTTTTCTCTCCTCTCACCCATCCACAAAAGGTTTCCAGCTCAGAATTCATGCCCACTCCCAACTCCAAGAGTCTGCTCTCAGCCATCCCCAGTCCGGCATCTTTTGTGATGCAGAATCAAAATGAGTGGGTGAGGGTGCTGGTTAGAGACAGGAGGAGATGGAGAGCTAGAGAGGCTGGGAGAAAGAAGGACTTAGGCAGAGAGGCTAAATCCATCTATATAATAAAGAACAAGGAAGGGGAAGAGAGAAGGGAAAGAGAGGGGGTAGAAAGGAAAGGTTAGGAGGAATTTTATAGAGTACAGTATTGCTCTGAGGCATTAAGTAGACACCCTGTAGTTTTCCAAGTCAAGATTGGATTTATTTTTGTTTTCTGTCTCCAGTATCATAATCCTTTTTTTTTTTTTTTTTTTTTTTTGAGACGGAGTTTCGCTCTTGTTGCCCAGGCTGGAGTGCAATAGCGCAATCTTGGCTCACCACAACCTCTGCCTCCTGGGTTCAAGCAATTCTCCTGCCTCAGCCTCCCGAGTAGCTGGCATTAACAGACATGCGCCACCACGTCTGGCTGATTTTGTATTTTTGATAGAGACAGGGTTTCTCCATGTTGGTCAGGCTGGTCTTGAACTTCCGACCTCAGGTGATCCTCCAACCTCGGCCTCCCAAAGTGCTAGGATTACAAGCTTGAGCCACCGCACCAGGCCAGGATCATAATTTTTTATTTGCAACTCCATGGAGAGCCTTGACCATGTAGACATTCAGAATTTCTTTTTTTTTTTTTTCTTTTTTTGAGACGGAATCTCGCTCTGTCGCCCAGGCCGGAGTGCAGTCACACGATCTCGGCTCACTGCAACCTCCGCCTCCCGGGTTCACGCCATTCTCCTGTCTCAGCTTCCCGAGTAGCTGGGACTACAGGCGTTCGCCACCATGCCCAGCTAATTTTTTGTATTTTTAGTAGAGATGGGTTTTCACCGTGTTAGCCAGGATGGTCTCGATCTCCTGACCTCGTGATCCGCCCGCCTCAGTCTCCCAAAGTGCTGGAATTACATGTGTCAGCCACTGCGCCCAGCTGACATTCAGAATGTCTTTGGGGTTCCATACAGGAAAGTACAAAATATTGTCATTTGACAAATGAAAGAAGAGACTTGAGTATTTATCGTGCTTTCTTTACAATTATGATTTAGTCTAGAAAAATTCTGGCTAACAAATGCAAACGGAATGATAGAATTATAAAATCACCCTTTGGCCAAGTACATTGACTCATGCCTGTAAACCCAGCACATTGGGAGGCCAAGGCGAGCAGATCACTTGAGGTCAGAAGTTCAAGACCAGCCTGGCCAACATGGTGAAACCCCATCTCTACCAAAAATACAAAAATTAGCCGGTTATCATGGCGTGCACCTGTAGTCCCAGCTACTCAGGAGGCTGAAGCAGGAGAATCGCTTGAACCTGGGAGGAGGAGGTTGCAGTGAGCCGAGATCACGTCATTGTGCTCAGTCTGGGTGACAAGAGCGAAACTCCATCTCAAAAAAATAGAAAAACAAAAAATAAATAAAATCACCCTTTTAACCCCTAATGAGATAATAGATTTAGATAAGGATCATTGATCATCGGAGATTTCTGTAACCATTGCATGAAAGGTATAGAGAAACTTTGTAATGCCAGTGATACTTGGACCCATCAATCAATCTGGGTTTTTTTCAGAGACAGGGTCTCCTATGTTGCTTAGGCTGGAGTGCAGTGGCTATTCACAGGTGCAATCATAGCTCACTATAGCCTCAAACTCCTGGGCTCAAAGGATCTTCCTGCCTTAGCCTCTTGATTAGCTGGGACTACAGGCACCTGGCTGATTAATTCATTTTAACATCACGCACACAAAAAGAGAACTAACCAAGAGAATTGAAAACATATGTTTGTACAGAAACCTGTACATAATGTTCACAGCAACAAGTATTATTCAAATAGCTAAAAAGTGGAAACAATTCAAATGTCCATCAACTGATGAATGGATAAATAAAATGTGGTGTGTCCATATAATGGAATATGATTCAGATATAAAGAGGAGTGAAGTACTGAGACATGCTACAAAATGGATGAACCTTGAAAACATTATGTTCAGCGAATGGAGCCAGACACAAAAGGCCATATATTATTTAATGCTATGTATATGAAATATCCAGAACAGGCAAACTGGTAGAGACAGAAAGTAGATTAGTAGTTGTCAGTGATTTGGGGGCAGGGGGTGGTAAGGAATGGAGAGTGTCTGCTAACAGGTACAGGGTTTATTTTGGGGATAATTGTAATGTTCTGGAATTAGTGGCAACGGATGTGCAACACTACAAATATACTAAAATTCATTGAATTGTACACTTTATTTTTATTTTTTTATTTTTTATTTTTGAGATGGAGTCTTACTCTGTCGCCCAGGCTGGAGTGCAGTGGCGCGGTCTCGGCTCACTGCAAGCTCTGCCTCCCAGGCTCACACCATTCTCCTGCCTCAGCCTCCCGAGTAGCTGGGACCACAGGCGCCCACCACCAAGCCCGGCTAATTTTTTGTATTTTTAGTAAGGACGGGGTTTCACCGTGTTAGCCAGGATGGTCTCGATCTCCTGACCTCGTGATCTGCCCGCCTAGGCCTCCCAAAGTGCTGGGATTACAGGCTTGAGCCACCGCGCCCGGCCTGTACACTTTAAATGGAGAATTTTATGTTATGTGAATTATATTTCACCATTTAGAAATCCCATATAGGAAACTAAAGAGAGAGAGAAAAAAAATAAAACCCTAAAAATTATGTACTTCTTGTTATGTTGCAATACCAAGTGTATAGCATCACCTAAAAAGTGAACCCGAGTCGGATCCAGCCTCTGGGTGTAACAACCAGTTTATGTGAAATTGATGGGATAAAAGGACATATTGAACAGAATTATAAGGGGGGAAACAAGGCAATGTGTACAATTCAAAAAGTGGGAAATTCTTCAGGACAAATAACCTGTTTTCTTCAAGACAAATAACCTGTTTTCTTCAACAAATAGATAGCAAAAGGAACTATTGTGGCTGAAAAGAAACTTTAAAGACATCGACCAAATGCAAAGTGTGGTCTTTTTTGGGTTCTGATTCCAGCAAAAGAACTTAAAAATACTTATGAAGATATACACTGAAGTATTTACAGATGAAATTATATAATGTCTGGGATTTGCTTCAAAATAATCCAGTGTGTGGGGGTGAGGGTAGGGAAGAGGGTGTTATAGAAGAAACAAGACTGCTGTGAAATGATCATTGTTGAACTGGTTGATAGATACAGGGAGGTTATTACATCATTTCCCCCTACTTTTGAGGATATTTAAGATTTTCTACAATAAAAATTATGAAGTTTGATCTAGCCACAAAATTGATATTTAGAATTTATTTTTAGAATTTACATATATGTGGGCCGGGTGCAGTGGCTCACGCCTATAATCCCAGCACTTTGGGAGGCCAAGGTGGGGGATCACGAGGTCAGGAGATCCAGACCATCCTGGCTAACACGGTGAAACCCCGTCCTTACTAAAAATACAAAAAATTAGCCGGGCGTGGTGGTGGACGCCTGTAGTCCCAGCTACTTGGGAGGCTGAGGCAAGAGAATGGCGTGAACCTGGAAGGCAGAGCTTGCAGTGAGCCGAGATCGCACCTCTGCACTCCAGCCTGGGCGACAGAGCGAGACTCCGTCTCAAAAAAGAAAAAAAGAGAAAAGATTGAATAGTTGCGTTTCAGGTATCCCAGACCTTATTGAAAGCTGAAATTAAAAGGCATGCATACAGTCCGAAGTGATCCATCTAAATTACTGTTATTATTGCTACATCAGAAGTAGAGGACTCTCCTGAGGAGACAGGAAGCAGTGTAGCTTTTCAGACACCCAGAAACACCATCAAAAGTAGTGGCGTGCCAACACACTAATGCCATCTCAGTCCCTGTTGCCTTCAGGAAAAGTACAACCCCTTGGACTGTTACTGAGGGCCTTCCAAATCTGGCCCCAACCTGCCCTTCCAGCCACATTCCCTGCCCCTCCCCTCCGTACTTCCTGCCGCCCCACCATTAATTTGCTGGTTCCTGAACACACCTCCCTGGCTTTGCACTTGCTGTTCCCTTGCCCGCACGTCCTCCTGTGAACTCCTGGTCTTCCTTCTACACCCCATTCCTCCATCTCTCCTCTTGACAGAATTAGTCACTCCCTGCTCTGTACACACCTCTCATATATCACACTATGGTAATTATTTCTTTCTGAATCTTTCTGCATGCAATGTGGTGCTGCCCCAGACTCTATCCTGTTTATCTGTATGTGCTTAGGGCCTGACATAAAGTAGGTATTTGATAATACATCTTGGATAAATTTTGATCTATTCATGATAGAGCAAAGGAGCCACATAGACTCTGGATGAACTAGTACTGAGGATGACCCCAAGAGAGTCACCCAGACTTGAGCTCTTCTTTCTAAGGGGTGCCTACGAAATTGTAGAACAATAAAAACAAAGTCTGACCCAAGAATAACCAACAGGAACACCTGGCTAACACCAATTCAGTAATAAGCAAAAGAAAGATATTTAAGAGAAAGGCTTTGAGCCTAGTGCTTTGTGTGAGTTGTACATGGGGAATGAAGATGGAAAGAGAATTCAGTGATGGGGGCGAGATCTCACGAGTTCTCTAAGAAATAGTTGAGGGAGCTTGATGAACTAATAAAATAACACTTTCTGGTTTTTAAAAAACCTACAGCCCCCAAATTTAGAAGCCAACAGCAGTTGTCTGGTGCTTCTATCCCGCCAGCCTCTAACAGACAGACCATCCACTTACGGGGAATGTTAAACAACTTGCATCCGCTCAGCAAAAGCCTAGAGGCCTGAGTCCCTAGGAAATCTTTCCCATCTTTGTTTGTTTGTTTGTTTTGTTTTGTTTGAGACAGAGTCTCACTCTGTCACCCAGGCTGGAGTGCAGTGGTGTAATCACAGCTTATTGCAACCTCCGCCTCCCCGGTTCAAGCGATTCTCATGCCTCCGTCTCCTGAGTAGCTGGGATTACAGGCACCTGCCACCATGCCTGGCTAATTTTTGTATTTTTTTTTTAGTAGAGATGCGGTGTCACCATGTTGGCCAGGCTGGTCTTGAACTCCTGACCTCAAGTGATCCACCCGCCTCGGCCTCCCAAAGTGCTGGGATTACAGGCATCAGCCACCGTGCCAGGCGTGTTTTCTTTTGTTTTCTTTTGAGGCTAGGTTTCGCTTAGTTGCCCAGGCTGCAGTGCAGTGAAGATCATAGCTCACTGCAGCCTCAAACTCCTGGTCTCAGGCGATCCTCTGACCTCAGCCTCCCTAGTAGCTGCGACTACAGGCATGTGCCACCACACCCAGCTAATTTTTTGTACTTTTTGTAGAGACAGGGTCTCTCTATGTTGCCCAGGCTGGTCTTGAACTTTTGGTCTCAAACCATCCTTCTGCCTCAGCCTCCCAAAGTGCTGGGATTATAGGTATCAGCCATTCCACCTGGACCCATCTTTATTTTTTACCAGTCTTTAACAGCTTATTATCAAAGGGTCATACTCCCGCAATGCAAGAAAATAGTCCATCAGAGGACCTTTATAATAAACCAGATTCTAGAAAATATTTACTTGCTTATCTAGTCTTTTTCTTTTGCTTTCTTAAATAGAACAATTTTCTTCCAATGATAAAAACATCTGCTCACCGGCCACAGTGGCTCACACCTGTAATCCCAGCACTTTGGGAGGCCAAGGAGGGCAGATCACCTGAGGTCAGGAGTTCAAGACCAGCCTGGCTAATATGGCGAAACCCCATCTCTACTAAAAATACAAAAATTAGCCAGGCGTGGTGGCACAGCACTAGCTACTCAGGAGGCTGAGGCAGGAGAATCGCTTTAACTCAGGAGGTGGAGGTTGTAGTGAGCCAAGATCACGCCACTGCACTCTAGCCTGGGCGACAGAGCAAGACTCCGTCTCAGAAACAAACAACAACAACAACAAAAATCAGCTCATTTGGAAAACACAGAAAAGTATAGAAAATAAAAGTTAGTCTGGGCACGGTGGCTCACACCTGTAATCCCAGCACTTTGGGAGGCCAAGGAGGAAGGATCACCTGAGGTCGGGAGTTCGAGGCCAGCCTGACCAATATGGAGAAACCCCGTCTCTACTAAAAATATAAAATTAGCCAGACGTAGTGGAGCATGCCTGAAATCCCAGCTACTCGGGAGGCTGAGGCAGGAGAATTGCTTGAATCCATGAGACAGAGGTTGTGGTGAGACGAGATCACGCCACTGCACTCCAGCGTGGGCAAGAGCAAAACTCCGTCTCAAAAAAAAAAAAAAAAAGAGAAAAGAAAAAGAAAGAAAAGAAAGAGGCCGGGCACGGTGGCTCATGCCTGTAATCCCAGCACTTTGGGAGGCTGAGGAGGGCGGATCATGAGGTCAGGAGATCAAGACCATCCTGGCTAACACAGTGAAACCCCGTCTCTACCAAAAATATAAAAAATTAGCTGGGCGTGGTGGCGGGTGCCTGTAGTCCCAGCTACTCGGGAATGGCGTGAACCTGCGAGGCGGAGGTTGCAGTGAGCTGAGATCACGCCACTGCACTCCAGCCTGGTTGACAGAGTGAGACCCTGTCTCAAAAAAAAAAATACACTACCTAGAATGACAATCACCAGCATTTGATGTATAATGATGTTATATGTGCATGTATTTTATAAAATTGGAATCGTACCATGTAAAGTTTTATATCTTACTTTCATTCCTTAGTATTATATTGTGAGCATTTTCAGGTCAATAGTTATTTTATAACATGATTTATAATGACTGCCTAGTAATTCATCATATGATATAACAGTTTATTTCAGCCATCACCCATCAGACATGTATGCTGTTGCCATTTTTCTCCATTACACATAATACTGTGATTAAAAGCAGTCGTGGTAGAATTGCTAGGAAAGAAGGCATGAACTTTTTTTTTTCCTTTTGAGACGGAGTCTCGCTCTGTCTCCAGGCTGGAGTGCTGTGGCTAGACCTCGGCTCACTGCAACCTCCACCTCCCGGGTGGCATGAACTTTTACAAGGCTCTGAGTACGTGCTTGTAGCCCTCAGGAAAACTGGGCCCAATTCATTCTCCCTCCATCAGCATGTTAGTTTCATGTGTCAAAGCTTTCTCTTCTTTCAACATGTGTGAAAAAGGTATGCTTTTATATTTTTCACAATGAATATATATCTCATAATAAGAAAAAAATTCACATTACTCTTTGTTGTTTTGTTTTGTCTTGTTTTTTATCTTTTTTTTTTTTTTGAGACAGGGTATTGCTCTTTCAGCCAGGCTGGAGTACAGTGATGAGATCTCGGCTCACTGCAACCTCCACATCCCAGGATCAAGCATTTCTCCCACCTCAGCCTCCCAAGTAGCTGGGACAACAAGTGCGCCATCATACTCCTCTAATTTTTTTATTTTTTGTAGAGATGGGGTTTCACCATGTTGCCCAGGCTGGTCTCGAACTCCTGGGCTCAAGCAGTGCACCTGCCTCGGCCTCCCAAAGTGCTGGGATTACAAGCATGAGCCACTGCGCCTGGCCAACATTACCTTTTCAAAGAAGAAAAAAAATAAACATTATTTCCCCCATGAAGTAGATGGGGAAACTGAAGCCCAGGGATGAATAACCTAAAGACTTGCCTTACGAAGGCTGACAGCTGGACCTGAGGAGATGGAAAAAAATGTTTCCGAGTAGAAACAAGATACTTCTTGTTTTTTTGTTTTTTTGTTTTTTTTGAGACAGAGTCTCGCTCTGTCACCCAGGCTGGAGTGCAGTGGCGCGATCTCGGCTCACTGCAAGCTCCGCCTCCCAGGTTCATGCCATTATCCTGCCTCAGCCTCCTGAGTAGCTGGGACTACAGGCGCCCGCCACCACGCCCAGCTAATTTTTTGTATTTTTGTAGAGATGGGGTTTCACCGTGTTAGCCAGGATGGTCTCGATCTCCTGACCTCGTGATCCGCCCACCTCGGCCTCCCAAAGTGCTGGGATTACAGGTGTGAGCCACTGCACCCGGCCAGAACCAAGATACTTCTGAAGAGAAAGTTGTAAGGACCTTGACAATTTCATTAGCCAAAAATGAAATCTGGCTCTGAAGAGAATGAACGATGATTCTGAGGAGACAATGCAGGGGAGTCATCACAAATCTGGTGACAAAATTGGTTCTGAGGCTGCTGTAATGGGACTGGAAGCAGTCACCACTGGAGAGTCTCTGTTTTATGGGGACTTGAGGGCAATAGAAATTGTGTTAGTGTCATTAACAGAGGATTGAGAACACTGCCATAGCTGACCAGCGAAGGCTTACAAAGGACCCAGTCAGGTGGATCTGAGACTATTAAATGGGTGGTTCTGAGATGATAGTTTGAGATAGACAGTTGGTGTTGAGGTGACTGAAAATTGGTTCTAATAAGGCAGCTGGAGGGGATGCACTGTTTGTGAGAAGCCAGTTTCAGGGAATTCAAAGTTGGTTCTAATGAGATTCAAAGGTGGTTGGCAAGGCTGGGGTGGTTAAGTTTCTCCTTCTCCCAGAGCCCCTCCAAATCCTCAGAACCAACTCTCCCACCGTAGGTGCTCTGTTAATTTGTTCAACAAATGAGGTTCTAGGAAGTGAAGTTAGTTCTGAGGAGAAATGAGCTTCCTGGGAGGCTGAGTTGGTTTTCTCTGAGTACGGCACCCACTGCTGGTTCTGTGGAAATGGTGACTTTTAGATTTATCTGGCAGTTGAGGAGCCACTCTGGCCCAGGTGGGCAGCCTGTTCTTTTGTTTTTGTTTCGTTTGTTTTTTGAGAGGGAGTCTCACTCTGTCTCCCAAGCTGGAGTGCAGTGGCGCGATCTCGGCCCACTGCAACCTCCACCTCCCGGGTTCGAGTGATTCTCCCACCTCAGCCCCCCAAGTAGCTGGGGTTACAGGCACCCGTCACCATGCCTGGCTAATTTTTGTATTTCTGGTAGAGACGGGGTTTCACCATGTTGGCCAGGCTGGTCTTGAACTCTTGACCTCAGGTGATCTGCCCACCTCCACCTCCCAAAGTGCTGGGATTACAGACGTGAGCCACTGCGCCCAGCAAGCAAGGATAATGTTTTAAATATTCCAGCTGGGCGTGGTGGTTCACACCTGTAATCCCAGCACTTTGGGAGGCCGTGGCAGGCAGATCAGTTGAGGTCAGGAGTTTGAGACCAGCCTGGGCAACATGGCAAAACCCCGTCTCTACTAAAAATACAAAAATTAGCCCAGTGTGGTGGCACATGCCAATTGTCCCAACTACTTGGGAGGCTGAGGTAGGAGAATCGCTTGAACCCGGGGGGTGGAGGTTGCAATAAGCCAAGATCGCACCACTGCACTCCAGCCTGGGTGACACAGCAAAACTCTGTCTCAAAAAAAAAAAAAAAATTCTTCCTAAGTTATAATTTACATATCACAAATTTCACCCATCTTTGTATATAATTCAATAACTTTCAGTAATGTAAACAATTGTTCAAACATAACAATCCAGTTTTAGAATATCTCCATGATCCCCAAAATAGCAAACTCATTGGCCGTCAATAACTCTCTTATACCCAGCCCCAGACAACTACTAATCTGCTCTCTGTCTCTATAAGACTTTTGCCTTTTCTGGACACTTCATATAAACGCAGTCACACACCTAACTTCTTTATCAAAATGTTTTGAAGTTTATGCATGTTGCGGCGCGCGTCTGTATTTTGTTCCTTTTTATTGCTGAGGCCTATTTCATTGTTTGGATACACCACATTTTGCTTATCTATGCACTGGTTGAATAGACATTTGGATTGTTTCCACTCCGGCTATTATGAATAATGCTGCTATGAACATTTGCATGCAAGTCTTTGCATGAACATATTTTTATTTCTGTTAGGTAGATACCCAGGAGTGGAATTTCTGGGTCATATGGTAAGTGTATGTTTAACTTTATAAGAAGTAACTAAACCATTTTCCAAAGTGGCTGCATCTTTTTACGTCCCCACCAGCAATATGTGAGGGTTCTGGTTTATTCACATCCTCACTGATACTTGTTATTGTCTGTCTGGAAAGAATAACTGTGAAGGATAGCTACCACACATGCCAGGTCATCAGCAAGTGTCAGTTTATCAGAGTTGCGAGCACAGACCCAGACCTGCCTTCCAGCCTCCGCTGTCCTTCTCTCCTCTGGTGGCTCCATAGCCCCACACTCCTGATGTCCAAAGAGGAAAGAGAGAAGTTTTAGTTACAGTACTAACCCCAGTCCAAGAGGTGAAAATGTGGTAGATTAGAGTCTGTGACAACCAGTGGGTGAATGCGGCCCGTGTTCCAGAAAACCCATCAGGAACTGCCCACAGGAGATGGTGATAAAGGCAAAGTGTACAGATAACCTCTCGGGACTAGTCCCCCAAGGGCAGCGTCCCACATCACCTGACCCTTAGCCTCTTCCTGTTTTTGAGATAGGAGTATCTGATCAATCCCAGGCTCACCCTCTCCCAGGCACCTCTCCTCTTTAGAAAACTATCACCATGGACTTTTGTCCATTTGCCAAGCTGACTAAATAATGACAATCTACCTTGCTTAGCCCAGACACCTCATTACCAGGAAGACAGAAACAAACGGGGCCGAGCATGGTGGCTCATGCATGTAATCCCAGCACTTTGGGAGGCCGGGGCAGGCAGATCACTTGAGGTCAGGAGTTCGAGACTTCTACTAAAAGTACAAAAATTAGCCGGGCGTGGTGGCACGCGGCTGTAGTCCCAGCTACTCGGGAGGCTGAGGCAAGAGAACTGCTTGAACCCAGGAGGTGGCAGTTGCAGAGAGCCAAGATGGCGCCATTGCACTCCAGCCTGGGCGACAGAGTGAGACTCTGTCTCAAAAAAAAAAGATAGAAACAAATAGGAGAGAGCTTGGAGTAGAGCAATAAAAATGACAAAGGGGCCAGGGCGGTGGCTCACGCCTATAATCCCAGCACTTTGGGAGGCCGAGGTGGGTGGATCACGAGGTCAGGAGTTCAAGAACAGCCTGGCCAACATGGGGAACCCCGTCTCTACTAAAAATACAAAAATTAGCTGGGTGTGGTGGCACATGCCTGGTATCCCAGCTACTCGGGAGGCTGAGGCACGAGAATCGCTTGAACCCGGGAGGCGGAGGTTGCAGTGACCCAAGATCCTGCCACTGCACTCCAGCCTGGTGACAGAGCAAGACTCTGTCTCAAAAAAAAAAAAAAAAAAAAAAAAAAAAAGACAAAGGGGCTCGCTCTGTTTAATTGAGCAATGATTAAAGGAAGCATATCTTTTAGGAGACTTTGACTGTGAGTGTGGGAGAAGATGGGTGCTTGTTGTTTTAAGCACCAGGGATGTGAAAAAATGTGGATATGGTGGGAAGAAGGAGCCAGAACAGTTGGGGGGAAACTTTGGAGTAAATGTGGACACATCCACACAAGGACTTGTGCTCCAATAATCACAGCAGCTTTATCCATAATAGCGCCAAAGGAACCAGCCCAGATGTCCCTCCACAGGGGAAAGGATGAACAACTGGGGCACAGCCATATAGCAGAATGCTACTTGGCAATGAAAAGGAGTGAACTATTTGCAGTGTACACACAGCAACATCAGTGAATCCTGAACAGTGATGCTAAGTGAAGTAAGCCAGATCAAATCAAGGACATATGGAATGATTCCATATATAAGACCCTCTATCCTCTTTTTCCGGCTGGAACATGCAGGGTGTAGAAGAGAAGAAGAAGGTTCCTGCTGTGCCAGAAACCCTTAAGAAAAAGCGAAGGAGTCCGGGCGTGGTGGCTCACGCCTGTACTCCCAACACTTTGGGAGGCTAAGGCGGGCGGATCACCTGACGTTGGAAGTTTGAGAGCAGCCTGATCAATATGGAGAAACCCTTCTCTACTAAAATTACAAAATTAGCTGGGCGTGGTGGCACATGCCTGTAATCCCAGCTACTCGGGAGGCTGAGGCAGGAGAATCGCTTGAACCCGGGAGGCGGAGGTTGCAGTGAGCCAAGAGTGTGCCACTGCACTCCAGCCTGGGCAACAAGAGCGAAACTCCTTCTCAAAAAAAAAAAAAAGAAAAGAAAAAGAAAAAGAATTTCGAAGAGCTGGAAATCAAGCACCTGAGAAAGAAGTTTGCCCAAAAGATGCTTCAAAAGGCAAGGAGGAGGCCGGGCATGTTTTTTTTTTTTTCAGTTTGAGAGTAGGTACTGTTTTATTTATTTATTTATTTGTCTTTTTTTTGAGATGGAGTCTCGCTCTGTCGCCCAGGCTGGAGTGCAGTGGTGCAATCTCAGCTCACTGCAAGCCCTGCCTCCTGGGTTCACACCATTCTCCTGCCTCAGCCTCCCCAGTAGCTGGGACTACAGGCGCCCGCCACCATGCTCAGCTAATTTTTTTGTATTTTTAGTAGAGGTGGGGTTTCACCGTGTTAGGCAGGATGGTATCGAACTCCTGACTTTGTGATCTACCCGCCTCTGCCTCCCAAAGTGCTGGGATTACAGGAATGAGCCACCACGCCCAGCCAAGAGTAGGTACTGTTTATTAACTGACCACCTTAGAAAAATAATCATGGTAGACACCTTAGTTCATTCTTCTAATAAGCCTGTTGATCTGGTCCTCCCTGTTGCTAGCATCTCCACCTTCTACAAAATGGGTGGTCTTTTTCTTCATTCCGCCTCGTGGAGAAGATAATTTGAAGGGCCACAGGTAGTTATTTGCTTCTTTGAAGCATTTTCCAACAGTATAGATCTCATGAATCAGATCCTCCAGGCAGATGATGCCATATTTACCAAGAGATCAAGCAATCAAAGTGTTATGTATCAAAGCAATTCGCTTCTTATTGATTTTGCCATAACCATGCTTGTAAATTAGTTCATTTACTGACTTCAGATTTGGGTATCCCCATGCAATATATGGGTCTACAATCCTCAGCATGTTAACTGAAGCCTGTTGAGCTTCACAAAGTTTCCACTGAAGTTTGACAAAGGCAAAGAAGCTGCAACACCTTTCAGACCTTTGGGCTCACACCATTGATGCCTCTGATCCTGATGACAAACGCCAATTTGGGTTCTGCAGGTACATAGAAGTTGCCAGCTTTTCTTGCCATCCTCGCCATTCGAATTTCAGTTCTGTACATCTGCCTATATTCCTTGTGATAGTGCTTTTCTTTTTCACAGATAAGCTTCCTCCTTGCCTTTCTTTCTTTTCTTTCTTTTTTTGAGATGGAGTTTTGCTCTTGTTGCCCAAACTGGAGTGCAGTGGTGCAATCTTGGCTCACTGCAACCTCTGCCTCCGGGGTTCAAGCGATTCTCCTGCTTCAGCCTCCTGAGTAGCTGGGACTACAGGTGCCTGCCACGATGCCTGGCTAATTTTTGTATTTTTAGTAGAGACCAGATTTCACCATGTTGGCCAGGCTGGTCTTGAACTCCTGACCTCAGATGATCCACCTGCCTCGGCCCCTCAAAGTGCTGGGATTACAGTCATGAGCTACCGCACCTGGCTTAAAAAATACAAAAATAGTTTAAAAAAACTTTTTTTGAAACCAGGTCTTGCTCTGCTGCCCAAGCTGGAGTGAAGAGGCACAATCTCAGCTCACTGCAGCCTTGATGTCCCAGGCTCAAGCAATCCTCCTACCTCAGCGTCTCGAGTATCTGGAACTACAGGCATGGGCTGCCATGCCTGGTTTATTTTATTTTTTTGTAGAGACGGGGTCTCCCTATGTTGCCCAGGCTGGTCTTGAACTCCTGGGCTCAAGCAATCTCTAGCCTCAGCCTCCCAAAGTGCAGTAATTACAGGTGTGAGCCACCATACACAGCCCTCAATAGAGTTGTAATAATAATTTTTAAAACCCTAAGTGCTAAGGAGAATGGGCTTGATGGAGAGAACTCCCTGGAAAGGGAAATGAGATTTTACTTGCATCTGAGTTGCTGGGCCACCGATCTGACCTAAGAGGTCATCTGAAGTAAGCTTAGCCACAGAGGCTCTCCTAGGTCCTAGTAATGGAGATAAGGAGACTGAGAGAAAAATTACTGAAGTAGAGGGTTAGATTTGCTATTTGGGTGCAAAAATCTTATTAGCACCCAAAGGTTTCTGGGTAAAATGTTGAAATGTTATTTGCTTGACATCTGATTCTTTTAAACTTGGCCTCATTTCCCTTAGGACTCTGGGATATCCCTCTGCCCAATGGCTTCCCCTCTCCAACTGCATTAAGTGTGTCCTGAAACAGTGAAAACAGTGTGGATGCAGGGAGGGGGACTGGCAGGGAATACCTTTGACCCTATAGTACTCTTACCTGCCTCCAGTTCCATACCTGGGGGATAGGGGCGGTTCTGAATAGGGGGAAGGTGGAAGGAAACACACTGAAAACTCCAGCGTGCTGCAAATCCCGGGCCAAGCTCCGCCTTCCTGAGTGCTTGGAATCTTTCAAAACAGGTGAGAACGAGGCTGAACGTTCCTGAAATTCAAGCAAAAGAGTACCTTTCAGGTAGGAGGAGGAAGGGTCAAGGGTCTTTAGGACCTGGTTCTTTCACTTCAGAATCAAAACCTGTCCTTGTCCTTAGCCCAGTCCCCCACCCCCAACTCCCTTCTACCCTACTCCTCTCTGTCCTTCCTCATATTCCTGAAGCCCTAGACAATTTCCCCAGGTAGCAATCACTTGTTCAACACTCTCCGGGACCCTTCTCCAACCTTAACCTTTATAATGATGAGATCTCTTATCAGCACTGTCTCGTGCCCTTGGTTTTCTATTTCCCTAGCAGGAGTAGGAATTTAAATAAACACTTATTATTTTTATATTTTTATTTTTATATCAGCCAACACATTCCTTATACTATAGGACTGTAAAAGGGAGCAGCTTTTTGCCCCATTCCCTATTTCAGCCATGAAAAGAAACTTAAGTTTGGACTGTCAGAACCTAAAGAAACCCTGGTGACGGGCTAATAAAAATTAGCTAGCAGCCAAATGTGTTGGCTCACGCCTGTAATCCCAGCACCTCGAGAGGCCAAGATGGGAGGGACTACTCCAGCTCAGGAGTTCGAGACCATCCTGGGCTACAAAGTATGACCCTCCCATCTCTTAAAAAAAAAAAAATTAAAGGTTGGGCGTGGTGGCTCACGCCTGTAATCCCAGCACTTTGGGAGGCCAAGGCGGGCAGATCACCTGAGGTCAGGAGTTCAAGACCAGACTGGCAAACATGGTGAAACCGTGTCTACTAAAAATACAAAAATTAGCCAGGCATGGTGGTGGGTGCCTGTAATCCCAGCTACTTGGGAGGCTGAGGCAGGAGAATCACTTGAACCCAGGAGATGGAGGTTGCAGTGAGCCGAGATTGTGCCATTGCACTCCAGCCTGGGCAACAGAGCCAGACTCTGTCGCAAAAAATAAATTTAAAAAAAATTTTAAAAATTAGCCACCTGTAGTGCATCTGTATTCTCAGCTACTTGGGAGGCTGGAGGAGACTTTGAGCCCAGGAGTTCAAGGTTGCAATGGGCTATAAACGCACCACTGCACTCCAGCCTGAGTGACAATGAAACCCTGTCTCAAAAATAAAATAAAATAAATATTAGCTAGCAACAAGCCATCTGCATCAGAATGACCTTGTTATCAAGGCCAGTTCCAGGACCCTATCCCAAATGTAAGGTATCAGTCACCTGCTCCGTTCATGGGGCCTGGGAATCTCATTCTGATGCACTTGTAACTTACAAGACCCTCTGCTTTAAAGAAATAGAGTCTCAATGCTCCTTCTTTCATATTTTATTCTTGCCATGTTTTATTTCTTGGGAGTCTGGAGTGAGAAACTCTTAAGAATGTGTAACAGGTATGGACTTGTGTTCCTGGGCCTAGAGTGAGATGGGGAGGGGTAGGTGGGGCTGGGAAGAGGTGCGCCAATACAAATATTGTCCCATCAGGACCTGGCAATTTTGCCAGGAGGCTCACAGGGATGTGCCCCTTACTAGAGAAGGTGTCCTGTTCCCCCTCCTCAAGGCTGAGGAGTCTGGTGCCATGGGAAAGGGCAGAGGTCAACAGTGTTGGTCAGGGAAGGCTAGACTGCACAAGAAAGAATTGGGCCAATGTCAGGGGTTTATTGGAATCCCTCTGGCTCCAGAAAGTGTGGGTTGAGAACCACCTGGGAGACCCTTAGAGGAAGGAGAAGAGGTAGAAGCAGATTAGACTTTCACTTCACTCAGGGCCTGATAACCATACCAGGTCAAGGGGATACCTCATTGTTCCTCTGATTTTAGGGGTCAGAAGTTGGGAGAGGAGCCAAGGGTTGGGAATTCCAGTACATCAAATCTATTGTACCCATCCACCCAGTGAATCGTGGAGTCTGACCAATTCACAAAAGACTTAGATATTGGGGTTGGAGGTAGTGCTTCCACTCAGTAATCCGTCTCATCCACACTGCTGAGTAGACTTGGCCAGTGTCCTCCCTGCCTCACCCACAAACCAAGTCAATCAGGTTGACTCCTGCTTATGCTTCCTAACTCAATTTTTCCACCTTTCCTAAACCCCCAGGTGGGTTGGGTGCCCTTCACTGTGCTCCCAAAGAGCTCCATTCTTGCCCATATTGCATAACACAATACCATGTTGTGATTTGTGTCTTATGTCCGTCTCCCCAACCAACAATCCACATTCCTCCCATGGTGTCTGCTGTGGCCAGGTCAAGGCCTCTCACAGAGTAGGCAGATGCTCACGTGCCCACAGGGATTGCCCCAGCAGTGGGAGTGGTCCCTCAGGGGACTGGGCCCAAAAGAACCTAGAACCTCAGGCCTCCTACACAATGGGAACAGATTTGGCCCGGATGGGAACTTTAGACACCAGGCCAGGCTTCTGCCCACTCTATCCTTTGTCCCACGAAGCTGCCAAGGATGGCAGTTCCAGCTGGCAAGTAATAAGAATTTCTTCCTGGAAGGATTCTTGGCTTGAGAACTGGCCTTTACCTCGTCTAGGCTTCTTTGATGCCCTCAAGTTGCTGGGGACCTGGGGAATGGGAGGGAGAGGCTGAGTCGGCCCCAGCATTGTTACTGTTCCCCTAAAGGCCTTGTGCCTACTTCTTACCTCCTCTAACTGCACATGGCAGGGATTCCCAAGATCATGGGTTTTCCAACCCTGAGTAGAGGTGGGGGACGGGACTGGCCCAACATTTGATGCCAGGAGAGTAACACTGCCTTTGGCCACACATGTCCCAGCCCTAACTCTTGCCTTTCTTGGCTTTAGCTAACCAAGGTAAAGCTTCAGCCCAACAGACTGAAGAGGAACAGGCCCATTATCAAGAAGAACTCCAGCCTGGGCAACATGGCAAAACCCTGTCTCTATAAACATTAACCGAGTGTGGTGGCACGTGCCTATAGTCCCAGCTACTCAGGAGGCTGAGGTGGGAGGATCACTTGAGCCTGAGACACCAAAGCTGCAGTGAACTGTGATTACACTACTGCACTCCAGCCTGGGTGGATAGACCGAGACCCTATTTGAAGACCCATACTCAGTCCTCATAAATAACGAACTCCAGTTTCACACAGTGGGCCTGACTCTGGCTGGAGGATCCTTGTATCTCTAAAGGCCAAGTCTTCAGAAAACCTCACAGCCCTCAATAGGGCAGAGTCCTTCCCCTAACCCAGGAAACACATACCCAATCGCAGCTACTTTATTTTCGTTTTAATTTTTTGGAAGGATATACACCACATATCCCATGGGCAATAAAGCGCATTCAATGTGTTTATAAGCCAAACAGTCACTTTGTTTAAGCAAACACAAGTACAAAGTAAAATAGAACCACAAAATAATGAACTGCATGTTCATAACATACAAAAATCGCCGCCTACTCAGTAGGTAACTACAACATTCCAACTCCTGAATATATTTATAAATTTACATTTTCAGTTAAAAAAATAGACTTTTGAGAGTTCAGATTTTGTTTTAGATTTTGTTTTCTTACATTCTGGAGAACCGAAGCTCAGCTCAGCCCTCTTCCTTATTTTGCTCCCAAAGCCTCCCCCAAATCATCACTCCCTGCCCCCCTTAAGGCTAGAGGTGAGCATGTCCCTCACAATTGCACATGTCAAGCCATCAGCAAGGCGCATCACACAAAAGGCACCAAGACGTGAAACTTTTTAAACCAAAAGGACGAAGAAAAAACACTTTCAAAAAAAAAAAAAAAGAAAAACCAAACCATATTTTGCCACATGTGAGAGTACGGTCAAGCAGTATTTACAAAAAGGTTAACGGAACAACACTCTGACACATGCTCTGAGAATACTGGGACTGCTGTTTCAAAAAAAAAGGTTCAAACTTATTGTCACAGCATCATCACAAAATAGAGGATCACCATTGGTTTGCTTGGCTTTTCTTTTTTTTTTTTCCCCCAAGTGAGGACCTAACTCCAAATAATACAATAGAATATGCAAATTATCTTCACATCAAGAGTACCCCAAGAAAAACGAAATCCATGGCACAGACACTGTACAAGGGTGCAGGGCAGGGCTCTGAGGGGCCCAAACCCCATTTTGCCAACTCGATTTTCTAGCATTGAAGGGAGCAAGGGGTCAGGCATATGATGGAGATGATACTGAAATGATTTATCCAAAATCCATGCAAATCAAGTTCTTTGGATAGAGGTGAAGAACTTGGACATGGCTGTTTCAGGCAGCTGAAGTCAAAGGGAATAGTAATTGGGGAAGGGGAAGTGGGCAGAAAGGATTGTTGGCCAATAGACCTTCCACTCCAGTAGAGAGGGAGGACTTGGCTCTGAGAACCTCCATCTGACCTAAGAGGAACCCTCCTCTCCTATGGCCATCTCCTCCTCCTGTCCTTTAAGTCTCTTGTGTTTCTTTTTCTCCCTTTTCCCTTTCTTTCCCCTTTCCCTTTAGCAAATTTCAATTGTCCTGGGAGAAAAGGTTGCTGTCATGTCCGAAAGCCCTGTGGAGGCGCTGAAGGAGTTGGTGACAGCTGAGGAAGGGAAGCTGCTGACCTGGGCCGGGAAAGCAGGGGGAACAGAGGAGTACGTGGTGGCCACCGACGGGGAGGGGAAGCCACTGTGCACAGGGGATGGGTAGGTCGAGGAGCCGGGAGAGGAGAAGGAGGTGGGCACAGGGGATGGGTATGAGGTGGTGGCCGGGGATGGATAAGAGGTAGTAACCGGGGACGGGTAAGAGGTAGCAACCGGGGACGGGTAGGAAGAGAGAGAGGAGGTGGCCGAAGAGGCCACAACACTTTTGTCTGCTTTCTTGTCCTTCTGCCGCAAGTGGATCTTGGTATGCCTCTTGCGTTCATCGCTCCTGGCAAACTTTCTTCCACAGATGTCGCAGGCGAAGGGCTTTTCGCCTGTGTGGGTGCGGATGTGGGTGGTGAGGTGGTCGCTGCGGCTGAAGTTGCGCATGCAGATGCGGCACTGGAAGGGCTTCTGGCCTGTGTGGATGCGGATGTGGCGGGTGAGCTCGTCGGAGCGGGAGAAGCGGCGATCACAGGACTCCACTGGGCAAGCGTAAGGGCGTTCGTGGGGGGGCGTCTTGCTGGGCCGGTTGGGGTACTTGCGCATGCGGCTGGGTTTGATGAGCTGGGACTGGTAGCTGGTATTGAGGGCCTTCAGGTCCTGGGAGCCCGACTGAGTGGCAAAGGCCTTAATAGTAGACAGAGGGGTTAGCGAAGGCTGCTGGGTGCGGCTCTCCAGGCCCTGGAAGGGCTTCTGGTCTGGGGTGCCCAGGCCCAGATCCCCCTGCTGCTGTGGAAACAGGTAGTCGGGGATCATGGGAACCTGGAAGCCACCCTTGGCGGCAGGGTAGGCAGGAGGCGGGTACTGGAGCGCTGTCCCTGCCGAGCCCGGGAAGGCCTGGCTTTGTGGCTCAGGGAAAATGTCAGTGTTCGGCGTGGGGAAGGTGGGTGCCGCTGAGTAAATGGGACTGCTGTCGTTGGATGGCACTGCGCAGCTCAGGGGTGGGCTCTGGGAGGCGGAGGCGGAGGAGGCCGCTGGAGATGGTGCTGAGGACGAGGAGGCCGGTGGGTTGGTCATGCTCACTAGGCCACTGACCAAGCTGAAGAGGGGCTCGGGCCACAAGGTGTTGCCACTGTTGGGTGCAGGCTCCAGGGAAAAGCGGCCAGTATAGGTGATGGGGGGCAGTCGAGTGGTTTGGCTGGGGTAACTGGTCTCCACCAGCACCTTCTCGTTGTTCAGAGAGATGTCAGGAAAAGACTCTGGCAGGAGAGAGAGAAGCGGGAGGCCTGGTTACTGGAAAGCAATCACTGGAGGACGAGGACGACCCGAGCTGCCAGGCAAGAGACCGGGCCGGCTACCATTGACTCCCGAGGTAGTTAATAATTGATAGCAGCACATTGCAATGTTCCTGGACCCGCACCAGTGGCAGAGCCCATTTCAACAACAGCTGACGCAAATACGGAGAATCCCCCTCCACTGCAGCTCGCAGCGCTCCGCAGCGGCGGCTGTGCGGGCGAGGGATTCCCGCCAGCACCCCCATGGCCGCGGCTAGTGCGCGCCCCCAAACCCGGGCTGCCGGGACATCCACGGCCAAGGATCACGGTCCTTCCTTGGGGACAGGCGGCAAGCAAGGCAAGGCAAGTCTTACTGGAGGTGGGGGGCGCAGCCCCGCTCATCAAAACAAGCCCTCCCCCTCCACCCACCCACGCAGCTCCAGAGCTCTCCATCCAAAACAAAAGCTCGGTCCTCTGCGCTCCGCTAGGGATGAGGGCAGGGGGTGGGCTGTGTGGGGTTCCTTGGCATCCCTCTAACACATGACTCTGGGGATGCGAGGAATGAAAGGGAAACCCGGCTCTCATTCTAAGATCCAGGAGCACTCCTGCGGTGAAGGACAGGACGCCAGGATGGTGGCGAAAGGGTTCCCCCTCGGCGTAGGCCACTGCTTACCTGCGGTCAGGTGCTCGTAGGGCTGCTCGCCCGTGTCCGCCTGAGGGTTGAAGGTGCTGCTGCTGCTGCTGCTGTTGCTGCCGCCCCCGCCGCCTCCACCGCCCCCGCTGCTGCTGCTGCTGCTGTTGCTGCCGCTGCCCTCTGGGGCCCCGGCGGCGCCGAGGAACTGGGGAGCCCCGTTGCTCAGCAGCATCATCTCCTCCAGCTTAGGGTAGTTGTCCATGGTGGGCGAGTGAGGAAAGGATCCGAACGGGTCAGAGATCTGCAGCGGGGACATCAGCTGCATCTCGGCCTTGGCCGCGGCCATCCTGGACGAGCAGGCTGGAGAGCTGGTGTCGGGGCGGGGGGGTGCAGCCCGGGGCTGGAGCTGCAGGGGACACAGTTGCGGGGGCCTGGCCGGGTTACATGCGGGGCGCGGGGAACACTGAGAAGCGTGCAGGCGGCGACCCCGACTCGCCCTGGGCGCGGGCGGGCGTGGACGCGCCGCGGCTGCGGAGGCTGGGGCAGGGGCCGGTCCTGCGGCGGCGGAAGCTGGCTGCGGCGGCGGATGGCGGCGGCGGCTCCCCAAGTTCTGCGCGCTGGGATCTCTCGCGACTCCCCGGATCCGCCTCTATTTGAAGGGTCTGGAACGGCACGGGTCCGCCTCCGTCGTGACGTACATGGCCATATATGGGAAGCAGGAAGCCCTAATATGGCAGGACCGGCCGGGAGGACCCGGAGTGACGTGAAGCCCCCCATCCGACAGCGCCCGGCACCTCCATCCTGCACCCTAGGGCCCGCGCCCGCGCCCGCATCCCAGGCGCCCAGGCTTCGGGGAAGCCTAGAGCTCTAGCCGCCGCCGGGGCCTCCGGGACCCGCGCAGCTCCGGAGTTCCCGCGTTGCCCCTCCCTCCGCCTTCTTCCCTCCTCCCAGAGCCGGAAGCGGCCGGGCCATATCGGGCCACTCCAAATAAGGTGCTGCCCAAATAAGGGTTGTTCCGGCGGGGGATCCTTCCTGCTCCTTATATGGCATTTCCGGGTCGCAGCTGGTTGCTCCCTCGCTCCCTCCCTCCTCCCTGGTTCCAAGCCGGGAGCCCGAGCGCTCGCGGGATCCGGGGACGCCCAGGCGGGGAGGGCTCGTGGCGTGTGGCGCTGGGCGCGCGGCTGCTCAGGCGGCTCCTAGGCGTGAACTAGGCTGGGGAAGCCCAGACCCAGAGCGGGGGCGAGGGCGAGTCGGGCCGGGGTTCTATCGCTGTCATCCAGGGCCCGCCCGCCCACCTCAGGGACCGTGAGAGCGAACCGGGAGTGCGGGGGAGGAGCGGCTGGGCCCGCCTGGGCAGGGGCCGCCCAGGAGAGGCGGGGCCTTGACCCCGGGCCTCGATCTATGGCACGGTGTCTTTCCGGGTGTCGCTGGGAAATTGAGGATAGGAAGTCACGGCCACTTGGTTCTTGGGACACTGTATAGCAGTGAGCTGCCTTGCCTCTGCCACCTGTCGGTGGGATGGGGCTGCTGGTGCCTGGGGTCCCCTGTGCTCCCCCGGAACCGAAAGGCTGTTCCCTAGTCCCCGCCGGCAAAGAGCCCACCTTTGGGGGACCGAAGTGGGGAAGCTGATTGCCCCAAGAGAGGCCTGATTCTTGTTCTCACCAGGAGATAATGGTCCTTGTGGTGAGGGGTCACTTTCCCCCCTTTATCCAGTCCAGGTGGAGGGCCGGCCCACACTGCGGGAATCCGAAAGAGGGGCTTCCCTATGGGCTGTCTGGGGACCCCGGGCTGGGCGCGAAGAGAGGACCGGCTTGGCGGCTCGGTGCTGCCCCCTGGAGGTTCCCTCTCCACTCCCAGCCCCGGACTCCGGCCGCGCGGGCTCTTCCGCCGCCTCCTCGCTCCTCCTCCCGGATGCGGCGCTGGGCGCGGAGCCAGGCCGGGGGAGCCTTCGACGCAGTGAGCACGAACTGAGCAGGCGCTGCAGCCCGGGCTCCCCCTGCAGTCCCTGGGGAGCCGTCACTGCCGAGGCGCCCAGACTCCGGGATAACACTCCTCACCCCGAGCCTGGCCAAGGCGAGGGGGAGAAGGAAGCAGGGGGTGGGTGGTGGCGAGGGAGAACGATTCCCGCAGGTCTCCCTGGGGCCGAACGCGAACAGGGAAGCCCTCCCCGCCCCCACGACGCAGTCAGTTGCTCACCCCAAAGGGAACAGGGATTCCGGGAAGGGAAGGCTCCTCCTGCTCTAGCTCTGAATCCAGAGGAGGTGCTGTTTTTTCTGGATTTAAAAAGAAAGCAGAAAGAGAATGTGGGGAAGGAGGGTGCTTGACGACACCGAGAGGGAAGGGAGGAGGTGAGGGCCTCTGTGAACCCCAACAGCCTCTGGAGGTCGGGGTCAGGGGGATTAGGTGGGGGAGGGTGTAACTTTCTTGGACTTAATCCCTCTGTGGCTGTCCCCCCTCCAAACATGTTTTCTTATAAAAACCAACTTAATGAACCAGGACTCCCTCGTCTCGGAGCCTGCCGTCTCAAGTCCGCTGGGGAGGTGGGGGGCTCACTCCCACTGTCTACCGAGTTGTCCATTGGGGCAGGAGTGATGCGCCTCTCAGAGGACTCCTGCCGCAAGGGCAGGAAGGCCAGGCTGTTGCAGCGCAGATGGCCTTGTGTCTGAATGTCCATTTTGCCACTCCCTGGTAGGGTACCTTAGCCAAATTTTTTTTTTAATGTTTTTATTCTTTCTGAGACGGGGTCTCACGCTGGCACCCAGGTTGGAGTGCAGTGGCGCGAGCTCACTGCAACCTCCGCCTCCCAGGCTCAAGTGATCCTCCAGCCTCCTCCTCTCGAGTAGCTTGGACTACAGGTGCCTGCCACCACGCCTGGCTTTTACTTTTTTTTTTTTTTTTTTTTTTTGTATTTTCGTAGAGAGGGGTTTCGCTGTGTTGCCCAGGCTGGTCTTGAACTCTTGAGCTCAAGCGATTCACCCACTTCGGCCTCCCAAAGTGCTGGCATTCCAGGTGTGAGCCACAGCACCCAGCCAGCCAAGCTTTTTGTTTACTTGTTTGTTTTTGCTTTTTTTAAGACAGAGTCTCCCTGTGTCACCCAGGCTGGAGTGCAATGGGGCAATTTTGGCTCACTGCGACCTCCGCCTCCTGGGTTCAAGCTATTTTCCTGCCTCAGCCTCCCTAGTAGCTGGGACCACAGGTGCACCCCACCACACATGGCTAATTTTTGTATTTTTAGTAGAGACCAGGTTTCACCATGTTGGCCAGCCTGATCTTGAACTCCTGATCTCAGGTGATCCACCTACCTTGGCCTCCCAAAGTGCTGGTATTACAGGCGTGAGCCACCGTGCCCAGCCAGCCATGCTTTTTGTGTCTCACTTTCTTCAACTGTAAAATGGGGCTAATGTTAATAATACCCACATGGGGCCGGGCACAGTGGCTCATGCCTGTAATCCCAGCACTTTGGGAGGCCGAGGCAGGCGGATCATGAGATCAGGAGATCGAGACCATCCTGGCTAACACGGTGAAACCCCATCTCTACTAAAAATACAAAAAAATTAGCCGGGCGTGGTGGTGGCCACCTGTAGTCCCAGCTACTCCGGAGGCTGAGGCAGGAGAGTGGCGTGAACCCGGGAGGTGGAGCTTGCAGTGAGCCGAGATCACAACACTGCACTCAAGCCTGGGCGACAGAGTGAGACTCTGTCTCAAATAAATAAATAATAGTAATAATACCCACATGGGAGTATTGTTGTGAGGACTGAAACTTATGCGGGCTGCCATATGTCAAGTCCCAACACACAGTACCTGCCTTGCAATTGGCATTCAACAAACAGTGGCTATTGTTCTTTTCAGAGGCTTTGGATCCATAGAGTCATCCACAGTTCACCCACCCATCCTCAGCCTCCAAGAAAACTCCAGTGACCCTTTTCTGGAAAGCTGTGCAGATGGGGAAAAACATACCAATCCTATCACAGGGGACGTAATCCCTAAGAGTTGATCTGAACCCATCTTGCTGCAGTAGAGCGTTTACTAGAGCAGCATTTTTCAACCTTGACTGTGCAGCAGAATCGCCTGTGGAAGTCTGAAAAAGACAGCTTTTACCCTGGACCAGCTGCATCACAATCTTCCCGAGCTTGCGAGTGGCAGCACTGAGCCAAGGTATCGGCCTGGGATTCTTGTGCTGTCACTGGAGAGCCACCCAGACTGGGAGAGAACATCCTCTGCCCCAGCCAGGGCAAACCAGTTCCCCGATGATTCTCCTGTGCAGCTCACCTAACGTATTTGTCAGGTTCTTGCTGAAGCTCAGCATGGGAAATTCTCATAGTCTACGTCTACATCTTTTGTTTTGCATGACCAACATCAATTCCCCTTTCTTTTTATTACTATTCCCCAGCCAGCAGTTTCCTTTGGGGAGCCACCTTAATCCATGTGGTTGGGGGCAGATAGCCCCTACTCTACATCTATAAGTAGGTATGTTCCCTGGGCCTGGCCATCCACCCAGGGGTGGCCTAGCCTAGGAGTGGTTCATTTCCCTAGCTGTAGTGATTGAGTCAGGATGGGCACATGACCCAAACCAGGCCAATGAGAATCACTTTTTCCAGAACTCTTGGGAAAGGGAAATTCCCTTTCCCTGATGGTACTAAGCCAATAGGATGTAAGCCTGGAGGCCGTTTCGCCCACAGGCCTGGAGAGCCTGCCTGAGAATGAAGCCAATGCAGGGGAAGTCAGAGAGAAGAGACATACAGAAGAGAGAGACAAACGTACAGAAGGTCCCTGGACTCAGCCTGAGCTTTTTAGTTATGCAGGCCAATGAATTCCTTTTTTATTGAATAAAATAAAACATCCTCAGTTAGTTTCTCTCACTCACAACCTAACCAGTTGAACACCCATTATCAACAACAATAAAAACTTCCCTGAGGACTAACTGCAGTCAAGGTTTGGGAATAAGATCCATGGCATAGGCCTTTGCCTCTAAGGATCTTACAGCTGGGTAGAAGAGAGCCTGGATTCTATGTTACAAGAGAATAAAGAATAGAAAGGAAGCAGCCCTGTTAGCCAGCAAAACTCAGTGACACTAAGGGACATAGGAGATAAGAGAAGGGAGAGATTCCAGGAGGCTGGGAGACGGTCAGGGACAATGAAGAGATTTTGGAGGAGAAGGAACGTGAGAAGGCCCAAACTTTGTGGTGGGGAAGTGAGAAGCTGTTTCAGGCCAGGCTTGGGGGTGGGTTGGCCAGGAGCGCCCATGTGTGGTCTGTCTGGGGAAAATGAGGCTGGAAGGGGACGAAATGGGCTAGAGTAGAGAGATTTCCTCTTGGGAAGTAGCAGAAGGTAAAGTTAAATAAAACATTCATTCTTTTGAAAAGGTTTATTGCCCACTGTGTGTATTGGGTGCAGTGCTGAGTCTTAGAGATTCTGCAGTGAGGCTTTGCTCTCATGGAAAATACCATTTAGTGGGATAGACAGAAATAAACAGTTATGCAAATAAAAAGGATAATTTCAGATCATGGTGAGTGTGGCTGATATACTAGGAAGGTGAGGGAAAGGCATATTGGAGGAGGTGGCATTTATGCAGCGATAAAAGATAAAAAAGAGGAGAGGAAACTGACTGCATAGAGGGGTGTGGTGGGGAGAGCATTGCAGGCAGAGGGCCAGCCTTGCAAAGGCCTCAGGAGGGAAGGGAGTCTGGCTGTGATCTTTCTGGGGCCTCAGGTGAAGGTGTGGACAGCAAGAATTGTGCAGAGCCAAATGTACCAGTCCACCCCCTCTCTCCCTTGTTCTGTCCTCACAGCTCATAGAGAGGAGAAGGTGGCCCTTCCCAACCCTGCCCAGCCCCTGTGGTGTGAGCCCCTGGAAGGCAGCTTCCACCTAGGAACGGTGGGAGGAGCTGAGCTCAGAACCGTGCATGCTGCCCAGGCCTTAGCCTGTCATGAAAAGGGCTGAAAGTCACCTCCCTAGATAGGGTTATGCCGCTGACCTGGCTTCTCAGTCACAAGGCTGGGGCATCTGAGCCACCTCACTCCCCTCTGGTCTTATATTTTGGCCAATGGCACACTTCTGTTTGCTGTCATTGGGGGGACAGGAAAGGGAGGAGATGGTGAAAAAATTGGCCCCTCCCGAGGAGCCAAATCTCAGTTGGGGCTAGTGAGCACCCCACTTGTGACCAACAGCCCAGATGAAACAACCAGCCTGGGGCCTGCAGGAAACCATGTTGGAGGTAAGGAAGGCTCCGAGTCACTCTGCACCCTGGTCTAGGGGCCTACTGGGCCTCAAGGGTGCTTAGGGATGACCTGGGGCTCTCAGACCTTTCTGGCCAAGTGACTGATACCAGAAGCCGGGGAAAAGGTAAGAGGCCCTCAGCTGATATCTGCACTTAGACCTTTCCTTGCAAACAGGAGAGGAGGAAGAGGCAGAGGGGAGAGAGAATTGAGCTTGCCCAAGGCCGCTGAGGCTCCAGGAGAAAGCCAGTGGAACCATCCCATCTCCAACACTCGACCCAGGGCTGAGCCGGCTGCAGCTCTCAGAGGAAAACAAGCCCCTTTTTCCATTGCTGCTTCCTCCTCCCCAGCCCTGGGCTACGTCAGCACCCAAGTGCACTGTTCAGGCCGTGGTTTGCACGTGGCCAGCCCGGGCCTCAGGAAGTGACTCTCTTGGGGTTTGTCTGGGGCACCTGTCACACTTTCCGACTGACTTTCCAGCCGAAGGCTGATGGGCTTTGAATGGGTCTGGGGCAGTTCTGCTCCTACCCCAGGGAGGGCTTTGAGGGGTGAGAAGAAACCTGAGGAGGCCAGGCATGAGATGGGACAGAAGGTGCCCTGAGGGGGTGGGTGAGAGGGGGCAGCATGAGGAAGACAAGGGAGAGAGAGGGAGGATCGTCCTGGAGTGCTGAAGTGTGAGCCGTCTCATCTACTCACTCAAGATGCCAGAGGACAGCCCTGGGTCTCAAGCTAGGTGAAGGGCCGTGCAGTGTGATGCTGAGGTCTGAGGCGCAGGGCGTCTGAAGAGGGTGCCTGGCGTGCTCTGGACGGGATCTAGGGGTTGCAGGGAAGAGATCACAGAGGATTGAGCCCCTGGTGACGGGGATGGGGGGTTCCTGCCTGGGAGAGTTGGGGTCTGGGCTCCTCTCCCCAGAGGCTGCCTGGGGAGTGATGCACCAGGCAGAGTCAGGTTAGGCCTACAATGGAAGACCTTGGGGCATCAGCACTTGGGAGGGGCACAGTCTGTACTCGGGGGCAGGGGTCTGTAAAGGGAAGAAGGAGTGGGTGGAAGTGGGTCTTCTCTGTCCCGCAGTGCCCTGCAGATGCAGAACAAGGCTGCTGCCCTTGGACATCCGTCCCTCTGCTCTGTGCTGGCCAGTCTCTCTCCCAGGCCTGAGGCTGGCAGGACCCTGGGCTCAGAGGACAATCCAGCCTCTGGTGGTTTCTTTGCTCCCCCTACCCCCAGCTGAGTGTGCAGTAAAGCCAGCCGGCTGCAGAAATCTCTGGAAGCTCGTTGGGCAGGAGAGGGAGGGGAGCATTACATAAGAGCCCACTGATGTGCAGGAAGTCGAGAGCAGCCTTTAGATTAGAAAGGCAGCGTTTCCACCCAGCCCAGAAAGGCAGGAATAGCAACGGCGGTTATTTCTGGCCCCTCACCACCGCCCAGCGCCGGGGCTGCTCAGCTTCTTGGTGGGTGAGCTTGGGTCCTGCAGGCCTTGGTGCGGGGGATGGGGAGGGAGGGGGCAGGCAGCCCCTGGGGTCACCCCACTCTGGCACCGGCTTCACCCCCAACTTCCACTCCAACAAACACCAGGATGCAGGAAAAACAGCAATAATATCTATTCTGCTTGCTTCCACTGATTTTCCTTAATCTCTGGATACATTCTCTATCTCCACCCTCACCCCAATACACGTTAACCATGTGACAGGCTCTGTGCTAAACACTTGATGGGCATTTGTCCTCACAGTGCCTTATGAGGCAGGTGCCATCCTCACCCCCATCTCACTGATGAGGAAACGTACTCAAAGAGGGCAGGCGATTTGCTCCAGGGCACAGAGCTGCCCACTGGTGGAGCCAGGATTCCAATGCAGACAGCCTGGCTTCAGAGCCCTCCGGCTGAACCCCAGCTCCTACCAAGAACTCTTCTGTGGGACCCCGGAATGAATCAGATGAAGCTTTCACTTTCACCCTGCAGGGTTCTTGAGTCAAGTCCAGTAGGGGAGACAGACATAGGAACGGGTCACTTAAATTCATCCATTCAACAAGTATTTATCAAACATCATTTCTGCTCTAGGCATTAAAGATGCAAAGAGTGGTAAGGAGGGTCCCCCTCTTTGGCAGCTCACAGCCCAGTGGGGGAGACAGACGTTAAGAAGCACTTGGAGCAGTGTGACACACGCTGTCATGGGGGAAGCACAGCGAATGCGGGGGCCCTGATCCAGCTCCCACCCCCTGAAGTGCTTCCCAGGCAGTCAGACAGCCAACTTGTCATTTAAAAAATCATCGCAGGAGGCTGTGGGGGGCACAGGGAGGTCAGATGGTGAGACCGGCAGGCACCCATGCAATGGTCCAGGAGAGAGGGTGGGGTCTGGATGCATCAGCACCGGCTATCACAGGGGCTCCTGCAGGGGCCTCCTAGGTAGAGACAGAAAGACAGCCAGAAAAGCTGACACCCACACCGACTGACAAGCTGCCCAGCCCAAAGGAGCATCCATCTCCCCGGGTACAGTGGCAGCAGGGTGGTTGGGAGGCTGATGGAAGGGCCCTGTCATTCTTCCTTCCTCCAACCATCTTCCTATCAACTCCCTCCATATGGGAACCCTGTTTTAAGCCAAAGTCAACATGCGTGAGTGAGAAGGAAGCTGGCGCCCAGCACAGGAGAGAGAGAGCGCTTCCATCCACGATCATGCTGACAAATAGCCATAAGGGCAGGAGGGTCTGCTCCTGTCCCTAGGAACATCCTCAGAAAGGTCTCAGCTATACTCCCGGCAGAGGCAGCACTTCTCTTCCTAAAAGCAGGCACAGGAAGGGGTCTAGAACTTACAGGATCCAGTTTCCCTCTGGTCCAGTTGCAGAGAGGGCTGTTGTGGCAGGACACAACTGTATTTTTTTTTTTTTTGAGACAGAGTCTCGCTCTGTCGTCTAAGCTGGAGTGCAACGGCGCAATCTTGGCTCACTGTAAGCTCCACCTCCCAGGTTCACGCTATTCTCCTGCCTCAGCCTCCTAAGTAGCTGGGACTACAGGCATGTGCCACCACGCCGGGCTTATTTTGTATTTTTAGTAGAGACGGGGTTTCTCCATGTTGGGCAGGCTGGTCTCAAACTCCCGACCTCAGGTGATCCGCCCACCTTGGCCTTCCAAAGTGTTGGGATTACAGGCGTGAGCCACAGTGCCTGGCCTAAAATTTTAATTATTAATGTTTATATTTTATTGTAAAATACACAAAAATTTACAATTTGAACCATTTTAAGTGTACAATTCAGTGGCATTAAGTACATTCACACTGTTGTACAACTATCACCACTGTCCTTTTCAGAACTTTCTCATCATCCCAAACAGAAACTCTGCACCCTTTAAATAACTCCTTGTTCCTTCCTCCCTGCAATCCCTGCTTTTTTTTTTTTGAGGTGGAGTCTCACTCTGTTGCCCAGGCTGGAGTGCAGTGGCATGATCTCTGCTCACTTCAATCTCTGCCTCCCAGGCTCAAGCGATTCTCCTGCCTCAGCCTCCTGAGTAGCTGAGTCTACAAGTGTGCACCATAACGCCCAGCTAATTTTTGTATTTTTAGTAGTGACAGGGTTTTGCCATGTTGGCCAGGCTGGTCTCAAACTCCTGGCCTCAAGTGATCCGCCCGCCTTGGCCTCCCAAGGTGCTGGCATTAAAGGTATGAGCTATCATGCCCGGCTGCCTGCTAATCTCTATTATAGTTCCTGTCTCTATGGATTTCACTATTCTAGGTATTCATGTAAGCGCAATCATACAATATTTGTCCTTTTGTGTCTGGCTTATTTCACCTGCCATAATGTTTTCAGGGCTTATCCATGCTGTAGCATGTGTCAAAATCCCATTCCTTCTTAAGGATGTATAATGTTCCATTGTATATATATACCACATTTTGTTTATCCACTTACCGACTGATGAACAGAGGTTGTTTCCACCTCTTGGTGACTGGGAATAATGCTGCTGTGAACATTGATGTGGAAATATCTGTTTGTGGACTCAGGGTTCTAATTCATCATAACCTGTAGCTCTCACAAGGGGAATCAAAGTCAGATTTAAGAAAGACCTCATGGTTTCCTACTACCAGTGACCAAAGTAGCAACATCTCCCTCTCTGGGTAGCTTTAATATTCAGAGACTCCCGTGCTGCCCCTCATCACACCCTCTCCAGATGGAGATAATGCCGGGAAGGGTTGCCCTGCTGGAGGAAAGAGGCTTTAAGGGCCACCCTGGGGTCAGAGCTCTGGGTGGTTTACTTTTAGGAGCTGGGTGGTGGGGCTTTCATTGTTTTCCCTTGGGCTCTGGTACATTTGCCACCACACTCCAACCCCAGACCCTGCTTTCTCTTTCTCCTTTCCCTGGCAACATCCAGGCTGTCTCACTTTTTCTCTCCCAGGCTAAATCGAGAGTGTGAAGCTGCTCTTCTTCCCAATTTAGCATTTGAATTAAAGCGAGAACTGAATGTGGCTGGAAAGCTGACTCCCATCTGTGTGTGAGAGAGAGAAAAGGAGCACAAGTGAGCGTGGGCACACGCTGGGGCAGCCAGGGCAAGGGCAGCCGATCCGGGCAGCTCTTGTTTAGCGCAGACACTCATCCTCGGGCGTAGGCAACAGCTCAGCTGAGAGACACTGAAGTTTGAAGGTTGCTGTTTTTCCAGAAGGGAAAGATTGCTGCAGGGGCATCCTTGTAACATTCTACACAAATGTGCCAAGTGTTTATCGTGTGCCAGGCCCCGTGCTGGAGATGCTGGGCAAACAGTGGGGAGCCAGCTGGGCCCATTGTCTATGCCCCAGCCTTCAGGCTGGTGGATAAACAGACTGGGAAGCAGGCAATGGGCACACAGGGCAATGTGTGCTGTCAGGGGGAAAGGACAGGTATGTCAGGGGCCTGGAGGGGCATCTGACAACTTGGCAGTGGGGTGGAGGAGTCACTCTGAGCTGAGACTCGAAGCACACACAGGAGCTGACCAGGTGAAGCAGGTAAACAAGGGTGCTTCAGGCAGAAGGAAATGTGCATGCAAAGATTTGAGTGGGGCGGGCACGGTAGCTCACGCCTGTAATCCCAACACTTTGGGAGGCCGAGGCAGGAGGATCCCTTGAGCTCAGGAGTTTGAGACCAGCCTGGACAACATAGGGCAACCCCTGTCTCTACAAAAAATCATTTAAAAAAATTGGCCAGATGTATGCCATCGACCTCATGCTGAAGTGGGACAACCGTCCAGATGGAAAGCGGGTGATGCAGCTGCAGATCCTGGAGGTGAACTTCAACCCTGACTGCAAGCGAGCCTGCAGGTACCATCTCTCCTTCTTCAACAACGTCTTCAGCACCTTGTTTCTGGACCAGCCCAGTGACTGTCATGTCGCCTGCCTTGTCTAGGCACTTGCTGTCCCAGAAACCTATGCTTGGGGCAGGATTCCAACCTCAGTTCTCTGAGCTGCTTCTGCGAAGGCCCCCACGCCCCTCCCCACACTGGCTCTGGGCACAGCCTCAGCCCCAGGCCTCTGTCCTCCTGAGTCATCCTCCCGGCCTCACACTCTGGAAGCACAGCATCCTTCTCCCACCTGTGGGTCAGAGCAGGACAGTGCTGGTGTCCCCAGGACTGAGCACCACCCCAGGGCCTGTCCTCACCCCTCACCACCATCCATGCACTGATGAGTCTCTGGCTTAGCCAAGGGCTTCATTCCTGGCATGCAGAGTTTGTTCCCGGCTGCTGTGTTTCCAGGGGGTGCTGGGGAAAGGGTTCCGTGGAGCGAGACAAGGTGTCCTCGGGAGCAGGATTCCACAGGGAAGCGTTTGGGAGCCCTGTGTTGCACGGGGCAAGCGGGTTTCTCTTCCAGGGTCTCTGCTCTTATGTATCAGGACAACCCGGGGACGGGTGTGGGGCCCCACAGTGTGCCCACAGGGCTCTATGTGACAGGTGCCCAGGAACAGCCTGAGGCCACCGCCCAGCAAGCCCACCTTATCACCCATCTCCAGCTCACCCAGAACCTTCACCAGCAAACCTCCCGCTGAGGTCCCGGCAGGAGGCCACCGTCTTCTGTTACTGTTTCCTTTTCCATTTGCCGAAGGTCACAGACCCTAACAGGAAAGTCAGTCCATGTCTTCCCAGTGGTTGCCCTGTTTGCCAGGCACCCCGCAGGGTCCCGCCCTCCTCTGAGATGGGCCAGGATCTTCCGGTGAGGGGGGCCTGGGGCTGGGGCTGACTGTGGACGGCGGAGCGCCAGGCAGAAAAGGATTCCAAGGAGAACTTCAGGTTAAAGTCAGATGCCACCTACCAGCGTCTACAGTCAAAATGTTCGTTTTTTCTTATTTTTTAATGTATGGGAGAAAAATGTAACATTCCAGTTTTCTTTTTTTTTTTTTTTTTTTTTTTTTGAGACAGAGTCTCACTCTGTTGCCCAGGCTGGAGTGCAGTGGTGCAGTGGCGCGATCTCGGCTCACTGCAACCTCCACCTTCTGGGTTCAAGCGATTCTCCTGCCTCAGCCTCCTGAGTAGCTGGGATTACAGGCATGCATCACCACACCCAGCTAATTTTTGTATTTTTAGTAGAGACAGGTTTCACCATGTTGGTCAGGCTGGTCTCGAACTCTTGACCTCGTGATCTGCCAGCCTCGGCCTCCCAAAGTGCTGGGATTACAGGCATGAGCCACCATGCCTGGCCTAGTTCTTTTCTAATTGTGTTTCTGAAATATGGAGTCAGCTGCCAGCGTTTCTTGTGTGGCTGCAGTGTGCCTGGGCCAGGCTCACGGGCAGTGGGTGGGCCTAACTCCCCAGGCAGGCAGGAGCTGCTTCCAGAGCCTTCCAGCATGCGGGAGGGCAGGGCTAGGCATGGCGGTGTCTCATCTTTGAAATTAAGAACAATCTTTCTTGTAGCAAACTGCACCTGATGATGCTGCCTCCCCTCTCTGTGTTGTCTGGGCCCCTGTTTACAAGAACCCCTTGCCCTTCCTGGGGGGAGCTGCGCTCTAGCCCCTGGGGGGCCTGTTGCAGGGATAGGGTGGGCCCATCACCTTTGGTGGCTCCTGGAGAGCTGTTTACATGCAGTCCTCCTCACTTGGTTCGTGCTGCAATAAAGGCCATCTTCTCTCAAAAAAAAAAAAAAAAAATTGGCCAGGCGTGGTGGTGTGCGCCTGTGGTCCCAGATACTTGGGAGGCTAAGGTGGGAGGATTGCTTGAACCCAGGAGGTTGAGGCTGCAGTAAGCCGTGACTGTGCCATTGCACTCTAGTGTAGGCAATGAAGCGAGAAAGACCCTGTGTCTCCAGGAAAAAAAAAAAAAGATTTGAGGCCAGGCATGGTGGCTCACATCTGTAATCCCAGCACTTTGGGAGGCCGAGGCAGGCAGATAATTTGAGGTCAGGAGATTGAGAGCAGCCTGGCCAACATGGTGAAACCCTGACTCTACTAAAAATACAAAAATTAGCCAGGCATGGTGGCGCGCACCTGTAGTTCCAGCTACTTGGAAGGCTGAGGCAGGAGAATCTCTTGAACCCAAGAGGTGGAGGTTGCAGTGAGCTGAGATCATGCCATTGCACTCCAGCTGGGTGACAGAGCAAGACTCTGTCTCAAAAAAAAAAAAAAAAATAGATTTGAGCAGTCATGGCTTCTGCAGAGCAGGGAACTAGTACTGGGTAAGTTGGGCTCCAGAGTTTCAATGCTCCTCCTCTCCACCTCCTTGTCCTTCCCACTCCTCCCCTTCTTCCGGGAGAACAAAACCAGGTGAGAGTGACCTGTGCTCGAGGAGTCTAGGAGCACACAAATGTCCTCTGCTTAGACTCCAAATAATCCAGGAGCGGGCAGGGAGGCTGCAGTCTTATTCTGAGTTGGCCACCCAGAAAGCTGGACCTGGCAGGCCCAGGATGGACATGGAACAGAGGAAATGGGATCTCAATCACACCGTGGGAAATCGAGGTATCAGGAAGGCTTCTACCTGGCTTAGCTTACTCCACCCTTCCTGGGTTGGAGGTGCTAACTGAGGTGATCTCTGGGGGACGCTTCCTTTTCTTAGTTGATGGGACTGAATCATGATTCTGGCTGAGATGGGAATGGGGTGAAGTCTTGGCAAAGAAAGACCCTCTATTGGCCAAGACAGGAATGAGCTGTCTGGAGGACCATGCATTTCCCTATCAGGAAAATGACAGGCACACACAGTTAAGGGATGCTGGTGTAAAACTCACCATTAATATTTCAAGCAGCATTATTTATTGATCACTTTTCTGGCTGGGACAAAAGGAGAGGGTAATTCATAGGGGATGCAGGGCTGGTAGGGTCAACTTGGGAAAAAGGTCAGGGAAAGGTAGATCATTGAGGAGCCTCACCCCCAGCCCCTGCAAGAATACTATGGGATTCCAGGATGTGGAGACTAGGGACTTTGTCTTTTTCTTTTATTTTTTACTTTTCTTTTTTTTTTGAGATGGAGTCTCACATCGTCGCCTGGGCTGGAGTGTAATGGCGCAATCTCAGCTCACTGCAACCTCCCCCTCCCAGGTTCAAGCGATTCTCCTGCCTCAGCCTCCGAGTAGCTGGGATTACAGGTGTCTGCCACCATGTCACACCTGGCCTGACTTTGTCTTTTTCAACTCCATAGTACCCCAGATGAAAATACAGGAAGGGTCAGGGGGCACCTGGAGCAGGCCTGGGACTGCCACTGTGGCCATCAGGGAGACCATATCCAGGGAATGTCACAGCTATATGAGCTTCCCTGCCTCTGGACCCAACTTCTCCTTCCTACCTCCCCGCCCCAGTCCCCATCCCTTGCTGCCTCAGGGGTCCCTCTCCCCTCTTGATCCTGAATTCAGCTCCAGCAGCCTCTCTAGATGCCATTTCAGAAGCCCAGGTTGGGGCCAAGTGCGGTGGCTCACGTCTTTAATCCCAGCACTTTGGGAGGTGGGCGGATCACTTGAGGCCAGGAGTTCGAGACCAGCCTGGCCAACATGGCAAAATCCCATCTCTATTAAAAAGGAAAAAAAGGCCGGGCGCGGTGGCTCACGCCTGTAATTCCAGCACTTTGGGAGGCCGAGGCGGGCGGATCACGAGGTCAAGAGATTGAGACCATCCTGGCTAACACGGTGAAACCCCGTCTTCACTAAAAATACAAAAAATTATCCGGGCGTTGTGGCGGGTGTCTGTAGTCCCAGCTACTCCGGAGGCTGAGGCAGGAGAATGGCGTGAGCCCAGGAGGTGGAGCTTGCAGCGAGCCGAGATCGCGCCACTGCACTCCAGCCTGGGCGACAGAGCGAGACTCCATATTAAAAAAAAAAAAAAAAAAAAAAAAGCAAAAAGTAGCCAGGCATGGTGGCCTGTGCCTGTAATCCCAGCCACTTGGGAGACTGAGGCAGGAGAATCTCGTGAACTCAGGAGGCGTAGGTTGTAGTAAGCCAAGATCGCGCCACTGCACTCCAGCCTGGGCGACAGAGCTCCGAGACTCTGTCTCAAAAAAAAAAAAAAAAAAATCATCCCAGGGTGAGCTTGGCAATTTATCTGTTCGGGGGAGGGTGCTTGCTGGGTGCTGGAACCTCACTGCAAGTGGGGGGCTTCTTCTAGGTCTGACCATCTCCTGGGGCAGTAGGTGTGCACACAGACTGGGCTTAGGGGGAGACTGCTGGAGAACCCACAGCTGTCCTGTTCACCCACAAGAATGCTTTCTTCATGAACCTCCAACTCCAGGGAGCGGAGGATGAGGCACTCTGCTCACCAAACCTGGAGCCTACTGGCCGCGGGAGAGGATTGTCCGCGGGGCCGGGGAATCCCACATAGGGAGGCAGCTGCGCCACCTAGTGGGCTTTTCCATCCTCGCAGGCATCCCTCCCACGCCTCGCCGCCTCCAGCCTGGATATGGCACCGTTTCAGGCAGGACACACACAAAAGCCGCTGTCCGGTAAGGACAGGAGATGCCCTCCTCCTCCCGACGGACCTGACCCAGCTCAGAGAGGGAGAAACTGGGGGGATGTGGGAGGGGGGTGATCGTGCACTGGCGGAAATTGAAGATAGTGGGGAAGCCAGGAGGGGCTTTGGGCCTGCAAACAGCCTCTCCCTGTCATTCTGGATGCCACAGATATGGGGACCATGGCTCAGAGCCCCCAAGGCCCTCCCTTCTGTGCCCGCCCTACCTCCCTCCAGGCCAAGCAAAGCTGGGCTCAGCTCTGCCGATCAAGGGAGAGCTGGCAGAGGCTGGATGGAGCTGCTGGCTTTCCTCTGACGTCACAGCCTGGAAATCCCATTTTAAGCAGGTTCTCTGGGTGTAGGGCACCCACAAGAAAGGGAGGGGGGGCCAGCTGAAGAAGCTAGAGACCTGAGGCTGTTATAGTCAGGTACCTCAGGCCTGGAGGGCTGCCCAGCGATCCCAAGGAGGCCTGGGCATGGGACCCAGCGCTAGCCTGCCCCAGTCCCTACCCAAAGCTAATACCTCTCAAAGGCTCCTGGGGACCCAGGCAGTGATCGAGCACCCTCCACATAGCTCTGGCCATCCACCTATTTCTGACATCTCTTTCCCACTACCCTGGCTTGGAGAGATCTACGGAGGCAGAGGGGAAAGGGGAGAGGGGAGATTGTCCCAGGGAATGAGGGGACAGCAAGGGGTCACCTAGGCCCAGATGTGTGCCACCAGCCAGCCTCTTTCCCAGGAGCCTTTCCACCCGTTCTTCTTGTCACCCTCCATCTCTTCTCTCCTCTGCACCACAGGGGGCAGGCCCTGTGCCCAGAGTTCTAGAAGCCTGAATGTTTCCATAGCAACAAACCAATGAGCTTGGAAATCTGAGCATGTTCCTGTGGACACAGGGAACCCCTGATGTGCACGGAGAGCTTGACAATGCAGAATCTGGATGTGACCTGCCTAGCCACCAGTCACTGTAGATGTGAGCATGCTCCTCCTGAGTGTGAGCCAGTGTGTGTGTTTGTGTGTGTGTGGTATGCAGCAAATGAGATTTAGGTTAAAGAGCGCCTAACCTGGTTTCCTGGGCATATGGTAGCTGTTAGCGTGGGACTGCAGCATCTTACTCTCTGGGGACTTTTCTAGAATGAATCCCTCCCCTAAATTTTACTGTGGTAGCTTCCTCTCCTTTCCGATGGAAAAATGAGCCAAAATTGCTGAGAGGCTGATGGTGAAGGTGATGCCCCTCAGAGGGCTGGTTGACTGGAGGATTCCAAGGAAAGACAAAAGGGACACCTCACATCCCCCACTGTGACCTCACTTCAGGGGGCTCTTGGCTAGCTTGGCTCAAGTGTGGAAGGTGCACATGCCCTGTGATGCCAGGGAAGGAGGAGGAAAGCCTAGTGTAGGGGCGCTTTGCCAAACTTGGGGTCCAGAGCCTGGGTCTGGGTCCTACTCATACCCCCTACCCACCCCATGGTCTGCTTCGTTCATTTTCCTTCCACAGGCTGAGCTATTTCTCTGATCCCCTTTTTCCTCCCTTACGGCTCTTTTCCTTAGTCTCTCCTCCGTACCTGCCTCTGCTCCTCTGCCAGCCTTTCCCTCCCCCTGGGTTCCGGCTTCCCGGGGGCTCATCCCCAGTCAGTTGTGCTTCTTGGCCCCTGGAGCTCTGGCTCTGCGTCCCAGGGCTCGGACCCCATGCCCTGCAGCTCCCTTCTCCTCCTTTCCTCCAACCTAGCCCAGTAGTCAGGGCTGGACCTCTGCCTTTCCTGGTGCCACACAGGCTGTGCCTCTTTGTCTCAGCCCTTGGTTCCCTCTCTGTCCCCAGGGCTGGTTTCTTCACAAGCCCTTGTCCTGTCTTCCCCATCTCTGCTTCTTCGCTCAACCTCTCTGGCTCAACCCCCTTTGGTCTTTCTAGGCACAGTCCCCGAGGCCTGCCCCACAGCTCCATATCCTATCCTCTGTCCCCTGGGGGCCTCACTGGGATCTTTGTCCCCCAGAGCCTACACCTAGCACTTTCTGTTGGATACCAGAAGGTCCACTCAAGACTTGGGGTAAGATTCTGAGGGAAAAGACAGTCCTTGGGGTTGGGGCCCCTGGCCCTTCTTAGGCCTCTGGTTTTTATTTATTATTATTATTTTTTAAATAGAGACATGGCTGGGCGCGGTGTCTCACGCCTGTAATCCCAGCACTTTGGGAGGCCGAGGCGGGCAGATCACTTGAGGTCAGGAGTTCGAGACCAGCCTGGCCAACATGGTGAAACCCAGTCTCTACTAAAAATACAAAAATTAGCTGGGCATGGTGGCGCATGACTGTAATTCCAGCTACTTGGGAGGCTGAGGCATGAGAATCATTTGAACCCAGTAGGCAGAGGTTGCCGTGAGCCAAGATCGCGCCACTGCACTCCAGCCTTGGCAATACTCAGTTTCCCCCCCTAAAAAAAAATACAGATGTGATTTTCGCATGTTGCCCAGGCTGGTCTCAAAATCCTGAGTTCAAGGATCCTCCTGCCTCCACCTCCCAAAGTGCTGGGATTACAGGTGTGAGCCACCACACCCAGCTAAGCCTCTGTGGTTTTTGTTTGTTTTTTGTTTTGTTTGAGACGGAGTCTTATTCTGTCACCAGGCTGGAGTGCAGTGGCACGATCTTGGCTCACTGCAATCTCTGCCTCCCACGTTCAAGCAATTCCCCTGCCTCAGCCTCCCAAGTAGCTGGGACTACAGGCACGCGCCACCATGCCTGGTTAATTTTTGTATTTTTAGTAGAGATGGGGTTTCACCATGTTGGCCAGGATGGTCTTGATCTCCTGACCTCGTGATCTGCCCGCCTCGGCCTCCCAAAGTGCTGGGATTACAGGCATGAGCCACTGCGCCCAGCCTAGGCCTCTGGTTTTATCTTGAGTCCCAAAACCATTTTCCCAGACTGAGCCCCCTCAAGCCCATCTCTTAGCTGGGCACCAGAGCTCCTGTCAGTCACAGGCTGGCCTCCCCACTCCCCCAGCTGAACCCTGCTTCTCACTTGAGGTCCTTCCCACCTGTCAGCTGGTGTGGCAAGAACAAAGCACAGAGGCCAAAATAAATGAGGTGCCAGAGTTTGGTTTATTGGCTCATCCAGTGCCAAAGGTCCAATGGGCACCCTCTTCCCAAGGAACCGGGAGCCCCGCGGCTCCTGCATTTCTCTTTCTCCTTCACGTGTTCCTCCTGGCCCTGACTGAAGCCGTGGCAGAAGCTGGGGCGGGTGTGAGCAGAGGCTGGGTTCTGCCAGGGGTCTTAGGGCCCAGTCTGCTTGGTACAGGATGGGGACCCTGGGCAAGAGGGGATGGACCCCAGGGGCAGAGGAGAGGGGCCCACTCAGCAGGGGCCTGTACCAGACAGAGCAGGGGTGGGCCCTGAGGAGCACGGGAGTCCAGCCCAGGGGCACGGTGGCAATGGGGTGACCTAAAAGGGAGCAAGGTCATAGGAGCAGGTGAGAGGCCCCCCAGATCCCCGTTCTCTCATGGGCTGGGTCCTCTGAGGCTCAGAGCCTAGGATGGAGGGTTGAGCAGGGAAAGGGCCAGATGACTGTGGGGCTCAGGGTGGGAGGAGGCGACTGCTGGAGGGACAGTCCTTGACCCAAACTACCCCGAGCCCTAGACCCAGAAAGACACACTCACACAGCCCTGGACCCCCCTTTTTAATGTGGGAACATGTGGCACTCAGCCCCACCCAATGACCAGGAAAAGAGCCCCCAGCTGCAGCTCTGGCCTGGCCATCCTGGTCGCTGAAGCACAGGCCAATCCCTGTCTTCCATCCACAGCTGCACCTGGAGGCCCCACCCAGGGTCCCCAACGTCCTCCCCGTGTGCTCCCTTTCCCCCATGTGCCTTCAGGCCCGTCCTTGGTCCATCTGGGCTAGGACTTCCCCCTCCCTGCTCCCAAACCAAGGCGAGCAGTGGAAACACGACAGGACCTCTGAGAAGCGGATTGCTATGGGCTTCAGCAAGGCACTGGGTGGGTGGGGCAGGGCGGGGCTGCAGCGGAACAGCGGTGGAGGCCGAGCAGTCCCCACCTCCTTGGGTGGCTCAGTCCTCAGCCTCTGGTCCACCCTCTACCCTCAACCCCCACAGCTGGGCCTCCTTCCTCTTTTCCAAGCCCCTTCCAGAAGAGTGGCCACTGGGCAGGCACCGGAAATGGCCATCTGCGGGGCCCAGGGGCCTGAGACACCTAGGCTACTGGCACAGTGTGGAGCAGGGGCTGGGTCTGAGGCCCCTCCTGAGGCTTCATCCTTGCTCTGCAGCCTGCGGGGGTGGAGGGGCTCAAGCTGAGTCGCCCCCGCCAGAGGTCTTCTTCTTGGGCCGGGTCTTCAGTGTCTTGGAAGCCAGTGGCTGTGGAAAGAAGGAGGAAGATGGGGCTCAGCCTGGAGCCGCCACCCCCTGCCTGTTTCCCCAAGCTCTGGCCAGTGCCCTCACCTCAGCTTTGGGCGCTTTTTTGATGGGTTTGGCCCTCTTGGGAGCTTTGTCTCCCATGTCATCCTCAGAAGCCTCTGTCCGGGAATCTGCCGGGTTTGTGCTGGACCTTAGACTCAGGGCAGGGTCATCTCCTGGGTGCAGGGAGAAAAGGAGGTGGGGGAATCTTTCCCATCTGGACTCCTTGCCCTTGGGGCCCCACCCCAACCCCGGGCCCTGCCTGTACCTAAGTCCTCGATGGTGTCCAGGAGGCTGCCAGGGCTGGGTCGGAGGCGGCCGTCAGGCCTCTGCAGGGGCAGTGCGTCCTCGTCCCGGATCAGGGTCAGGTCCTGCATGCTGAAGCTGCGGAGCTTCTCTGACAGCACCCCCTGGCCCTAGGGTCACCACCACGCACCGGGAGAGCCGGGGGGAAGGGGCGGGGTGGAGATAGAGGTCACCATGGTGCTGGCAGCAGCCCCAGGCTCGGTGCCCTCCCCACACTGTCCTCACCCAGTCCCACACAGACAGAGCTGAGGGCTGGGGCAGGGCCACACTTTGCCTCTGGGGACAGATGGGGAAATGGCCGGACAATCAAAGTGACTCGGCCAGATAGCAGTAGAGCCTGGACTGGAGCCTCCAGCTGCATGAGCCCAGAGTCTCTACAGCCCCGAGTACAGGGTGGATGCAAAGGGGCCTGGCCAGGGCCCTTTGTACAAGGTAGGGGCCCTGGGAGTCTGAGCCTGCCCCCATCTCACCTTGGCGGCAGCTGTGACTGCAGCATTGGCGGCAAGGTTCAGGCCCCTCTTGCCCACCCTCATCATGGTCTCATAGCTCTTGTCTCGGGCCTGCGTGATGTACTCGTCGATCTCCTATGGGATTGGAGGGGAAGGGAGAAGAGGAGAGGTCCTGCCCTACCCTTGTTCACCCCTGGACAGAGGCCCCTGCCTGCTCCGGGAGGCCACGGCAGCCCTGCCAAGTCACTTTGGGCTCTGGGCCCCACAGGGAGGGCCAGTCTGTATGAGGCTGCAGGCTCTGGACTGCCTTGGCTGGGGGCAGGCTGGGAGGTGAGCTGAGAGTGGGGGCAAACCTTCTCCTTGTTGGACAGCGTTGGGTGCACGAACTTGCGGTAGAGCACGCTGGAGCCCTTGGTGTAAGGGGACAGCAGCCATATCACGAAGGCGATCTTCAGTTCAAAGTAGAAGGGGAACCTGTTGGGACAGGGGCAAGCGCAGAGTACAGGGCAGGGAGTTGGGAGGTGCCCTGTGTCCAGCAGCACCGGCCCCATGTGTGACCCTGCACAGCCCCTCACTCTTAGTGCACTGGGGTCCCCATGGGGCTCATGGGACTGCTCCTTTCTAATCTGAAAGGGTCTGGAGGGCTCAGCTGAAGCTCCAAACAGGAAGGTAAGCAGTGACACTAGAAGGAATTTCCCCCAGCAGCGACTCTCCTGGCCTCATCCTCTCCCCAAGCCCCAGCCCTCTCACTCCTAGAGAAAACCCCCCTTCCTCTGCCCTAGGGTCAACACCAAGGGAAACTCTTGACTGTGCAGGCCTACACCTGGGTCTTCACTCCTTCCCTTTCTGCCCTCCCTATCATCGAGAGGCCTGGGACTTCTCTAGCTTGCTCTGGACCCTCCTGCCCCACCGTGACACGACCCTCACTTCTCCAGGATTGCCCTTCAGTCCCCATAGTGCCTTCTCCTCTGGTCACAAACTCCTTCAGGTCACCTATGTCCTCACAAAGTCTTCATCAAAGCTCTCTCTTTTGCTGTGTCAAGACACATGTATAGGCCTGGCACAGTGGCCTGTAATCTCCCAGCACTTTGGGAGCCAAGGTGGGAGGATCATCTGAGCCCAGGAGTTCAAGACCAGCCTGACAACACAGCAAAACCCCATCTCTACAAAAAATAAAAAATAAGCCAGGTGTGGTGGCGTGTGCCTGTGGTCCCAGCTACTCAGGAGGTTGAGGTGGGAGGATCACTTGAGCCCAGGAGGTAGAGGCTGCAGTGAGCCGAGATCACACCACTGCACTCCAACCTGAATGACAGAGTGAGATTCTATCTCAGAAAAAGAAAAAAAAGGCATCTATATTTACTACCCTCAGTTTTGTTTTTCACCTCACCACCCTTGCCCTACTCTCATCTTTTTTTTTTTTTTTTTTTTGAGACAGAGTCTCGTTCTTGTTGCCCAGGCCGGAGTGCAATGGCACAATCTTGGCTCACTGCAACCTCTGCCTCCTGGGTTCAAGCAATTCTTCTGCCTCAGCCTCCTGAGTAGTTGGGATTACAGGCATGTGCCACCACGCCCGGCTAATTTTGTATTTTTAGTAGATAAGGGGTTTCACCATGTTGGTCAGGCTGGTCTCGAACTCCTGACCTCAGGTGATCTGCCCCCCCTTGGCCTCCCAAAGTGCTGTGATTATGGGCATGAGCCACCGCACCTGGCCAATTTTTTTTTTAATAGGCAGGTCTTGCTATGTTGCCCAGGCTGATCTCAAACTCCTAGGCTCAAGTGATCCTCCTGCCTTGGCTTCCCAAAGTGCCAGGATTACAAGCAGGAGCCACCATGCCCGGCCTTTACCCTCAATTTTTTTTTTTTTGAGACTGAGTCTTGCTCTGTTGCCAGGCTGGAGTGCAGTGGCACGATCTCGGCTCACGGCAACCTCCGCCTCCTGGGTTCAAGCGATTCTCCTGTCTCAGCCTCCCAAGTAGCTGGGATTACAAGTAGGTGCCATAATACCTAGCTATTTTTTTTTTTTTTTTTGAGACAGAATCTCACCCTGTTGCCCAGACTGGAGTGCAGTGGCTCGATCTCGACTCACTGCAAGCTCCGCCTCCTGGGTTCACACCGTTCTCCTGCCTCAGCCTCCAGAGTAGCTGGGACTACAGACACCCGCCACCACGCCCGGCTAATTTTTTGTGTTTTGTTTTTTAGTAGAGATGGGGTTTCACCGTATTGGACAGGATGCTCTCCATCTCCTGACTTCATGATCCGCCCACCTCGGCCTCCCAAAGTGCTGGGATTACAGGTGTGAGCCACTGCGCCCTGCCATGCCTAGCTAATTTTTGTATTTTTAGTAGAGACGGGGTTTCACCGTGTTGGCCAGGATGGTCTCGATCTCCTGACCTCGTGATCTGCCTGCCTTGGCCTCCCAAAGTGCTGGGATTACAGGCGTGAGCCACCACACCCGGCCTTTACCCTCAATTTTTAACCCATCTCTCCATCTCTTTCCTCTTCTAAAACTATTTTTCTCAAATGCAAGGGTCTTATCTATAAATGTAATGATCTCTTGTCCTCTCCCCCTTGGTAAAATTCTCTTCTTGAGTTCCGATGAACTGTGTTATTAGTCCCCTCTTCCAAGAGGTATCTGATCATTCAGTAAACATTTTTGAGTTCCTGCTGTGAATATACAGATGATTAAGACATATTCCCTGTCCTCAAAGTGCTCATACATACGTAGTCTAGTACAGCCTGGAAAATGCCTTGGAAATGCAAGTATCCAGCATTTATAGGAGTGAATCATATGCCTATTTTACAAATAAGGAAACTGAGGCCTCGAGAGCTGTGACCTGCCTAAGGTCGCAGGCAGCATGGCAGAAGCGGGTTTCCTGAATTCCACTGAGGGGCTCTGGCTGCCGCCAGAAAGAAACATGGGGATTATGTTTGTTCTTACTCCTTGTTTGTTTGTTTTTTTTTTGAGACGGAGTCTCACTCTGTTGCCCAGGCTGGAGTGCAATGGCGCGATCTCGGCTCACTGCAACCTCTACCTCCTGGGTTCAAGCAATTCTCTTGCCTCAGCCTCCCTAGTAGCTGGGATTACAGGGGCGCCACCATGCCCAGCTATTTTTTTTTTGTATTTTTAGTGGAGACGGGGTTTCACCATGTTGGCCAGGCTGGTCTCAAACTCCTGACCTCAAATGATCCACCCACTTAGACCTCCCAAAGTGCTGGGATTACAGGTGTGAGCCCCCTCGCCTGGCACTACTATGTCTGTTCTTCTGCAGGTCAAGTTAGGCATGAGAGGGGAGATATCAAGGACCCCATGAAATTGTCAGGAATGGGAGGAGCTTCACCCCCAGGCCCAGTCTTTTGTTTGGCTGGCTGGGTAGAGAAAGGCAGAGGCCCTGGGCCCTGAGATACAGGAGGGGACGCTGGACCTCACCAGGAGAGCACTATATCCGTGAGCGTCTCGGCCGTGGTGAAGAAGGCAAAGACGATCCAGTACATCATCCATTTCACCTGAGGGACAGAGGGAAGCGCTGGCTGGGGCACGGGGCTGAGGGGCCAGGGACACCCAGGACCCCAGCTCTGCCTGTTGAACATGCCTGGGCTGGGGAGAACACCAAGGACCCCACTTCTGCCTGCCAGCCATGTTGGAGGCGCTGTGTGGGACACCCAGGGCCCTCCTTTGCTGGTGGGTCTTGTTAGTGGCTGACAGTGTTGGTGCAAAGTCACCCCCATCTGTAATAGGACCCAGTGCCCTCCCCTCTCTGTGCCATGTGGGTTGGGTAGGGGGTGAAGGGTCATCCACTCACATATTCCTTCACGTTTTTTGTCTTCACGGCCTTGTAGGAAGAATAGGCTGGGTACAGGGTGCCAAAGATGAGCCTAGGGAGGCAGGCATGGTTACTGGGCCTCTCAGCCAAGGGCAGTGGCCTCTCCCTCCCAGCTCCGCATCAGCCCCTGGGTAAGTAATGGGAAGAGAGACAGAACTCCCCGCTGGACTGATGAACTCAGGTCAGGGGTTAAGGTCAAAGCAGCATGGAACATGCCCAGCCAGGTAGGGTGATGCCCCCTCCCCGCTCCACTGTTCAGTTTTTCTCTAGCCCCGGAGGCAGGGAAAGGCCCAGAGGCCAGAGGGTCCAATGTAGTCCCTTGCGCCATGATCCTTGGTTACACACAAATATGTCATGGAGACTGGGAGTCAGGTCACTGCCACAGGGTGTCTTCCTTCTTGACCTCATGCCCATTCACACCCATCTGCCCTTACCCTCCACCTCCCTCAGAGCCAGGCTCTGCGAGGGAACCTGACACCACCTAACAGGGCACCCTACCTGGCAGGCAGAGGTACCACTGTGGCCCTGGGGCCCTAGGGAACAGAGGGCACAGGGGCAGGAGGCCCTGAGAGAGGCAAAGAGGCTTATTCCCCCATGTAAACACCACAGGGACAGGGCTCAGGGGAGGGCCCCGCTGGTGATCCAAGTACAGAATGCAGACAAGACACAGGCCGGGAAAGAAGAGGACCGATGCCCTTTGGGGCTTGCCCAGGCAAGAGAGAAGCAGCCACCCTGAAGGCCACATGGAGGCGTGAGGCCCCTCCATTCCCCCTGGGATGGGTGGGGGAAGAGAAGGAGTCTAGAGTAAACCAGGACAGAAGCACTTGGCCGGCCCGGCTGTACCGAATGGGAAGAAGGGAGCAGGGTGGGGCTGCCGGTGTCAGTCCCCAACGGTGGAGGCCGAGGGGCAGTGTCCTCATTAGGGCAGGGGATAGCTCCGAGAACCACGAGGAGCCCCTGTCAGGCTCAGCCCCTTGACAATGTGTGGCTGTCGCCTGTTTCCACATGGACAGGAGGGATACTTCCAAACCGGCTGGTGCAAGTGGAGTGCGGAGCAGAATCCTCAAGGACAAAGTCTGGGCTCGTGGGGAATGGTGTGTGTTCCCTCCTGGGGCCCGGGGAGGTGCCAGAGACACAGCTCCACAGTGTGGCTGGCAGCCTGGAATGAAGGCCACGGAGCGTCCTCCCCCAGCGGGGTCCACAATCCCAGGCTGAGCACACACATCCCCTCTCCCAGTTACCTCTCACACTTTGTCCTCCGAGCATTTCTGCTTCCCGATACCCAGACTTCCTCCCTAGGGGGCCTAAGGGCATATGCCCTCGTCCCCAGTCTCCTGACAGTGAGTGGAAGGGAGAGACCAAGGGGCCTGGTGATGGCTCTGAGCTGCGGAATGATGATGAGGCCCTGCCTTGCTCCACTCTCTTCCATCACCCTGTTACCTCCCCCAGAGGGACAGGGCCCGGGTCTGAGGATCTCCTCCAGCCCAGACCTGCTAGGTGGGGGAGGGGACGCGCCTGCCTCCCCTTTTAAATCAAGCCGTGCTGCTCAGCCTCTAGGATGGGCGCAGGAGCAAGGACGGTAGAAATAAAAGAGGTTATTAATAAAGAATGTGGGTGAGGTCCCTGGGAAGCCAGGCCTGCCACGCTCCCCTAATATTCCCCCCTCCAGTCCTGGGTGCCACATCTCCATGTCTCTGGGGGCCCCAAATAAGGACGCAGCGCCTTTAGGTGACTCTGCTGCACGAAGCTTCGGAGAAGTCCACCCGGGCTTTAACACCCCCGCCCTCCATCACAGCCCGCATCACCCCCCGCCGCCGCCGCACTCACACCACCAGGCGAGAGATGATCCAGGACACCATGGCGGGGCCGGGCGCGGCGCGGGGCGGGGACCCGGCCCGGCCGAGGATGCAGCTGCCTGAGGCCGAGCGGCGGCGGCGGCGGCAGCAGGAGCCGCAGTAGCAGCAGCAGCCGCTGCAGCAGCCGCCGCGGGGGCAGCGGAGCGCCCAGCGCCGCCGTTAAAGGGGAGGTCCCTGCCGCAGCGGCGGGCCGTGGGCGGTGGCGGCTCTTAAAGGGGAGGCCGGGAGGCCGCCGCGGCGGCGGCGGCGCGCCCCCGCCCCGGCACCTGCTGTGGCCGGGCATGCGCCTCCGACCCTCAGTGCCCTGCCTTCCTCGAATCGCTTGTTCATCTTTCTTGGGTTTCAAGCCCTAGGCTGTTGTCGTGGAGGTCTCCATGGTTACATCCTGAAATCGACCCCTGCCCACCTCCTGCCCTGCCCACACCAGGCGCTTACTGTGTGCCAGCCCCTGTGCTAAGAGCTTCACTGCGTTGCCAGTGAATCCTCTTGACCACCCTATAAGGCAGGCGCTATAAAAGCCCTCATTTTGAAGATAAGGGAATGAGAAGCTTAAGGCTCAATAATCTGTTGAGAGTCACAAAGCCACCAAGTCATGCTGCTAAGATGACCCCAGGAAGCCTACTTTAAACAGGTTACATCCCCCAACTGCTGACTAGCAAACTCTCCTCATTACAGGCCCTGAAGACATCCACCTGAGCTCCTGAGTCACAGGTACAGCCGCACCTGTCCACCCCACTCCTTCTCACCCCGTTGAAAGAGGATCTCCCCTGACCAGATGATGTTTTGTTTTTTTGAGACAGGTCCTCACTCTGTCGCTCAGGCTGGAGTGCAGTGGCACAATCTCAGCACACCTCCTGGGCTTGAATGATCCTCCCGCCTCAGCCTCCCGAGTAGCTGGGACTACAGGCCCAAAACACCACCAGCTAATTCCTGTTTTTTTGTTTTTTGTTTTTTTTTGCCAAGATGGGGTTTTGCAATATTGCCCAGGCTGATCTCCAACTCCTGAGCTCAAGCGATCCACCCGCCTCAGCCTCCCAAAGTGCTGGGATCACTGGTGTGAGCCACCGGGCTGCTGGTCTGCTTTTTTAGGTTGTCAGCTCCTAAGCTTTGCAGCGGAACAGAGCTTTATGCTCTCAATGTGGTTACTGACAACAAAGGGTCAACCTTCTTTTCAAACAGAGGGGCTGCGAGAGGGTCCTGGGGCTCCAGTTCCACCCCCATCAGCAAGCACTAGTGGCAGTGAATGTCCTGATTCTAAAGACATTTATATCCAGAATGTAGGCTAGCCTGCCTCCTGATCTTCAGGAAAGCAACCAACCTCCAACCATCCACCAACACCCCCAGCCCTATTGCTCTCCTTTCCTGTCCCATTTTAGAGCTTCTGCATTCCTCTACCCTTTATGTTGAGTTGTAATCCTTCGGGTGACCACAGCATCAACCTGTGCCCATCTGGGCTGAAAGGACACATTCAGAACTGTGTATTTCAAAGAGTCATGGTCTTATTCAAGCTCAGTATCCCTGAACAACACAATGGTCTATTTCTAACCTGGTAAATTATATTTCCAGGTTCAAACACTTTGGAAGATGTTTCCCAAAACGTTCCAGAAAAGCAGCCTCTGATAACCCCTCTTGCTATTCTTTACAACTTCCTCTCCAGAAAACATCTCCTAATTGGAATGCAGTCTGTTATCACCCCACAATGAAACACTTTAATTACTGCTTGATAAATCCCACATGAGTGTCTCCCACCATCTCTAAGGTGGATCTATGGCCACACGTTTCATGTAGGCAGCCAGGCTGCCTGCTTAAGAATCCCACCACAGACTGTCCAACTTTGCTGAGGCCACACACCATGACCCTTCCCCCCAGACTCTGCCACAGGAAGGGAGGACCCCAACTTTCCCACTCCATTCACAAAGCATAAAGTATGGGGAAACATGTCTCTCTTTCTACCCTCTAATTCATGTGGCCCCTTCCCCTTACCCCCAATTCCCCAAACCATACTGACCTCACCCTGGCACTTTCCTTTTTTCTAACATGGCACAGTCTCAACAAGCAAAGAAAAATATCTGGGTGTAGCACAGTCATGAAGACCTGGAAATGAATCCCCCACCTCCAACCCAACTCCCAATCTGATGTTGATTTTAGAAGGGTTGGTACACGAATAATTTAGTCCACTCCAAACAGATTTGTTAGATTTTTAATAAGAACATGGAAATCCCAATCAGCCCTTCAACAAAATTAAAATACAGAAAGTGAAATTAAAAGTATTCTACATTAAATGACTTTTATTTAAAAAAAAAAAAAAAAGTAACTGTGAACATATAAACAGCCTGCAGGGCACTACAGTACAGCTGGAGAGATATACATTTTCCAATGTACCTATGGGCCAATGAATCCCACCATTTTCAAATAAATCCTTAATCAGACTCCACTCAGTTGGAAAGTTTTGCTGAAAATATTTCTGGATAAAAAACAAAAAACCTCATGTTGGAAATCAACTGTCCTTCCCATTTGGAAACATTAAGAGGAGTCCCCAGGGAACACTGGTAATAGGTGAAAATGGTTCCTGGAGTCACCAGTGTTGTACACACACATGGGGAACACACCACAGCTTAGATGTGACAAAGTTCCTTCTCATATGACTGTTCCCTCAAGGTAAGACTAAGATGGGAGGGGGAGAAAAAGAATCCTAAAAAAGCCAATTTTTAAAAATTCTGCTTTGGCTGATTTTGTGCTATAATGGGTAGCTGATTTCTAAAAATCATATTTCTTCAAAGAGTTTTATATCGAAAGGAAGACTAAATGTAATGTGCCTTTCCTTATAATCCAGGAAAACAACTGTGGTATTTCAAAAATTCTAAAAATATCTACTTTCATGAAATAGTAACTATTTCACTACAAACCTATTTTTCACTAAATACACACATTTCCTAATCCTGGAGCCTCCTGGGAAAAGCAGTGGGTTCTCCCTGGGTCTTGCAAGACTCCAGTGTTCACAGGAGAGTGTGGGGAATAGCTTCACCCCGTCTCCTGGGATGGGCTTTGTCAGAGGTCACGTGCAGAGACGCTATCAGACTTCCACCAGGCATGTTTAAGCAATTACCCCATACTTGTACCAGTTATGTGATTTCCCCTATCTCCAAACACATTTCCACTTAACTAGGCACAAGAGGAAAAGAAAAGAAAGGTGTGCCCGTGAATCTCAAATCAGGAGAATGTGCAGGAAAGCCCCGCCATGTTCAGGCAATTTGGATTTCCAAAAGGCCACAGGATAGGGATGTGGCACTCTTGGCTTGGAGTCTCAAACTGTGTGTGTGAACAGTACGACTTTCCTGTGTCAACCTTCAGTGTTGAGGCAGCGTAGAAGAGAGTGGCTGGAGAGTTTGGAATACTGACCACACTGGCTCTGGGTGAAGGGCCTCTGCTCCAGCAAAGAGCCCTGCCGTTCCCTGTTAAGTGTTGTGAGTGAAAGACCTGCTTCACAGAGGAGCTTGGAGTTTCTCCATGCCTAGGACCTTGCCAGTTTGGATTCATGAGCCTTGAGGGTGCCAACCGCATCTTTCACTGCATGGTAAATGATGTTCTTCACCTAGAGAAGGTGTACAGCAAAGTCAGTTCACAGCAGCCCCATGCAAATGTACGTTCTACCTTGACTGTAAGCCTACTGGTTTAGTGGGGAAACTCCCAAAAAGGACTGTGCGTTCCTGTATCAATCCCCACAGTCATTTACAAATCACATAGGGCATGAGGTGTGTACTCAAAAAAGAATAATGAAGTTATGTGAAAGGCCATCTGATCACCATCATTTATGTGCTTACTATGTCCTGGGCAGGCGCTGCTGCTGAGCTCTTTATGTGGACCTTTGCTTAATCCTTGACAGAATCCTATGAGGTAGGTTCTATTATTATCATGCCCAATTTACAGAGGAGAAACTGCGGAAACTAAGGCCACAGTGAACACCTGGAGAACTTTGTTTCCTTATATGGTTAAGAGGCTTCCTTAAGGTTCTACAGCTAATAAGGATGCATTAAAACAAGAGGGGAAAGCAGGATTATGGCCTATTTTTTCCCTTCGTGCTTATATGTTTTCTGATTTGGATATATTACCTGTGAAATTGGAACACACAATAAAAGTTATTGAAAAAAGTGAACAGGCATATTAAGGTGAAGAGAATAAAGACAGCTTTCTTTTAAAGGGCTGACAAGAAAACTGAGGTTATTTCTGGGGAGGAAAAGCGGGGAAATGCAAAGGGGAAGGGTACATGGGGGCTTCAACCATGTAGTTGCTGTATATGTATGTGTGCTATAATTTCTTAAGCTGGGTCATGGGCATCCAAGTCCTTCTTTTACTATTCTCCATTAATTTTTTTGCATTGCTTCAACAAAGATTTATGAATACCTACTATGTGTCAGACATTGTGCTAAGGAAAAGCAGTGAGTAAAATGTAAAATTCCTGCCTTCACAGAGCTTAAATAGCTTACATTCTAGTAGGGTTAAGTAACAGATTAAAAAAATATATCTATATCTGTATCTATAGCTATATCTCAGATGGTGAAAATACTACAGGAAAAATAAAGTAGTGAAAGTGGGACTGGTAGTGCTGGAGCAGGAGTTGTTATTCTAAACAGGGTAGTCAGGAAAGGTCTTTTTTTTTTTTTTTTGAGATGGAGTCTAACACTGTTGCCCACGCTGGAGTGCAGTGGCGCCATCTCAGCTCACTGCAACCTCCGCCTCCTGGGTTCAAGCGATTCTCCAGCCTCAGCCTCCCAAGTAGCTGGGACTACAGGCGCCCACCACCATGCCTGGCTAATTTTTGTATTTTTAGTAGAGACGGGGTTTCGCCATATTGGCCAGGCTGGTCTCGAACTCCTGACCTTGTGATCTGCCCACCTCGGCCTCCCAAAGTGTTGGGATTACAGGCGTGAGCCACCGCGCCCAGCCTGTTGTTTTTAAATAAAGAGACAGAGTCTGTTGCCCAGGCTGGAGTGTAGTGGGGTGATCATAGGTCACGAGAGCTTCAAAACTCCTGGGCTCAAGTAATCCTCCCACCTCAGCCTCCTGAGTGGCTGGGACTGCAGAAACACACCCAACATCCCTAGCTCGGGAAAGGTGTTATGGATAAGGTGACATGTTACCTTTATATTCTCATTCTATGTAAACACCAATGTTGGACGGGCACGGTGACTCACGCCTGTAATCTCAGCATTTTGGGAAGCCGAGGCAGGTGGATCACCTGAGGTCGGGAGTTCAAGACCAGCCTGGCCAACATGGTGAAACCCTGTCTCTACTAAAAATACAAAAATTAGCTCGGTGTGATGACACGTGCCTGTAATCCCCAGATACTCGGGAGGCTGAGGCAGGAGAATCGCTTGAACCCAGGAGGCAGAGGCTGCAGTGAGGCAAGATCACGCCACTGCCCTCCAGCGTGGGCAACGGAGCGGGACTCCATCTCAATAAACAAACACCAACGTTGATTATACTTTGTATAAAAACTATGGTTGGCTGGGTGCAGTGGCTCACTCCTGTAATTCCAGCGCTTTGGGAGGTGGAGGCGGGCAGATCACCTGAGGTCGGGAGTTCGAGACCAGCCTTGCCAAAATGGTGAAACCACGTCTCTACCAAAAAATACAAAAATTATCTGGGTATGGTGGTGCATGCCTGCAATCCCAGCTACATGGGAGGCTGAGGCAGGAGAATCACTTAAACCCAGGAGACGAAGGATGCAGTTGAGCCAAGATCACACCATTGCACTTTCATTTGGGTGACAGAGTGAGACTGTCTCAAAAAAAAAAAAAAAAACAGCCGCAGTGGCTCACATCCGTAATCCCAGCACTTTGGGAGGCCGAGGGCGGGTGGATCATGAGGTCAGGAGTTCAAGACCTGCCTGGCCAAGATGGTGAAACCCCGTCTCTATTAAAAAACTACAAAAATTAGCCGGGCACAGTGGCAGGTGCCTGTAATCCCAGCTACTCGAGAGGCTGAGGCAGGAGAATTGCTTGAACCCAGATGGTGGAGGTTGCAGTGAGCCGAGATCATGCCACTGCACTCCAGCATGGGTGACAGACTGAGAATCTGTCTCAAAAAAAAAAAAAAAGAAAGGAAAAGTGCATCAGACTCAGAGTTGAAGGTGATTGAATCTACCAGCAATTAAGAAAAACCTCTTCAGGCTGGGCGCAGTGGCTCACGCCTGTAATCCCAGCACTTTGGGAGGTCGAGGCAGGCGGATCACGAGGTCAGGCGATCAAGACCATCCTGGCTAACACAGTGAAACCCCGTCTCTACTAAAAATACAAAAAAATAGCTGGACGTGGTGGTGGACATCTGTAGTCCCAGCTACTCGGGAGGCTGAGGCAAGAGAATGGCATGAACCCAGGAGGCGGAGCTTGCAGTGAGCCGAGATCACGCCACTGCACTCCAAAACCTCTTCAATCTGATCTATCAACAACCAAAAAAGATACACTTGAGCCACAGGCATGCCAGAAGAAAAGAGGCCACAGTGAAAGCCTAGAGAATTCTGCTTCCTTATTCTTTTTTTTCTTTGAGACGGTGTCTCGCTCTGTCGCCCAGGCTGGAGTGCAGTGACGTGATCTCAGCTCACTGCAACCTCTGCCTCCCAGGTTCAAGTGATTCTCCTGCCTCAGCCTCTCAAGTAGCTGGGACTACAGGTGTGTGCCACCACGCCCAGCTAATTTTTTGTATTTTTAGTAAAGATGGGGTATCAACATGTTAGCCAGGATGGTCTTGATCTCCTGACCTCATGATCCACCCGCCCAGCCCTCTTTGTTCTTTTTATGCAACTAAAGTACCTAAGTGTATTAATGATGAAATTCTGCCCTTAAAATTCCAATCCATTTCAAGAGCAGAGGAAACCTAATCTGATTGTTCAGCTCTGCTCTACAAGGGGATACAGTTCTTAGGGACATGAACTGTAATCCCTAGCAGAGCTCTAAGAAATTGAGTCTGCATAGAAATCTGCTATGAGAAGCAGCTTCAGCGCAATATTTCTTCTCAGAAACATGCTTAGAACACACTGCCATAGTGCTTTTTCCACCTGTTTGGGGAGGTCAGTCTAGTTAGTTACTAACACTTGTAATACTATAACTCTGAAACGGACAGAAATGAGGACTGTCACAACAGAAATGATTAGGTTAAGCAGTGGCTCACACCTGTATTCCCAGTACTTTGTGAAGCTGAGGTGAGAGGATCTCTTGAGCCCAGTAGTTTGAGAGCAGCCTGGGCAACATAGACCCCATTCTATTAAAAAGAAGAAAAACTGTTTTTTGTTTTTTTTTTTTTGAGATGGGAGTCTTGCTCTGTTGCCCAGGCTGGAGTGCAGTGGCATGATCTCAGCTCACTGCAACCTCCACCTCCCAGTTCAAGCAATTCTCCTGCCTCAGTTTCCTGAGTAGCTGGGACTACAGGCATGCGCCATCATGCCCTGCTAATTTTTGTAAAAAAGAAGAAAAACTTAAAAAAAAATTAAATGCTTCCTAAAAGGACTCCATATCCCCAAACTTCTTCCCTGCATCATTTCTCCTCCACAATTAGACCTTCGGAGAATACCCTCAGAAAGGAGAATGTGCTTTCTGCGTAATGTATGTGAGTATGCAATGAGAAGACAGAGTGGGGTAGAGGGAGGAGTTATTTACCTGCAGTTTATCCTCATGATTTGTATGAGTGTTAGAGAGATGCCTGAATTCCTGAGTCAGGCGGAAACAGTGCTTTACATGTTCTGGAGATACAAAGTCTTCTGCTACTTTTATGCAACTGTATAGATTGTGAACCTGAGAAGGGCAAAGTGCAGAGGAGAAATATCAGACATTAGAGATTCAATAACATATGGAAAATGTCCATGATATAGTTAAAAAAACCCTTGAGAAATAGGTATAATATTTCCATTTTTATAACAACACAGAAAAGCTGTAAGTGCAAATGTATAAATAAAAGCAATGGCCAGGTGCAGTGGCTCATGCCTGTAATCCCAGCACTTTGGGAGGCCGAGGCAGGTTGATCGCTTGAGCTCAGGAGTTCAAGACCAGCCTGGGCTTGATACGGTGATATGGCGAAACCCCGTCTCTACCAAAAAAACAAAAAAAAAGAAAAAGGAAAAAAGAAATACATAAAAATATCAGTATTTGCACAGAAAATGTTCTGGAAAAATATACACCAAACTGTTAACAGTAGGCTATCTCTGAGGAAAGAAACTAGATTGGGAAGGTAGGATAAGGGGATTGATAAGAAGAGTATGCTACAAGTAGCTGAGCTAGGACTTGTCACTTTTTCTTTAATAGCTTGCATTGTTTAAATTTTTTTTTTTTGAGACTGAGTTTCGCTCTTGTTGCCCAGGCTGGAGTGCAATGGTGCGATCTTGGCTCACTGCAACCTCCACCTCCCGGGTTCAAGCGATTCTCCTGCCTCAGCCTCCTGAGTAGCTGGGATTATAGGCATGTGCCACCATGCCTGCCTAATTTTGTATTTTTAGTAGAGATGGGGTTTCACCATGTTGGTCAGGCTGATCTTGAACTCCCAACCTCAGGTGATCCACCCGCCTCGGCCTCCCAAAGTGCTGGGATTACAGGCGTTGAGCTACCAGGACCGCCCTGTTTAAAATTTTTTAAATGAGCCTTAATGTTACAAGGAAGAAAATAAAAGCATAAAATAAGTTGCAGCATAAGAGAGATCAGTCCAATCCAGCTACTTAAATCTCTTGGTAGATTAGCAAGAAAAGCAGAAATAAGAAAGCCCATGGAACTGTTCAGCCCAACCCCCAAGCAGGAACCCACCTGGTGTGGGGCTCCAGCAGGTATGAAAACAGCATCACCTAGGAACTGCACAATAGCCCAGCCTTGCACGCCATACTCCTCATAGAGTCGCTTACGGAGGGTCTGGTCCAGGTACCAACTTTGGTCATGAATTGGGTCATGATCAGGGGGGTTCTCTTGGCCTTGTTCTTCTCCAACCTGAAGCCATAATCAAATCCAAAGATGGGAAAATTAAAAATCATTAACAGCATAAATCCAACTTGCTGCAGCAATGTCCTAAGATGGGGTGGGGATGGCAAAACTTTATTCTAGTCAACATCCTCTAGGTGTGGATTCAAGCCTTTGGGCTTTTCCACCAGAGGTATCATGGCCAACAAGTCTTTAATGCCAAGGGACTCTACATGAGAAACCCTAGATAGGGTGTCTCAGCAACGAGACTCTTGATATGTGAGCTGGGAGCACAGCCCACCCAGGGGCGTACCTTTCGGAGCAGCTCCCGGATCTTCTCTGCATCCTTGGCTGCATAGATGTGCCATAAAGCACCTGGCTTCTCTTTTCCATCATGAATCCTCTGCTTCGTCACCTCATCGGCATCTCCCTCGTCAATTGTCTTGAGTACCTCTGAAAAGAGCAAAATGACACTTTCAATGTAGTCAGCCATTTCAGTACCACTGAGTGAAATGAAATGTCCAATTTAAATAAATTGAGTTTTACTCTTCTCCATCTCTGGAATAATGTAAGGCAGAATCAGAAAATTGATACTGGTCTAAGCTCCCTACACACAGAACAACATTAAACCTTCCTTACTTATTAGAGATTCAGCATTTTTGGAGGTATAATTTCCCCTTAAAACATATTTTTTGCTTAAACTGTGTTGCCATATCTTATGTTTAACTTGCAGGTTATCTTCCGCTACAAGTATATGGAGTCTGTATATTTTCTCAAGACCCCTTCAAACACTAGGATTCTGGATTTAAGCCTACAAAGCATAAAGCATCACTACCAAGTGAAGAGGGTTGGCTTTTAATGCTTGTCTATTACAATGACCTACACCATAATGAATGCTGCAGGTGTGCAAAATCCAAGGCAAATGTAGGCTGGGCATGGTGGCTCATGTCTATAATCCCAGCACTTTGAGAGGCTGAGGTGGGCGGATCACCTGAGATTGGGAGTTCGAGCCCAGCCTGGCCAACATGGTGACACCCCATCTCTACTAAAAATACAAAAATTAGCCGAGTATGGTGGCACATGCCTGTAATCCCAGCTACTTGGGAGGCTGAGGCATGAGAATTGCTTGAACCCAGGAGGCGGAAGTTGCAGAAAAAATAAAAAAACAAAAAAAGAAAAGAAAAAAAGGCAAATGTAAAGTGAGGCACAGTGGCCTTGCCTGTAGGCCCAGTAACTTGGGAGGCTGAGGTGGGAGGAATGCCAGAGCCCAGGAGTCTGAAGCCAGTCTGGGCAACATAGTGAGACTCTATCTCAAAAAAAAAAAAAAAAAAAAAAAAAGAAATTATCCCTGAACCTTAAGATTTTGAGTTACTTATTTTCTTTTAAAAAAGTATCCCTTTTTCTGAAATTTCCATAATGAACATGTATTAATTTTAACACTGAGATGGCAGGAAGTATAAATACAGCAAAATATCACTTTTATGCTTCATTTTTATGAAGGTCCTGGCTTTATCATCTGTCACTCCACAGCTGATCTGGCTGATAGGTCAGGTCAGAACTCTGCCCTTTCTTCATTTCTCTTTGTGAGGCTACAAAGTGGAAAAGGGTAGCATTTCTAGAAAGAGACTCTAGTCAAAGATACGCAAAGTAGTACTCTTCTCTATTAGAACCTCCCCCTTTATCTAGCAACATCCACTGGGCACCCACTTCCCATCAGACCTGGAAGAAACAAGAAAAAGCCACCAGGGGAATAAGAAAAGAAAAAAGAAGCCGGGTGCAGTGGCTGACGCCTGTAATCCCAGCACTTTGGGAGGCTGAGGCAGACGGATCACCTGAGGTCAGGAGTTTGAGACCAGCCTGGCCAACATGGCGAAACCCGTCTCTACTAAAAATACAAAAATTAGCCGGGCGTGGTGGCAGGCACCTGTAATCCCAGCTACTTGGGAGGCTGAGGCAGGAGAATCGCTTGAACGTGGGAGGCAGCGGAGGTTGCGGTGAGCCAAGATCGCACCTCTGCACTCTAGCCTGGGGGACAGAGCGAGACTCTGCCTCCCCGCCCCCCAAAAAAAAAAACAGAAAAAAGAAAAAGAAAAAAAAAAGGAAAAGCCACTGGCCCTAAGGATGAAAACACAAAACTGTATTCCCAAGACAAAGCCTCACCATCCTAAAGCAGTGGATTCTAGAAAGCATACCTTCATCATGAGCACCCTCCCCGATGGGAATCCCAACATACACCATCACATTAACAGCATCAGACACATCTAAGTGAAGATTTGTTGTACCAACTCTTCTATCTTCTGCTGTTATCAACCCTAAAGGAGAAAGGAAAATATGCAAGGTGAAGGGCCAATATTTGGAAGAATCCACGTCGACACTACATCTGAAAACATGCTCAAGGGTGTTGTTAAATGAGTAAAATTAGGAGAGTGAAGTCTATTTGTTTATGAAGAAATCACTTTCATCTCTTTTATACTGTTTTAAGACTGATTTCTCATTGACACTGGCCATGGAACAAATCTACCTCCAAAAAACAATCTCTCCATGAAAAACAAAACAGATATGGGCATTAGGGCGTATTCAGATAAAGCTGAGCTTTCACTGTGATTTAGGTCATCCCTGGCCTTAACAAAGCACTGGCTGGGTAGCATGGCACCCAGACCTCTTCATTATTATTCTGTCAAGTCTCTTATACTCGAGAATATGGCTCCTTGGGTAGAGTTCTTAACAGGAAACTTCCTCACTACTGGAGACATGTAAGCTTATGGTCTGGGCCCACATGGATGTTATGAAAACCAATATGACAAAAGCAAACATATTCAAGACCACCTTGGATACTATTCACTTCTCCAGCACTTGCCTGCAATCATCTCTATACCTGACATTGACCACAGATATCCTTCTATAGTTGAAATAAGAACAACAGTCCCCCAAAAGAGCAATTTTAGCCTCTCCCTCATACCATAGGCGTTGTACATCTTGGGGCCCAGATCAGGCCTTACAAAGTAGCTAGGTAGCCTAGAGGCCAGATTGAGCCTGCCATCTCGTTTGGTATATTCTGGCAGAGGAAGGTTCTCCATCAGATCTTCAAACCTATAAAAGTGCAGGAAAGATGACTTAGCTTGTTATAGGGGAAGAAAGCCAATAGACAAATTTCACTTTTCTGTGATTACTTTGTGATGGCTTCTGAAGATGACACCACTGCAGGTCACTAACCTGGTTGGCATCATGTCTCGAAAATCTTCCCCAGGAGGCCAGTCCTTGAGTTTGAGCACCATTGGCTGCCCATCTTCTGACCGTAGTCGTTCTGGAAGACAGAGAATACTCCCACAAACATCTGCTGGTTTGGCTGGTGTCCGATTTTCAACAGTAACTTTTGGGAGACTAATCTCTTTTTTTTCTTTTTTTTTTTTTTTTTTGAGACAGAGTCTTGCTCTGTCACCCGGGCTGCAGTGCAGTGGCATGATCTTGGCCTCCCGGGTTCAAGCGATTCTCCCTGAGTAGCTGGGATTACAGGCAACCACCACCACGCCTGGCTAATTTTTGTATTTTTAGTAGAGACGGGGTTTTGCCATGTTGGCCAGGCTGGTCTCAAACTCCTGACCTCAGATGATCTGCCTGCCTTGGCCTCCCAAAGTGCTGGGATTACAGGCGTAAGGCACTGCGCCCAGCCTAGGAGACTAATCTTTTTTTTTTTTTTTTTTTTTGAGATGGAGTCTCGCTCTGTTGCCCAGGCTGGAGTGCAGTGGCCCAATCTTGGCTCACTGCAAGCTCCGCCTCCCAGGTTCATGCCATTCTCCTGGCTCAGCCTGCCGAGTAGCTGGGACTATAGGTGTCTGCCACCATGCCCGGCTAATTTTTTTGTATTTTTAGTAGAGACAGGGTTTCACCATGTTAGCCAGGATGGTCTCGATCTCCTTACCTTGTGATCCACCCGCCTCGGCCTCCCAAAGTGCTGGGATTACAGGTGTGAGCCACCGTGCCTGGCCCTGGGAGATTAACCTTTTATTTCAGACTTGTAAACCCCCATAATGGACAAGGTGGGCTTTGTTTTCCTCACTTGCTACTTTAGTGTGTGTCTTATTTTTCCATCTTACGGGGATTCTATCCCCATTCCTCAGAGTGAAAGTGCTCTGCATAGCCCATGGAATCACATGATTAAGTCCAGGCATGCTCTGGGAGTCATGTGATTGCCATGTAAGCTACACAGTTGGCACCAGGGCAGAATGTTCCCCCACCAAGTGGGTATAATTTGGATTTATTTATTTATTTATTTTTGAGACAGTCTCACTCCATCACCGAGGCTGGAGAGCAGTGGTGCCATCTTGGCTCACTGCAACCTCTGCCTCCTGGGTTCAAGTGACTGTCCTGCCTCAGCCTCCTGAGTAGCTGGGATTATAGGCACACACCACCATACCCAGCTAATTTTTGTATTTTTAGTAGAGGTGGGGTTTCGCTAAGTTGGCCAGGCTGGTCTTGAACTCCTGACCCCAAGTGATCCACACATCAGCCTCCAAAAAGACTGAAATTACAGGAGCGAGCAACCACGCCCGGCTGTCTGTTTTTAATTTTTTATTCATTTATTTTTTCAAGTCCCATTATGCCCCAGAATATAATTTATTATTCAAGGGCAGAGCTGGGCGTATAGATGCTTATTTTCCAGTCTGCTATCACTGAACTAGATATGAAAGCTACTTACTGCATATGATCTCGAAACCATCCCAGAAATCCCGAACTTTCACATCGGAAATTATAGCACAGTTCCTGCAGTTCACCAAGTCTACATCCTGGTCTCCAAATTCCTGGCTAAAGGCTTCTGGCTTCCAGAGCTCAGACTTGAGCTTTTTATGTACCCCCGAAACCAGCACTGGCTGTGGAAACAAAAATATCCCAATCAGAGCAATCTAGGAAAAACTTCCAGCTCTAGGGCTGAGACAGAATAGGAGGGTTTCCTGAGGAGGGCCTCCTCTTCTCCAGGAAGCTCTACTGTTCTTTCCTAGTTGTATAATCCATGGATTTCCACATGTCAACTAAAGTGAAAGGAAATGCTTCTACTCCATTGTTATGCTTCATTCTCACCCTGGGGAAATCACTTCTGTTGCCCTAATACCTACCATTGTTTTAAGGTGAAAGGACAAAAATCTGACAAGTCCAACTTTGAGAACACTTCCTCATATTGAAAATGACAATGCCATGAGCTCCCCTTCCTCAAGCACCTGCTAAAGTTTTTAAACTAGGGAGTGTTATCACACTATCAAAAAACTTGTGTGGCCTTAAAACATTTGCCTAGAAAAGTACTACCTACCTCCAACCCCTTCTCTGCCCCATCTTAAAATCACACTTAAGGATTTTTCTCTAAAGATATCAATGCCAGATCACCACCTAACAGAAATTTCAACTGCCTTTTTAAGAACACAGAACTATACAGCTTAGAAACAAGAGGATGCAAAGTGTGTTTTTAGTAATCTCCTTGCTTTTATTTATTTATTATTTATTTATTTTTGAGGTGGAATCTTGCTCTGTAGCCCAGGCTGGAATGTAGTGGTATGATCTTGGCTCACCGCACCCTCTGCTTCCCGGGTAAAGTGATTCTCCTGCCTCACCCTCTCAAGCAGCTGGGATTACAGGCACCCACCACCATGCCCAGCTAATTTTTTTTGTATTTTTAGTAGAGACAGGATTTCACCATGTTGGCCAAACTCCTGACCTCAGATGATGCGCCTGCCTTGGCCTCCCAAAGTGCTGAGATTACAGGCGTGAGCTATAGTGCCTGGCCATCTCCTTGCTTTTAAAAATCCAAGACAACTCGAAGTAGCAAGGCTATTACAATAACCTCACTATGTCTAAATCTCCCTGGCAAAAAGAGAGACCTGGAATTGTCCAGGTATCTGTGGTAGGCAGGCAGAGAATTGGCCCTTGGAACGACTTATTCTTGCTTACCTGACCTTGCTTCCAACACTCCCGGAAGATCTTCCAATTGTTTTTGTTGCTGGGGTCATGGAGACACAGAAGCCTCCCATCACAAAGCCAGGAGTGAGAAGTATGGGGATCTAGCACATTTAACCCCATCACCATCTCCTTCACTTCCTTCTGGGTATCAGTCAAGTTGCAGGCCCGCTTTGAAGCATCTGAGGTTTTCTTATTTTCTACCACTGAGGCAATGATGTGGTCAAGAAAGTTGGGTAGGCTGGCCTTGCTCTTCACTCCCTGCCAGACACAAATCCACCAGGTAAGCTTGACTGAGGCACCATGAGAACGGCATTCAAAAAACTGTCTCACAATTGTATTCACAAGGAGTTCTGACCTGTCTGATTAAATTCTACAAAAATTATTAAAATGTCTTTTACAACTGGAAGGGGGATAATAAGTCAACATCTTAAATTCTTTTATCCTTCATATTTTACCTTAACATTTAGGAAAGAAAAGTATAGAAAGATCCCTTTTGCCTCGAGAGATCTGAGACCTAAGAAATACCTTTGGCATCAGCCATTCAGTATACAAAGCACACATGCATGTAGACTGTAGGGATCATCAAATGCTGTAACTGAGTGTAAAAAGGTCACTCAGTTTGAGGGTTCTAAATTTTTCCTAACCAGCATGCCCAAGGGATACAATACTTCAATTAAGTAACTGAAGTGACTTATCAAGGCAATGGTTTTCTACCAGGGAGTACCTCAATGAAGGGTGTAGCAGAGTGTCCAAGAGGAAGTACATTCTGAAAGCAGTCTCCTACTCTCCAATTTTTTCCTCACTACCATCCCACTGAGAATCACTCACCTGTTTCAGCTGATGGGAAAGCTCAGGCCCAGAGATGAAAGTGACATACCTAAGGTCACAGAACTGAAGGTAGGGAAGCTTTTATAAACTGGATAATCCTATGCTTACAGTATTACTAATCCCTATCTCTATAAAGTATGTATAATTATGTAACATCATGGGAGAATTAGAAAAAGAACTGGCAGTATGATGAACAAGTATACATAAAACGGTACCCAAAGTAATTGTTTTGTTTGCTTTTTAAAATTTACTTATCCAGGCTGGGCACGGTGGCTCATGCCTGTTAATCCCAGCACTTTGGGAGGCCAAGGCAGGTGGATTACCTGAGGTCAGGAGTTCGAGACCAGCCTGGCCAACATGGTGGCCAACCCTGTCTCTACTAAAAATACAAAAATTATCCCAGTGTGGTGGCACGTGCCTGTAGTCCCAGCTACTTGCTCGGGAGGCTAAGGCAGGAGATTTGCTTGAACCTGGGAAGTGGAGGCTGCAGTGAGCTGAGATCGTGCCACTGCACTCCAGCTTGGGCAACAGAGTGAGACTGTCTCAAAAAAAAAAGTTACTTATCCAAAAGAGAAACAAATAACCCAAATTGTATAGAGGGCTCAGTCACCCACAGTTCATCACGTTTCAGCCATTAGTCATAAAACCCAAGAAGAAATGTATTTATGTATTCGCTTGAAATGATTTGCAGGACATATAAACTAAAAATCAGAATAGCAAGGTGTAGAACATTTAGGGGAAAAACATACATATGATAATATCTCGAGAAACACTGGAGACTTCTAGAAAGGGAAACAGGTGGTTGGGAGGCAAGGGTGCAAAGGAAACTTTTCAGTCGAAACCTTTTTTATTTTATTTATTTTTTTGAGATGGATCTCCCTCTGTCACCCAGGCTGGAGTGCGGTGGTGCGATCTTGGCTCACTGCAACTTCTGCCTCCCAGGTTCAGGCGATTCTCCTGCCTCAACCTCCCGAGTAGCTGGGATTATAAGCATGTGCCATCATGCCTGGCTAATTTTTGTAGTTTTTTAGAAAGAGTCAGGATTTTGCTACGTTGGTCAGGTTAGTCTCGAACTCCTGACCTCAAGTGATCTGTCCGCCTCAGCCTCCCAAAGTGCTGGGATTACAGGTGTGAGCCACTGTGCCCAGCCTCTTTTCTATCTTTTAGATATTGTACCTTATGAATTCATTCATTCAATAAATGCTTACTAAACATGACTGGATCAAACACCATGGCACTAGGGATATATTATAGAACAGTCAAAAATGCCTTTAGGAGAGGCAAGAAACAGAAAATCAAACATGTAATAGGTCAGATGGTAATGAGTGCTGTGAAAAAAACAAAGCAGGGAAAATCGGTATGTGCAGAACTGACAGTGTGATGGAATTTTAAAAAGGGTGATGTATGAAGAAAGGGTTACTGAAGGTTTAGGTGAGGGAGCTGATGATGAAGCAAGTGAGGTAGTTACATGGGAAAGAAATTCTAGGTGGAGGAAATAACAAGTGCAAAGGCCCTGAAGAGGGAGCATGCCAGGCCATGTTCAAAGAACAGCAAGAAGGTGGGTGTGGCTGGAACGGAGTGAACAGAACAGAGAGTGGTAGTTGAAGACAGGGAGGTGAGAGCAAGATGAACAGATAGGGCTATGGCCTCATAGTCCAGGTGCGTGACTCTACTCATCTGTAAGCACTACAAGGACTCTGCTCATCTTACGAGAGAAAAAGGAAGCCCTTGAAGGATTTCAGGCAGAGGTTAAGATATGATCTGACTTATATTTTATTATTTTTCTCCTTTTCTTTTATTTTTCTTTATTTCTTAATAAAAAGCCTCCCATGGGATGACATATTTTAAAAGAACCTCTCTAGCTACTGTGTTGAAAATACACTGTAGACTGTAAAGGGCAGAAACAAGGGGACCTGTAAGGAATTTATTGCAAAAACTTAGGCAAGATGTTGGCTCAGAACAGAGGAAGCAACAGAGCTGATGAAAAATGAGTGGATTCTGAATATAGTTTGAAGATCAAATTTGAAAGGATTTGCTAACAAATTAGATATGAAAGGTAAGACAGGCGAGTCCCAAATGATTCTAAGATTTCTGGTGCAAGCAATCACAAGGGCAGAGATGCCACCAACCAGTAGGGGAAAACTAAGGAGAAGCAAGCTTATGGTCAGAAGATCAGGAGTTCAGGCTTAGGCGCATTAAAGGTTTGAGACATCTATTAGATATCCAAGAGAATACAATACAAATGTACTGTCCAGGTTAAAAAAAAATTAATGCCTGCTATTATCAAGAAAAACAAGCAATCAATGTATTAACTTTTCTGCTGATGACCGAAACATTTCAAAATCTCAACTTTTACAGACTTCCTAACATGGTACAAAAGGTTCACTACTTAAAAAGATTCCCAAAACTTTAAAGAGAGACCTTGTCAGCTTGACAATGTAGAGAACACAAATCACCCATGTACCCTCTAACCCAATTATCTGATCTCTGATGGTTCTTTCATGGAAAAGCTGAAAAGGCTACAGTTGCAGAGGACACTTACTGCTGAGGATGTAGAGAAGACCGGGGGAAAGGGTATGCCTGTGTCCAAGGGGGTTTGAGGAAGTTTTCCCGGCCCGGAGTGAAGGAGGTCTCGAAGGCTAGACCCTTCGGTTTTGTTGTTGGAGGCAGTGGGACCCAGCAACAGACTGTTAAAAAGCTTTGGAGTCAGCGGAGAGACCTTTGCAGTGGAGTTGAACGAGTCCAGCCCAAAGGGTGAATGAGACTCTTTATTGAGCACCGACCTCAGGGACCCTGCTTCTGTAAGAACATAACCAGGAACAGCATTAGGTACAAAAAGGAATAATCAGCACACAACTGACTCCTAAAAATCAGTCACATGGGAAGGAGGAAAGATTCTCTCCTTTCCCTTGCACCCCCCAAACTGTGTATGGTTTGTTTGGGTCAAGCCTTACAAGCTATAATTATAGGAGGTCTCACAGCCAAGGAGAAACTCTCCTACTACTTCTTTACCAGATCTGAATTTCAAACTCCCTTTTGTTGTCATCCATCTTTCATCTCCCTCACTTCCTAAGACAGTGTTTCAAGTGTATCTTCAGGATACCTGTACTGAAGTCACTTGGAGTGCTTGTTAAAAATGGAGATCTTTACCCCCAGAGATTCTGATTTCATAGTTCTGGGCGGGACACAGGAATCTGCATTTTTAACCATTCCCCAGATGATTCTTGTGCCCAGTGAAAACTTCTGCTCTAAGTCTAGCTCTCAACCCTGGCTGCATAACAGAACCATCTCAGAAGCTTGTTAAAAGTCTTGTATATGGCTGGGAATGGTGGCTCACGCCTATAATCCCAGCACTTTGGGAGGCCGAGGCAGGTGTATCACTTGAGGTCGGGAGTTTGAGACCAGCCTGACCAACATGGAGAAACCTCGTCTCTATTAAAAATACAAAAAAATTAGCTGGGCGTGGTGGCACATGCCTGTAATCCCAGCTACTTGGGAGGCTGAGGCAGGAGAATCACTTGAACCTGGGAGACGGAGGTTGCAGTGAGCCAAGATCGCGCCACTGCACTCCAGCCGGAACTCCAGGCAACAAGAGCAAAACTCCGTCTCAAAACAAACAAACAAAAAAAACCCCTTGTATAAATTCTGACTAGAGATCCAGGGTAGGGCCCAGGCATCTGCCTTTTTAGAGAAGTTCCACTTCTAGAAAGAAGTTGAAAGGTAGTCCCTCATATATATGTGTGTGTGTGTGTGTGTGTGTGTGTGTGTGTGTGTGTATGTGTGTGTATATATATGTGTGTGTGTATATATATATGTATATATATATATATATATATTTTTTTTTTTTTTTTTGAGACAGAGTCTTGCTGTTACCCAGGCTGGAGTGCAGTGGCATGATCTTGGCTCACTGCAGGCTGTGCCCCCCAGGTTCATGCCATTCTCCTGCCTCAGCCTCCCAAGTAGCTGGGACTACAGGCACCCGCCACCTCGCCCAGCTAATTTTTTTGTATTTTTAGTAGAGACGGGGTTTCACCATGTTAGCCAGGATGGTCTTGATCTCCTGACCTCGCGATCTGCCCGCCTTGCCTCCCAAAGTGCTGGGATTACACGCGTGAGCCACCACGCCAGGCCCCGGCAGTCCCTCATGTGATTAGCCAGAGAAAGTAAGTAGCATGTTTCATAAATGTGGATGGTAATGTGTGAGTTCAAAGAATCCTGGAAAAAACTCATGATTTCTACCATAGGCAGAGCAGAGGTTTGTGTGCATCTCACCTTTTGTTTCTTCTTTAGCCTTCTGAGTTGCTAAATCTGCCAACCAGTGCAGGGCGGAGGAGGGTGGGGCCGTGTCAGGGCAAGGAGGCCTGATGGCTTTCAGTTCACTATTGCTATTTGATGCCGAACTGTCTGTTTTCAGAGGCTCTTCAGATCTGATGTCAGTGCTGTCGGCTTTGGGAACATGGTCCGGCTCTGGAGTTGTTACTGGTGCCGGTCCTCCTCCACCAGAGAAGGTAGTTTCGTTTCCAGAAGAGGCACTAGGGTTTATGCTAGGAAGCTAAAATGCAGAAGGCCAACATAATTAGAGTGCTGTGCTTGGGTAGAAAAAAATACAACTAGTAATGGCTTCACATACTAAATAGGTCTGGGAAGAATAATCTGTCATGTAAACTGGCATTTCATACATTATTTAATTCAACATATATTTATTGAGTCCTACAACATGCCAGAAACCAGGCTAGCTTCTGTGGAAAGATCAGTGAACAAGGCTTGAAGTTTGTAATCTAAAATAGTTAGCATGCCTGACACAATTTCTGCAATGGTGAATTGGTAATTTAAATGACCTCGTAGTGCTGTTCTTAGGATTACATAAAATAGCATATGCAAAGGGCTTAGCATAGTTCTGACACAGATAAATGCTAAATAAATGTTTATTACTCTTACTGATTTTTCTAAATAATTTGCTTTATCTATTTACATACTCTATATAGTCAACTCTACTGAAAATATATCTCAAGAACCCTCAGCATTAATCCCTGTGCCTCTTATCATCAACGATGTGTTGTAGCAGTGTTGCCAGAAAGGCCATGGAATGTAAGCAGTTGGTTGTGCGTGTCTGAAGAGAAAACCAGGCCAGGTGCGGTGGCTCATGCCTCTAATCTCAGAATCTTGGGAGTCCAAGGTGGGTGGATCACTTGATGTCAGGAGTTTGAGACCAGCCTGAGCAACATGGTGAAACCCTGTCTCTACTACAAATAAAAAAATTACCCAGGTGTGGTGGCGCATGCCTGTAGTCCCAGAAACTTGGGAGGCTGAGGCATGAGAATCACTTGAACCTGGGAGGCAGAGGTTGCAGTGAGCCGAGATCATGCCACTGCACTCCAGTATGGGCAACAGAGCAAGACTCTGTCTGAAAAAAAAAAAAAAAAAAAAAACCAAAACCAAAACTGACAAAGCAATGTGAAAACCACTGCCTCTGAACCCAACTCAGTGAGCCAATCTTCATATTTCTGTCTTCTGCACCTGAGATGAATCCAGTGATAGGGACCATGTATCTTCTCAGATAAGACTCAAGAAGACCAGCAGTATTCTTAGCAACCTTTTCTATATTCTTTACCCATACAAAGACCCTGAGGTATGTATCTTGACAAGATGCTAAGAATCTCTTTGTGCTATCAGTCAACCATGAACTGGTTTAAAGATGAAGAGAAACTGTACCAATCAGGGGTAATTAAAATCCTTTGAGTAAAGTTATTTAAGCTCTCTCTAGAAAGGCTTCTCCATCTCCTGATTCCTCAGGAATCCTACAGTAGCCTGGCATAACAGAGTTGAAAAGGGGGCATTTCCTGGTACAAAAAAATTTAGGCTTCACTTAGTTATACCCACACACACCAGTTTACCTGTGACATCCCATTGGTGACGGCAGGTCTCAATACAGATTTGTTCTGTCGACTGATACAAGGGCAGTTTGCTTTAATTCCCCACTTGCCCCGGGCAGCATGTACCATGTCTCCAATATTGTAAAGAGCTGGGAAAAAAATGTAACAATAAAAATAACACCAGAATACTCATATATGCCACATATTGTGCTAAGAGTGTTCTTTACATTATCTCCCTCAATCCTTACCACATTTCAATAACGTAGCTGCTTTTACTTCAATTTTTGATGATCAAACTGAGGCTGAGAGAAGAAGTTAGGCCATTTGCTCAAGTACATAAAGCTGGTAAACGGGAGCACTAAGACTTTAGCCCAGGTATATCTACCCCTAAAGTTCTGTTACTTTTAAGCACTAAGCTACACCCCTTTCCCTCTTCTAGTAAACATTAACACGGTATCCTCCAGGAGAAACTCTAGGGGTAGATTCTCTAGTGTTCAAGAGTATAAATATTGGCCAGGTGTGGTGGCTCACGCCTCTAATCCCAGCACGTGGGAGGCCAAGGCGGAAGAATTGCTTTGAGGTCAGGAGTTTGAGGCCAACCTGGCCAACATGGTGAAACCCCATCTCTACTAAAAATACAAAAATTAGCTGGGCATGATGGTGCGTGCCTGTAATTCTAGCTACTTGGGAGGCTGAGGCACGAGAATCGCTTGATTCTAGGAGGTAGAGGTTGCAGTGAGCTGAGATTGTGCCACTGTACTCCAGCCTGGGCAACAGGGTGAGACTCCGTCCCAAAGAGTGTAAACATTTGGAATTGTATACTTTACTGTAAGTTATACCTTAAAAAAAAGGTAAAAACTAACAGATCAATGTAAACTTTATATGGCTAAATATTTATACTAAGAGCTGCAGGGAGCAGGCATCCTACCACTGCACTCAGGAAACCCTTTGGCTTAGAAGCAGTGGGGTATAAGGGATCCAGGGGATGCTCCAGCAAAGTTTTCTTTGGTTTTTTGTTATGTTTTTTTTTTTTTTTTTTTTTTGAGACAGAGTCTCACCGTATCGCCTAGGCTGTAGTGCAGTGGCATGATCTTGGCTCACTGCAACCTCTGCCTCCTAGGTTCAAGCAATTCTCCTGCCTCAGCCTCCCTAGTAGTTGGGATTACAGGCGCTTACCACCATGCCTGGCTAACTTTATATTTTTAGTAGAGGTGGGGTTTCACCATGTTGGCCAGGCTGGTCTCGAACTCCTGACCTCAAGTGATTCACCCGCCTCAACCTCCCAAAGTGCTGGGATTACAGGTGTGAGCCACCATGCCTGGCCTGTGGCAAAGCTTTCTTAAGTGGAGGATAATATAGGCAGTAGTTTGGCAGAGTCATCATCTTCAATGGATGTATGTTAATGGAAGTACAGAAGGTAGGCATACAGAACTTCTGGAAGAATCACTGAAGTAAACTGGGATTGTGACACAAACATAACCATTCATTCCTAATGCTGAGCAAGCTGTCTTCCTCATGGATTCAAGATATCTTATTATCTTCAGCTGGATTTATTTTATTTTTTAATTATATGAGATGGGGTCTTGCTATGTTGACCAGTCTGGTTTTGAACTCCTGGCTTCAACTGATCCTCCAATCTTGGCCTCCCAAAGTGCTGGGATTACAGGCATGAGCTACCACACCTGACCATTTTAGCTGTTTTACAAGCCTAAAACCAGAAGTCTTTCTGAAAGCCTAGGCACTGGCTTTTTCATTCTGGTCCAGCCAACCACAGGAATGGGAAATGATATCTGGAAACAAGACCAGGTCCTCTGATCAGAAATGGGGAGCAGAGTGTGCAGTGGCCACGTGCACACTAACACATATCTAAAGATCCAAATTTGGCTCAGCACGGTGGCTCACAGTTATACTCCCAGTACTTTGGGAGGCCGAGGTGGGAGGGTCATTTGAGGCCAGGAGTTCAAGACCAGCCTGTGCAACATATTGGGACTCCGTCTCTGAAAAAAAAAAAAATTTAAATTAAATAATAAGCCAGGTGTGGTGGTGCATGCCTGTAGTCCTAGCTACTTGGCAGGCCGAGGTGGGAGGATCACTGGAGGTCAGGAGTTCAAGGCTGCAGTAAGCTATGACCACACCACTGCACTCCAGCCTGGGTGACAGAGCAGACAGTCTCTTCAATAATAATACAGAAGTGTCTCTTCAATAATACAGAAGGGTCTCTTCAATAACAATAATAATAATGATAATAATAATAAAGATCCAAATTCTCAGAGAAATCTGATGATGCTTAAAAGAAAAAATGAGGCTAAATCATTTCAAAAAATTTTATGGTGTATGGCTATCTCAACTAAAAACATTTCTTCCACCAAATCTAAAAAAGGAATTTCCTTACCTGTGCCAGGAATAATTTGTGTGGGCATGAGATTCTCTGGTTCGTGGGACTGTCCCTTTGCACACTTCAACCAGGAGAAAACTTCTTCATCACCCATCTCTTCTGTCTCTGAAATAGAAATGATTTCACTTATTTTATAAGGGTCACAAAAATGGATCCTTCTCAGTGAATGGAGTTTCAGAACCCCAAAGGCCAATTTTCTCATGGCTGAAGGAGATAACAGCTAACTTAAAAAAACAAAAAGCCCCTGCTTTACTGAGATTTTATTTATTTATTTATTTTTGAGACAAGGTTTGGCTCTATCATCCATGCTGGAGTCTAGTGGCTTGATCATGGCTCACCGCAACCTCCGCCTCTCTGGCTCAAGCCATCCTCCCACCCTAGCCTGCAAAGTAGCTGGAACTACAGGAGTGCACCATCACCCCCAACTAATGTTTGTATTTTTTTGTAGAGATGGAGTTTCGCCATGTTGCCCAGGCTGGTCTCCAACTCCTGGGCTCAAGTTCCTGGGCCTGCCTTGGCTTCCCAAAGTGCTGGGATTACAGGTATGAGTCACTGTGCCCAACCTAAGGTATAATTTATAAAGAATAAATCCAGCAATTTAAAGTGTTTACTTCAGTGAGTTTAGAGAAACTGAATGAACAACTACCACAATCATGACATAGAACCTTTCTATTACATCTCCAAAAGTTCTCTCAGGCTCTTTGTAGTCAATTCTCTTCCCTCAAGCCCTGGCCATCAGTGATCAACTTTATAATACTAAAGTTTTGCTATTGGCTGGGCGCAGTGGCTCAAGCCTGTAATCCCAGCACTTTGGGAGGCCGAGGCGGGCGGATCATGACGTCAGGAGATCGAGACCATCCTGGCTAATACGGTGAAACCCTGTCTCTACTAAAAATACAAAAAATTAGCCAGGTGTGGTGGCGGTTGTCTGTGGTCCCAGCTACTCCGGAGGCTGAGGCAGGAGAATGGCGTGAACCCAGGAGGCGGAGCTTGCAGTGAGCTGAGACCACGCCACTGCACTCCAGCCTGGGCGACAGAGCGAGACTCCATCTCAAAAAAAAATAATAATAAGTTTTGCCTTTCAAAAATGTCATATAAAATGGAAGCATGTAGGATGCAGTCTTTGTGTTGGGTTTCTTTCACTTGGCATAATGCTTTTGAGTCATCTATATTGTTGTGTGTATTAGTAATTCATTCCTTTGTATAGCTGAGTAGTATTCCATGGCAGCAATGTATCATAACTTGTTTATCTATTCATCAGCTGGTGAACATTTGGACTGTTTCCAATTTTTGGCTATTATAAATAAAGCTGCTACACGGCTGGGTGCAGTGGCTTACACCTGTAATACCAACACTTTGGGAGGCTGAGGTGGGCTCAGGAACTTGAGCCCAGGAGCTTGAGACCAGCCTGGGCAACATGGTAAAAAAATTAAAAATTAGCCAAGCATGGTGATGTATGCTTGTGGTCCCAGTTACTTGGGTGGCTGAGGTAGGAGGATTGTTTGAGCCTGGGAGGCGGAGGCTGCAGTGAGCAGAGATCGCTCCACTGCACTCCAGCCTGGGCAACAGAAAGAGACCCTGTCTCAAAAACAAAAAAACAAAAAAATAAATAAAGCAGCTATAAACATTCATGTATAGGTCTTTCTGTGGAAATGTTTTTATTTCTCTTGTAAATACCTAGCAGTGCGATGCCAGGTCATATAGTTAATTTTAGCTTTATAACTTTGTAAGAAATGACCTTCTTGCTTTCCAAAGTGATGGTACCAATCTGCATTCCTACCAGCAATATTTAAGAGGTCTACTTCTACATCCTTGATAATACTTGATACTGTCCGGTTTTCTTTTTTTTTTTTTGAGATGGAGTCTCGCTTTGTCGCCCAGGCTGGAGTGCAGTGGTGTGATCTCGGCTCACTGCAACCTCTGCCTCCCCGGTTCAAGCAATTCTCCTGCCTCCGCCTCCCGAGTAGCTGAGACTACAAGTGCGTGCCACTATGCCCAACTAATTTTTTGTGTTTTTCATAGAGACAGGGGTTCAATGTTAGCTAGGATGGTCTCAATCTTCTGACCTTGTGATCCACCCGCGTCGGCCTCCCAAACTGCTGGGATTACAGGTATGAGCCAACATGCCTGGCCAATACTGTCAGTTTTAAGAATTGTAGCCATTCTAGTGGACATAATAATTTCTCATTATGGTTTTAATTTGTATTTCCCAAATTAATTACAATTTTTCCCATGTACTTACCTGCCATCGACTATATTTTTTGGTGACGTATCTGTTCAAACCTTTTTAAAACTAGCTTGGGCTGGCATGGTAGCTCACACCTGTAGCACTTTGGGAGGCCAATGTGGAAGAATCGCTTGAGCGTAAAAGTTAAAGACCAGGATGGGCAACACAGTGAGACCCCATTTCTACAAAACCAAACCAAAACAGAACAACAATAACAAAAAAATGGGCTTGTTTGCCCAGGCTGGTGTCAACCTCCTGCTGGACTCTAGTGATCCTTCTGTCTCAGCCTCCCAGGTAGCTGGGATTATAGGTGTTACACCACTGTGCACAGCAGCTTTTCATTTTCTCTTTTTTTGGAGACAGGGTCTCACTCTGTCACCCAGGCTGGAGTGTAATGGCACGATCGTGGCTCACTGCAGCCTCAACCTCCCAGGGTTAAATAATTCTCCCACCTCAGCCTCCTGAGTAGCTGGGACCACAGGTGAAAGCCACCACGTCTCGCTAATTTTTAAATTTTTTTTGTAGAGATGAGGTCTCCGTGTTGCCTAGGCTGGTCTTGAACTCCTGGGCTCAAGCAATCCCACTGCCTTGGCCTCCGTAACTGTTGGGATTACAGGTTATAAGCCACTGTGCCTGGGCTATTTTCATTTTCTTAAACATGTCTTTTTTTTTTGGAGACGGGGTCTCACTCTTTTGCCCAGGCTGGAGTGCAGTGGTGCAATTTCGGCTCACTGCAACCTCCGCTTCCTGGGTTCAAGCGATCCTCCTGCCTCAGCCTCCCAAGCAGCTGGGATTACAGGTGCCCGCCACCACGCCCAGCTAATTTTTGTATTTTTAGTAGAGACAGGGTTTCAACATGTTGGCCAGGCTGGTCTCGAACTCCTGACCTCAGGTGATCCACCTGCCTCAGCCTCCCAAAGTGCTGGGATTACAGGCATGAGCCACCGTGCCCAGCTTTTACGTGTCTTCTGAAAAGGTAAAGTTTTAAACTTTTATATTAGGCCGGACACAATGGCATGTGCCTGTAATCCCAGCACTTTGGGAGGTTGAGGCAGGTGGGTCACCTGAGATCAGGAGTTCGAGACCAGCCTGGCCAACATGGTGAAATGGTGAAATCCTTTCTCTACTAAAAATACAAAAAAATTGGCTGGGGGTGGTGGCGGGCACATGTAATCCTGGCTGCTCGGGAGGCTGAAGCAGGAGGATCGCTTGATCCTGGGAGGTGGAAGCTGCAGTGAGCTAAGATTGCACCACTGCACTCCAGCCTGGGTGACAGGACGAGACTTTGTCTCAGAAAAAAAAAAAAAATTAAAAGAATAAAAAATAAACTTTTATATTTTTCATTTGCATTGTGTTCTATCTAAGAAATATTTCTTTAGTGCAAGGATACAAATATTTTATTTCTTTCTAGAAGTTTTAGTTTTAGCTTTTATGTTTAGGCCTATGGTCCACTTAGAGTTAGTATTTTGTATATGGTGGGAGGTAAAGACAGAGGTTTGTGGGCGGCAAGCCACCCAGGCGCCGAGGCAAGAGACCAAGGACACGAGCTGTTCCAGTATAATAAATATAAAACAAGAATAGTTATACCAGATATAGATCTTAGATATGATTATATATGAATATCATTAATCATTAGTTGGTAGTAATTATTCTTTATCCCAATATTATAATAATCCTCGCTCTATAATCATAACCTAGGAAAAACCAGGCCATACAGAGATAGGAGCTGAGGGGACATAGTGAGGTATGACTAGAAGACAAGAGTGTGAGCCTTCTGTTATGCCCGGACAGGGCCACCAGAGGGCTCCTTGGTCTAGCGGTGACGCCAGCATTTGGGAAGACGCCCGTTGCCAGGTGGACCGTGGTCTAGCAGTAGCGAAAAGTGTCAAGGAACAACACCCGCTACTTAGCAGACCAGGAAAGGGAGTCTCCTTTTCCCTGGGGGAGTTTAGAGAAGACTCTGCTCCTCCACCTCTTGTGGAGGGCCTGACATCAGTCAGGCTTGCCCGCAGTTATCCGGAGGCCTAACCGTCTCCCTGTGATGCTGTGCTTCAGTGGTCACACTCCTAGTCCGCCTTCATGTTCCATCCTGTACACCTGGCTCTGCCTTCTAGATAGCAGTAGAAAATTAGTGAAAGTACTAAAAGTCTCTGATATGCAGAAATAATGGCGTAAGCTGTCTTTCTCTTTGTCTCCTCTCTCTCTCTGCCTCGGCTGCCAGGCAGGGAAGGGCCCCCTGTCCAGTGGACATGTGACCCACGTGACCTTACCTATCATTGGAGATGACTCACACTCTTTACCCTGCCCCTTTTGCTTTGTATCCAATAAATAACAGCACAGCCAGACATTCGGGGCCACTACTGGTCTCCGTGCATTGGTGGTAGTGGTCCCCCGGGCCCAGCTGTCTTTTCTTCTATCTCTGTCTTGTGTCTTTATTTCTACACTCTCTTGTCGCCGCACACGGGGAGAGACCCACTGACCCTGTGGGGCTGGTCCCTCCAGAGGTTCCTCTTTTTTTTTTGGAATATGGATATACAATTGTTCCAGTACCATTTGTTGAAAGGGTTATCCTTTCCCCCACTGAACTACCTTGGCACCTTTGTCGTAATTGATTATGTATGTGTGGGTTTACTTCTAGATTGTTTTCTGTTCCCTTACCACAGTGTCTTAATTACTGTAGCTTTAATATTAATTCTTGAAATGTAGTACAAGTCCTTCAACTTGACTCTATTTCAAAATTGTTTTGGGTATTCTAGATCCACTGTATTTCACATACATTTCAGAACCGCCTTGTCAATTTCTACAAAATGGCCTACTGAGACTTTGATTTGGAATTGCATTTAATTACATATCAATTTAGAAGAAGTGACGTCTTAGTATTCAACCCTCTATTTTTCTTTTCTTTTCTTTTCTTTTTTTCTTTTAAGAAGGAGTTTCGCTCATTGCCCAGGCTAGAGTGCAATGGCACGATCTCAGCTCACTGCAACCTCTGCCTCCCAGGTTCAAGCAATTCTCCTGCCTCAGCCTCCCGAGAAGCTGGGATTACAGGCATGTGCCACCATGCCTGGCTAATTTTGTATTTTTAGTAGAGACAGGGTTTCTCCATGTTGGTCAGGCTGGTCTCGAACTCCCAACCTCAGGTGATCTGCCTGCCTCGGCCTCCCGAAGCGCTAGGATTACAGGCGTGAGTTAGCCACGGCGCTCGGCCTATTTTTCATTATTGTTATTTTTTCTTTATCTTTTAACAATTTTTTTGTAGAGATGGGATCTTGCTGTGTTGCCCAGGCTGGTCTCAAACTCCTGGCCTCAAGTGATTCTCCCACTTCAGTTTCCCAAAGTGCTAGGATTACAGACATGAGCCACCACACGCAGCCCATATTCAATCTTTGGATCCACAAATATGGTATATCTCTTCATTTATTTAGGTATTCTTTAATTTCTCTCAGTAATATGTTGTAGTCTTCAGTGTATGTGTCTTGTAGGTATTGGCTAAATTTGTCCCTAAGCACTTCATGATTTTATGATGCTCGGCTCACTGAAGCTTCTGCCTCCCAGGTTCAAGGAATTCTCCTGCTTCAACCTCCCATTACATTTCAATTTCTAATTGTTCATTGCTATCATACAGAAAAATAATTGATCTTTGTATGTTGACTTTGTATCATGTAATATTGAAAAAACTCATTATAATATTAGCTTTTTTGTAGATCTCTGGATTTCTACATAGATGATCATGTTGTCTGAGAATAAAAATCATTTTACTTCTTTCCAATCTGTATGTCTCTTCTTTTGTTTTCCTTTTCCCCTTTTTCCCTTTTATTTCTTCATACTGACCACTAACTCCAGTAAAATACTGAATAGAAGTTACAAAAGCTGACATCCTTGCTTTGTTCCTGAACCTAAGAGGAAGAAGTCAATCTTTCATATTATATGATATTCTACTTATACATAGTTGTGTTTTTCAAACATTATTTCATTATCATTCTCCAAAGAGCCTTTTCAGACTTTGTTTTGTGGTCATTGTGCTCTCCACCCAAGAAATTTTAATACCAGATATACTGTATATCTGTTTATGTATTATGGCCCCCTGAAAGGGCACAAAAAATTGTTAACATTTTAGATTCTCCCTCCCAAGCAAGAGCCAATTTTCACCTGATGAGAATGCATAGCCTAGGTTTTTGATAATTTAGACAAATGATTTTTCTGCTATATCTTGAGATCATGTGGTTATTTTTTAGTCTACTAATATAGTGGACTGCACTGATTTTCAAGTGAACCCCATTTGTTCATGATGTATTATTCTTTTTATATATCTCTTGACTTAAACTTGCTTAAGTTTTATAGAATATTTTTACATCTATGTTCATGATGGATACTGGGGCTGTAACTTTCTATGCTTCTCATGTCTTTATTTGGTTTTGATATTAGTATAATGCTGGCTTCATAAAACGAGCTGGTAAGTGCTTCCTCCCATTTTCTGAAAGACTGTGTGTATAATTGGTATTATTTCCTCCTTAAATGTTTGCTATAATTTACTAGTAAGGCCACCATCTAGACCTTAAGTTTTCTTTGTTGAAAGATTTTTGAAACTACAAATTCAATTTCTTTCTTTTTTTTTTTTTTAAGGAGTGTAGGAGCAAAGGTTTAATAGGAAAAAAAGAAAAAAAAAAGAAAGAAAGAGAAAGTAAAACAGCTCTCTCTCGTGAGAGAGGGGACTCCCAGACCAGTTGGTGGCAGATGTGCTGGATTTTACTCAGGCTTGAGGCGGCGGCGTCTGATTTACATAGGGATTACAGATTGGTTCAATCAGGTATGATGTTTACATAGCTTTAGGGGAAGGCTGGCTACCCCACCCTAATGTTATTATGCAAATGAACTTTCCCCTTGGCTGGTGCCATCTTGTCTGCTCCTTACTGTACATATGGTTGACAAAGCGAAGGGAAGATGAAGCTCCCATCTTGAACATGATTTCATAACTGCTAACATCTATGTCTGCAACTGAATTTTACAGGCTGCTCTTTGTTAGAAAGAAAATAATTTGGGGCTGCTTTTCATTAAATGGAAAACCTTACCAAGGACTTCTGTACCCTCAGTATCCACCTAAGTAATTTCTTCTTAACACCTGTATCATTCCCCGCTCTGGAGTGGTAACCCTAACTACTATTAGGGGCTGTTGGACGAGGACTCTTTCTGGCTACTTCCTGCTGAAAAGAGGTGTTGTGTGGGGAACAGCAGGTAGGGCTCCTCCTGGGGCCGATCTAAGAGTCCTCGGAAGAAAGGCACGTCCATGTGTGGTTCTGTCTGCAGCACCATTTGGAGTTTGATTGCTGTTAGCCATTCCGATGGGTTGTAACACTGGTTTGCCTCCACCAGATGTTGCGTTTTGATGAATGCTGTACCTTGATATCTGGGACGAGGTCCCCAGTATGAAGCAGCTACGTTGTCTGGGGTAAATACCTGAGGTTCATCATCTCGTGCCAGGAAAATTTTGGACACGGACACACATGAGGAATTTAGGAGTGGAGGTTTAACAGGCAAAAGAGAGAAAGATAAAGAAAGGAAATCAGCTCTCTCTCTAGTGAGAGAGAGGGGGCTTCCAAGAGGAAAAGACCAAGTTCTTAATGTAAAGTTATTTAGGTTCTCTATTTGTTCTCGAGGGAATTTTGATGGTTTGTGTTTTTCATGGAATTTGTCCATTATATCTAAGCTGTAAAAGTTATTGGCATAGGCTGGGCGTGGTGGCTCACACCTGTAATCCCAGCACTTTGGGAGGCTGAGGCAGGCAGGTCACCTGAGGTCAGGAGTTCGAAACCTGCCTGACCAACATGCCAAAACCCCGTCTCTACTAAAAATACAGAAATTAGCTAGGTTTGGTGGCACACACCTATAATCCCAGCCACTTGGGAGGCTGGGGCAGGAGAATCGCTTGAACCCGGGAGATGGAGGTTGCAGTGGGCTGAGATCGTGCCACTGCACTCCAGCCCGGGCGACAGAGATAGACGCTGTCTCAAAAAAAAAAAAAAAAAAAAAATTATTGGCATAATAATGTTCATAATTTTACTTATCCTTTTAATGTCTAAAAGATCTGCATTGAGGTCCTCACATTCTTTTTTTTTATTATTAAAGAGATAGGGTCTCACTATGTTCCCCTGCTGGTCTCAAACTCCTGGATTCAAGTGATCCTCCCACCTAAGATTCTCAAATAGATGAGAGTATAGGCACACGCCACTGTGCCTACATCTCTCATTCTCTCATTGGTAAACTGTACCTTCTCTTTTTCATCATGTAGGCAGAAGATTAGCACATATAAAATATCTTTTTCTCATTTATACTCTTTTAAAAAGTTAATTGTTTAACTTTTCTTTTTTTTTATTGAGACAGAGTTTCACTCTTGTTGCCTAGGCTAGAGTGCAATGTCGCGACCTCAGCTCACTGCAACCTCCACCTAAGTGATTCTCCTGCCTCAGCCTCCTGAGTAGCTAGGTCTACAGGTGCCTGCCACCATGCTCAGCTAATTTTGTTTGTATTTTTAGTAGAGACAGGGTTTCACCGTGTTGGCCAGGCTGGTCTCGAACTCCTGACCTCAGGTGATCCACCTGCCTCAGCCTCCCAAAGTGCTGGGATTACAGGCGTGAGCCACTGTGCCTGACCTTAACTTTTCTTTTTTTGAGACAGGGTTGCACTATGTCACCCAGGCTGGAATGCAGTGGTGCAATCATGGCTCACTACAGCCTCACCCTTCTGGGCTCAGGTGATCCTCTCCCATCAGCCTCTGAGTAGGTGGGACCACAGGTGTGTGCCACCACGCCCAGCTAATTTTTAAATTTTTTGTAGAGATGGGAGTCTTGCTATGTTGCCCAGGCTGGTCTTGAACTCCTGGCCTCAAGTAATCCCCATCTTGACTTCTCAAAGTGTTGGGATTGCAAGTGTGAGCCACCAAACCTAGCCAGTCCCATTTCTTTTTGGTTTCATTTTTCCTGCCTTCTTTTGAACTACTTACATATTTTTTGTGATTTGATTTTGTTTCCCATTTTGGACTTACTAGCTATATTTCTTTGTTTTTAAGTGGTTGCTGTAGCATTTTCAGTATTAATCTTCAACTTATCAAAGTCTATCTTCAAATATTAATCTCACTTTACATAAAGTGTAAGATCCTTACAAAACTATACTTCCAGTTTTCCCTCTTTTCCTCTGTGCTGCTATTATATATTTGAATTTTACATATAGTATAAACCCCAAAATATATTGTTACTATTTTTGCTTTTAAACAATTAACTTTTAAAAAGATTATAAACGAGAAAAAGAGATCTTTTATATTTACTCATATATACCATGTAGGATGTTCTTCATTACTTTGTGTAAGTTCTGATTTCCATTTCATTTTCTTCTGCCTGAATAACTACCTTTAACTTTATTATCGTGTGGATCTGCTGGTGGTGCATTCTATCAGCTTTTCTTGGTTTGAGAAAAGCTGCTAGAATGGTCACTCGTTTTTTTTTTCTTTTGTAAGACAGAGTCTTACTCTGTTGCCTATGCTAGAGTGCAGTGAAGTGATGATGGCTCCCTGCGGCCTCAACCTCTCAGCTCAAGTGATCCTCCCACCTCAACCTCCCAAGTAGCTGCGACCACAGGCATGTGTCACCATGCCTGGCTACTTTTAAAAAATATTTGTGGCGGGGCATGGTGGCTCATGCCTGTAATCCCAGCACTTTGGGAGGCTGGGGCGGGTGGATCACGAGATCAGGAGTTCAAGACCAGCCTGCCAACACAGTGAAACCCCATCTCTACTAAAAGTACAAAAATTAGCCAGGCGTGGTGGCAGGAACCTGTAATCCCAGCTACTTGGGAGGCTGAGGCAGGAGAATCACTTGAACCTGGGAGACAGAGGTTGCAGTGAGCCAAGATCGCACCACCGCACTCCAGCCTGGTCGACAGTACGACACTCTGTCTCAAAAAAAAAAAAAAATTTGTAGGCTGGGCACGGTGGCTCACGCCTGTAATCCCAGCACTTTGGGAGGCTGAGATGGGCAGATCACCTGAGGTCAGGAGTTTGAGACCAGCCTGATTAATTAACATGGCGAAACACTGTCTCTACTAAAAATATAAAAAACCCCACAAAAATTAGCAGGGCATGGTGGCACATGCCTGTAATCCCAGCTACTTGAAGGGGCTGAGGCAGGAGAATAGCTTGAACTCGGGAAGATGAGGTTGTAGTGAGCAGAGATCACACCCCTGCACTTCAGCCTGGGAGACAGTCAGACTCCATCTCAAGAAAAAAAAGAAAAAACAAAACAAAACAAAAAAGTTCATTCCATTGTTTTCTGTTGTCTTCTGGCCTACAGGACTTCTCATAAATTGGCTGTCATTCTTTTGTTTTTTTTTTTTTAGATGGAGTTTTGCTCTTGCTGCCCAGGCTGAAGTGCAATGGCATGACCTCGGCTCACCACAACCTTGGCTTCCCAGGTTCAAGTGATTCTCCTGCCTCAGCCTCCCAAGTAGCTGGGACCACAGGCATGTGCCACCACACCCGGCTAATTTTGTATTTTTAGTAGAGACAGGATTTCACCATGTTGGCCAGGTTGGTCTCGAACTCCCGACCTCAGGTGATCCCGCCCACCTTGGCCTCCCAAAGTGCTGGGATTACAGGCATGAGCCATGGCGCCCGGCCAGCCTGTCATTCTTATCTTTGTTACTCTACACAAAATGTGCTTTGGTGTGGTTTTCTTAATGTTTCTACTGTTTGGAGTTTGTTAATTTTGTGTTTACATAATTTTCACCAAATCTGGAAATTTTTTGGTTTTATTTAAATATTTTTTCTGCCTCTGCTCTCCCACTTTTTCTGAAACTCTACTTGTATGTTTGGTAGACTACCTGATATTTCCTGCAGCTCTACAAGGCATTTTTCAATTAATAAATGTAGGTCATTTTTCTCTGCTTTGTTTTAGATAGCTTCTTTTGTCAATGTCTGCAAGTTTAGTCTTTTTTTTTTCTTCTACATTATCTAATCTGCTGTTAATCTCATCTGGTGTAAATACCTGAGATATTTTTCATCTCTGGAAGTTTTCATTTGGGCTTTTATATATCTTCTTTTTCTCTCCTCATCACATCATGTATTTCTTTAAATCCTTAATCATATTTATAAGATGTATAGTAGCTACATTAAAGTTCTTTTTTTTTTTTTTGGTTGAGATGGGGTCTTGCTATATTGCCTAGGCTGGAATTGAACTCCTCGGCTTAAGTGATCCTCCTGCCTCAGCCTCCCAAAGTGCTGGGATTGCAGGTGTGAGCCATCATACCTGGCTTAAGGTTCTTTTCTATTCTTTTTTTTTTTTTTTGAGACAGAGTTTCGCTCTTGTTGCCCAGGCTGGAGTGCAATGGCACGATCTTGGCTCACTGCAAGCTCTGCCTCCCGGGTTCAAGTGATTCTCCTGCCTCAGCTTCCCGAGTAGCTGGGATTACAGGCACCCGCCACCATGCCTGGCTAATTTTTTCTATTTTTCATGCAGACGGGGTTTCAACATGTTGGCCAGGCTGGTCTCAAACTCCTGACCTCAGGCAGTCCACCTGCCTGGGCCTCCCAAAGTGCTGAGATTACAGGCATGAGCCACTGTGCCAGGCTGGTTCTTTTCTATTCTATTATCACCGTCATTCTGGGGTTTTTTCCTATTGATTGATTATCCCTCCTCAGCTTACTGGTCATGTAAGTTGGTATTTTTGCACACTCGATAATTACTGATTAAATGCAAGGTTGTGACTTTTCTGGGTAGTGGGTTTTGTTTGAAGGGTGCTCCTTTAAATATTCCTTTAAAGGGTATTTGGTGTTAGTGTGGTGCACAATTATGTAACTTGCTAATCAGTTTGCTTCTTCCAAGGCTTGCTTTATACTTTGTTATGGAAGCTCCAGAATAGTTTTTATTCTGAGACTAAATTAGTCCCACTACTCTTCACACTGGCTGGTGGGAATACAAATCATGAATTTTGTGAATTATTCAGTCAATTGCTTTCTGAAGGTTCCATCTTGGGCTTTGAGGAACTTCATCTCATTCATGCACAGATTACTATATATACAAAAAACCAAGGGGCTGTCTCTGTAGAGAGTTCCAGCCTTTTCAGCACTTTGCCTTACTCTTCTCAGACTGTCATCTCTGTCTCTAGTCAGTAAGGTTGCCAGTTTCAGTTTTGGTTCTCTTTCCCTTGCTGTAGCCTAGAAACTGTGCCTAAGCAGTAAGCCAGGGCAACTGTAGGGATCACCTTGGTTTTTTCCCTTCTCTTAGAGATAACAGTCCCATGTTGCCTGTTGTTCAATGTCAAAAACTGTGGTTTCATATATTTTATCTAGTTTTCTCATTGTTTATGGCAGGAGGGCAATTCCTGTGACAGTTAATCTTTCATGGGCAGGTGCAGAATACTCTAGCAGCTAACATTTATGGAATACCTGGTGGGTGTCAGGTCCTATTCTAACCATGTTACATACAACATCTCATTCAAAACAACAAAGTTGTGAGGGAAGTACTGATATCTTTGTTTTACAGACAAGAAAACTGAGGCTCTGCAGGATTAAGTAACTAGCCCAAGATACAATAGTTGGTACAATAAGAGGTAGAAATAGGTGCCACATCACAGTAGCCTAAACTCTAAACCACTGTACAATGGTTATATTATACCTCCGAAGAGGGAAGAATGAAAAAGTCAAGGGGCAAGGAGGGTTTCTGGCACGTAATAAGATAAAGGAAGAACCAAAGGCAGCAAATAATTTGAATAGACATTTTTCCTAAGAAAATAAACAAATGGCTGGGCACAGTGATTCACACCTATAATTCCAGCAGTTTGGGAGGCCAAGGCAGGAGGATCACTTGAGCCTGGGAATTAGCAACCAGACTGGGCAATGTAGCGAGACTCCATCTCTACCAAAAAAAATTAGCTGGGCACGGTAGCACATGCCTGCAGTCCCAGCTATGCAGGAGGCTTAGGTGGGAGAACTGCTTGGGCCCAGGCGGTTGAGGCTGCAATGAGCCATGATGATGCCACTGCACTCCAGCCTGAGTGACAAAGCGAGACCCTTTCTTAAAAACAACAACAAAAAAAAAAGAAAGAAAAAAGAAAAGTTAAAAAAAAGCACATGGAAAGATACTCAACATCGTTAGTCACCAGGGGAAAGCAAATCAAAACGACACAATCAGATACTACGTCACAGCCACTGTGATGGCTATAACAAAAAAGACAAAGGACAAGTGTTGGCAAGAATGTGGAAAATTCCCTCATACATTACTGGTGGGATTGTAACATAGTGCAGCTACTTTAGAATATAGTCTGGCAGTTCCTCAAAAGGTTAAAAGTAGAATTGTCATATGCCCTAGCCAATTCCACTCCTACATGTATATATATACTCAAGAGAAATGCAACCATACGTTCACACAAAAAAACTGTACACAAATGTTCACAGTAGCACTATTCATAATAGCCAAATGCGGAGGCAACCCAAAAGTCCATCAACTGGTGAATAAACAAAATGAAGTATATCCAAAAAAGGAGTATTATTTGGCAATGCAAAGGAATGAATGGTTCACATGTGCTAAAACACAGATGAAACTTTAAAACATTACACTAAGTGAAAAGGGCTAGTCACAGAAGGCATAACAAAGTGTAAAGCAAGCCTTGGAAGAATCAAACTGTTTAGCAAGTTACTTAGCTATGCACTAGACTAGACACAATAGTGTATGTTTTGGTTTTTTTTTTTTTTTTGAGATGAAGTCTTGCTCTGTTGCCCAGGTTGGAGTACAGTGGCGTGATCTCAGCTCACTGCAACCTCCGTCTCCCGGGTTCAAGCGATTCTCCTGCCTCAGCCTCTTGAGTAGCTGGGATTACAGGTATGCGCCACCATGCCCGGCTAATTTTTGTATTTTTAGTAGAGACAGGGTTTCACCATATTGGCCAGGCTGGTCTCGAACTCCTGACCTTGTGATCTGCCCGCCTTGGCCTCCCAAAGTGCTGGGATTACAGGCGTGAGCCATGGCGCCTGGCTGATTCTATTTTTATGACATGTCCAGAATAGGCAAATCTACAGAGACAAAAAGCAGACTACTTGTTAAACTAGCATTAGTCTCAAAAAAAAAAAAGAGAAAAAAGTGGACTAGTGGATGCCAAGGGCTGAGGAGGAATCGGCAGTGACTGATAACAGGTATGGGTTGTCAGGTGGGGTGTGGGGTGATGAAAATGGAATTAGATAATGGCTGTACAACCTTGTAGATTTACTTTAATTGATTTTTAGACAGGTCTCACTCTGTTGTCCAGGCTGGAGTGCAGTGGTATGATCATAGCTCACTATAACCTCAAACTCTGAGCTCAGGTGATCCTCCTGCCTCAGCCTCCTGAGTAGCTGTGACTACAAGCATGTGCCACCATATCTAGCTAGCTAATTTTATTTTATTTTGTAGAGATGGGGTCTTGCTGTGTTACCCAGACTGGTCTCAAACCCCCGGCCTCAAGTGATCCTCCTATCTTCCTCTCAAAGTCCTGGAATTACAGGCATGAGCCACCACGCTAAGCCTTGTACACATTAAAAGGGGTGAATTTTATGGCATGTGAATTACATCTCAATAAAGATGTTATTTAAAAAAAAACACAGGTACGGTGGCTCATGCCTATGATTCCCAGCACTCTGAGAGGTCGAGGAGGATCACTTGAGCCTAGGTCAAGGGTGCAGTAAGCCATGATTGTGCCGCTGCGCTCCAACCTGGGCAACAGAGCGAGAATCTGCCTTAAAAAAAACAAAAACAAAAAAAAAACCAAGGAAAAATTAAGAATAATCCTTCTTGTCTTGTTTCAGCCTTCCTAGGCTAAATATTTGCCATTTTAAGGTCTTAAAATACAACAAAGTTGAATGAAGCCAAGCAGCTAAAGAGAGGCATAAGCCCATTCCTGCCTCAATTTTCAAATCCCACAACATCTTGGACATACCTCCACGTTACCTTTCGAGCTACACAGGACAATGTTTACTTACCACTGCGTGGCCGGCTTTTCCTGAGCCGGTAACAGTCAAGGCAGACCCCAAATCCACATTTGCGACAAACCCAGTGGATGTTGAAGAGAGTTGTTTCACACACATCACACATCTCCCGTACACCACGCACAGCTCGCTTCCATGCCACTTTCTCTGGTGGAAAGAGGAAACAGAATTGGCATTGATCATCCTGACCAATAACAAAAGACCCCAGACCCACTGATCCCTACTCAAGCTATTTTGTTCAGCAATAAAACTCAAAGATTCATAAAGTCTGTGTTTCTATAATTGTAGGAGAAACAAAATACAATAATTTCTAGTATTTCTGAACAAAGAGACTATATAACTTATTTATAATATAATGGTATTTCAAGGGCTCATGGTAATACCAGGATATAACCTATTGTCAAAAAGGAATTACTGCCACATGTTGTCACTTAAGGAATTGTAAAAAAATATATATATATATTTTTTTGAGATGGGGTCTCGCTTTGTCATCCAGGCTGGAGTGCAGTGGCGCGATCTTGGCTCACTGCAAGCTCCGCCTCCCGGGTTCATACCATTCACCTGCCTCAGCCTCCCGAGTAGCTGGGATTACAGGCACCCGCCACCAAGCCCAGCTAATTTTTGTATTTTTAGTAGAGATGGGGTTTCACCATATTGGCCAGGCTGGTCTTGAACTCCTGACCTCGTGATCTGCCTGCCTCTGCCTCCCAAAGTGCTGGGATTACAGGCATGAGCCACTGTGCCCAGCCGGAATTGAAAAATTTTTAACTGGGGGAGTTTAAAAATAAGAGGATTCCTCCCTTGAAATTTAGGATACAGGGCCGGGCGCGGTGGCTCACACATGTAACCCCAGCACTTTGGAAGGCTGAGGCGGGCAGATCACGAGGTCAGGAGATCGAGACCATCCTGGCTAACACGGCGAAACGCTGTCCCTACTAAAAACACAAAAAATTAGCCGGGCTTGGTGGTGGGCGCCTGTAGTCCCAGCTACTCAGGAGGGTGAGGCAGGAGAATGGTGTGAACCTGGGAGGTGGAGGTTGCAGTGAGCCGAGATTGTGCCACTGCACTCCAGCCTGGGCGACAGAGCGAGACTCCGTCTCAAAAAAAAAAAAAAAAAAAGAAATTTAGGATATAATTTCACAGTATAATTTTTCTTAGTCTGGAAAATAGGGCATAGTATCTTACAGACATGGAAATATTTGAAATGTATGAATAATGTGGGTTCTAGGTATGAAACATGGCACCTAGTAGCACACCATCTATTTACAAACCACAGAGCTTATTAATACAAATTGGTTCAAAGCAAACTGAAAATATTCAGAGTGAGGCAAACCCAAATGGGAATTTAAATGGATGTTATGGCTGCTGTGCTACAAAAACAAAGGCAAGCAGAGAAGGAGTATTTGGTTTGTTAATTGCCAAAGACTGAAAGAATGAGGTCTGCTGGATATAGTTAAGGTCTCAACGACAGGTTGCTACAAAGAGAAGTCTTATCGGTCTTAATTCATTCACAGAAAATGCCATCTGCCACTGTCCCCAATCTTCCCGTTAAGTGAAAGAAAATAAAAGTTTTTCACTAGGAGCACCTGGAAGACAAGTGAGAAGGTGACTTACGGTGTGGCTCCACCATCATCATGGCCTCCTTCTCAGACATTACGAGCTGGCAGAACTGGTCCCCAACATTGGCCAGGATGTATTTTGAGGTCTCTAGATCTATCCCTTCTGCTAGGGAGGAAGAGGGAATCCACAGGTTCATGGCATCAGGGTCACTTTGCTGGGGGCTTAAAAACCCCTCCACACGGAGTACCCCTTTTCGAGTGAAGATCAACCTGAGACATGATCAAATACATGGTAAATCGCAGGAGCAACGCAAACTAACACACACCTAAACTCCTGGGACCTAAACAGAAGTAAAATGAGACAACAGGAATCAGACTAAGAATTTTCACCAGTCGACCAAAACAGTATGCATTCTCTGCTAATAGTAAAGCTTGTTAACATAACATTTAGTAGGTCTAGATTCTTTAAAAAGCTGTCCCAGAGTTCCTCTTAGTTTTTCCATTCACCTGTTCTACACCTGCACCCATACTGCTGAATGTGACCAGATAAAAACACAGACCTACTTTCCAATTTTTTTTTTTTTTTTAAGACAGAGTCTTGCTCTGTCACCCAGGCTGGAGTGCCGTGGCATGATCTCGGCTCACTGCAACCTCCACCTCCTGCGTTCAATTAATTCTCCTGCCTCAGCCTCTTGAGTAGCTGGGACTATAGGCGCACGCCACAATGCCCAGCTAATTTTTGTATTTTTAGTAGAGACAGGGTTTCGCCATGTTGCCCAGGCTGGTCTTGAACTACTGCCCAGGCTGGTCTTGAACTACTGACCTCAAGAGATCCGCCTGCCTCGGTCTTCCAAAGTGCTGGGATTACAGGCATGAACCACACCACTCCCGGCTAACACAGAGCCACTTTCATTGTAACAATTTATTTATTTATTTTTTGGAGACAAAGTTGCGTTCTGTTACCCAGGCTGGAGCACAGTGGTGCCATCACAGCTCACTGCAGCCTTGACCTCCTGGGCTCAAACAATCCTGCCACCTCAGCTTCTCAAGTAGCTGGGACTACAGGGACATGCCACCACATCCAAATAATTTTTTATTTTTTAGTTTTTTTTTGAGACAGAGTCTCGCTCTGCCACCCAGGATGGAGTGCAGTGGTGCGATCTTGGCTCACTGCAAACGCCTCCTCCGGGGTTCATGCCATTCTCCCGCCTCAGCCTCCCCAGTAGCTGGAACTACAGGCGCCTGCCACCACGCCCAGCTGATTTTGTTTTTGTATTTTTAGTAGAGACGGGGTTTTACCATGTTAAGCCAGGATGGTCTCGATCTCCCGACCTTGTGATCCACCTGCCTCGGCCTCCCAAAGTGCTGGGATTACAGGCGTGAGCCACTGCGCCTGGCCTAATTTTTCATTTTTTAAAACTGTTTGTAGAGACAGGGTCTTGCCATGTTGCCCAGGCCAATTTCAAACACCTGGGCTTAAGCGATCCGCCCACCTCGGCCTTCCAAAGTGTAGGGATTATAGGCATAAGCCACTGTGCCTGGCCTTTTAACACTTTAAATTCATGTCTACCTACATCAAGTGAGTCCTTAATATTGCCTGACAGTCACAATACAGTTTCTTGGTACATTCCCTCTTCTAGATGCCTATTTTCATACCTTCCTTCTATTCATACCTCCAATATTACTTCCCCTGTGAGGACCTTGTTTTCTATTCCACTGAGAAAAGAGGAGCCAGAAAACAACCTCCACAAGCTCCCACCACGACACTACCACACTTCCCTGCAACTTGGCCCACGTATTCCATGAGTTCCCGCTGCTCTGAACCAGCAAAGGCCAGTATCTCCTACTACATCCTATCACTTTTCCCCAACCCAAAGGCATTTCTCCACTAAATCTCTCCTCTCTTTTCAACATCATCTATTTTCTTCTGTATCAGATCACTGCTGCCAGCACATAAATTTGCTCCAATTTCTACCACAAAAATCCTCTCAAGCCATACCCTCCCTCCATTTATCTGCTTGAGCAAAGTTCCTCTAAAGAGTTGTCTATACTTGGCCGGGCGCAGTGGCTCACGCCTGTAATCCCAGCACTTTGGGAGGCTGAGGCGGGCGGATCACGAGGTCAGGAGATCAAGACCATCCTGGCTAACACGGTGAAACCCTGTCTCTACTAAAAATATAAAAAATTAGCTGGGTGTGGTGGCGGGCACCTGTAGTCCCAGCTACTCGGGAGGCTGAGGCAGGAGAATGGCGTGAACCCGGGAGGCGGAGATTGCAGTGAGCCAAGATTGCGCCACTGCACTCCAGCCTGGGCAGCAAGACTCCATCTAAAAAAAAAGAAGAGTTGTCTATACTCATTGCCATAGGTTCCTTTCCCTTTTATTTTCTTCCCTACAATCAGGCAATTCCCCTACCAATCTAGCAAAACTATTTTGATAAGGTAATTCTACCTTGCTAAATCAGTCACTTCTAGTCCATATGTAACATGACCTGTCAGCAACATTTTTACTTTTTTATTAAAAATTGATTTGTGCAGGGTGCAGTGGCTCACACCCATAAGCCCTGCACTTTGGGAGGCTGAGGCAAGCGGATCACCTCAGGTTAGGAGTTCAAGACCAGCCTGGCCAATGTGGTGAAACCCTGTCTCTACCAAAAATACAAAAAATTAGCCGAGCATGGTGGCGCGCACCTATAATCCCAGCTACTCAGGAGACTGAGGCAGGAGAATCGCTTGAACCCAGGAGATGGAGGTTGCAGTGAGCCAAGACCACGCCATTGCACTCCAGCCTGGGCAACAGGGCAAGACTCCGTCTCAAAAAAAAAAATTATTATTATTACTATTATTTTTTGTAGAGACAGGGTCTCACTACATCGTTCAGGGTGGTCTCAAACTGCTGGCCTCAAGTGATCCTTCAACCTTAGCCTCCCAAGATCCTGGGATTACAAGCGTGAGCTACCGCCCCCATTCAAGTCAGCAACATTTGACACAGTTCATTATTCCTTCCTGGAAATACTTTCTTTAGTTGTCTTCTGGGATACCTCACTGCCTAGTTTTCCTGCTACTTCACTAGCTGTTCTTTCTCAGTCTCCTTTACTAGTTGCTTCCATCTTTCTCACCTCTAAACATTGGAGAGTACCAGAGTTTGGTCCCTGGACTGCTATTCTTCTTTATCTATGCTCTGATCTCACTTAGACTGACAGCTTTAAATACCTGGTGATATCCAAATTTATATCTCCAGGTAGGACCCCTTCCCTTAACTCTAGAGCTGTATCCCCAGCTGCCTTCTCAGTATTTTCCTTTGAAAATCTAACAAGCATCTCAAATTTAACACGGCCAAGTTAAAACTCCCCCTTTTCCTCCCCAAACCTGCTTTTCCCTAAAGAATCTCTTTATCAGTAAATGGCAATCTCATTCTTCCTGTTTTTAGGCCAAAAGACATATCTAGAACCAGACATAGAATCATCCTTAAGTCCTTTCTTTCATACTTCACATCTAATTCATCAGAAAATTATGTCTACTCTATCTTCAACTACTTCTCATCATGTCCATCACTATCTCCGTGGTCCAAGCCCCATCATTTCTCACTTGGATAATTCCAACAGCCTCCTAACTTCTCTGCTTCTGCCCTTGCCTCTACATAGCTTATTCTCAAAAAGGTGGCCAAAGTGGCCTTTTAAAACATTAATCAGTGTCACGCATCAGCTCAAGGCCTCCAATGACTTCTCATCAGAGTAAAAACCAAGGCCTTTGGAATAGCCCTTTAAAATGTGGACCCATCATTAACTCATTCACCTCAACTCCTTTTCCTTCTTTGTTTATTCTATTTTAGCAACCTAACTTTATGGACACACCAGAAATACTCCAGCTTTGGGATGCTTGCACCTGTCTGGAATACCTGTCACAGTGTGGTGTATTCTTTCACCTCCTGCAGGCTGTTCCTCAACTCTCACTTTCTCAGATCATCCTGTTTAAAACTGTAGCCTCTCTAGCATCCTCACACTTCAATCCTCTTTCCTTATTTTTCTCATAGTTATTATCAGCTGACATATCACTTATTATTTTTTCTTTTTCTTTTAGAGAGAGCCTCGCTTTGCTTCTAAGGCTGGAGTGCAGTGGTACGATCAAGGCTCAATGCAGCTTTGACCTCCTGGGCTCAAGTGATCCTCCCACCTCAGCCTCCTGAGTAGCTGGAATTACAGGTGTGTGCCACCACACTCGGCTAATTTTTAAAATTTTCTGTAGAGACTAGGTCTCACTATGTTGCCCATGCTGGTCTCAAGTGATCCTTCTGCTTCGGCCTCCCAAAGTGCTGGAGTTAAAGGCATGTAATCATGCTTGGCCTTTTTTCCTTATTTACTGTCTGCCTCCCCAAACCTTCTGAGGGCTGAAATTTGATTTTTTTGTTGTTCACTGCTGAATATTCAATGGCCAGAACAAGGGTTGGCACACATTAAATGCTCAATAAACATTTGCTAAGTGAATCCACACCATATTGGTAAACCATTTGGATTTACTTTAAAAATTAAAGATTCTTGAAAGGTCACTCAGAAGAAACTCCCCTTCTAAGTTTATCAAGCAGAAGAAAAGTAACTAAAGAGATATTGTTTGGTAAAAGCAGACGATATTCCCACATTTCCATCAGTTATATCTATTTCAAAGATGCTTCACATTATCTCCAAATCTTACCTCCCCGTCTTTTTAACATGACTCAAGTTACTCTAGCACTGAGGAGGAATAAGCAGTCAGGTAGATCCATAATATGAAATGCAGTCCTTCTGCTTATAATAGTGGTTTCAAATAGAACCAACCCAAGTTAGGAATTACTCAGGGAATAGCACAGAGCTGCAGCTAACACTGCTCAATTTTAATTCTCCAAGGACAAAATCACATGTCATTTTACAATCCAAACAACTAAGTGACTACTATGCCAGAGCCTCTTCACAGACGCTGAGAGCAAAGGAGTTGAGGAAAGCAAAGACCAAGATGATGAAACATGTTTATAGACTCAGAGAAAGAGTGGAAGTTATGTGTCACTAATGAAAACTAGCAAAGGAGGAAAACAGGAGTTTGGGTACCTCCGGAAGTGAAAGAAACGGCAGGCTACAGTAGAATCATCTTGCTCCTGTTCCTTAAACTTCCGGTACCGCTCCAGGCGGCATTCACGACACTTGTGCAGATGAGGTGCCACATTGATGCATGACCCATCCTGCAGGAAGGGCTCTCCAGATTGCTTCAGCTTCTTCACTTTGCTTACATCTTTCAGCACTGACTGGCCAACTGTGGCAAGGGGGAGAGAAGAAAAGTTTGTCATGAGGTGTAAACAGGAACCAATAGCATGATTCTTTTGGGGACAGACATTTGTTCTGACCTGGGTTGCTACTCCTTTCCCTGCTTGGGCATGTACCCATTATGTCCATCCTTGACAGGAAGGGAAAGCAAGGAGCAAAGAAGCTTCCATTGGGAGCTAAGAACCATGCAGAACTTGTGGGAAGTGCCCCACTATGGCAAAACAACTTTGAATATGGATGTGAAAAACATAAGAAGCCAGAATGTAGCCATCACCTGCCTCTAGTCTCTCACGATATGGCTATTCTGTTCATCAGGACCTCTTGAGCTCCCACAACATAGCAATTCCTATTGAGAACAGCTGCTTTTACCATGAGACTTTGTTTTACCCGCTTCTGGACCATAACCTCACACCACACAAGTTAATGGATTTTGATAGAGCTGTTAAAATCCTTATGTAGGTTTCAGAGAGGAGCAAACTGAGGGGTGATTCTCTCTGCTTCATCAAGTCTACAAATGTCTGCTATGTGGGAATGGATACCAGTTCCCAGTAACCCCTCTGAAGTAAAGAGGATGGGCCAAAGTGAAGTAAAAAGGGATGAGACAAATGCAAAGAAATAGTTCCTGACCAAAAATAACTGACCGCCAAGGAAGATCAAGAGTCCTCCTTTGGGGGATTATCATTATTTGGGACAGATACTCCTCCTACAGTGCCGGTTTAGATGCAATCCTGCCCTGAACCAGGCCTGACGAGGGGCCTCTGCCAGGTCCTCTTGGCTCTGTAATTCTATGAGATTACAGAACTCTCCATCAAAGTGAGTGCCTCTGCTGCACAAGAACACGACAGGCATTTGAGCCCAGTGCCAGAGCAAAGCCCAAATATAGCCCCAGCAGGATCACCTTTCAGGGGGGCAGTCCGAGGCCGGCCCTTGGGGGCCTGCTTCCCTTTGCTTTTGCCCAGCAACAGCTCAGCACTGCGCTCCCCATTGGGGCCCAGCTTCCCCATCAGGTGCTCTGGAATTCCCTTCAGGCCTGTCTTAGCCTGCAGCTGCTCCTCAGAGTCACTCAAATCTGACAGGTCACTGTTGGTGCTGGAGTCCGAGTCTTGTCTGCAAGCCAAGCTTCGTTCATCCAGTGAGAACCTTTTCACAGCTTCAAAAGGAGCTTTGTTCTCCTGTGAAAAATCTGCCGGGGAGGACAGAAAGCCGCCTGAGTGCCTGCCAAAGACGTTACTAAAGGTTTTGAGGAGGGGATTGTCCTGCTGCCCAGGCCCCACAGTTGGCCTCTCCTCTGTGGGGCTAGAGGAGAGAGTTGGCATCTCAATGGGCTGAGTGAGGCTGCTGGTGGGCGAGCTGGAGCGGCCATTCCCCATGGCAGAGAGGCTTGGGCCCCCACTGGTAAGAGCTGAGCCCAGAACACCAGATACTAGCTTGGAGGAGTCAGTTGTAATGAAGAGGGGTTTCTTCTTTGCTAAAGATGCCGAATCTGCAGAGGAGTGAGACTCGGGCCAGCTGGGTGCCACCTTGGAGGTGACAGTGGTAGCAGAAGAGGAGCTACCTGATGCCTGAGATGCAAAACTACTGAAAGGGCTGTGTTCAACTTTCTCCACAAATGCCAGGAAAGGATTAGAAGGCTCTTCTCGGGACAATTTGGGGGGCTGTAAAAATAGATTTTCATGATTCTCTGGGGTACGGGCATTTAGGAGGCTCCGTGGGAAGGCTGGAGTGAGGGTGGGCATGGACTCTGCAGGCACTTTCCGGTCCACAGAGCTGCCAGCCTTAGAGCCTGGCTTAGTGTCTGTTCCAAGAACGGATCTGCCTTTACACAGGCCTGAGCTCAGGCTCTCAAGGCTTTGTTTGAATGAGTCCCGACTAGAAGAATCATCAGCCAAACTCTCTGAAACAGTAGTGAAGTAGTTACTGGTAGGTAAAGTTTGGGACATGCATTGAAAAAACAAGTTTTTGGAGAGATCAGTGTCTTTCTGTGCCTCTTGTGCAGAGCTACAGCCAAAAGAGAAGCCCAAAGGTTTGTTCTCTGTGGCTAGAACACCATTGGACTGGCTCCTTCCACTTCCAAAAGTCAAAGGTTGCGATGAACTAGGGAGAGGTGCTCCAAATCCAGAAGAGGCCAGAATAGAATTTCTTGAATTCTGAAAGGAAGATAGCCTGAATTAGTGATGCTGGCTTCTCATGACAATCTAATGATCTCTTTCTTGGACCTCACTATCACCAGATCAACATTTCTTGGGGGTCCATCAACTTTTCTCTTTTACAATTCCATGGATCTGCTCTTGTAACTGGAGTTCACCAGCAGTGGGGAAGAAATCTGCCACAGACTACACTGAGGGCATCTTTAGCAAGGTGAACCAGAGATAGCAGGATGTCATTCATCCTGCAATTCCCTTGGTTGTTATCCAATTGGTCGTCACAGTGCTAGAAGGCCTTGTAGGCTTTTTGGTATCTATTTGGAAGTGAAGAGCTCCTCTAAGGAACTGGAGAAAAGGGTTCCTGAATAGACATCAGCTTTTACAGTGACCCCTGTAATATTAATATATCTCAATGACCTTGGGAGCTATTGTTAAAGTTTTGATTTATTTAGGCTACTGTAAAATTGCCCATTTTACAAAAAGTGGCTTTAATCCTAGGACAAGCCTACTGCACGTTAAAGAAAAGTGTTTTCCTTATTAATCTGAAAGTCCACAACATGGACCCTTTTGGATTTCGGCATCTATTTATGGGTTCAAGTCAACCTACAAGTTGAATATCTACTTCAATTAACGTTAGACGTAAAGATGCTAAATTAAAGAAAGCAAGCTATTTACCAAGACCTTTGTTATAATTAGAATCTAATAAGAATCCAAAGAGGATAAATGTATATACTGACAATATCCCAAAAAAAGCCTTCAGCATAACTGAAGAATGAAATAACAGAACACTCCCCTTTCCTTCTTTTACCTTCAAAATGTTAACTTCTGCTTGTGAATGACTGTATAAAGAAGAATGGGGCCTGGCGCGGTGGCTCATGCCTGTAATCCCAGTACTTTGGGAGGCTGACATGGGCGGATCACGAGGTCTGGAGGTCAAGACCATCCTGGCCAACACGGTGAAACCCTGTCTCTACTAAAAATACAAAAAATGAGCCGGGCATGGTGGCACGTGCCTGTAGTCCCAGCTACTCGGAAGGCTGAGGCAGGAGAATTGCTTGAACCCAGGAGGCGGAGGTTGCAGTGAGCCCAGATCGTGCCACTGCACTCCAGCCTGGCAACAGAGCAAGATTCCCTCACAAAAACAAAAAAAAGGAAGGACTTTCCTATATATTAATGTACCCAGATACAGACAAGAGAAAGGGACACACACACACACACACACACACACACACAGAGAGAGAGAGAGAGAGAGAAGAGACCCATAGGTAGGTATGAGCCCAAACTTATATTTATTAATTTAATAAAACCCAGATCCTAGTACTTGACTTGCTAACCATAGATTACTTTCAAGTAGTAGAGGATGATATACCTTAATATTCACTCTAAAACACTGGAAATAAAAATTATTCCATCACCACTTAATGGATATGGAGTTTTCCTTTTGGGGTGATGAAATTTCTGGATCTAGATAGTCTTCATAGTTTCGCAACACTGTAAATGTACTAAATGCCACAGAATTGTACATTTTAAAGTCGTAAGTTTTACATTATGTGTATTTTACTACAATTAAAAAAAAAGTGATTCCCGATAAACAAAAGGGCTATTCTCTTATAAAGAGGGGAGAGAGTTTTAATTAAACTATTCTTTAAATACACAAGAGGAGTTAACATTCAGGATTTCCTTGAGGAGTAGCATAGAGACGTACGAATCAAGCAGGCCACCTAGGCTTGCCTCTGTCTCTGCTACAGAGACTACTTCAGGGTATTTTAGAGTTAAAAAATAAAACTCCTTTTCTTTTTTCTTTTATCTTCCTACTAACCAGTAAGTATTGACTTCAACTTACTCCCTACAATAGAGAAAAAGAACAGACACAGCCCTGAGGTGCTGCTGTTGCTTCACAGGCAGGATTTGGCCAGGAGCCTTGATACCTGCATGACTGCAAGGAACTAGCATGGGTAGCTCATGTTTCACTCCTAAAGTTACCCTTTAAAAATAAATACACACATGAATGAAAAATAATTTGGATAGTCTTTCATTTTCCTTCAAATGATTAAATTCCAAATCCTTTTCTTATAAAAAGGTGATGAGAAACTCATGTCAAGCCAGTTTTTAGGGCAAGAAGTTTCCTGTTGGCTCTGTCTTTATTTTAGATCAGCCATTGTAATGAAAACATTCATTTCTACACATTTATTTATTTATTTTTTGAGACGGAGTCTCGCTCTGTCACCCAAGCTGGAGTGCAGTGGCGCAATCTTGGCTCACTGCAATCTCCGCCTCCCAGGTTCAAGTGATTCTCCTGCCTCAGCCTCCTGGGTAGCTAGGATTACAGACACATGCCACCAAGCCCAGCCTTTTTTTTTTTTTTTTTTTTTTTAAAGACGGAGTCTCGCTCTGTTGCCCAGGCTGGAGTGCAGTGGCACAATCTTGGCTCTCTTGGCTCACTGCAAGCTCTGCCTCCCGGGTTCACGCCATTCTCCTGCCTCAGCCTCCCGAGTAGCTGAGACTACAGGCGCTTGCCACCACGCCCAGCTAATTTTTTGTATTTTTAGTAGAGACGGGGTTTCACCGTGTTAGCCAGGATGGTCTCGATCTCCTGACCTCGTGATCCGCCCGCCTCGGCCTCCCAAAGTGCTAGGATTACAGGCATGAGCTGTACTATGCCTGGCTCATTTCTATACTTTTAAATCATATCCTAGAAGAAGAACCAAACAGAAACACAGCAACATGACTGTCATAGTCACAGAAATTCCCTCAACCTGTTTAAAAGAAAATACTCTTTCAATCTGAATTTCATATATTCAGCTTTGCTACTCTAAGAGTAGCAGCATTCAATGGATCTCTTTTATAGCATGTAAAACCTGGTCTATTTTGTAAGCTCCATTTACATTCACACTGCCTTTGACATGGAGTTGTTTTTGTTTTGTTTTGTTTTTTTGAGACATAGTCTTGCTCTGTCGCCCAGGCTGGAGTGCAGTGGCACAATCTCGGCTCACTGCAAGCTCCACCTCCCAGGTTCACGCCATCCTCCTGCCTCAGCCTCCCGAGTAGCTGGGACTACAGGTGCACGCCGCCACGCCCGGCTAATTTTTTGTATTTTTAGTAGAGATGGGGTTTCACCGTGTTAGCCAGGATGGTCTTGATCTCCTGACCTTGTGATCCGCCCGCCTTGGCCTCCCAAAGTGCTGGGATTACAGGTGTGAGCTACTGTGCCTGGCCAACATGGAGTTGTTTTTAAATAATTCAGACACTATGATGATTTACACTGGAAATCCATATAAGATCCTCACCTGGTTATCTTGGGAATGCTGGTCAACCAACAGGACAAACCATCAACAGTGTGAAATTTGCATTTACAGGCCTTCTCCTCGTCTGTGTGGACATTTCCTCTCCCTCCCTATCCCTGCACACTAGGGATTAACAATCTGCACTTGTTGGGGAGGGAAAGAAGTCACGTTTGTCATGTTTTGTCTGGCATTGTTTTTTCTGAAATGATTCCGTTTTAGGATGTGAGCTCCTTCAAATAGGAGTTTCAATTCCTTATATATAATATACAGTACTCAGCACACAGTAGTTTCCTATATATAATTTTTAAAAATCATTAAGCATTTCATCTCTGTATTTCATATTTTAGCTTGAGTTAATAGCTGTTTGGGGAAAAAAAAGATGACTAGCACCATAAATCATATTTTGGTGACCAAAATTAGTCAAAAAGAATATATTATACTGATTTTGATATTTTGGATTAGGGAGACAACTTGATGTTAACTTACATTTAACAGAGGTTCCATTTTAGCAACAATATATGCATATCAGATAAAGAACAAAGGAAATCAGATACTGTTGTGATGAAATCCATCAAATTTTCAGGTAAGGCTTAAAAAGGTGAAGATAGGGAGAAAAAACCTTCCATGGCCATATCAAATGATGGAAATTAACTCAGCCTCAAGGGAAAATATCATAGAAAATGATGAATTGAAAACAGGGTAATGGTAGCTTGCACACATAGCCTTAATTATAGTATTCACTATTACCAATACTGTAATTCATTAACCTCACCTCTTATAGGCCTAGCAGAGGCTTGATCACTACGTGAACTAAATAGATAATAGAATTTAAAACATTCCCCACCAGATCTACTTTAACATGTCTTTAAATTAGGTTGTATCATCAGTTTTTGATTCACCCAACTGTTCTGGTGCCTTTTAAGAGCTGATAAAGTTATTAAACTATACACATTTGCCCAGTGAGCAGTAAAGGCCTTCCACAGAGTATAATTTAAGCACATCTCAGAAATACTCCTTCCCTGGGGCACTTGAATGTTTTTTAATGTTAGCAATAAAGGAGGGCGAAAGAGTAAACCCAAATCTTGCAAATCTGCCCCTGAAGTAACTCACCTCTCCCGAGGCCTGCGACCGGCTGCCTTTCTGTTTTTCTGGCACAGTCCCTGCTGCAAGGCCAGTGTCTGAGATCCTCACTGTGTTTGGGGTGGAGCTGGCGGTAGTGACCACAGCTGCGGAAGCCACTATGCCCTGGCCAACTTGTTCCAGTGTTTTTCCTGCCTCTTTGTTTTCGGCTCCACCCACCTCTGGGGCCAAAGGTGTCTGACCTGTGGCTGTAGAATATGGAGTGAAAGATGCAGGTGTGTCCCCACCTACAGGCTCATCCTGCACCACCAGAGTCCTGCCGTTTTCTTTGGTGTAAGTGGCAAAGCGAATGTTGCGGTTTATCTGGGGGACAAATGTAGACGGTGGCTGCTTGGCTCTCTGATCCAGCCCTGGCTCTCCACTGGCATTCCCTCCTTTCCAGGGCCCTCGGCTTGCCTCACCTCCATCGCTCCCATTACTGTCTACTTCACCCCTGTCTCCTTTTAATTTCTTTGATGCAGGGTCACACCCAGAGTCCGAAGCACTTTTCCTCCTCCGGCCATCTTTCCCCTCTATGCTTTCTCTCTTCTTCTTTCCTTTGGAAGATTTTACTGCTTTTAACGTACCCCCCTACAAAACAAAATTCAAAAAAGATTACAAGGAAACTTTCATCCTGTGAATACCACACACCATTAGCTCTTTCCCATCTCTAGAAGCAGACAAAGCAGGCATAGACTGCCAAGTTCCAATGCCAGTTCTAAAACATCCCCTTTGTTAAAAGCTCTAATCTTTGTGTGACTCAATTTATACACACACATTCAAGATAATAGTTACTAGAGGTTAACTCACTTGGCAAACTTTCTCTTAAATAAAACATTACACTGCCTTAAATGGACTTCTTTGAGGGTTTTAACAATTTGTTGAGTTTCTTTTACAAAATAGAGTGCTAAAGCTAGGGTGGGAGCTCATTTACCCCTTGATGAAATAACTCACTTTATTACATATTTACCTCCTTGCTTGAAAGAAACTTGCATTTTAAGTACTGAAATAGGACATCTTCTCTAACCAGAAGTCACTAAACCAACGTTTGTGAGTCTGTGACCAAAGGAAAAGTGAACCTGGGCTGGGCACAGTGGCTCACGCCTGTAATCCCAGCAGTTTGGGAGGCCAAGGCGGGCAGATCACAAGGTCAGGAGATTGAGACCATCCTGGCCAACATGGTGAAACCCCATCTCTACTAAAATATAAAAAATTAGCTGGGTGTGGTGGCGTATGCCTGTAGTCCCAGCAACTTGGGAGGCTGAGGCAAGGGAATCGCTTGAACCCAGGAGGCCTGGCGTGTTGGCTCATGCCTGTAATCCCAACACTTTGGGAGGCTGAGGTGGGTGGATCTACCTGAGGTCAGGAGTTTGAGACCAGCCTGGGCAACATGGTGAAACCCTGTCTCTACTAAAAATACAAAATCAGCCAGGCATGGTGGTGCATTTCTGTAATCCCAGCTATTGGGGAGGCTGATGCAGGAGAATCACTTGAACCCGGGAGGGGAAGGTTGCAGTGAGCCGAGATTGCGCCACTGCACTCCAGCCTGGGCAACAAGAGGGAAACTCCTTATCAAAAAACAAAACAAAACAAAACAAAAAACTGTTATGCAAAGCTCAAGATTAACTTTTGTTTGCCTATACTTTTGGTAATATTATCTAAGTTTCTAAACCTTTCTTTCCTTTTTTTTTTTTTTCCTGAGATGGAGTCTTGCTCTGTTGCCCAGGCTGGAGTGCAGTGGCACAATCTTGGCTCACTGCAACCTCCACCTAACGGGTTCAAGTGACTGTCTTGCCTCAGCCTCCCCAGGAGCTGGGACTACAGGTGTGTGCCACCACATCCGGCTAATTTTTTTTTTTTTTTTTTTTTTTTGAGACAAGAGTTTCGCTCTTGTCGTGCAGGCTGGAGTGCGATGGTGTGATTTCAGCTCATGACAACCTCCGCCTCCTAGGCTCAAGCGAATCTCCTGCCTCAGCCTCCCAAGTAGCTGGGACTACAGGCGCCTGCCACCATGCCCAGCTAATTTTTTGTATTTTTAGTAGAGACAGGGTTTCACCATGCTGGCCAGGTTGGTCTTGAACTCCTGACCTCAGGTAATCTACCCACCTCAGCCTCCCAAAGTGCTGGAATTACAAGTGTGAGCCACTGCACCTGGCCTAATTTTTGTATTTTTTTAGTAGAGATGAGGTTTCGCCATGTTGGCCAGGCTGGTCTCGAACTCCGGACCTCAGGTGATCTGCCCACCTCGGCCTCCCAAAGTGCTGGGATTACAGGTATGAGCCACCACGCCCAGCCTCTAAACCTTTCATTCAAGAACTTTATCTGTTTGCTAAGTGTTGTTTTCTTTTGACTTTTTTTTTTTTTTTTAAGTCGGAGTCTTGCTCTGTCACCCAGGCTGGAGTGCAGTGGCACGATCTCGGCTCACTGCAAGCTCCACCTCCCAGGTTCACGCCATTCTCCTACCTCAGCCTCCAGAGTAGCTGGGACTACAGGTGCCCGCCACCGCGCCCGGCTAATTTTTTTTGTATTTTTAGTAGAGATGGGGCTTCACCATGGTCTCGATCTCCTGACCTCGTGATCCAGCCGCCTCGGCCTCCCAAAGTGTTGGGATTACAGGCGTGAGCCACCGCGCCTGGCCTTGATTTTTTTCTTCTTTTTTTTTGAGACGGAGTTTTGCTCTTGCCACCCAGGCTGGAGTGCAATAGCACAATCTCAGCTCACTGCAACCTCCGCCTCCTGTGTTCAAGCGATTTTCTTGCCTCAGCCTCCCAAGTAGCTGGGATTACAGGTGCCCGCCACTACGCCCAGCTAATTTTTGTGTTTTTTAGTAGAGACAGGGTTTCATCATGTTGGCCAGGCTGTTCTCAAACTCTGACCTCAGGTGATCCACCTGCCTCGGCCTCTTTTGATTTTTAAAAGCTTTTAAATTCTTTCTCAATCTCTATCACCACCCAGTTTTCACTGTTGCAGATCACAATCAGTGAACTCTGTTCTTTCTTGTTCATTCACCCATACTTAAAGGAGATGAGGTGATCATGGATCTCTAAAAAGGGTTACTATAAAACTTGGCAGAACTATAAAAAATAATTGGACTCTGCTAGCAAAGAAAACAGTAATATCATGTTAATACCAAAAAAGGAAGACCCAACATCTGCTGCTAAAAACCAAAGATCACCAGGCGTGGTGGTTCGTTCGCGCCTGTAAACCCAGAACTTTGGGAGGCCAAGGTGGGCGGATCACGAGGTCAGGAGTTTGACACCAGCCTGGTCAATATGGTGAAACCCTGTCTCTACTAAAAATACAAAAATTAGCTGGGCATGGTGGTGTGCGCCTGTAGTCCCAGCTACTCAGGAGGCTGAGACAGAAGAATCACTTGAACCCGGGAGGCGGAGGTTGCAGTGAGCCAAGATCACCCCACTGCACTCCAGCATGGGTGACAGAGCAAGACTCCATCTCAAAAAAAAAAAGAAAAAAACAAAAACAAACATCCCACCTATAAGTCATCCAGCCAACTTGCAGAGCCTGGCTCACAGCAACATACTACCAGTCCCTAAACAACTTATATGTAAGTCCTACTTACAGTGAGCTACTCATACGTGAGTAAGCAGCCTACAACATTGAGACCAGTACTCCCCAGTTCTATTTGGCCAGCTGAACAGTACCTGGCATACAATATATGCTTAATGAAGGAATGAAATAAGGAAAGGAACAAAAAAGGGGACCAATACACGATCAAAGTAGCAGGTGTTTTTGGCATGCAAACACAGTCAAGAGACTTACCCTGTTTGTGGTAATATTACATGTAGTAAACAGTTCTTAAATTTAACCCTGGCCAGGTGCAGTGGCTCATGCCTGTCATCCCAGCACTTTGGGAGGCTTAGGTGAGAGTTTGAGACCAGACTGGGCAAGATAGCGAGACCCTGCCTCAAAAAAAAAAAATTTTTTTTCTTTTCCTATTCTGATCTTGTTTTAGGAAGTCAAGAATGACTGGATAAAGATGAGGAAAGACTATATACTTAGCAGGAGTGGCAACGACAGCAATATTACAGAGGTGCCAAGATACTGTGAGGAATATGTGGACAGCTGGTCAACTGAAGGAAATTCACACAGAATTACTCGATTGGTTCAGGCAGAGATTTTTATTTATTTACTTTTTTTTTTGAGACGGAGTCTTGCTCTATCACCCAGGCTGGAGTGCAATGGTGCGATCTCAGCTCATTGCAACCTCCACGTCCCAGGTTCTAGCGATTCTCCCACCTCGGCCTCCCGAGTAGCTGGGATTACAGGCACCCACCATCAGGCCTGGCTATTTTTTTTTTTGTATTTTTGTAGAGACAGCGTTTCACCACGTTGGTCAGGCTGGTCTTGAATTCCTGACCTCAGGTGATCCGCCTGCCTCGGCCTCCCAAAGTGCTGGGATTACAGGCGTGAGCCACTGCACCTGGCCCAGAGAGCTTTAATGTATCTTTTTTGGGGCTATATTAATTCTGAATAAACCAAGAGTTGGGCTGGTTCATAACAATTATGGAGTAACCAATGCACTGGGGGCTGAGCACTGAACTAGGTACCAGCTTGAATTGATTCTACTTGGGAATACAGAATTTCAGACTCCGTTGGAGCTCACTGCCACCGAATGGAAAAAAAAAAAAAGTGGACGTAGTTTATCCTTCACTTCTTGTTACTTGGTAGATCACGAGTATTACTACTGCTTATTGCACTTTTAACTGACTACTATATCTTTCAAATATACCTGTCCTGACAGAATATAGGAAGAAACCAGCCTTGCACTTTAGAAGAACTAGGGAACATAGTCATGCTTAAAAGGGTTTGCTCAAACTAGGTCTCTTTCTTGAGAATATCCCCCCTTAATTAGACAGACTGTGGAGAGAGCAAAAAAATGTACAGTGGCTAAAGCTGAACAACTCAAAAGGCATCCATGGAAAACACATATATAAGGGATCTACACACAGCAAGATAATGCAAGCTCATGAGTCTGCTCAGGAATGCAGTCCATTACTGTACCTCGCTTTGAGGCGCTGAATTATCCATCAGCATCACATGGATTAGTCTGGGATCTACCGACTTGATCTCACCACTCTACAGTAGGAGGGGAAAAAGATATTTAATGCCTTGTCCATAAAGACATAATTATATAATTTCCTAATCAATGTAATTATCTCTTTATTGATTCAACTCACCTACTAGAATGAAAGCTCCATGAGAGCAGAGATCTCTACTGTCTCATTTACTGCTACAACAGGTCTAGAATATGGTAAGCATTCAAATATTTAAGTGAATGAATGAAAGAAGTGAATTCATGTCCAACTGTGTCTTTTAGCGATGTTAATTCTGAATCCTGTATCTCTAAAACTGTCCTATTCTGTATAGTATGAAACAAAAAACCTTCAGAACCAATAATCATTAAAAGAATCACTCTAGGGCTGGGTGCGGTGGTTCACATCTGTAATCTCAGCATTTTGGGAGGCCAAGGTGGGTGGATCACCTGAGGTCAGCAGTTCAAGACCAGCCTGGCCAACATGGTGAAACCCTGTTTCTACTAAAAATACAAAAAATTAGCTGGGTGTGGTGGCGTGTCTGTAATCTCAGCGAATCAGGAGGCTGAGGCAGGAGAATTGCTTGAACCTGGGAGGCGGAGGTTGCAGTGAGCCGAGATCGTGCCATTGCACTCCAGCTTGGGCAACAAAAGCAAATCTCTGTCTCAAAAAGAAAAAAAAAAAAAAATCACTCCAGGCTGGGCATGGTGGATCATGCCTGTAACCCCAGCACTTTGGGAGGCTGAGGCAGGAGGACCAGGAGTTCGAGACCAGCCTGGGCAACACAGTGAGACTCTGTTTAAAAAAGAATCATTCTACTATTAAAGAATAAAAACTCAGTGGGGGGCAATTTGATAGAAAATTTCAAATTTATTGTGCATATTCTTTGACCTAGCAATTATACATATAAATTTATTCCAATAAATAATGTAAAAAATGTTCAAGGATGTTCACTGTGACATATTAGTGAAAATATTGGCAATGATTTAAATGTCTATCAATTTTAGATTAGTCATGATATATCCATGTAGTGGAAAAGAACGCATCTATTTTAAAGGATGAGACAGATCTTTACATTTACATACAAAAATGCTCACTATATACAATTAAGTAAAAAAGGTAAATTATATAACTATATGTACTATATGATCTTATTTGTTACTAAAGTGTGACTTATATAATTATAGAGCATATAAATTATATATATCATATAAATTATATATCATATAACTCATATATATCATATAAATAAATATAATATAATAATATTCTGGCCGGGTGCAGTGGTTCATGCCTGTAATCCCAACACTTTGGGAGGCTGAGGTGGGCGGATCACTTGAGCTCAGGAGTTTGAGACCAGCCAGGCAACATAGCAAGACTCCTTCTCTACAAAAAATAGAAAAATTAGCTAGGTGTGGTGGCACACGCCTGTAGTGCCAGCTACTCCAGAGGGTGAGGTGGGAGAACTGCTTGAGCCCGAGAGGCAAATGTTGCAGTGAGCTGTGATCGCACCACTGCACTCCAACTACTAACCTTTATGAATATAATACTACTACTGTCATACATTTATATATTGTTTTACAGATTTCAAAGCACTTTCAGATACTTTATCTCAGGACCCAAAACAGTGTTGTAAGGTCAGTGGGGGTTTACATATTTACTTCTAGTTTATAGATGAGAACAGTGAAGTTAAGAAAATTCAATAGCCTTTCTAGGGGTTATACAACTATTAAGTAATAGAGCCAGGGATGAAACCCAAGTCATCTTACACATAATGAAGTGCTCGCCTATCTAAACCATCCTCTTTAAGGGGATGGATGGACCTTAGACAGAATAACACAGAGTCTCACCTCAGTTACAGACACCTCCATAAGACGAGTGATGGAGTCCTGATGGCTCACAACACCATAGAGCCACCCTTCTTCCCCCTCTGGCTGATATATTTTGACCCTGTGACCTTGAACACTGTAGGGACCTAAAAGGGAGATCAGTCAGTATTGAGTATTTTTGGCTAAGCTATATTTCATAATTGTTCCTAAAAGCCAAAGGAAAATTAGATAATGTAAATATTTGGCACTTTTGGTCCTCTTTTATAGAACTGAACAAATGAGCAATTCCAGATTTACCATACTGAGCAATTTAAAAACAAAACCTGAATGGTTTCTTCCAGTGGTCTTTGTAAATTCTTCATTTATTTGGAAATTCCTTAGAATTTCCCAGCCCTCCAACTCCCCCTTGCCTCAATCTTCCAGTTCTGCAAGTATTATAGGAAGGGAAAGGAAACTTCCAAATAAAAAACTACAGTAGTATGAAAATGTAGGTAGATACCTGACATGTATCTAACTACATGTACATGAAAAAAGTGGGAGGCCACTAAGTTGAAAGTGCTGTTATGTTATGTTATGTTTATATATGACCATTTACATTCTGGTATCTGACTTTCAATAACAGTGGGTGAAGAGTTCAATTTATGAAGTTTCCAGCCTTCTGCACTAATAATAGGCTGAACAAATATAAATATAGCACCTGTCTTCCTAGGAACGCAGAGTTTCAAATATATTACTTTATCAGCAGGTAATGTTACCCTGCAATTTAAGCTATCCTCTAAGGACAGTTTCTCTCTCCCACATATCCTTGTACATTTGAGACTATATAGCTAAATCATTACCAATTTTAGATTATTCTCTATCAGAGCTAAAATTAAGCTTCCGTAACTTTTCTATACATTATATCTATATATATCTATATATATATATCATGATATATATAATCTATATATATATGTATCTCCCTACCTCTCCTGTCCACTCAATTTTCTTTTCTGCTACCAATTTTCCTCATATTCTTTCTTCTGCCGTATCTTTCCTTGATTATTTAACATCATTTTATCCTGACACCTTCCTTCCCCAATAGGTCAGTTTTTCTACCTTTACCTGTTTAGGTTTATTTTGACAAAAGAGAAACAAGGAAACTATTTCCCTGAAAATAATGATTATCATGAGATCAAGAAAGGAAGGGGAGTGAATGTACGACATAAATGAAGCCAATAGTTTACCTTTTGTGTAGAATCTTGGGCAAAACTTGTATCTGAACTTGAAAGCTAATAATTTTTTTCATTATTAAAAACAACAAGCTTTTAATGTGAATGAGTCTGTGAACACATTACTTTATACCTTGCACTCCAAGGTGTTATTTGTTGGTGTTAAGTTTTTAGTTCTTAAGAAACTTGCAGATTTTAAGTTAAAAAAGCAAAGATTTTCTAATTAATTGCTATATCCCCAATGCCTTAACACTGTCTAGTACATGGCAATATTTAAGAAATAAAAAAAACTAAAACTCAACTCACAATAAAACTGTATATTATGAAATGCAGAATGAACCAGAAACATTGGTCTGAATGAGATCCTGTTTTTGTTCTAAGAGCATCTTTAAGGGGATGGATGGACCTTAGACAGAATAACACAGTCTCACCTCTGTTACAGACACCTCCATAAGACGAGTGAGTGATGGAGAGAGAATGAGATCTCTATTTTAGAGATCCAGCTAACTGAAGATACTCTTTATTTTTATTTTTTAATAAATAATAATTATTATCTTTCATGTGGCATCTGACTCTGCCCACAAAAAGGAGATAAGTACAAATGTTTAAGGTTGCATGGGATTCCATACTATCACTCAACAGTGATCATTCACCTGAATCAGAGTTCAGGGACAGAAGACTATCCGTTCTTACCTCGGCTGAATATCTCTTGTAGCTTTTGGTCACTGATCAAAGCATTAACTGTTTCTCTCAGTGCAGCATGTTCCAAAAGAATCTGGTTTTGGCTATCTGTTCCCATCTGGTAAAGATAAAAGAAGAAAACAACTGAATGTTAAAATGAATAGCAAACATCTAATCAGCTGAGAAAAATCATATCCTAAGGAGCTGTATATCAACATTTGCCAAACAATATCTATAGAACCTTAGTCTCAGGCTAGGCGTGGTGATCATGCCTGTAATCTTAGTACTTTGGGAGGCCAAGGCAGGAGGATCGCTTGAACCCAGGAGTTTGAGGCTGCAGTGAGGTATGGCTGCGCCATTGCATTCCAGCCTAGGTGACAGAACAAGACCCTGTCTCTTGTGAACAACAAAAAAAGAGAACTCTATTCTCATGAGATGTTCTGCAAAAATTAAGAATGCTAGGATCAATTAGGATTAGGAAATATTATGTATCTTTCTACATACAATAGGCTATTAAAGGCTCTGAGAAGTCACACAGGAAAGAAACTTATTTAGGCCAGTGTTTCTCATACTTATCTGACCATAAAACATTGTATTCCTCGCAAATCTTTTTGCTTATTTCAGTATTTATCCAACATTTACTAAGTGCTATCTCATAAAGCACTAGGATTATAAATATGAATAAAGCAAGGTTGCTGAGAGGGAATGAGGCCTAACGAGCGAGGAAGACATATCAACAAAGAAATCATCATTAACCTAACGAGCGGGGAAGACATATCAACAAAGAAATCATAATTAACATCTCACAGAAGACAGTTTAGGAAATAACTGCTCTGGTCTGTCTCAGTAAGACAGTAAAACTCAGGAGTCTCCTAATTTTCTTCCTGCAGACAGCAACCCTTACAAGTGAAAAATAAATACATTTCCCTAAATTCTGAAACTATAACTCAGACGCTGGTTTGTTTTAACTATTAACTTGTCCCTTTTCTTTGTAACTATGATACTTCATGCTGCTTGGAACCAGTCCAAACTCCTGGATGTCAATAATGAATAGGCCCCCTTGGACTCAAGTTACACAAACAGCCACCTCGGAGAAGCCACCTCTGCCTTTTTTTTTTTTTTTCTTTTTTTCTTGAGATGGAGTCTCACTCAGTCGCCCAGGCTGGAGTGCAGTGGCACGATCCTGGCTCACTGCAAGCTCTGCCTCCCAGGTTCACGCCATTCTCCTGCCTCAGCCTCCCGAGTAGCTGGGACTACAGGCGTCCACCACGACACCCAGCTAATTTTTTTGTATTTTAGTAGAGATGGGGTTTCACTGTTTTAGCCAGGATGGTCTCGATCCCCTGACCTCATGATCCGCCCGTCTCGGCCTCCCAAAGTGCTGAGATTACAGGCGTGAGCCACCGCGCCTGGCCGAAGCCACCTCTTCTGAAGGGACTCAGAATTGTGTTCTTAAATCTTGGGCGGTTTTAAGGTAGGGTGGGGCTGTGTAGAAGAAAGAAGCCTCAGCCACCAAAAGTACTTTGCAAGGGAGCAGAAAAACTTTAAAATGCACAGGGAGGTTGGGTATGGTGGCTCACGCCTGTAATCCCAGCACTTTGGGAGGGCAAAGCAGGTGGATCACTTGAGGCCAGGAGTTTGAGACCAGCCTGGGCAACATGGCAAAACCCCGTCTCTACTAAGACTACAAAGATTAGCCAGATGTGATAGCATGTGCCTTTGATCCCAAGCTAGTTGGGAGGCTGAGGCACAAGAATCACTTGAAACCGGGAGGTGGACGTTGCAGTGAGGCGAGATGGAGCCACTGCACGCCAGCCAAGGTGGCTTTCTCAAAATAAATAAATAAATAAAAATTTAAAAATGCCAGGCGTGGTTGATCACACCTGTAATCCCAGCACTTTGGGAGGCCAAGGCAGGTGGATCGCCTGAAGTCAGGAGTTCGAGACTAGCCTGACCAACATGGTGAAACCCCATCTCTACTAATAATACAAAAATTATCTGGGTGTGGTGGCACATGCCTGTAATCCCAGCTACTTGGGAGGCTGAGGCAGGAGAATTGCTTGAATCCAGGAGGCAGAGGTTTCAGTGAGCCAAGATCACACCATTGCACTCCAGCCTGGGCAACAAGAGCAAAACTCTCTGTCTCAAAAAAATAAAATAGGCTGGGCGTGGTGGCTCACGCCTGTAATCCCAGCACTTTGGGAGGCCGAGGCGGGCGGATCACGAGGTCAGGAGATCAAGACCATCCTGGCTAACATGGTGAAACCCCATCTCTACCAAAAATACAAAAAAATAAGCCGGGCTTTGTGGCAGGCGCCTGTAGTCCCAGCTACTCGGGAGGCTGAGGCAGGAGAATGGAGTGAACCGGGGAGGCGGAGGTTGCAGTGAGTTGAGATCGCACCACTGCACTCCAGCTTGGGGGACATATCGAGACTCTGTCTCAAAAAAAAATAAATAAATAAATAAAATAAAATAAAATAAAAAAGGCACAGCATATTTATTGGAGGAAGTAATAAAAGAAATGCTAATATGTTCCCACCCAGTAAAAGGAGAAACACCTATGTTTATATCAACAAAGAAATTAGCAGCGAAAAAAATAATAGGCTCAAGACTAAAGCAAGTGTTAAATACCTGAAACAGATGCAACCCATTGGCATCTGACAGGAACCGAAGCTCTCGATCCAGAAGATATTCCACTGGAACCACAGAACCCAAACCCAGTTTATCTACAAGGGGAGTAAAAGTCTGTGAAGTACAATGACAAGAAATTGATTAGAACTTGGGAATAAAAAAACAGCAATTCAAACAAATCTCTAACTTCAAAGAAATAATTATTATATCTTTCATCCCAGTAAATACAGATAAGCTAAAGCATAAGTCCTTGGAAACATTCCCAACCTAGCATCTACCCCTCAAATAGTCATGGGAAGCTAACTAATGCAGAAAGTCAGCTCAATACTCTTATTGGCTAAAAAGGACAAGAGGAATCAGAAATTCTCCTAATTCTGCCTAGGGATCAGGCTAATCTTATTAGGCTTCAAGGGAGCTAAATTATAGTAAATTCCCAGAATAAAGAGTTATACTGTTATCATCTCAGAACTCTTGAAATCTTTGTGAAATTTATAAAATAATTAACAGCATAAATATGCATGGTTAATTCATATTACCATTTCATAAATAAATAGCCTATAAAAAAGTCATGAAGAGACCTCACATGCACTTATTATACAAGAGCTTCTCCTAAAAGTTCAACTGGAAAGTGGCCTTAAAAACAAATGAGAAGCCGGGCGCAGTGGCTACGCCTGTAATCCCAGCACTTTGGGAGGCCGAGGCGGGTGGATCACGAGGTCAGGAGATCGAGACCATCTTGGCTAATGCAGTGAAACCCTGTCTCTACTAAAAATACAAAAAATAAGCCGGGAGTGGTGGTGGGCGCCTGTAATCCCAGTTACTCGGGAGGCTGAGGCAGGAGAATTGCTTGAACCTGGGAGGCGGGGTGGTGAGCCGAGATCGAGCCATTGCACTCCAGCCTGAGCAACAAGAACGAAACTCCATCTTAACAACAACAACAACAAAAACAAATGAAACGGCTGGGCGTAGTGGCTCACCTGAGGTTAGGAGTTCAAGACCAGCCTGGACAACATGGTGAAACCCTGTCTCTACTAAAAATACAAAAATTAGCTGGGCATGGTGGCGCATGCCTGTAATCCCAGCTACATGGGAGGCTGAGGCAAGAGAATCGCTTGAACCTGGGAAGCAGAGGTTGCAGTGAGCCTAGATCGTGCCACTGCACTCCAGCCTGGGTGACAGGGTGAGACTTTGTCTCAAGAAAAAAACAAAAAACAAAAGACAAAAAGAAAAAGAAAAGACAGTTTAGTAAGTGATGACATATACCATCAATCAGTTAAAAAAATTGTTTTGAATATTATTTATTTAATTTGGTTAGCCACATGAAAATCAGGATTTTTTAGAAGTTACCATTTATACCTATACTTTGCTAATAAGACAGACAGAAACAAATGGATACTCTCACAATTAAATTTTATAACACACAGCCAGGCACAGTGGCTCATGCCTATAATCCCAGCACTTTGGGAGGCTGAAGCAGGTGGACTGCTTGAGACCAGGAGTTCAAGACCAGCCTAGGCAACATGATGAGCAACCATCCCTACAAAAAAATACAAAAATTAGGCTGGGTGCCGTGCTGTGCGTCTGTAGTCCCAGCTACTTGGGAGGCTGAGGTGGGAGGATGGCTTAAGCCTGGGGGTCAGAGGTTGCGGTGAGCTCTGATTGCACCGAGCTCTGATTGCACCACTGCATTCCAGCCTGAGTGACAGAGCCAGACCCTGTCTCAAAAAATAAAATAAATTTTATAATGCTATTTTCACTCCATAATTGAAAAAAAAACTTTAAAGGTTACAAATAATGTTTCAAAACCTTGCTCTGAGAAAAGACTAAAGGTGAAAAAATTCTTTTCATTGTTGTTTTTTTTGTTTTTGAGACAGGGGTCTCACTCTGTCCCCCAGGCTGGATGCAGTGGCACAATCACGGCTCACTGTAGCCTCAACCTCCTGGGCTCAAGCCATCCTCCCACCTCAGCCCCACAAGTAGGTGGGACCACAGACATGTGCCACCAGACCTAGCTAATTTTTGTATTTTTTGTAGAGATGGGGTTTTGGCATGTTACCCAGGGTGATCTCAAACTCCTGAGCTTAAGGGATCTTCCTGCTTCAGCCTCCCAAAGTGCTGGGATTACAAGGCGTGAGCCACCGCGTCTGGCCAAAAAAATTCTTTCATATCAAATATCACCTAATATAAAACATTTTGGAGGACAAAGGAGAAAAGACTGCTCCTAATTTTTGCATTAGTAACTTCAGAATAAATGTACGTTAAGGACAAAGTATGTAGTTCTTACACATACTCTGTCCCTAACATGTCATAGTTATATTATAGGAGTAAAGCTCAGACATGTTCCCACCCAGTAAAAGCCACTCACCAGGGCTGGCCATTGTGCAATGGAGACTCGAATGCCCTGGAGAAGGACTGGGTCCTCACGGGGCGCCCATACAAGAGACCCTTCCAGCAGAAGCACGATAACTTCCTCAGCATGAACTTTTACCCAGGAGTGTTGCTTCCAGTTACAGCCATCAAATTCTACAAAGATCTGCAAGAGATAAAAAGCAGTTTGGAAGTCACACTTGGAAAAATCTCACACTATACTTATAAATGAACATAAACCCCACTGTTTTGAACAACTGACTAGGAATAATTCTAACTTGTGTTTAAGTTATTTTAATGGGTGTCAATAATAGCTGATCTTCAGAGCCAGGAAGCTGGTCTCAGCCACATTCTGAAGAGGAGGAACAGAGTTAAGGAGGCATGAACTATTCACAGTCATTCAGTAATTTTTAGTCATGTCCCTACTGAAATTTGCAACTCTTAGTTTCTAATTCGTATCTACACATACTAGCTGAGGGCTTACCATATATAAGGTACTATACTAGGTTCAGGAATACAGAAAGGAATCTGGCATACTTCTTGGTCTCAAAAAGCTCATAATCCAATAGGAAGACATTTTTAATACTTCTATTGAAATGACTGTGAACTTTTAATTATTTTTTGAATAGGTGATGTATGCATATGGCAAAAATTCAAAAAGATAAAATGCTGAAAAACATTGCCCTCCCATTCCTGCGTGTGGATTCTATTGACTGATTGATCGATTGAGACAGGGTCTCACTCTGTCGCCCAAGCTGGAGTGAAATGGCGTGATCTCAGCTCACTGCAACCTCCACATCCTGGGCTCAAAAGATCCTCCTGCCTCAGTCTCCCAAGTAGCTGGAACTACTAGCATGTGCCACCATGCCCGGCTTATTTTTTGTAGAGACGCAGTTTCACCATGTTGCCCAGGCTGGCCTTGAACTCCTGAACAAGGGATCTGTACACCTCAGACTCACAAAGTCTGGGATTGCAGGCATGAGCCACCGTGCCCAGCCTTTTTTAAAATTTAAAATTAAATTAAAATTAATTATTTCGGTAGAGATAGGGTCTTGCTGTGTTACCCAGGCCAGTCTTGAACTTCTGGGCTCAAGTGATCCTCCTACCCTGACCTCCCAAAGTGTTGGGATTACAGGTATGAGCCACCACACCCAGCTGCATGTGGATTCTTAAGTGCAACAGTCAGCAGTAATCTCACATCTGTTAGCAGACACTTGCTGTAGTCACAACAATGCTTTCTTCTTCCCTGAACAGATACTCCACTTCTTGAAATATACTTAAGTAGGCACTGTATTTATACAGCTCTGAAAGCAGATTACATTAAATGAAGCTACATTTTTCTAATAAATATTATGCTTAGATTTGACTTTTTTTTTTTTTTTTTTGAGACAGGGTCTCACTTTGTTGCCCAAACTGAGTGTTGTGGCACAATCATGGCTCACTACAGCCTCGACTTCCTAGGCTCAAGCAATTCTCCCTCAGCCTCCTGGGTAGCTGAGACTACAGGCACACACTACCATGTCCAGGTAATTTTTGATTATTTGTAGAGACAGGGTCTCACTATGTTGCCCAGGCTGGTCTCAAACTCCTGGAGCCAAGCAATCTTCCTGCCTCAGCCTCACAAAGTGCTGGGATTACAGGCGTGAGCTACCCTGGCTGGCCCCAGCTTTGACTTTCTATATAAATTCTGACTTCTGAAGATGAGTGGACACAGCATCAAAAGCTACATATGCGGCCAGGCACGGGGGCTCATGCCTGCCATCCCAGAACTTTGGGAGGCCGAGGCGGGTGGATCACAAGGTCAGGAGTTCACGACCAACTTGGCCAAGATGGTGAAACCCTGTCTCTACTAAAAATACAAAAATTAGCTGGGTATGATGGTGGGCACCTATAATTCCAGCTACTCAGGAGGCTGAGGCAGATGAATCACTTGAACCCAGGAGGCGGAGGTTGCAGTGAGCTGAGATCGTGCCACTGCACTCCAGCCTGGGCAACAAGAGCAAAACTCTGTCTCGGAAAAAAAAAAAAACAAACTCACATGAAACTTCTTAAGGCAACACTAAGTAATGCAGGACAGTATTAGAATCCCCACACATGTGACTCCCAACTGGCAACTGTGGAGTTACCAGGAGGATCTGTAAGTACTAGGGGCACCAGGCATTTCCTGTAGAGTGAATGCCAGGTCTTGCAGATGTATGTGCTATGATTTTTCAAATACATGTAGATGATGTAATTAATAAAATTCAAATCCATTAAAAACTTAATAAAATTTTATGTGTATTTTACCACAGTGGAAAAAATATGAAGGAAAATATTACTGAATTCACAATGGCTTTTTTTTTGTTTGTATACATGTTCTCAAGTAACCAACATAAAAATTATAATGATATGAAAATTCAGGAAATTTATACTTGGAAAGTATGGAACCATAGCTCAGTAGCCTAGCTATCGGTTTAATCTCTTCACAGGCAACAAATACTTGTGAACTGCATTGCTAAAAAGTTATCCCAGAAGTTAAATTCATTATAAAGTTCTAGCTCTATTATCTGTAATACTCCAACAAAGAAATTAGCAATGAGAAAAGTAAGCTTCATTTCTACTTAATAAAAAGATGGAGATGCAAGGCTCAGAGAGAAGCATGATTTTTACTAAGAAAAAGGACAGAACACTGAACTGTACTATATTTAATATATAAATAGGCTCATTCATACATACATGTTGTAGGGGAATAAGACATAGCCCCTGCCTTCAAGTAACTTACAAGCAACTGGAAAGAGAGAGATATATTCAAACTTACATTTAAGTGCAGACTCCGGCACCAAGAAAGGCAGCATAACGTACAAAGCTTGGAGCTCATGTTCCAGGAGGCCTGGATTAGTGTCTCAGTTCCACTCTCTTGCAAAACTTAGACAACTTACTTTTCCTTCCTCAAATCTTAGTTTCCTCTTGTGTGATATGACACATCTTTCTTACCTCATGGACTGGTTGTGAAAATTAAATAAAGGAACAGATTCTAAGCACTTTGGTTGATTATAAAGCACTATTTGGGCAATAGTATGTCACAGGATAAACAGAAATAGGGTAAAATAAGGTATGGTGGGTATTCAGAGGCATAAGATCACTTCAGATGTGCAGAGGAACTGATAGAGGCTGAGGACAACAAAAGCCCCAGTTAAGCTCTGGGATGGTCAGGACCTATTTAACACACTGTCGGAAGGAAGCAGTAGCCAATGAGGCTAAAAACGCTAGGAGTAGATGTGGAAGATCTTGAACACTTGGATAAAAGATTGGGGCTTCATCCAGCTGTCAATGGGAGGTGTGGGTGTGTGCGTGCAACTATCATTAAAAGGTTTTTTGTGTGTGTATACGGTGGGGGAGTAGTAGGGAGTGTTCTTACATGACCCAGAGTTGGGGGTAATAACATGAGGAAGGAAGTGACTTGTGCTTATGAGAATCCAAGAGCCCTATCACAAAGCTTGATGACTGGCTGAATGTAGGAGTACGGGAGAATTAAAAAATGACTTCAATTTTGAACCAGAGAAGAGAAGTGCTACCATCACAAAGATGAACTGATGTCAGGAGGATACAACGGCTGGAGGACAGACAAGACCTTGCAAACCATGAAAAGCAGTCTGGAATGTTCAATGCCCAGACTGGATCTGACCCTGAGTGACACAGTACTCTACCAGGTGTCCTCAGAAAACCAGAGGTTGAGGTTCCATGGTAACCTAGGTGCCATGGTGTATGGCTAGGTGCCATGATGTATAGTTCTAAACTGCCAACCACTTTAAAAATCAACATAGGAATCATAACATTCTAAGTTATAGCAACACACAAATACAAGAACAACACTAAAATAAGTCACTGGGCTAAAGCTGTAATGATTTTTATTCTTTGTACATAAGAACTTGAATATTTAAAAAGTTAATATTCAAGAATTCAATACTATTATCGCATACCTAAAAACATTAGAAAAAGCTAAAATATTTGGGAGTTACATTTTACCTAATTTAAGGGCAATTATCTCTTACCTTACTTGAGCAAAGGACATGGAATAAAGTGTTAAATCTGAAACAACCCTGTACTACACATTCTGGGATCAAATGACAGCTCCAATCTGATAATATGAATTTGTTTTGAGAGCAATATGGAATGTAGATATATGTAAATATGGACTATGGATATATGTAAACATATTCCCCCAAGAGTGAAGCTTATTTCTGGCCCAGGACTGTACTTCGCTTCCTGGCTACAAAAATGAAAGAGTTAGAGCATACAAAGTAAAGAATCATTTCAAGTGGGACGCTGTGGCCCACACCTGTAATCCCAGCACTGTGGGAGGCTGAGGCGGGAGGATCACTTGAGCCCAGCAGTTCAAGAGTTCAAAACCAGCCCTGGCAACATAGCAAGATCCTGTCTCTACAAAAAAAATAGAAAAAAAAAACCAGGCATGGTGGGGTACATCTGTAGTCCCCACTACTCAGTAGGCTGAGATGGGAGGACAGCTTGGGCCAAGGAGTTCAAGGCTGCAGTGAGCTACGATCATGCCCCTGTACTCCAGCCTGGGCAACAGAGTGAGACCCTGTCTCCAAAAAAAAAAAAAAGAAAGAAAGAAAAAGAAGAAGAACAACCATTTTAAATCTAAGTACATAGAACACATACCCTTAATGGTAGTGGCCAGGCCACAGGATACAAAGAAGGGATATAAACTAGCAAAAATAAGGGTAGTGATTGGATTGAGTCAGAGGTGACCAAGGGAGGTTGATAATCTTAGTAGGGGAGGACTAAAACAGTTAAACAGTTTGAGATTTTTTTTTTTTTCTTTTTGAGATGGAGTCTCACTCTGTTGCCCAGGCTGGAGTGCAGTGGTGCGATCTCGGCTCACTGCAACCTCCACCTCCCAGGTTCAAGTGATTCTCCTGCCTCAGCCTTCTGAGTAGCTGGGACTACAGGTGCCTGCCACCACGCCCAGCTAATTTTTGTATTTTTAGTAGAGACAGGGTTTCACCATGTTGGTCAGGCTGGTCTCGAACTCCTGACCTCGTGATCCACCTGCCTCGGCCTCCCAAAGCGCTGGGATTACAGGGGTGAGCCATCATGCCCCACTGAGATAATTTTTTAAAAGCCTGATTAATACAAACCATGATCAGCTAAGAAATTTTTTTAAAAAGTCTGATTAAATTTCTACTATCAGAGTAAAAGTAGCAAATGGTACAACACATGCTTCGATTAGGACCCAAGGATTCCAAGTAAAGTATTTTATTAGTTAAGAAAAGTTAGTGTTAAAACTCTTGCTTTCATTTCTCTTTGTGGTCTACATGTGATTTATATTCATTTTAGTGACATTTAAATAAGTTTTTTAAAAATAAAATATATTATCCTAAGTTTGACAAAATCAGATGGTAGTAATCTAAGTGATATGGGGCTTCATATTTGTCATGTAATCATCAGTTTGGATTCTGGCTGTTCTCAAGGCCATTCTTACTATAATTAATAACAGTATTCATTTATTCACACTCTTAACAAAAATGGAATGCCTCTTATAAGTGAAGCACTTGACAGGGCCAAGAATATCAAGTTAAATAAAGTAGCAACTTGACAGTAGGGACTCACACCCTAGATGAGCCCAACAGAGAGGTACAGAAATTATTACAGTGCGAAGTAATCAGGGTAATAATAAAGATCTGAATAGGCTATGTTAGATTAGACAAGTCATCTGCCTTGGGAAACCAGAACAGTTTCACAGAAGAGGTAGTAGTATACAAACTGGGTCTTAAAGGACAAGCTGCATCCTTCTGGCAGAAAACAGAAAGAAAGACTTTCCAGCAGGTACAAAGGCAGAGAAAAATAAACGCAGATCAAGTGTTCTGGGAGTAGTAGTAGGAGGAGGCTAGTAAGTAAGCTGTAAAGAGCTTTGACTGGCATATTAATGGTTGAAAAATTGAAACCTGTTGACAAAGATGTTGTTTGGCCAGGAGTGTTCTTTCGTTTGTTTATATTATGCATTTGAATATCTTTAGGCAGCGTGTGCACTCTCCAGCAGCTGCCAATGCCCACTATATCTTTTGGTCTGTCACCCAGCTGTTTCTCACAAGTCTAGTTCCTCCCTAGACCTATCTGAGTTTATGTTGCCTCTATAAGCCTTGAAGGAGCACTGACAGTTTTAAAGGTGGTGGGGAGACCTAGTAAACTATAGAAAGATAATGGGGGCCAGGCATGGTGGCTGATGCCTGTAATCCCCAACACTTTGGAAGGCTGAGGTGGGAGGATCACTTGAGCCTAGGAGTTTGAGACCATCCTGGGTAACATAGGTGAGACCTTGTCTCTACAAAAATAAAAAATTAGCTGGGCATAGTGGTGTGCACCTATAAGTCTCAGCTACTTGGGAGGCTGAGGTAGGAGGACTGCTTGAGCCCAGGAAGTCAGGGCTACAGTGAACTATGATCACGCCACTGCACTCCAGCCTGGACAACAGTGAGACCCTGTCTCAAAAAAGAAAGAAAGAAGGAAAGAAAAAGGAAAGACAATGGGGGGAAGTTCTCAAAACTCAGTTTAAATAGGGAATCAAAATGAAAATTATAAAGCATTTTATACTTAGGTGAATAACTAAAATACAACTTATACTATGGAATAAATAATAGGAGTTTTTAAAAATGAGATCTATCTAATAGACTAATGTGGAAAGATGACTGAGATATATTATGTGAGGGGAAAAAAGCAAGTTGCAGATTATTTGAGGGGAGGGGATTGTGAGTAGGAGGGTTGGGATGAGAGAGTGAACAGTATTTTAGCCTCATCAGTAGATGTTTCCTTTTTTAAAAAGATTTTATTTATTTATTTATTTGAGACAGTATCACTCTGTCACCCAGGCTAGAGTACAATGACGCGATCTAGGCTCACTGCAATCTCCGCTTCCCGGGTTCAAACGATTCTGTGCCGCAGCCTCTCGAGTAGCTGGGATTATAGGCAAGCACCACCACGCCCGGCTAATTTTTGTATTTTTAGTAGAGACGGGGTTTCACCATGTTGGCCAGGCTGGTCTTGAACTCTTGACCTCAAGTGATCCAGCCGCCTTGGCCTCCCAAAGTGCTGGGATTACAGGTGTAAACCACTGCCCCTGGACTAAAATAATGTATTTATAATTTTTTTTTTTTTAAAGAGGAAAGAATTACTTTTGGGGTCAGGTTGGAAGATATGGATGGAAGAAACTGGAAGCAGGGAGACCAATTATGAAGCAGTAATAACCCAGTTAAAAGACCTAAGCCAATAAGAATACTGTATAGGCCATGCGCCATGGCTCATGACCGTAATCCCAGCACTCTGGGAGGCCGAGGCAGGCAGATCACCTGAGGTCAGGAGTTTGAGACCAGCCTGGCCAACAGGGTGAAACCCCATCTCTACTAAAAATACAAAAATTAGCCAGGCGTGGTGGCAGGCACCCATAATCCCAGCTACTCAAGAGGCTGAGGCAGGAGAATCGCTTGAACCCCGGAGGCAGAGGTTGCAGTGAGTGATCACCCCATCGTACTCCAGGCTGGGAGACAAGAGCGAAACTTTGTCTCATAAAAAGAAAGAAAGAAAAAAAAGAATCCTGTATGAATGTAAAGTATATTTGAGAAATTAGAGATAAAAATAACAGGATATGGTGATGATTGTGAGATGGTAAAGGAAATCAAAGATAACTTTCCAAGGCTCCTAAATTTTCCAATTTTCCTACCTATACTCCAAACAAAATGTAAACTCTGTTAAAAATAATGTTACACAACTGTGGGATATCTTGTCAAGGTGGGCGAAGATGCATGAGTTGAATATCTCTGTTTTCAAATAAAAAATAATTTTCTCTTTACAGTTTCTTTGATTCTCAAGAGATAGCTTTCTACCAATTATCCCCAAAGTTTTCTACTTTCTAACATCCTGAATAAATTAAATGTGAAGTACATGGAACAAAGGAAATAACCTGAATAAAAACTCCAGCACATATAGTGCTTTCAGGGGTTGCAGAATGATAGATATGGATTTGCATCCCACCTCTCCCATTTCTTAACTGTGTAGCCTGGAGCAAGTCACTTCAGCCTCTTTGAGCCTCACTTCCTTTGCCTATAAATAGGGACAATAAAGACCTCAAAGGATTGCCTTAGGATTATATGAAATAAAGACTTTAAATGCGTAGCAGAATATGGGCTCCAGATAAATGCTTATTCCATAAGCAAACTCAGGTCAGAGTAAAAACTGGCATGACTTTTTTTTTTTTAATTGCTATATATCAAGAATCTTAAATATGTACATACTCAGTGTCTATCATACCACTCTGGACCATAATCCTAATAAATAACCCTAAACACTGAAAAGGTTTTATTCACAAAAATGCTCACCATGGCATTATAGATGAAGCCTAAAATCTGAAACAACTTTAATAGCCAACGAAAAGAGAAGAGTTAAATTACTCAGCCAAAAAAAATTACGTTCATAAGATTACATTCAAATTCCTTGCACAGCATTTATTATTATCTTTTGCGTTATAAAAGCAACACATGAATTACCTGTGGAAAATAGAGAAAAGCACCAAGAAAATTAAAATCACCCATAAAATGAATAATTTTTAGTAAAAAAGGAAAATAACAGGCTGGGTGCGCTGGCTTACAACCTGTAATCCCAGCACTCTGGGAGACTGAGGCAGGCAGATCACTTATGGTCAGGAGTTTGAGAACAACCTGGTCAACGTGGCAAAACACCATCTTTACTAAAAATACAAAAATTAGCCAGGCATGGTGGCGTGGCACCTGTAATCCCAGCTACTTGGGAGGCTGAGGAAGGAGAATGACTTGAAGTCGGGAGGCGGAGGTTGCAGTGAGCACAGATCGTGCCACTGCACTCTAGCCTAGGCGACAGAGTGAGTGAGACTCCATCTCGAAAAAAAAAAAAAAAGAAAAACTAAATAGAATAACTGCCACATTAAATGAAAAAGCAAAACTCAAAATTAAAAATGCAGTATGAGGCCAGGCGCAATGGCTCACGCCTGTAATCCCAGCACTTTGGGAGGCCAAAGCAGGCGGATCACCAGGTCAGGAGATCGAGGCCATCCTGGCTAACAAGGTGAAACCCCGTCTCTACTAAAAATACAAAAAATTATCCGGGTGTGGTGGCGGGAGCCTGTAATCCCAGCTACTCAGGAGGCTGAGGCAGGAGAATCACTTGAACCTGGGATGCGGAGGATGCAGTGAGCCGAGATCACACCACTGCACTCCAGACTGAGAGACAGAGCGAGACTCCGTCTCAAAAAAGAAAAAAAAATTATTAGAATAATTTCTACACTTTGTATAATAGGCATGTATTACTTTAGAATCAGAGAAAGAAAACACCAAATGCTTCAAATCTAAGAAAACAACCCAGATGCAAATCACAAAACTAAGGGCCAGTGTACCTTGGATTGGAGTCCCAAATGTGACTCCAATATCAAGATGAAAAAATTAACAGTGAGTCCGTATCAATAAAAACATGTAAAAGAAAAAATTTAAAGATTATAAAGACAACGGGGCCACGGAGTAGAAATTCCGTAATAAATCGGAAGTGAACATCAGCCTAATAGGGGCTTCAAAATGTTCTACTTTTTTTAGACAGAGTGGTCAGGGAATAGAAGAGAAAAAACAGAAAAATCCGTGTTTCCTGACCTCCATGAATTTACTATCTAGTAGAATAGATAAGCAAGTGTGGAGGATGGAAGACTTTCCCTCTACCTTCTGAGGGTTAGGTGATTGAAATAAACAGTCAGCAGTTTAAGGAAAGAAAAATAATACAAATTTGTTACATGTAAGGGGCATCACAACAAGGAAAAGTAAATACCCAGAACCCAGTGAGACTGAGAAGTTTTCTTATATTTCTATAGAAATTATAGAAATATGTTTTATATAATTATATAATTATCATATAAAATTATAGAAATAATTATTGGGGGGAGAGGGGAGGGATAGCATTAGGAGATATACCTAATGTAAATGAGTTAATGGGTGCAGCACACCAACATGGCACATGTATACATATGTAACAAACCTGCACGTTGTGCACATGTACCCTAAAATTTAAAGTATATAAAAAAGAAATAATTATATAATTATACTATAAAATTATAGAAAAATTATATAATAAAATTATAGAAATAATTATATAACAAAACCATAGAAATAATTATATTTCTATATTTCTTATAGGCAACTTAGGGGAGAGTAAACCACGTACACTATTCACTTAAGATATTTTGTGTGTGTGTGTGTGTGTGTGTGTGTGTGTGTGTATACACATATATGTATATATATATCCTGGGCTCAAGTGATCCTCCCTATAGGTGCACACCACTGCACCCGACTTAATGATTTTTGGGAAAAAAAAATCAATGGGCCCTCAGAAGAACAGGTGACAGCTAAGGCTGTCTTTCTGCATGTGATATAGACCTCCAGTCTCATCTCCTGTGATAGGAATTAATCTTCCCTGGTTCATAAGGTTAGCAGGGAAGGGATTCATGACAATAGAGTTCCTTCTTTTGTTTTTTTTTTCAGGCTGGAGTACAGTGGTGCAATCTTGGCTCACTGCAACCTCTGCCTCCCAGGTTCAAGCCATTCTTGTGCCTCAGCCTCCCGAGTAGCAGGGATTACGTGCGCCACCATGCCCGGCTAATTTTTGTATTTTTTAGTAGAGACAGGGTTTTGTCATGTCGGCCAGACTGGTCTCGAACTCCTGGCCTCAAGTGATCCGCCCACCTCAGCCTCCCAAAGTGCTGGGATTACAGGCGTGAGCCACAGCGCCCGGCCTAGAGTTCCTTTTGGAGGATGTGTCTTTAGGTAGATGAAGTAAGTTCAGAGACAGCCCTCCATCTGCTGCTCCCCAAGTGCCTTCAGTTTGAGATCCAATGCAGCATATTTTGGGGTGGCGTTTCCTGAACTTCTTCACAAGCTATACATCTTGCTACACATATCTATAACAAGAAAAACTACAATAAATATTCCAAAAAGTGGTATCCACAAAGTGCTAAAGGAACAAAGAATAAAAACAACATGCTGGGGAATCAGAAAGGCTTTATAGGGTTTGTAGCTCCTAGGATGCATGGGCCTGAAGGATGAGCAGGCTTTCTTTTCTCTGTATAGGATTTCAATGGATGACAGCATTAAAAGAAAAGTTTAAAGAAGGAACAAAGCAACGGAAGCCAGAAAATACTAGAAAAGTGAAGGATCACCAAAATCAAGGCTGCTTGCTTTAAACAGCCTTTTGGCAACACCCAATTTCCCTTGTCCAATTCTTTGCACATCAAGGACCCTTCTTATAGTAATTTGGTCTCTAGAGCAGAGCAGGAAGGGGCTCTATGCAGATCTCTGGATAGGTATACCTCCCACTGTAAATTAATAACCTTGCATGTGGATTTACAATTCAGTCTCCAGAGTTTGGTTAGAGAGAATCAGTCCCCTAGAGCCTGATTACCTCTGAAGTCATGAAAAAAGGAAAAAAAAAAAAAGGAGTTTCAGCCCTTAGAAAACTGAAGGAGGTCACACTATCTGAATCACTACTAATCAGGCAGGTTTTACCCACCTAGAGATCAAGAGCAAAAGATGATGCTTTCGCACCAGGGGCAGTAGGGATGGTACAGTGGAAAGGGCTTAAAAACCACCAACCTGTCAAAGGCAGTGGAAAACTGAGAAGCATCAACAGGTGTTGCATCCCCCAGGCCTTGTGGAAGCAAAGCCTATATAGAACCCACCCCAGCTGTTGCAAAGAAAATCACAATGGAAAATGCCATGTTTCTTACCCACCATTTTGAGTCTGCTGGTGGAAGGGGAACTAAATAAATAAACTACAAGTTGGAGAAGAGACCCAGGAAGCTGTGTATTTAAAAAAAAGGGAATGAACCCTTGGCAGGTGGGGAGTTAGTGAAGCAAGTCCCTTAGAAACAAATGGAAATTAATGGCCGGGCGTGGTGGCTCACGCCTGTAATCCCAGCACTTTGGGAGGCCAAGGCAGACAGATCACTTGCGGTCAGGAGTTCGAGACCAGCCTGGCCAACATGGTAAAACCCTGTCTCTATTAAAACTACAAAAATTAGCCAGGTGTGGTGGCAGGCACCTGTAATCCGAGTTACTTGCCTGTAATCCCAGCTACTCAAGAGGCTGAGGCAGGAGAATCACTTGAACCCGGGAGGTGGAGGTTGCAGCAAGCCGACAATGTGCCACTGCACTCCAGCCTGGGTGAAAGTGAGACTCCGTCTCAAAAAAAAAAAAAAAAAAAGAAATAGAACTATTAAAATTCACACACACACACACACACACACACACACAATCTTTTTTTAAAAAATCAACTATACAAAGTGCTTGAGTGTCTGAAAAACTCAACCATGGCTCAGTGTTTCAAAAACAGACCTGATGCTGTAAGGGGAGAGTTAAGATGATGAGTGTGCTTAGACGGGCTCACAATTAAACAGTATATAGTCTTAATGTCAAAAAGTACAATGTCATTTTTATTTAAAGTTCTCTAACCATACACAGAATCACAAAAACATATTCTATTTACATTAATAAATAGAGCATAAGTATCAAGGTATCACTCAGAGTTTCAACTTTTGGAATTGTAAGTAATGAAAGGACACAAACATTTTTAAAACCACAAACTCCCATTTCAACTAGGGCTGAAATTCTATGTTTGACCATAGGTAGCGAATTGTACACTGGAAATACGGTAAATATAGTACTATCCTGAACCTGACTATAATTATTACATTATTTAGAAACAAAATAGAGAGGTATTTTAGAGTCTACCTACCCCACCCTGAGACAGAGGAAAGGTTCGGTGGGGAGGTGTAAAAACAGAAGGCAGATACACTTTCACTCCTCCTGGAAGACTCTCAGATAGAAGAAACATAGTACTAGCCTAGACATTGCTACAATTATTACATTATCTCTAATCAAAGGAAAGGAGTATTTTAGAATCCGTCTTTCCTTGAAAGAGAGATGAAAGATTAAGGGATAAAAAAAAATAGGGCGGATATGCTTTCACTTCTCTGGTAACTTCTGGATACATGAGATAACTATGATACACATTCAAAACCAAGTGATACTACATGTACAGCATCATTTAATTACACCTACAGAAAGAAAAGAATGGTTTACCTAAAAAAATTAGTGTTGCCACAACTGGTCACTCAGCAGAAAACAAATTAGGTCCCTCATCTCACTTGCCAATTACAAAAATATTCCAGGCCAAGTGCAGTGGCTCATGCCTGTAATCCAAGCACTTTGGGAGGCCGAGCTGAGTGGATCACTTAAGGCCAGGGGTTTGAAACCAGCCTGGGCAAAACTGTGAGACCCAATCTCTTAAAAAAAAAAAAAAAAAAAAAAAGGTGGGGGGGGCACGGTGGCTCACACCTGTAATCCCAGCACTTTGGGAGGCTGAGATAGGCAGATCAGCTGAGGTCAGGAGTTCAAGACCAGCCTGGACAACATGGCGAAACCCTGTCTCTACTAAAAATACAAACATTAGCCGGGCATGGTGGCACACGCCTGTAATCACAACTACGCAGGAGACTAAGCCAGGAGAATCACTTGAACTCTGGAGGTGGAGGTTGCAGTGAGCCAAGACCGCACCACTGCACTCCAGCCTGGCTGACACAGTAAGACTGTGTCTAAAAAAAAAAAATAAATAAATACACCATGGAATACTATGCAGCCATAAAAAATGATGAGTTCATGTCCTTTGTAGGGACATGGATGAAATTGGAAATCATCATTCTCAGTAAACTATCGCAAGAACAAAAAAACAAACACCGCATATTCTCACTCATAGGTGGGAATTGAACAATGAGAACACATGGACACAGGAAGGGGAACATCACACTCTGAAGACTGTTGTGGGGTAGGGGGAGGGGGGAGGGATAGCTTTAGGAGATATACCTAATGCTAAATGACGAGTTAATGGGTGCAGCACACCAGCATGGCACATGTATACACGTGTAACTAACCTGCACATTGTGCACATATACCCTAAAACTTAAAGTATAATAATAATAAAAAAATAAAAATAAAAATAAATAAATAAATAAATAAAAAGCTGAGAATCATGTTGTGCACCTGTAGTCCCAGCTAATCAGGAAGCTGAGGCAGGAGGACCAACTGAGCCCAGGAATTTGAGGCTGCAGTGAGCTATGACTGCACCACTGTACTCCAGCCTGGATGACAGATAAAACCACTCAAAAAAAAAAAGGCTGGGTGCGGTGGCTCATGACTGTAATCCCAGCAGTTTGGGAGGCCAAGGCGGGTGGATCACCTGAAGTCAGGGGTTCAAGACCAGCCTGGCCAACATGGCGAAACCCCGTCTCTACTAATAAATAAAAAAAAATTAGCTGGGTGTGGTGGTGCACGCCTGTAATCTCAGCTACTGGGACTGGAGGCAGGAGAATCACTTGAATCTGGGAGAGAGAGGTTGCAGTGAGCTGAGATCGCGCCACTGCACTCCAGCCTGGGCAACAGAACAAGACTCCGTCTCAAAAAAAAAAAAAAAAGAAAGAAAGAAAGAAAAAAAATTCCCGCCGAGCGCGGTGGTTCAGGCCTGTAATCCCAGCACTTGGAAGGCCGAGGCAGGCAGATCACCTAAGGTCAGGAGTTCGAGATCAGCCTGGCCAACATGGTGAAACCCCATCTCTACTAAAATTACATGGTGGTGGACGCCTGTAATCCCAACTACTTGCGAGGCTGAGGCAGGAGAATCGCTTGAACCCAGGAGGCAGAGGTTGCAGTGAGCCGAGATCACACCATTACACTCCAGCCTGGGCGACAAGAGTGAAACTCTGTCTCTAAATAAATAAATAAATAAATAATTCCATGCCAGGCACGGTGGCTCACACCTGTAATCCCAGCACTTTGGGAGGCCGAGGTGGGTGGATCACCTGAGGTCAGGAGTTCCAGACCAGCCTGGCCAACATGGCGAAACCTAATCTCATGCATGCCTGTAGTCCCAGCTACTTGGGAGGCTGAGGCAGAAGAATTGGTTGAACCTAGGAAGCAGAGGTTGCAGTGAGCCAATATCGCGCCACTGCACTCCAGCCTGGGCAAGAGTGAGACTCCGTCTCAAAAAAAATAAATAAATAAAAATAAAAAAATAAATTCCAGATGTACCAAAAATCTAAAGGTAAAAATAAACAAAAATGTTGGCTGGGCATGGTGGCTCACGCCTGTAATCCCAACACTTTGGGAGGCCAAGTCAGGCAGATTGCTTGACTGGAGTTCAAGACCTGCCTGGGCAACATGGCAAAACCTATCTCTATACAAAATACAAACATTTGCCAGACGTGGTAGTGTGCATCTGTGGTTCCAGCTACTTGGGAGGCTGAGGCGGAAGGATCACCTGAGCCCAGGGAGGTCGAAGCTGCAGTGTGTTGTGACTGTGTCATTGCACTCCAGCTTGGGTGACAGAGTGAGACCCTGTCTCAAAAAAAAAAAAAATGTTTTTTAAAGTATATTTATATAGGTTCAAGATGGGGATTCCTTCCCAGTCAAGTAATCCTAAACTATTAAGAAAAGTCAGGCCAGGCACAGTGGCTCATGTTTGGAATCTCAGCACTTTGGGAGGCTGAGGCAGGCAACTGCTTGAGCCCAGGAGTTCCAGACCAGCCTGGGCAACATGGCGAAACCCCATCTCTACAACAAATACAAAAACTAGCCAGGCCCGGTGGCGCATGCCTGTAGTCCCTGGGAGGATTGCTTGAGCCCAGCAGTGAGCTGTAATTATGCCCCTGCACTCCAGCCCGGGAGACAGAGCAAGACTCTGTCTCAAAAACAAAACAAACAAAAAGAGGCCCGATAATTCTGATAACATAAAATTCTTATTTTTCTGTATAGCAAAGCAACCCATAAAAAAAGTCAAGAGGCCAGGCCCGGTGGCTCACGCCTGTAATCCCAGCACTTTGGGAGGTCGCGGTGGGCACAGATCACGAGGTCAGGAGATCGAGACCATCCTGGCCAATATGGTGAAACCCCATCTCTACTAAAAATACAAAAAATTACCTGGGCGTGGTGGCACACGCCTGTAGTCCCAACTACTCGGGAGGCTGAGGCAGGAGAATCGCTTGAACCCGGGAGGCAGAGGTTGCAGTGAGCTGAGATGGAGCCACTGCACTCCAGCCTGGGTGACACAGCGAGACTGTGTCTCAAAAAAAAAAAAAAAAAAAAAAAAGTCAAGAGACAAGTGAAACAAAATACAACCCACTACGCAGGTGAAGGAGTTAATATCCATGCACAGAACTTGCAGAGAGTGGTAAGACAACTCCTATTTTTCTCAAATGAGCAAAAGATATCCATAAGTAACAAATAAAAGAAATGAAAAAGCCAGTACACATGGAAAAAAAGGACAAATAGTCATGAAAATTATGGATATTGTTTTTCACCCATCAGATTGGCAAAAATGAGAAAGACTGATGATACCAGTGAAGGCAAGGGTAAAGAGAAACAAGCACCCTGAGTACTGTTGGTGGGAGTAGGAAATGCTATACACCTACTGGAAAATAACCTGGCATTATGTAATAAAATAAAAAATACATATACTTCTTAACCGAACCATTTCAACCCTGGATTGCTAAACTACAGAAATAAAACCTGGATTACATAAAAATATGTATACAAGTATATTAATGACAGCATTGTCTATACTGCCAAAAAAACTTTAGATAACCTGAATGTCCATTAACAGGAGGAATAACTGAATAAATTATGGTACATCCATTCTATGGAATATAAGGTAGTTACCAAAAACGATGAGTAAAATCTGTAAGTATTGATCCCCATGGTATACTGTCAAATGAAAGAAAAAAAAGGCAGGGTGCAAATATTGTGCAGTAGGACACCATTTGCTAAAAAAAGAGGGAACTCTTTGTATACGGTTGAATGTTTTCATGTTTTTTGTACTAGCATTAAGAAAGATGAGCAAAGAGATTGCTGGTTTTTCTTGTGTAAACCTTTGTTTGACATTTTGCAAATTACAAGCTTTGCTTTTATAACCAAAAAAAGGAAAATCCATGGGTTTCTTTTTTTGGTCTGTTTTATCTACAATACCCATATACGTGACGGTCCCAAGGTCTCTGCAACTTACATGAGCCAATAATGATTTAGGAACACAAAGAGGACACCAGATTAGGAAAGAAAAGCCAGAGATAAATGCATACAACCCATAAACTAATTCTAAAAAAATAAAAGGCCCATTTTAAAACACAAATAAAATTACTATTCCACTAGAAAGTGGGGGAAAAGCTGTTTTCATGCCTTGGCTAAACATCTGAGTAATTTGTCAGCATGGCTTCTGCTGGTGAAGATGTCCACCTATGAGAACCTTATCAACAAAACTCTCAATCAACAGGATCCTGACTCCTTTTTTTCACATCTCACCTTAAGGTAGCACTTGGCTTTGTTACTGTTTTCCAAAAAAGGTTTCATTTAATGGATCAGTACTGTATTTTATAGGATATCTGAATCAAAAAGTATTTAGAAAGAGATGTATTCGTGGAATCTAAAATTAAGAAGTGTGTTTTCAATCACTTCAGAAACTCATTCATCCAACCCTCAATTACTCATCCTTAAAAGGGGGCGCCCTGCTAGGCATTACTCAAAACCAAGCATGCCTGAAAACATCTTAAACATAACTGAATGAAAATCTGCCCAATCACAGGCCAGCTGCTTGCAAACTCCACCCTTGAGTACGGGAAGAACACTTTTGATTGGAAGACAGTTGTGTTTACTACCGTGTGTGGTGCAAATTGGAAAGGTCCACATGCCTACGGTCCAAAGGAAATCTCTCTTAATGAGAAAAAAAGAAAACGGCCCATTCTCATCCTACACTGGTCATTGTCATTAATAGAACCTCAACAAAATACCAATTCTTGAACAATTTTGCAAGCTGGTGAAAAAATCTAAAGGCTCTGAGTTTTGGTCTGGCTGTTTTCTCATCTATGTCCCTGGATATACATGTAAGACAAGCATAAATGTATTCTCAAAATACAAACCTGCCTTTGCTTCTACATTCACACAGCCCTATGCAAGACCTCAACACAGCTGTAATGTTCTTTGCTTTAATTTCCAAGAATCACTGCAACTTTTTACTTGGTTTGAGAACCCAGTTCCGTGGGATCAGTGGTAAAATTATTCAGTATTTAGCTTAGTGGGTGTCCAGCAAGGAAGTGAGCTCCAAAATCCTCTGCCCTTAGGGAGCACAGCAAACGACAAAGTGAATGGGGAGCCATTTCAGGTGCAGAGCTCATTAGCAATTCATCTGATGGAGGAAACGAGACGACCACTGCAAGAACCAGAAAAAAATCCCAATGAATAGCTAGGGCAAAGTAGGCCTTCGGTCAAAGTATGCATATAATAGTGGATCTTAAGTATGTTTTGCCTCCAAGGTGGTAGAATGAATCTGAAATGGACACTTCTTTTCCCATCCCAGCCATCTTTTAAAGAAAGCGCAGAGGAATAGAGATCCAAATCCCAGTCTTAATCATCATTCCATCCCCTTAAATTTTTAGTATCTTTTTGCAAATTTGCCCCACTGAGGCCTTATAAATGTCCTAGTAACGTTTCTTATACAGCATGAAGAAAAATCAAAGCAAATGAACCCAAGTAGCAGAAGCAAAGCCTAAGCCATCCACAAAAAAAATCCATAAAGCTTGTATATTAGTGAAAAAGGACAGTCTAACACCGTTGATCAATAGGAAGAAAAATGAACATCGGAAGCCTACAACATTACTTCCAAATCTCACAAACTGCGTTCCCGTTTATATCTGCAAAAGCAAGTTCATCAAGAAAATTTACTTTCTGCTTGCTGATCTATTACATTCCAAAAGACCACCCCCTGCCCCAACACGCACACACACCATTTTTCATAGCCTTATCTCACCAGAGAAGCTAGGGCCCCTATCAAAATGAGGAAATAAAGTGGCTTGCCAAAACTCAAACACTATATTTTACCGCCACATTAACGAGAATAACACATCATGATCCCGAATGCTAGTTAAGTTGTATGACTGAACAACTTTAATCACAAAACACACCAAGGCATTCAAAAAGGGCCAAGCCCAAACACAAAGTTTCAAAACAAAACCTCTCCCAAGGTTGGGGGAGTAGCTGAGCTGGGAGCAAAAAGCACTACCCAGCAGCCCCGTTCGGCCACTAAGAAAGATCTCAAACTTAACAAAAACAGCCACAACTGCAGCTCCTGTCACCCAGAAGCGTTAAGGAAAGGAGAGGAGAGCTCGAGACAGTGCCGAGAGCTGGCCTTTCTGGAGACCGCCAGGCCGAGCCCAGCTCAGATGAGGAAGTAACTGCCAGATAAAAAAGCCCCGACCAGCTCCAACTGCAGCCTCCGTGCCTCCCATAACTGCCCACATTCCCGCCCCACTTGGGGCTCTGGGAGAAAAGGAACAGGGCGCAGGTCTCCTGGGAGAGGCTGGGGACCACAGGTCCGCGTCTTCGAGAGGGCAGCGGCAACACTGGCCGAACTCTGAGGCTCCCGGGAGCTCAAGATTCGAGAGCCTGCTCCGAAGGCGTGTTGGGGGGAACGCCGAGAAAAGGGTCGCCCAGGAGGCGGGGCCTGCTGGCTGCAAGCAGCAGCTCCGGACGCCCTGGCCGCCCCCCGGGGGAAACCGGGGCGCACACCCCGACGCGGAAGCCATGCCGGCAAGCGCTCGGGGTGCGGAGGTGCCGGCGGGGGGCGCTAAGGAGACCCGGGGGCACGGAAATGGGTCACCCCCATCCCACCGCCCCCTCACAAAGGCCCCCGGGGAGGCCGCCCGCAGGCCCCGCAGCCCCGGCCTCGAGTGCCCGACTCGGCCGCCACTCACCGCTAGGTCCTGGGGCACCGCCCCGCTCATGGCCCGCACCGTGCCGGCCCGCCAGGCTCGAGTGCGCAGCGCAGGCCCCGGATCTCCGCTCGCCGCTGCCGCCGCGGGAGCCGAGGCCGAGGCTGAGGCCGCAGTGTCCGCGAACAGCAGCAGCAGCCGCTTGCCCACCGGGGAGGCCGCCGCGTCCGCCATCGCCGGGGCCGGCCTGACCCGCGCTCCCGCCCGCCGCCTCCCACCACCTCCGCCGCCAAGCGCCCGATCCGCCCGCAAGGCCTCCCTCCGCACCACCCGCGGCCGCCGTTCCCCCCCACCCCCCCCAACAGCCACCACCAACCACCGGCGCAGCGCAGCGCCCCCCGTGGCCGGGAGCGGAGCCGCAGCCTGGGCCCCGCACAGCGCCCCCCGCGCTCTGGAGCGGGGCGACAGCTCCTGGCCCCTCGCAGCGCTCCGCCCCAATCTCCCCGGGGCCTGCAGTGCCCCCTGCGGTCTGGAGGGGAATTGCAGGTCCGGCCGGGGTAGGGAAGTGGGCGGGTCCTTCAGCTTCCCCATGGCATCATCCCTGGTCTCAATCTTCCTTCAGGGAGTCGTATATATGAGAGGGCTTTAGCTTGCTCTCCTCGGATACCAAAGACATTTACGGGGTAAGGGGGTGAGGGGCAAGGTACCTAGAGAGTGGATGTTTTGAGCTATTTAGTGTCTCCAATACCCCCATTGATTTCCTATCCTGAAAATATGAGCTCCTACCTGCTGTCTTGTAGGAAATGTTCTCCCCATTGGTCCATGAGACACAATGTCTTCCTTCTCAATGGCCCATAACAGCACCATCCCATTCTATACTGCCAGCACTTCTTAGGTTCCTTTCCAATTGGCCAATGTATTACTTCCATTGGATGTATAATGCCACTCTTTCCACTGACTGAAGGCCAACGTGCCCCCCAACATCTTGGTGTTTTTCCTAAAACCGACCTAACTTCTTCCCCTTCCTAGTCTGCCAATGTTATTAAGTCTACGTGTTTCTCCATTCAACTCTTAGGGGAACTGGAAATAGACCAACAGTAAAGGGGTTCTCTTAGTAGCACTCCATCTTACCATGGAATTAGTGGGGCTGGGGGCAAAGAAAATTCTGTAACTCTTATCTGAATGCATTTAATACAGGTGTGGGAGACTGATAGCTCCTGATTAGAAAAGGAGCCTGCAGAGAAAGTGAGATGCTGAGATTTTTGGCTAGATTGTTACCCACAATAAGCAACAGGAAATTGCCTCAATCATTTAAAGCTGGCAATATCAGGGACTAGCACATTCCATGGTCTCATGGATGCAGAGACTGAGTATACACAAAATGGATACAAAAGATAAAGGGTATAGTAATAACCCATGACTGTTGTTCTAAAAGTGACTTTTTGATTTTCCCTACAGACAGGAAATAGTGGTAGCTGGTTCTTTCTCCAAGGCTTCTGTGCCTACCCCAGCTATCTCCTGTCCATAACCTTGTCTACACCCTTGACCTACTTTTCTTGTAACAAAGGCTTGGGGAGAGGGGTAACCAACTATTGACTTTATACTTTTACTAAAGTATAAAACATATAGGAAAATCATTCTAGAACCAACCCTGTGGAGCACCAAGGAAACATTCCTCCCTCCACTTCTTTTTAACTTCCATCTCCCACAGCCAACCTGAGGCCTGACTCAGAATGTTTTTCTGGGCTGAGAGCCACCTCTTAAAGCACATGGCCCATAAGCTGTAGTTGGTAGGAGGGGAACAAGGGTGAATCCATACAAGATCTATCTGCCTTGCAATTTTTCTATCAAAATTATCTGCTGGGATTTTCTCCCATACAGAGATTTAACTACTGCCCCAATGTCCAAGGCTAGTTTCTCACAGCAGAGAGACAGAAATGTACCTAAGTTCACGGATGGGAAAGGCAAAAGGGAAATGCATTCAACAAATGTGACCAGCACTTTTCATGTGCCAGGAACTTCCCAAAGTGTTGGGGACACAATATTGAATAAAACAAAACTCTTGCCCTCATGGAGTTTACGTTCTTTCCTATATTAACAAGACTTCAGGAATGAAAAATAAAATCACACTTGGCCTCACAGAAAATAGCAGAAAAATCCAACAAAAATAAACTCAAAAGAAAAAAAGGGGGAAACAAAGTCATTTTAGATGTTCAAACTTTACCCCTGCTCAAGCAGTAGGTGAAATGAAACATCAGTTTTAAAGAAAAAAAACCCTGTAATTCTAAGCTTCTTTAACCACATGCCACTGCCCACCACTTCCCCAAAGCCCTTCCTTTGTTTCCAGGGCAGGTGACAACCCTCACTTTTTCTAGGGTGTATGTGCACCCCTGCAAAGATTCCTGCTCCAGGTAGTCAAGTCAGTCCTGTCCTGCACACACTTCATTGGTATTCAATGATGAGTGCCACCAATTTGAAGCAGGAAACCAGGACATAAGCTAAGCAACTTGACTCTTCTTGCTGCCTGGCAAATTAGCACCACAACTGGTAAAGAAAGGCTAAGCCTTAGAGACAGAGGCTCCTGCCTGGATCTCTAAGCAACTACACTTCACCCACACACATTGGAAGAATGTCAACATAGAGAGAAGAAAGGGTGGAACAGAAAGGTCTAAAGAGTGAGCCACATAGCTTCTTTTGGCAAACCAACACTCCCAAAGGAAACATTAGGGAAAATACTGTCTTCTACAACAAAAGAGAAGCTTTGCAGCTAGGATTATTTTCCAAAAGCAGTATTTTTAGGATGGAAAAATTGCCTAGGTCTATGGAATCTGAATTCTGATGACTAAACCTCTATCTCTCCAGGATGTAACATGTGAAAACTTAAGAAAGATCCCTGGCTGTCTCCCACCCTGCCTTCTCCCTACTTCCCAAAGCCTACAAACCAATCTAGACAAGTTCCTGACTGTACCATAAACCATTTCTCAGGGAGCTGGAATGCATTCATACTTGACTTCAACTTGCTGGAAGTGAGAGTGACAGCAGGCAGGAGGAGACAAGTATAACTGCCAGGGAAAGAGAGACCAAACCAGACTGCCAAAAATAACCAAGGCCTTAGCAGAAGCCTGGGCCACAGTATAACATCCTGCCATGGCCGGCAAAGGGCCTAGGGTCCAAATACTGCCCCTTTTTGAAAGGTTGACCCACATCTTAGATGAAGGGGCTGGAACAGTTAGGTGGCCTTCTACCCTGCTTCTTCCTTGTCTTTGTGGGGAAGGGAAGAAGACACTGTAGTACACAAGGTTGCTTGGGAAAATGGATTATTCTAATAAAACTTTATTTTTTCAAACACAGCCACAGAGGCAGAACCTCATGTTTAACACACACAGACTTATGGATTTTTCTTTTAATATAAAACAAAGTTTACGAAAATTTTTTTCCACTTTTTGTATTTGTAATCCCATTAGCACAGGGACTTTGGCAGCAGGTGGGAGTGAAGGGCAGCTGAGCTGCCACTGGGCAGTCACTGGGCACAGGAGGAGAGCACCAGCCTGGGGAGTGGCTTCACTCACACACACAGGGATACTCACCTACTGGCCAACCACACTACACACACAGCACAGATGCAGACATTGACCCAGTGTCAGCCACATGCCCTGGAGGTGTGCTCCACTCTGGGTAAGCCCAATATGTGAAAATTCAAATAGTCAAAACAGCTAAAGTGGAGGGAGGTTGCTTGCTTTACAAAAAGAAGCAATCATAGGCTGCTTTTAAATGGTCAGCAGTCCAAATGCATTGAAAAATAGCATTTGGTTTACACAGAACTGTTGGAACAGATCTACTGTGTAAAGCAAAATGAACCAATTCTTGAAAAGTGTTCCAGGGCCACAGGTTCTTAGATTGGGAAGCAAGATGACAGTTCTGACTAGCTTAGTTTTCCAGACTGAAAGTAATGGAATTAAAATAATGATAACTGTAGACCTTCTCCCCTAAGGATGGTGCCCTGGGGCTTTGGGGAAACCAGGATGGAGGCAGAATCACTGCCTCACTTCTTCAGCTTAGGGCCTACAGAAACTCACTGGCATTGCCAGTAACCTGTTGGAAGCTGGCACAGCCAATCTACAGCAGAGAGCCCTGGGATGAGGATGCCCCAGGAGGAAAAGAAATTGGCACCAGGGAAATTATGGCCTGAAGAGGGAGAAGAGCCAGGGGAGGAATGAAACCATAGATGGGCAACTCCTGGGCTCACAGTTTCCCTGGATTCTCTAGAGGGCCTCTCTCAGGCCCCTAGAGACCTGGTAGCCTAGTGGTAACTAGCCAGGAGATAGGGAGGAGCCTCTGAGGGCCAGAGGCTTAAGAAGACATAGCCACCTCCTCTCTGGAGTGGAGACGAGGAGGCTGAAGCCTCACTGATGCTCCTGACATGCAGGAGATCCAGAAAATGTCAGGTTCAATTCCATGAGGAAGAAAACACAAAGACCTTGGTCTTCCTCCCTTACATGAGGAACTGGGTCCTAGGAAACCCTGGAAATTGAAGAGAAAAATGCCCTTCTTGCCATAAACAAGGGCAGGTCAAATTTGGTCATGCAGGGTCTAACCACAGCTGGATAAAACCTCACAAGCTATTGTGGTGGCAGCTTCAGTATGTGTTTCCACTGGTGCCAGCCCTACCAAGGTACTTAAACCCATCACTGTGGCCACTTGGACCAGCTGTCCTGGCTCAAGTTGCGGGTGAGAAACAAAAAAGTAAATTCAATCCAATGACAACCAAACTCCCAACTGCTTCTCACAGCCTTTGCTTTATACATCCTCAGCCAATCCCTCAGTGAGCCCCAACCTCCCTATGGTCTCTCAGGCCCAATTAGAGGCAAATAAACACTTCCTGGCAGGAGTGGAAGACAAGCAAACTATTAAATGCTAAACACCCCTTCTTCCCTCTCAAGCAGGTCAAAAAGGCTGGGCCTGGATCTTGTAAGAATTGGTTTCCTGCAGTCACCTTCCCAACAGCAGTGCTGGGGTGAGCTCACCCATGTCTGCTGGGGACTGAATGCCACTTCTGTTGCAGGTCTGCCTCAGTAGATGCTGGGGACCAATATAGGGCCTTCCTACCTAGTCTATGACTTAGAAGGGCAGAGGGTGAGGGGAAAAGGGTCCCATCAGCAGAGGAGAGAGAGAGAGAGCCCCTCAACCCTGCTTCAGTTGCCCATGTGCTGTGTGCAACTCTACTCAAGAGGGCAAAAGAGGCAGGTGGAATATAGCCTGGACAATCTGATGAGAAAAAAAGGCCAGCTCAGAAAAAATATGGTGACACCCCCCACCTGCATTCCCCAATATACTAGATCGAGCTAGTGGGGAGGGGGTGGGGCTGAAGAAAAGATCATTAGCTGAAGTCACAGCACTTAAAACACCCTGCTGTACCCCAAAATGAAATCCTTTGCAGAGTCGGTGATGCTATGGATTACAAGCCTGGTTCCAGAGCTATTTAGAAAAAAGGAAAACTTGGTGCCCTCCTCTTGACTCCTTGAGCAAACCCAACATCCTGTAAAAAACTCAAGATCCTGGGGGTATCATGATACTCTGCTGTTAAGGAGCAATTGCCTTCCTTCCCTAAGGCTACGCAAACACACCTTTCCACAAGTACACTCCCATGCACGCACACACTCTCACGCAGTTTCTCTGAGGAGGCTGACTCAACCCCCCACCCTGGCCAAATTCTAAGACACAAGTGCCCTTTGAAGCAAAGGGGCTAGTGAAATTCCCCGAGCTGGGGTCGGCAGACCCCTTCCTTCCCTGCCCATTGCTCTCTTGGTGGCAGGGATACTCACACTCAGGGCCGCCATAGGAAGGGTCTGCTCTGGGGCTGTCCCTCCCGCCACCAGCTCCGTTTATCTTGTCCCGGCCAGTCTCTTGGCATGGTCGAGCTTGCTGGAGCGAGAAGATTTCCAGCTGCCCTGAGTCGGAGCCCTCCACTCACCCCCATTCCCAGGCTCGGCCCCCAGCCTTGGGGACTCGACACTTGTTAGTAGCCATGAGAGAGTCAGTCTGTGTGGCCCCAGGAAGTAGCCTCTCAGTTTTAGTTTTCCTCAATCAAATTCAAGTCCAGGTCCCCAAAGTCCCGCTGGCACAGTGTCCGCTTGCTCAGCGCCTGCCGACCCCACCGCACAGCCCCCTCCTCCTCCTCTTCGCTTTCACTCAGCACCTGGGAGGAACCCCCAGTGGGGCTGCAGGAAGCAGAGAGGGGTGGGGGGCTACAGGCCATGAACCATGGTGGAGAGATGCTGCTGCCTTCCCGGGCTGTTTCTTGGAGACAAAGACCTCCTGAGTATGGTTTCTGTCAAACAAACAAAGAAGACAGTTACACCTGAAGGCAAGAATTCTTTAGGGTGAGGTTTGTAAACTTTTTTTTTTTGAGACGGAGTCTCACTCTGTCACCCTGGCTGGAGTGCAGTGGCGTGATCTTGGCTCACTGCAAGCTCTGCCTCCCGGGTTCACGCCATTCTCCTGCCTCAGCCTCCCCAGTAGCTGGGACTACAGGTGCCCGGCCCACGCCCGGCTAATTTTTTATATTTTTAGTAGAGACGAGGTTTCACCGTGTTAGCCAGGATGGTCTCAATCTCCTGACCTCATGATCCGCCTGCCTTGGCCTCCCAAAGTGCTGGGATTACAGGCGTTAGCCACCATGCCTGGCGTTTGTAAACTTTCTGACAAAATTTGGAGCCCATTGTTTCCATTGAATTGAAGAATAGAAGCTCCGTGAGGGCAGGAACATCATCTGCAGTGTTTCATTACTTTGTACTGCCAGTGCCTAGTCAGAGTCAGTAAATGTTTGCAGATGGGATGGACGACTGTATGAAAAAATTAATTAATTCTTAAAGAGGTTTGTAACCTAGTGGTCTAGAAAGAATAATATGAAAAAAGTGAGCAAAGTGCATACATACAATAATTGTACTCACACCAGGAAGTCAAAAAACATTTGTCTAACAGATGAATACACTGTAGCAGCCCATCTTGCTTCAGCCCTCACAGACCCACTTTGAAGCAGTGACAGGCAAGTGGCAAAAACAGCTTTGGGCACAAGGAGTAGGTACTGATGGAATTTTTTGCAGCTTGTGCATTCTTGGAAAGGAGGGAAAGTACCTCTTGCAGGACAATTTGGGATCTCTGTTGGAAGGTTTAACATGGGTCTCACCCCAGTTTCTCTAACTCCCAGGATTAAGGCATTTCACAGGATGGGGGGACTTTCAGTGCTAACACTGGGACAGTCCCAGGCAAACTGGGATGGTAGGTCACCCTAGCTAAGAGCTAAAGGAGGTGCTGTTGGTGGTGGGGGCGGCAGGGTAATGAAGCTAGGGGCTAGCTCAAAAGTGGAAACAGAACAGTCCCCACACTCCCATCTAAGCTCCCCTAGTCTTGCTGGTCCCACCTGATTCATCTTGTCAAAGTCCAACGAAGGCCGCAGACGCCGGGGGTCTTCCTCGTGGCGCCGCTTGACCCCAGTTTTGCGGGCATCCAGATCACAAGGCTGTGAGCGGCTTCGGGGAAGGTTGCGGAGACCTCGAGGTCGCCAGGGCAGCTCTGGGGAGGATGCGGGAGAGCTCCGGGCAGAGGGCAAGAAGCGGCTTGCCTGCGGGCCCAGACTGGGTGACAGGGAGAAGCGGCGCTGAGGTGGGCAAGGTGACAAGGACTCAGCATCACTCTCCCAGGAGCCACTTTGAGGGGAGGCGGCGCAGGGTCGAGAGGAATCTTGGGCCAGGGCCAGGCTGAAGAAAGGAGGGCTGTAGGGTCTGTGAGCTGGGGCACATTGAGAAGAGGCACTGGGAGCTTGGAGGAACCTGAGGCTGGAGACCCGCTTTGGGGGGCTCTGGTGAGGCACCTGCGGCCCACCCCCTCCACCACTGCCCCGGTGCTTTATGGGAGTCCACAGCTTGGAGGGGGCGGGCCGCCACACCGGCTGCCAGCGAGACAGGTCCACGGGCACTGAGAGTGAGCGGCAGTGCCTCTTGGATGGAGGGGCAGGGGGCACAGGAAGCTTCTCTGGATCTGGGGGCTCAGGTCTTAGGACTTGGGAGAAGGGCTGCTCCTTGGGGGAGTTTCCCCGACTGGGTGGTCTGAGGTGCAGGCTCAGGCCTGAGGGATGGTAGCTGAAGTTGAGGCTGTCCTGGAACTCAGCACAGGAACAGTGGGGCAGGCCCCTCCAGGAAGCACCTTCTGGAAGGCATTTATAATAAGAATAATATTAATGATAGCTTACATTTTTTAAGAACTTACCATTTGCCACATAATGTATGGAGCATTTTATGTGAAAATTTCCAAAAACCTTATGAGGTAGGTAGTATCGTTATCATTATCCCCATTTCACAGATAAGAGAAATTCAATAACTTTCCCAAAATCACATAGCACTCAAAAGACCAAAGGAGGATTCAAATCCAGGTCTGTCTGATGCGAAGGCTAGGTTTTTAAACCACTATGCTCTATTGCCTCCATTGTGACCAACTACCTGGAATCAAAAACATTTCATCTACTGCCTGCCACTCCCTCTCAAAGGTAAAAGAAGTCAAGAGAAACAAACACGTTTGTGAGTGTCCTGCTCATCTCTCCCTCGCCCCTCCCCCACGCTTGCCCTGGATGCTGAAAAGCAGGCCTATGCTCTTCTTTCTCGGCCTTTCCTCCTCTCATGTGTCAACAGCACCAAGTCAGGAGTTAGGACTGCCAAGAAGTAAGAGGTAATCAGGCAGGTAAGAGATCACTTTTATTCCTAGGGAGGGCAAACAGGGTGGGGAAGGCCTTTGACAGTGAAACCTGGGCTTGGGAAACCCTGACTTTGTGCTGCTCATCTTCGTTTCTGTCTGGCCACCCACATATTCCGATTCCCTTCCCCTAGGCCTTCTCTTAAATCCAAACAGATGGAGGGACCAAGAGAAGGAAGGGAAAATGGACTAAAAGAAACAATCCTCACTCACTGTATTCCAACCAAAATTGTGACTTTTGGGAGACGGCTCATTAAGGGACAAAGGGCCTAATCCAAACTCCTCTGGCTAGCTGGCTGGAATTCTGCAGGGGCTGGATATTTGGGGCAAACGACAAGTATACGAAGTCAGACTTGATGGTGGCAAAATTCATACTGAGTGTATTTGGTCTATAGTTCTTCCCTCTACTAACCACTATGAGGGCAGGGACCATGAGTTCCTGCTCTATACTTATGACACAATACCTGGCTTTCAGCAAGTCTTTAATAAACAGGAGGAAGAGACTGAATGAACATGTTTTTGCCAACTCACTTCCCTTGCTAGGTATCCCAGAAAAGAAAATGAGATGCAGAACTGCTGAGCAGCACGAGTTAGGGAGTTCTGATTGTCCACCAGTGATGCCTCCATCTAAATGTCCCTACGATCAGGGGCCCTTTAACTCAGTAATTAATAATCTACGAATTTATACCTCAGATATATTTTCACATGTGAAAAAATGACATATGTACAAGGTTATTCACTACAGTTTCTTTTTTCTTTCTTTTTTTTTTTTTTGAGATGGAATCTCGCTCTGTTGCCCAAGCTGGAGTGCAGTGGGTGCGATCTCGGCTCACTGCAACCTCCGCCTCCTGGATTCCAGGGATTCTCCTGCCTCAGCCTCCTGAGTAGCTGGGATTACAGGCGCCTGCCACCATGCCCAGCTAATTTTTGTATTTTTAATAGAGACGGGGTTTCACCATGCTGGCCAGGCTGGTCTCGAACTCCTGGCTTCATGCTATCTGCCCACCTCGGCCTCCCAAAGTGCTGGGATTACAGGCATGAGTCACCACGTCTGGCCCACTACAGTTTTATGTATCCAAACAAGATTAGAAATAACCTAAATGCACATCAATAGAAAACTCATTAAATAAGCCACTGTACATCTATGCAGTGTAATAATATGTAGCTATATATAACAAGGGAATGAATACTCAGCATTCTGATAGGGAAAGATCTCCTAGCTATATTAAAGTTTTTTTTGTTTTTTGTTTTTTTTTTTTTTGAGATGGAGTCTTGCTTTGTTGTGCAGGCTGGAGTGCAGTGGCATGATCTGGGCTCACCACAACCTCCACCTCCTGGGTTCAAGTGATTCTCCTGCCTTGCCCTCCCGAGTAGCTGGGATTACAGGTGTGTACCACCATGCCAGGCTAATTTTTGTATTTTTAGTAGAGACAGGGTTTCACTGTGTTGGCCAGGCTGGTCTCGAACTCCTGACCTCATGATCCGCCCACCTCGGCCTCCCAAAGTGCTAGGATTACAGGCATGAGCCACTGTGCCCAGCAATTTTTTTTTTTTTTTGAGACAGAGTTTTGCTCTTGTTGCCCAGGCTAGAGTGCAATGGCGCAATCTTGGCTCACCGCAACCTCTACCTCCTGGGTTCAAGTGATTCTCCTGCCTCAGCCTCCCGAGTAGCTGGGATTACAGGCATGCGCCACGACGCCTGGCTAATTTTATATTTTTAGTAGAGATGGGGTTTCTCCATGTTGGTCAGGCTGGTCTTGAACTCCCGACCTCAGGTGATCTGCCCACCTTGGCCTCCCAAAGTGCTGGGATTATAGGTGTGACCCACTAGGCCCGGTCCCATTTTTTTTTTTAAAGGTACAAAATAATATATAGTATGCAACCTTTTGTGTTAAAAACGTGGAAATAAAATAGATGCAGCTAACCACCATGGCACATGTACACCTATGTAACGAACCTGCACGTTCTGCACATGTATCCGAGAACTTAAAAAAGAAAGGAAATAAATATATACATTTGCTTCTTTTTATATAAAGAAATTCTAGTCACATATACTGTATAAGAAACTAATACTTTTAGGGAGGTGGTAGAAGCTGGGTAGATAGGGAACGGGAGAGTAAGAGAGACTTTTCTCAGCATAACCTTTTTGTTGTTATTTTTTAAATTTTGAACCATGTGAATGTATTACCTATTCAAAAAATTAGATTATACAAGTCCCCACAAAGCTAGAATAAGAGCAAACCAACCAGATAACTTTCATGCTAGAACATGAAAGACAACTGTCAATCTCAGAAGTTGACCCTGGCAAGAAGGTTCTAGAGGTAGGCTCGCTAGCCCTGGTCACTGGAAACCAATGATAGAAATGTGTGGAGAGAGGAATGGGTACACACACGTACACAAACACACACGATGCCTTACCAGACACAAGCTGGAAAGAGTTCCCACAGTTGGAGATGTCTGCATGATCAGGCAAAGGCTAAGAAAGAGAGAATATCCATCATGATTTGGATTCAGGACACACTGACAGATTTCTAGGAAGCCCTCTTCAGTTCTCCTCTGCGATTCATGAGCTACAGGGATGTTAGGGACATTAAGTGTTCTTCCTCTTGTCTTCCCAAAGTTAGTAAGTCAAACAATCCACATCTTCCAACATCTCAAACCCTTCTCCACCCAAGTTTTGCTGTCCCTTCTCTATCGGTGGAAAAATCCCTGCCCCCTTCCTTTTGGGCTGGGTTTTGAGCCATTAGTGGGCTCTTCCAGGTTAAGTACCATGATTCATACAGCACAGGACAAGAGTAAAGTAATAGCAACAATCAGCCTCAGAAAAAAGGGGGAGGGGGTCGTGGAGAAGCAGGAAGACTGGTCTTTTACCAGACTGATGCTGAAGCGTGTGCATTTCAGCTCATCCAGAGTCTGCTTCTGTAGCTGCTCAGTGATCAGGGTTATCATGATTCTCCCCAGGATTTGACTTGCACACTTTGGAGCAAATGATGGATGTCTTCCCTGTTGTTCTTCCAGACCTCACTTGTGAGCCGTCTTCTGCCACTGCAGCACCATTCTAGCACCATTGGGACTTCCCTCTCCAGTCATGCCTGCTGAGTCTGCCAATTAGAGGGACCAGCCCCAAGTGATATTAGAGATGCACCTGGTCCAGAGATGGAAAATGCATGGCACACATACCACAGCACCCCTAAGCCAGGCCTCTGGCAGACATCAATTGATCACAGCTCTTTCCAGCTAAGCCTAAACACAGCTTCAGAAATTATGAACTTGGCAGTCCAGATATGAAATAAAATAGAGTTGGCAATCAAGTTGAAACTTATTTGCTACCCTTAAACTGGTTCATGCTCTGTTGTTTCTAACTGGAATACCAGCACCACTTAGAAAACAGCTGCTCAAGTGAGAGAGAGGGATGCCCAAATGATTATTTCCATCAAGATCAGCCCAGTATTTTATCTTCCAGTCAGAAGTGAAAAGAGGTACCCTTCTCCTAAACTACAGAAATAGTAATAAGAGAACAAGGAAGAACAGTGGTTGTAGGCAAGACTTTCTGCTTTAGACCTGAGTACATAGGATTTTATGTCCTCCCACAGCCTAAACATCTGATATATTATTGTTTTCCAATAGATACAGTGTTTGTTTTCTTATCAAATGGGAAGATAAAGAAATGGTCAGGGTAATTCCAATACATTTCAACTCTACAGACGTCGTAAACAACAACTCCATGACTGTTCAACTAAGTTTTTAGCCTCATCTGATGCAAAGTCCATGGATACAGTTAACCAAGATTCTTTCTCGTGGTCAACTTCTGATAGAAGCAAACTAACTGTATCAGATAACAGGCTTCAAGCCCACACAATTACCTGAGGGGCCTTGCTCAAGGGAAAAGGGGAGGTTAAGCCAGTGTCTTGATTTTGTTCTATCTATTCCCGGAAATGAGCAGCAAGCTGACAGCTTACCAGAGAATGTGTGTAGCATTAGCTAGTCAAGAGAACAAATCATCAAGAAATCTAATTATTAATCCAATTTGCTAAGAGTTTTGACAAATCATTTAATACTCCTTGGCCTCAGTTTACCCATATGTAAAGTGGGCAGAATAATCTTAACCTGTCACAGGAACAATATAACATATTAAAATGTACAAAATGTACCATCTGACCTATAAAAATCAGGAGTCCACACAGACTACCATTTCTCGTTCCCGTTTGTGAATCTTCAAGGCCTCAGAATGTCAGAAGTAATGAAATCAATAAGATGAAGAAGGCAATAGGGTCCATCTCTCTGGCTGAATACCATCCTCCCTCACCTGCACACTAAGAAAAGCCCAAGAGGGCTCTTCCTTCTGTGACCTTGGGGGCAGATCACTCTACAAAAAAGAGGAATTATCTCTACCCCACTCACACCTTAGAAGGAGGGCACAAGGAAGAGCAAAGAGATAAACCTGGATGTACCTGGAGTTCTCTGGAAGAAAGGTGCAAGAGAAGTCAATCATCATTACAGTTAACTATCATTTTCATGCATAATTATTACCACCCTGAACAAAATTCTAGCTTCCGGGGAGCTCTCTTCAGCTGCTTCCCCTATATTCTTACGGGAGAAGCTAAAGCTTATATCACTTCTGCTCTTGGTTTCTTAACTCTGCTGCCCTCAAAGATCAACCAGAGAGGGAACCTAAGTGCAGGATTTTACCCTAGAGACCCCAGGCCTCAGGCTAACCAGCTATGAGGAGCAGGGAATGAAGCAAACTCTCCAGCTTTTCATGAGGCATTTGGACAAACAGCAAACTCCCAGCCACCTCTAGGATCAAGTCAAGACAGTGAATTTGTGTTTTTCTGCATTTTAATTGTTGGGATGTGGCCACACACAGTGGTAATTGGAACAATGCAACTACCACCACGCAACTGATACTCTCAGCCTGAGTTTCCTAAAACAGGCCAGGCTGCGAGGGGGAACAGAACGGAAGCCATAAGGAATCAAACCAGGACACAAAAGAAGGCAAACCAGCTCCGCGAGGGGCCTCCTCTTTCTCAAGCAGGCATTGAAAAAAGTGTAAGAAGCCCTCTCTTGCCGCCTTCCTTCCCCTTCCATTTTGTGTATCTGAAGGGTAGAGACAGCCCTGAATATTCACTAAACAAGTTAAAACTTCTCAGTTTAACAACTGGCACGGGGCTCAGCCCTTCACAGAGCAGCAGGCCGCTAGGCCCTCTCAGCAACCCCACCAGACCTAACTCTCAGTCCAGGCTTTCCCTCCACCAGCAGCCCCCAAAAATAAAGATCAGACCCCCACCCCATCTCCTATTGGATGGCAGTAACCCCTGACACTCCTGTTTCAGGGATGCTGAGGTTGTGCTGTACCAAGACAAGGTAGGATCAGGTCAGGCCAACAGGGAGGAGAGTCACAAACCCTTTGGGGACCTTCCCCTCAGGTCCCAGCCCCACACCTCCTGGGGAGACTGAAGAAAAACATGAGGAAGGCAGGGAGCTGCATGAACAGGTAGGTGGAGATCTGCCTGCTCTTCTTCCATATGGTTCTGGTGGGGAAAGGGGTGACAAGTGGGGAACACCCCTCCCCCCACCCCCATGAAGAAGCAAAAGGCTAGGCCCCTCCAATCTTCAACCTCTCCCTCTGTTGCCCTGCCTGTCCCCGCGGGGTGGGGCATGGGGCGTCCGCTGGTCCCCGGGGCGGGGGGGGGGGTGCGCCAGGGCTCGCTCAGGGGGGCTGTCGTTCGCCTCTTCCCACTAGGTTCCATCATCTGGCCGCGGGAAGCGAACTCAGGACGCAGGGGATGGGGAGGGTCTGGGACTTAGCACTCCGCCACCCCCTCCCCCACCGGGTCCCGTGCTCTCCCCGCAGAGGCGGCCAGCGAGGCCCGGCCGCGCGGGCGGTCGGGCTGGGGGAGGGGAAAGAGGGAAGGAGGGAGGGACGGTTGAGGTGCCCGCCCCGAGGCCCCAGCGCCACCTGCCCTCCACCACCTACCGCGGTTCCTCCAGCTCCCAGGGCCGCGGCCGGAGCAGCTCTGAGCGCTCGGTTCGCCCCACGGTGCCCTTAAAAGGCGCTGGCGCGAACCAACGAGTCCCTGAGGAGAGTAGGGGGACAGCTCCGGCTCGCAGAATCCCCCCAAGCCACCCATGGAGGGCGCAGCTCCGTGTCGTGTCTCTCTCAAAGTGTCTCTCGGACAGCGCTGTTGGGAACGAGCCTGGCGCTTTGATTTAGGGATGGGGGTGGTTTCCTCACTAACGAGTCACCCCCTCCAAAATATCGCAGAAAGTGGACGGCCCCAGTTGGAGGCACATCTTGAAACCCGCGGGGGAGGCCATGTCGGAAGAAGGTAAACAAAGGCATCGCCCCTGCCCTCCCTCCCTCCAACGGCCCAACTGCAGCCTCCCACTCGGTTCGGGCCGCGTCACGCAATTAGCCACAGTGCCCCTCACCTGCTCTGCTGCCCCGCCCTCCACGACCACCTCTTCGAAGGAATCCCCCTTCCCCCAGCAAAGGACCCGTCCGCGGCGTGAAGGCTGCTGGGAAGTGTGGTCCAAGCGCGGATTAGGGCCTGCTCGGAGTCCCAGGAGCCCCTCTTGCAGCTGCCGGATCGGCCTGAACCTTAAAAACCCAGGACTTATAATGGTTGCGGGGACGTTTCCACTTGGTTCTGTAATTTGCCCTCACCCAGAACACTTTGTAAAGCTCAGGATAGCCCAGGGCTGTTCACTCCCTCTCTTCTCTCTCCGCCCCCTCCCCCCCAGCAGGATGAGGTAATGGGATTGTGATTATGACATCATAGGCGGTTCAGTTGCTTGCGTTTGCCTGGGGGGAGGTGCGGGGAGGTGGGGAGAAGTGCGGTGGTTAGACTTTCCTTAAACAGAAAGGGAAGGAGGAAACAGGCAGATGGGGAAAAGATGTTGACGGCGCTATATTTCCACTTCAGGAAGACAAAACCACCTTTTATTAAGTCTCCACCACTACCACCACCTCCCACATGAGCCAAAATTTAAGTCTTTTTTAAAGAGATTGAATGTAGACGTTAGTGTGTGAAGAGGTTGGGTTGATGGTTTCTGGCTCTTATGTAAATTCGAGTCTCAGCTAGCATCACAGATGGTTTAGGGAGACAAGCAAAAAAGTGGATAAAGGAGAGGCTTTAAACAATGCGTTCGTGTTGTGATCTCTTTGTAATACAAAGTTTTCTATTTCTTTTTTTTAATTGATTGGAAAGTAGCAGTAATGCAAGTAATCTTCACTATTACACTTAGCAGCAAGTCCTCTGAAAGACATCTGTTTTCTGTAAATATTTTGTGCCTTACTCAAGACTGGGACAGGTAAATAGCTGTGATCAGCTGGAAAGTAGAGCCAGTGGCGGGGGTCGTCCTCACTGAGCCAGGGAGGGGAGGAGGCAGGAGCCACCAAGTCTACAAACTGAAAAAGAGTAGAGGAAAAATGAGGTACAGTACTAACTGAGAAAATAGGGGTGGAAAGATTTACCTTGCACTGCTTATTTCCCCTTGGCAAAAGGAGCAGAGTTAGGGGCCATGAAGTAGGGGACACATGGTTTCCAATAATTGCTCTTATGTACCAGACACCATGCTACATTTTTTTTTTTTTGTAAAAACAGGGTCTTGCTGTTGCTCAGGCTGGAGTGCACTGAGGCGATCACAGCTCACTGCAGCCTTGAACTTCTGGGCTCAAGCAATCCTTTCCATCTCAGCCTCCTGAATAGCTAGAACTACAGGGGTGTGCCACCATGCCCAGCATATTTATTTCTATTTTTGTAGAGAGAGGCGTCTTGCTATGTTGCCCAGGGTAGTCTCAAACTCCTGGCCTCAAACAATCTTCCCATCTTGGCCTCACAAAGTGCTGGGATTGGCGTGGTGTCTCACACCTGTAATCCTAGCACTTTGGGAGGCTGAGGCAGACGGATCACCTGAGGTCAGGAGTTCGAGACCAGCCTGGCAACAAAGTGAAACCCCGTCTCTACTAAAAAATACAAAAATTAGCTGGGCATTGTGGCGCCCATCTGTAATCCCAGCTACTCGGGAGGCTGAGGCAGGAGAATCGCTTGAACCGGGGAGGCAGAGATTGCAGTGAGCCGAGATTGTGCCACTGCACTCCAGCCTGGGCAACAGAATGAGACTCTGTCTCAAAAAAAAAAAAAAACAAATGAACAAAAAACGAAGTGCTGGGATTCCAGGTGTGAACCACCACACTTGACCTACATACTTTGATATATATTCTCATTTTTTCTTACAATCATCAAATGAAACAAAACCTTCTCTTTGACAAATGAAACAGCCCAAGAAGTTAAGTGACTGCCCACATGGTAGGCAAAGGTACTCTCAAAAAGCAGTCTAAAAGCCCTTGCTTTTCACCACTAAGCTGTTCACCTTTTTATTATTAATTAAATTAATAATTTAATTATTATGAATTAAATGGTTGAGTTAAAAGTAGGCATTGGCTCATTTGCAAAACATTGAAAGAAACTGAGACCCAAAACAAAACAAAAAAAACAAAACAAAAAAAAAAACCCTGCAAGTCAAGTTTCAGGCCTCATTTCAAAGGAAGGTTACATCCCCTTTCGTCATCTATAAAATGGCCTCCCAGTGCAGCCCAACACTCCTACCCATAATTAAATCTCCTTATTCCACTTTTAGTTCCCAAGGATTTTTTACTCATGTCCTGCTCTTTCCCTGCTGCCCCCTTTTTAGTCTTTTGTTCTTGAGCCACTGCTTTGAACTGCATCTTAATTATGCCCTCATGGGCCAAACCCCATCTGTGACCCTGCTCCAGTGGGTTTCAGCAAAGGATACTCTCCATCCATATTCTGAGGGCTCCAGGGCCTGGAGCCAGTCATCCAGGAGGTCATCCAAAGGAGTGGAATCCATTGGTTCTAAGACTCTTCATTCCCTGCCTAGGAAGGAACAGCCGAGTTGGAGGAACATGCACTCGATTCAGACCTTCCCTTTTCACCCAGTGAAAGCTAAACCTCTGCAAAGTGGGGAGAAGTAGGGCTAAGCCTACCAGTCATAAAAAGAACCAGGAATAGAAAACACACCCCTCAGCCCCTCTGCCCTGCAGAGGCTGGCTGGGAGGATCCCAGGAATGCAGGGCTCTTCTCCACTGCCTGATCTGGGCATCCCAGGAGTGATGGCTGTACCTCCTGTTCTTGTTTGGTGTTTCAGGGTGAAGCCCGGGCTGTCACTGTGCCCTGGCAACAACATGTATGAGTCAGACTGAGGTCAAGGTGAAGGAACACAGCTCACTGCTTATCACAGTGAATCAGGAGCCTAGATAGGGATTCCCCAAGGATGACATAGGATCAATGCCCTCAATCCAACAGAAAAAGTAAATCTTCAAATCAGATTAAACACCAAACTTCCCACCTCCCTAATATTCTTTCTTCTGGGAAGGATAACTTAGATATATTCCAACACCCTCATAAATCAAGATATAAAAGACAATATTTGACTTCCCTTTAAAATAATTCTACCATTTCACAGTTTGTATGTATGCATGTAAACTTACATGTAATTAGCTAAGTATGTTGCAATTAGCTAAGCCAGCTGGAATCATGAGGAGATAGTGAAAATGTTTGCTAGGAAAACAACCTCATTAACAAACGTAGAGCTTTTAAGAGTTTTGTTGGCTGGGCATGGTGGCTCACACCTGTAATCCCAGCACTTTGGGAGGCCGAGGTGGGTGGATTACCTCAGGTCAGGAGTTTGAGACCAGCCTGGCCAACACAGCGAAACCCTGTCTCAACTAAAAATACAAAAATTAGCCAGGTGTGGTGGCGCATGCCTGTAATCCCAGCTACTCAGGAGGCTGAGGCAAGAGAATCACTTGAACAGAGGTTGCAGTGAGCTGAGATTGCGCCATTGCACTCCAGCCTAGGCAACAAGAAAGAAACTGTCTCAAAAAAAAAAAGTTTTTTTGTTGTTGTTTTTAGGAGACAGTCTCACTATGTTGCCCAGGCTGGCCTCAAACTCCTGGGCTCAAGTGATCCTCCCAAGTAGCTGGGACTACAGGCGCACCACTGCATCTGTAAAAAGTCTTAAGGGCGGCCGGGCGCAGTGGCTCATGCCTGTAATCCCAGCACTTTGGGAGGCCGAGGTGGGTGGATCATTTGAGGTCAGGAGTTCCAGAACAGCCTGGACAATATGGTGAAACCCCACCTCTATTAAAAATACAAAAATCAGCCAGGCGTGGTGGCGGGCACCTGTAGTCCCAGCTACTCGGGAGGCTGAGGCAGGAGAATAACTTGAACCCAGGAGGCAGAGGTTGCAGTGGGCCAAGATTGCGCCACTGTACTCTAGCCCGGGAGAGAGCGAGACTCCATCTTAAAAAAAAAAAAAATACTCTTAAGAGCTAGGTGTATAAGTTCCATTTGAGAAATCTCAGAAACTTATTTTTGGGGCTAGATTTTTGGAGAATTTGTTTTAGGAATGCTGCAACTTTGTCAGAGTGCTCAGATTTTAGTATATTTCCATCACCTGACATTGAACTAAAGCCACTTGGCTGACACCTTTGTTGTGACCACCCACAACTGCACTTACTTGAGGACCTGGTGCAGAAAGCACTGGTAGCCAGGTGTGCACTTGCCATAATCTATCTGCTTTTGCCACCAATAGAGAATAACTTTGTCTCTACTTCCCACCTGCAGGGAAGTATACAATTTCCCACAAAGTGTGATTATACTGTAGTCGTCAAAGCAGATAACAACTCATCCCACACTCCCTTAATCCCCAGCCTGATTTTCAAACTCACCTGGCATAGCAAGGTTCTGTGCTAACTCCTACACTCACTGTCTGTATCCTAGAGGACAAAGAATCTTCACACATCTCCTTTCTGGGGAAGCAGGTTCTGCAGATGAAAAGGGTATTAGGATAAAAACCAGCTGGCTACACTGTGCCTCTCAGCCACTACCACCACCAAGATCCTGACAACAGACACAAGTTGCATTTTGACTTTTGTTTCTCAAAGCATGATCTGCAAGCCGTCTGCATGGGTAGCACCTGGGGGCCTTGATAATGACCCCACTTTAGACCTATCGAATTATCGTTTTTGGAGCCTACATCTTAAAGAGCTTCCAAGGTTATTTTGAACATTTTTATTATGGAAATTTTCAAATATACATTGAAGTAAGAAGTATGGGGTAATACCTTACCACGCAAAGTATGGTCGTAGGACCAGCTACCTCACCATCAGCTGGGGGCTTGTTAGAAGGGCAGAATCTTGGGCCGCAACCGCAACCCAGACATCCCGAATCAGAATCTGCATTTAGCAGGTCCTCAGGTGGTTAGTGTGCAAATTAAACCTTGAGAAGCACAGATATGATGGACCCTCCTGCCCCCATCACTCAACAGTCAGGGTCAATCTTGTATCATCAATACCTTCCCCCAGCACAGGATTATTTAAAAGCAAATCCCTAACATTAGGAATGTCTTTTTGTTTGTTTCACTCTAATGCCCAGGCTGGAGTGCAGTGGCGCAACCTCTGTCTCCCGAGTTCAAGCAGTTCTCATGCCTCAGCCTCCCAAGTAGCTGGGATTACAGGTGTGTGCCACCACAACCGGCTAAATTTTGTATTTTTAGTAGAGACGGGGTTTCATCATGTTGGCCAGGCTGGTTTTGAACCCCTGACCTCATGTAATCTGCCCGCCTCGGCCTCCCAAAGTGCTGGGATTACAGGTGTGGGCCAACGCGTCCGGCCAATAATTTATAAATATCACCTCGTCAATGTTCAAATTTTCATTAATAACCAATCTTTGAGGTCCTCTGGATTGCGATAAGGATTATACCAAGATGATTTAATTCCTCCACTTTCCCTGCAACGGAATTTCTTTTTACCCACGTGAGCTAGAGTCTCTGAGATGCTGCACACTAAAAGAAACACCAAACAAAGCTCTTGGAAGGGGCTAATGCCTCTCAGCATAAACACACACACCCGTCTCGCCCCAACACTTGCCACGCCGGCAGCAAACGCTCCATCTCCCGTGGAAGGCCAGCAAAACTTAGAAGAAAACGTCCGCGAAAACGGCACGAGAAAGAAGCGAAGAAAATGAAACGCTTACAACACCCTCCACCCAAAATAATCTCTCCTAGTATTACCCTAGTGAATGGACATCACTAGTAAGGCGCGGTTTAAATCTCCCGGGGTTCGTGGGGCTGAGGGAACGAGGAAAACAGAAAGGGTGTGGAGATTGGTGAGAGGGAGAGCCAATGATGCGCCAGGCTCCCCGTGAGGCGGAGCTTACCCCGCAGCCTGCCTAACGCTGGTGGGCCAAACACTATCCTGCTCTGGCTATGGGGCGGGGCAAGTCTTACCATTTCCAGAGCAAGCACACGCCCCCAGGTGATCTGCGAGCCCAACGATAGGCCATGAGGCCCTGGGCGCGCGCGCGGAGATTGGCTGACGCAGCTTAGAGGCGAGCGGGGATAGGTTACTGGGCTGGCGGAAGGTTTGAATGGTCAACGCCTGCGGCTGTTGATATTCTTGCTCAGAGGCCGTAACTTTGGCCTTCTGCTCAGGGAAGACTCTGAGTCCGACGTTGGCCTACCCAGTCGGAAGGCAGAGCTGCAATCTAGTTAACTACCTCCTTTCCCCTAGATTTCCTTTCATTCTGCTCAAGTCTTCGCCTGTGTCCGATCCCTATCTACTTTCTCTCCTCTTGTAGGCAAGCCTCAGACTCCAGGCTTGAGGTAAGTCCGCAGCCGTCTCCGCCACGGAATCACGGAGACCCCATTGTCCCCCTTAGGGTCCAGTCGGGCCCCCACAGACAGAGGTTGGGAGGGCCGAATGGGGACTATCGCGAGTTACGAGACCCGGGTTCTTTCTAGTCAGGAGTCTCGAGCTGTGTGGCGTGGAACAAGTCAAAATCCTCTCTTCATTCCATCTTTAAGGTCCTAAGGTTGCCTCTCGTCGGTGAATTCAGGTTCTAACCTTAAGCCAGGCTGTGAATCACCCTTCGGGGTTGCCCCTCTTCCAGTGTTGATTCGCCTGGCTGGAAAGGGTGGAGGAGTTTAGGAAAGCTGAGGGAACTGTGATGTACCGATTTAGATGACGTTTTCCTCCTAGCTAGGTTTTGTTTTTCTCCTGGTGAGAATTCGAAGACCATGTCTACGGAACTCTTCTCATCCACAAGAGAGGAAGGAAGCTCTGGCTCAGGACCCAGTTTTAGGTCTAATCAAAGGAAAATGTTAAACCTGCTCCTGGAGAGAGACACTTCCTTTACCGTCTGTCCAGATGTCCCTAGAACTCCAGTGGGCAAATTTCTTGGTGATTCTGCAAACCTAAGCATTTTGTCTGGGTAAATATACTTTTATTTTTACACTGTATTGCCTTTGCTATTTCCAAACAGTTGGGTTTGTTTGTTGGTTTGTTTTCAATTATCCCGGCTCAAAGGTCAGGCTTTAAGTCTCAACTCTGCCCTTGACTGTGTAACCCTTTTGAGTCTCACCTTCTTTTCTGTGACAAGAAATAATCTCAGCCAGGCGAGGTGGCTCATGCCTGTAATCTCCGCACTTTGGGAGGCCAAGGAGGGCGGATCGCCTGAGTCTAGGAGTTCAAGACCAGCCTGGGCAACATGGCAAGACGCCGTCTCTACAAAAAATATTAAAAGTTAGCTGAGTGTGGTGGTGTGCACCTATAGTCCCAGCAACTCGGGAGGCTGAGGTGGGAGGATTGCTTGAGCCCGGGAGGTGGAGGCTGCAGTTAGCCAAGATCGCCTCACTGCACTTCAGCCTGGGAAACAGAGTGAGACTCTATCTCAAAAAGAAAAGAAAAGACAAAGAAATAATAATCGCTTCCTATCTTACTAGGATCTTGTGAGAATCAAATGATGTGATAACTGGGAAAAGTCTTTGAAAACCGCTGCATTACGAGTCGGTCACTTTATTAGTATTAATATTAGTGTTATTGCAGTTGTACTTTGAATTCTGATCATACCATGTCTCAACTAGCAAAGAGAAGTAGTACCTGAGAAAAACTAGGGACCCCAGGGAGAAATCAAGCCTGTGTTCATAGTGCTCAGGACCGGGAATGTGGAGTCAAGATCCCCCTCGGCCAATAAACTCTGGGCCTCATTTAAAAAAAAAAAAATTATCTGTTTCAGTATGTTGGTAAGGAGAAAATAAAGTACAGATTATGGTAGTGGGAGATTTTTCTCAGCCCAGTCTGATATATTTCCCAAAAGCAATTAGATTTATTTGGACACTGTTCAGATGATCTGATAGTCATTAAGGGGTGTTTCAAATGAACAGGCTTGGCCAGGCGTTGTGGCTCACACCTGTAATCCCAGCACTTTGGAAGGCCGAGGTGGGTGGATCACCTGAGGTTAGGAGTTTAAGACCAGCCTGGCTGACATGGTGAAGCCCCATCTCTACTACAAATACAAAAATTAGCTGGGCGTGGTGGCAGGCGCCTGTGATCCCAGCTATTTGGGAGGCTGAGGCAGGAGAATCGCTTGAACCCGGGAGGCGGAGGTTGCAGTGAGCCAAGATCGTGCCACTGCACTTGAGCTGGGGGGACAGAGCAAGACTCCACTGCAAAAAAAAAAAAAAAAAAAAAAGAAGAGGATGACATGATCTTTGACTTTTAAGGATATAATAATCTAATGGGAATTTCGATGTACTATTATGTCTCAACAGAGGAACCCCAAAACGTTGCCTCGATCTTTCGAATCTTAGCAGTGGGGAGATAACTGCCACTCAGCTTACCACTTCTGCAGACCTTGATGAAACTGGTAGGGAGAAGGGAGATAAAGGCCTCAAAGGGAAGAATAACTTTTAAGGGAGAAAACAGGGAAGGAGGATAGAGACGGAAGGTGGTGAAAGTATAAAAAGAATCTGCCTAGAGAGATGGAATTTTGTGGGTAACTAGAGGATTTTTGAGAATGATTAAGCCAATGGGAAGAGAAAGATAATAACACTAATAGGAGCTACTTTGCATATGAAAATGTTAGACAAGTAGGAATATATTTTGTTGACTGATTAATGGTGGGAATGAAAGTATAGTCATTAGGATATGAGAAGTTTTGTGCCTCAGTCTAATCTCAGCAGAGGCAAAGAAACCAGCATAAAGAAATATGTTGTTGGCCAGGTGCAGTGGCTCATGCCTGTAATCCCAGCACTTTGGGAGGGCAAGGCGGGCGGGTCACGAGGTCAAGAGATCGAGACCATCCTGGCCAACATGGTGAAACCCCATCTCTACTAAAAATACAAAAGTTAGTTTGGCATGGTGGCACGTGCCTGTAGGCCCAGCTACTGGGGAGGCTGAGGCAGGAGAATCTCTTGAACCCGGGAGGTGGAGGTTGCAGTGAGCCAAGATAGCACCAATGCACTCCCGCCTGGCGACAGAGCGAGACTGCATCTCAAAAAAAAAGAAATATGTTGTCAACTAATTTTTATATGTTTTATATGAAATATTCCAAAAGGAATGTTTCATAAGTTAACCTTCCAGAATTCTAATTTCAGATTTTCTGAGTGATAACCTTTCTTTTCTACCCATAAGAAAAAAAAAAACTCCATAGGTAGCATAGTGTAGTGTTTCCCAACACTTGATTTCTTTTAGTGACACATATAAATTCTTACGTTTCTGTGAAATTGTACCTTGTACCATGAAATGGGTACCAATCGAGAGGCTTTGTATTCAAAAGCTCAGTCCTTGAAATTAATACGGCTTACTGGTAATGAAGAAAATCTGAAGGAAAAACAGGATGCATGGACAAGAATAACTCCTTTTACTGATTCTTTATATTTGATTGCAGGTCACCTGGATTCTTCAGGACTTCAGGAAGTGCATTTAGCTGGGATGTAAGTTCTGTTGTTAAATGAACCCCACACAAAAGCCTTTTAGCACTGGTCATAGAGATTTTATCCTGTGCAGACTCTGCAGAGTACAAAACCTTTCATACTGGGTATAAGTGGGCTTTGAGGCCTAGTTCCTTACCTTGAACAGTTTCTAAGTTTTCCACATCTAAATAGTGTTGTGAAAATGAAGGCTATTCATTTTAACCATCATAATCAGAAGTATCTATAAGGAAATGAAGGAAAATGGTATACTACACTTATGTATAGGCTTTTATTTGTATGTGAAAGGTGCTGTATCTTAGTAATTGAAAGTACAGAGTGGCCGGACACGGTGGCTTACATCTGTAATCCCAGCACTTTGGGAGGCCAAGGCAGGCGGATCAGTTGAGGTCAGCAGTTCAAGACCAGCCTGCCCAACATGGTGAAACCCCGTCTCTACTAAAAATACAAAAATTAGCTGGATGTGGTGGCACATGCCTGTAATCGCAGCTACTTCGGAGGTTGAGGTAGGAGAATTACTTGAGCCCAGGAGGCGGAGGTTGCAGTGAGCCAAGACTGCGCCACTGCCCTCCAGCCTGGGCGACAGAGCGAGACTCCGTCTCAGAAAAAAAAAAAAAAAGAAAGTACAGAGTATAAGCTCTGGAATCAGTGTGTGGATTCCTGGCTTACTACTTCATTCACCAGTTGTGACTCTGACAAGTTTTTTTTAACTTCATTGGACCTTAATTTTTTTTATTTGTAACGTGGAGACAATAATAGCATTTCTCATAAAGTAGCTATTGTAAGGAGTAAATAAACTGTGTATCTAGCACATACCAAGCATTTTACTTATGTATTTATTTTTATTTTTGAGATGGAGTCTGGCTCTGTTGCCAAGGATGGAGTGCAGTGGTGCCATCTTGACTTACTGCAACCTCTGCCTCCCTGGGTTCAAGCGATTCTCCTGCCTCAGCCTCCCGAGTAGCTGGGATTACAGGCGTCCACCACCACGCCCGGCTAATTTTTGTATTTTAGTAATACAAAAATGGAGGCTTCACCATGTTGGCCAGGCTGGTCTTGAACTCCTGACCTCAAGTGATCAGCGCCCCACCCCCACCCACCCCTTGGCCTCCCAAAGTCCTGGGATTACAGATGTGAGTCACTGGGCCCAGCTTGAATTGCTTTAAATGCTCTAACCCAGATAGATAATGAAATCCATGGAGGGAGGATAGAAATTAATTTTTTTTTTTTTTTGAGATGGAGTCTCGCTCTGTTGCCAGGATGGAGTGCAGTGGTGCGATTTTGGCTCACTACAACCTCCGCCTCCCGGGTTCAAGTGATTCTCCTGCCTCGGACTCCTGAGAGGCTGGGACTACAGGCACATGCCACGACGCCCAGCTAATTTTTGTATTTTTAGTAGAGACAGGGTTTCACCATGTTGGCCAGGACGGTCTCTATCTCTTGACCTCGTGATCCGCCCGCCTTGGCCTCCCAAAGTGCTGGAATTACAAGCGTGAGCCCCCGCGCCCAGCCTTTTTTTTTTTTTTTTTTTTTTGAGACGGAGTTTTGCTCTTGTTGCCTAGGCTTAAGTGCAATGGCGCGATCTCGGCTCACCACAACCTCTCCCTCCCGGGTTCAAGCGATTCTCCTGCCTCAGGCTCCCAAGTAGCTGGGATTACAGGCATGCGCCACCATGCCTGGCTAATTTTGTATTTTTAGTAGAGACGGGTTTCTCTGTGTTGGTCAGGCTGGTTGCGAACTCCCAACCTCAGGTGATCCGCCTGCCTCGAACTCCCAAAGTGCTGGGATTACAGGCGTGGGCCACAGCGCCCCGCCAGAAATTAAATTTTTTTAAAAAGTTAGCCCCGGCCGGGTGCGGTGGCTCACATCTGTAATCCCAGAAGTTTGGGAGGCTGAGGCGGGCGGATCACGAGGTCAGGAGATCAAGACCGTCCTGGCTAACACGGTGAAACCCCATCTCTACTAAAAATACAAAAAATTAGCTGAATGTGGTTGCAGGCGCCTGTAGTCCCAGCTACTCAGGAGGCTGAGGCAGGAGAATGGCGTGAAACCGGGAGGCAGAGCTTGCTGTGAGCCGAGGTCGTGCCACTCCAGCCTGAGTGACAGAGCCAGATTCCGTCTCAAAAAAAAAAAATTAGCCCCAATACACTGTGCTGGAAAATTAGTAAATTGTAAATTGTATAAAACTCGTTCATCTTTGGAACATGTTATATGGTTATGCAGGCAAAATGAGGGTCTTATCCCCAGGATGTCACTTGAGTCTTGATATTTACCACAGAGAATACCCTATGTATTGTTGTTGGAAGAGACATATCAACTAGGAATAGGGCTCCTAGAATGAAATAGAAAAATGTTGGGATGCACCAATCCACTGAAGAATAATCAAACAGTATTTGGGACTAACCTGACAGGCAGTTTGTTTTAATCTGCAGGAATCATGACCAGCACCTAATGAAATGTAGCCCAGTGAGTAGCCTCTCTTTTTTTGGGTTTTGTTTTGCTTTTCAGGTGGGAGGCAGAGGGTTTCCATTGCACCTGTGGCTTGAGGATGCTGGACGTTCTCAGCAAACTCTCTTTTTTAGGCACAGCTTCTTTGTAGCACTCCGAATGGTTTGGACCGTGGCCATAGAAAGAGAGATGCAATGTGTAGTTCATCTGCAAATAAAGAAAATGTGAGTGTTTAATGGAAACCTAGATATATTGGCAGTTTTATTTTTTGAGTGAAGAAACTTGGTATCATAATGAGACATAGAACTGTTTATACCTCGTATGCTAGACAAGGAAACTGTATTACTATAGGGGAGAAAATTTCTTTGTTTTTGTTTTTTCTTATTAAAGTTTGGCCCTAGGACAGACACCCAGCTCCAAATCTTCCACAGTAGGTCATCATTATTTCTCATGTTCAGTTGATCATTTTGAGGACAAAAATTACCCTTACTGTAGTGTAAGGGATTTAGGAGTTTTTTGTTTGTTTGTTTGTTTGTTTTAACAGGTAGGGATAACTTGCATAACTTGTTCATGGATTTTTTTTTACCACTTTACATGCAAGTGTAGATTAATTTCTTATTTCCCCCTTAGTCTAGCTTTTAAGCCCTTATTCCGAGGAGGCCATGGTACTTTTTATCTAAACCTTAGGCCATCCGTCGTTCCAAGTTAAATCTAGCCTCTCCGGAGCCACCTCATCACTAAGATAGTTCTGTATCTAATCCCTCATCTAAGCCCCTTTTCTAGACATCGTTTTTTCTTCCCTGCCTCCCATCCCTTTCCCCAAATCATTACCATAAAAGATAGCTGCTCTTCTTTTCTTACATTGACTTAAGATAAACTCATGTTTTCGGCTGTTCTTATCAGTTTTTTCTTGATTTAATACTGTCCTTCTAATCTCCATTTATAATCACTTTTTATTCATTTATTTTTGAAACTGAGTCTCGCTCCATCGCCCAGGCTGGAGTGCAGTGGTGCAATCTCAGCTCACTACAACCTCTGCCTCCCGGGTTCAAGTGATTCTTGTTCCTCAGCCTGCCAAATAGCTGAGACTGTAGGCACGTGCCACCACGGCCCAGCTAATTTTTGTGTTTTTAGTAGAGACGGGGTTTTGTCTTATTGGCCAAGCTGGTCTCAAACTCCTGACCTCAAGTGATCCACCTGCCTCGGCCTCTCAAAGGGCTGAGATTACAGGTGTGAGCCACTGCCTGGCCTATAATCACTTTTTTTTCTTTTTTTTTGGTGAGACAGAGTTTTGCTCTTGTTCCCCAGGGTGGAGTGCAGTGGTGCAATCTCGGCTCACTGCAACCTCTACCTCCTGGGTTCAAGCGATTTTCCTGCCTCAGCCTCCCACGTAGCTGGGATTACAGGTGCGTGCCACCACACCCAGCTAATTTTTGTATTTTTAGTAGAGACAGGGTTTCACCATGTTGACCAGGATGGTCTTGATCTCCTGACCTCGTAGTCTGCCCTCCTCTGCCCCCCAAAGTGCTGGGATTACAGCCGTGAGCCACCATGCCCGACAGCATCAATATTTTTAAAGTTTTTTTTTTTCCTCTCCCTAGAAATAAGGGTCTCACTATGTTGCCTAGGCAAATCTTGAACTCCTGGGCTCAAGCCTTAAGGTTTTGATACTTTCTCCGATTCATTTCTAAAAAAGTTACAAGAATTTACATTTTCATTAGCAATCCAAATCTCATAGAATTTACTTATTTATTTATTTATTTATTTTGAGACAGAGTCTCACTCTGTCACCCAGGCTGGAGTGCAGTGGCGCAGTCTCAGCTCACTGCAACCGCTGCCTCCCTGGTTCAAGCAATTCTCCTGTCTCAGCCTCCTGAGTAGCTGGAACTACAGGCGCATGCTGCCACGCCCAGCTAATTTTTTGTATTTTAGTAGAGATGGGGTTTCACCATCTTGCCCAGGCTGGTCTTGAACTTCTGAGCTCAGGCAATCCACTTGCCTCAGCCTCCCAAAATGCTAGGATTACAGGTGTGAGCCACCCTGCCCAGTCTTCTCATGGAATTTGTTTTTTTTTTTTTTTTGAGATGGAATCTTGCTCTGTTGTCCAGGCTGGAGTGCAGTGGGACAATCTCAGCTCACTGCAACCTCTGCCTCCCGGGTTCAAGAGATTCTCTTGCCTCAGCCTCCTGAGCAGCTGGGACTACAGGCGTGTGGCACCACGCCCAGCTAATTTTTGTATTTTTAGTAGAGACGGGGTTTCACCATATTGGCCAGGCTGATTTGAACTCCTGACCTTGTGATCCACCCACCTCGGCCTCCCAAAGTGCTGGGATTACAGGCATGAGCCACCATACCTGGACTTCTCATGGAATTTTTTAAAAAATTACTTTCTGCTGAGCAGTCTAGTTTGAGGGAAAATGCTAATTAGGCCAGATGTTGTGGCTCATCCCTGTAATCCCAGCACTCTGGGAGGCTGAGGTGAGAGGATTGCTTGAGTCCAGGACTTTGAGTTCCCTAGCTGGGGAACACAGCAAGACCACATCTCTACCCCACCCCCCAACCAAAAAAAAGAAATGGCTGGGACTTGGTGGTGCATGCCTGTAGTCTCAGGTACTCTGGAGGCCAAGGCAAGAGGATCGCCTCGGCCCAAGAGCCTGAGGCTCCAGTGAGTTATAATTGGGAGGATTGCTTGAGCACAGGAGTCTGGGGCTGCAGTCAGCTGAGATGGAGACTCAGTCTCAAATAAATAATACACACACACATACATACATGGTAAAATAGTTTATTTTATGTTAAAAATAATTAGCAGGCCAGGCATGGTGGCTCATGCCTGTAATCCCACCGCTTTGGGAGGCTGAGGCAGGTGGATCACCTGAGGCCAGGATTTGAGACCAGCTTGGCCAACATGGCAAAACCCTGTCTCTACTAAAAATACAAAAATTAGCCAGGCGTGGTGGCACCTGGCTGAGAAACAAGAATGGCTTGAACCTGGGAGGCAGAGGTTGCAATGAGCTGAGATTACACCACTGCACTCCAGTGCAGTGAATGGACAGGTGACAAAGTGAGACTGTCTCAAAAAAAAAAGGAAAAAAAAATAAAAATAAAAATAATTAGTAGTGGCTGGGTGCAGTGGCTCACACCTGTAATCCCAGCACTTTGGGAGGCTGAGGCAGGCTGATCACTTGAGGTCAGGAGTTCCAGACTAGCCTGGGCAACATGGTGAAACCCCATCTCTACTGAAAAAAAAATATGAAAATTAGCCAGGGCCGGGCGCGGTGGCTCACGCCTGTAATTCCAGCACTTTGGGAGGCCGAGGTGGGCGGATCACGAGGTCAGGAGATCGAGACCATTCTGGCTAACATGGTGAAACCCCGTCTCTACTAAAAATAGAAAAAATTAGCCGGGCATGGTGGCGGGTGCCTGTAGTCCCAGCTACTCTGGAGGCTGAGGCAGGAGAATGGCGTGAACCCGGGAGGCGGAGCTTGCAGTGAGCCGAGATCGTGCCACTGTACTCCAGTCTGGGCGACAGAGCGAGACTCCATCTCAAAAAAAAAAAAAAAAAAAAAAAAAAATTAGCCGGGCGTGGTGGCAGGCATCTGTAATCCCAGCTACCCAAGACGCTGAGGCAGGAGAATCAGTTGAACCCAGGAGGCAGAGGTTTCAGTAAGCCGAGACTGCACCACTGCACTCCAGCCTGGGCGACAGAGCGAGACTCTGTCTCAAATAATAATAATTATAGGCCGGGTGCTGTGGCTCACGCCTGTAATCCCATCACTTTGGGAGGCCGAGGCAGGCGGATCACAAGGTCAGGAGATCGAGACCATCCTGGCTAACATGGTGAAACCCTGTCTCTACTAAAAGTACAAAAAATTAGCCAGTCGTGGTGGCGGGCGCCTGTAGTCCCAGCTACTCCGGAGGCTGAAGTAGGAGAATGGCGTGAACCCGGGAGGCGGAGCTTGCAGTGAGCCAAGATCGCGCCACTGCACTCCAGCCTGGGCGACAAAGCATGTCTCTGTATCAAAAAATAAAATAAAATAATAATAATAATTAGTAGTGATTTCATGTGATTATTATCCATGCGTAATTTCTCTAGTGTCTTTTGTGCCCTTATAATACTGGGGTCTTAACTTACCCAGGCATTGACTTGCCTTTCATAGACCATGGACTCCAGAGATTTGGATTATTATTTCTAATCTCAACCCTGAGGGAAAGCTATTTTAACATATTCTATCCTATGAAGATAAAGTTGATCATGGTTTTTTTTTTTTTTTTTTTTTTTTTTTTTTTTGAGACAGAGTCTTGCTCTGTCACCAGGCTGGAGTGCAGTGGTGCGATCTCAGCTCACTGCAACCTCTGCCTCCTGGGTTCAAGCAATTCCACTGCCTCAGCCTCCCCAGTAGCTGGGACTATAGGCGTGCACCACCACACCCAGCTAATTTTTTGTATTTTAGTAGAGACGGGGTTTCACCATGTTGGCCAGGATGCTCTCGATCTCCTGACCTCGTGATCCACCTGCCTCGGCCTCCCAAAGTGCTGGGATTACAGGCATGAGCCACCGCGCCTGGCCACTAAGTTGATCATGTTTTATTTAGGTTTTTGGTTTCTAGGATGGAGGGAAGACCTGGAGTATGTTCAATTATTGGATAGTCTTATATGTGATTTTTTTTAATTGCAGTAAAATGTACATAATATTTACAATTTTAACTATTTGTGAGTGTGCAGTCTAGTGACAGTAAGTATATTAATAATGTGAGACTATCACCAGAACTCATTTCCAGAATTTTTTCATTATTCAAAACAGAAGCTGTATACCCTTAAGTGATAACTCCCCATCCCTGTTTCTGCCCAGCCAATGATAACCTCTATTTTCTGTGTCAGTGAATTTGACTATTCTAGATACCTCATATGAGTAGAATAATATTATATTTTGTCCTTTCATGTGTGTGTGTGAGGTCTCACTCTGTCACCTCTGCTGGAGTACAGTGGCACAATCATAACTCACTGCAGCCTCAAACTCCCGGGCTCTGATTATTCTCCCACCTCAGCCTACCAAGTAGGTGGGACTGCAAGTGTGTGCCACTATGCCTGGCTACTTTTTTTTTTTTTTTTTTTTTTTTTTTTTTGAGACAGAGTCTCACTCTGTCACCCAGGCTGGAGTGCAGTGGTGCAATCTTGACTCACTGCAACCTTTATCTCCCAGGTTCAGGTGATTCTTATGCCTTAACCTCCCTAGTAGCTGGGATTACAGACGTGTGCTACCATGCCTGGTGAATTTTTTTGTATTTTTAGTAGAGACGGAGTTTCACCATGTTGGCCAGGCTGGTCTTAAACTCCTGGCCTCATGTGATCTGCCCACCTCAACCTAATTTTTTTGTATATTTTGTAGAATCAGGGTTTTGCCATGTTGCCCAGGCTGGTCTCAAACTCCTGGGTTCAAGAGATCCATCTGCTTCAGCCTCCCATAGTGCTGGGGTTACAGGTGTGAGCCACTGCGTCCAGCCTATATTTTCATTTAGCGTAATGTCTTCAAAGTTCATCTATGTCATAGCATGTATTAGAATTTCATTTCTTTTGTATGTATATATCATATTTTGTTTATCCATTCATCTGTTGATGGACATTTTGAGTTGTTTCCAACCTTTTGGCCATTGTGAGTAATGCCGTTATGAACATAGGTGTACAAAATCTGCTTGAGTCCTTGCTTTTATTTTATTTTGTGTATTTTTTTTTTCCAAGATGGAGTCTTTGCCCTGTCACCCAGGCTGGAGTGCAGTGGAACGATCACAGCTCACTGCAACTTCCACCTCCCTGGTTCAAGCAGTTCTCCTGCCTCAGCCTCCCAAGTAGCTGGGATTACAGGCACATGCTACCATGCCCGGCTAATTTTTGTATTTTTAGTAGAGATGGGGTTTCAACATGTTGGCCAGGCTGCTCTCGAACTCCTGACCTCGTGATCTGCTGGCCTCGGCCTCCCGAAGTACTGGGATTACAGGCGTGAGCTACTGCGCCCGGCCCCTGCTTTTAATTCTTTTGGGTATATATTCAGAAGTAGAATTGCTTGATTACATGATAATTCTACATTTAATTTTTTGAGGAACTGCCATGCTATTATCCATAGAATGCCTCTGCACCCTTTTACATTCCCACCAGCAATGCACAAACACTTGTTATTTCTTATAATGGCTATCCTAATGGGTATAAAGAAGTATCTCTTGCAATTTTCATATGCATTTCCATAATGATTACTTTGTTGAGCATCTTTTGATGTGCTTATGGGCCATTTGTATATCTTCTTTGGAGAAATGTCTATTCATGTCCCTTTTGATTGTTATTGTTGTTGTTACTGAGTTGTAGGAGTTCCTTATATATTCTGATATTAATCTCTCATCAAATATAAGACTTGCAAATGTTTTCTCCCATTTTGTGGGTTGCCTTTTCATTCCCTTAATGGTGTTCTTTGATGCACAAAAGTTTTCCATTTTGATGAAGACCAATTTATCTGTTTTTTTCTTTCGTTACCTGTGCTTTTGGTGGCATTATCCAAATCCAGTGTCATGAATTTTTTCCCTTATCTTTTCTTCTAAGAGTTTTATAGTTTTAGCTCTTACATTTAGAACTTTGATATATTTTGAATAGTTTTTAATGTTGTCAATATACTTGACAGGACAATGGAAACTTGGTGGACAGTGAAATGAAATATTTGGGCAGTCCCATTACTACTGTTCCAAAATTGGATAAAAATCCAAACCTAGGAGAAGACCAGGCAGAAGAGATTTCAGATGAATTAATGGAGTTTTCCCTGAAAGATCAAGAAGCAAAGGTAAAGTGTTCTGTGGTAGTATCTTTGTATTCTTCATATTCCTTCATTCTGTTAAAAGAAGAACTAGACAAATTAAACTTAGGAGAGTTTATTTGAGCAAAAAAATAACTAGTGAATCCAGCAACCCTCATAGCCAGAACATGTTCAGTAAAACTCCAGTTTGCCATGTGGTCAGGCAGTATTATGGACAGAAAATGGAAATGAAGTACAGAAAATAGAAGTGAGGTACAGAGACAGCCCAGTTGGTTGCAGCCTTGAGTTTGCCTTATTTGAACATGGTTTAAACAGTTGATTGCTTGTGGTTGACTGAAGCTCAGCTGCTGTGCTTTCCTGAGACTCAGCTTTTTGATACAAAAGTATACTTCTAAATTAGGCTTTCAGTTAGTTTAAGTACTAAGTTAGGTTGCAACTTGGTATATAAAGACTCAAGTACAGAGGCATCCCCAGGCCAAATTTAGTTTAATTAAGAATTCATTCTTCTTTTTTTTGTTGTTTGTTTTTTTTAAGACAGATTCTCGCTCTGTCGCCTAGGCTGGAGTGCAGTGGCGCCATCTTGGCTCACTGCGACCTCCTCTTCCCAGGTTCAAGCGATTCTCCTGCCTCAGCCTCTCGAGTAGCTGGGATTACAGGTGTGCACCACCACACCCGGGTAATTTTTAGTATTTTTAGTAGAGACAGGGTTTCACCATGTTGGCCAGGCTGGTCTTAAACTCCTGGCCTCAGGTGATCTACCCACCTCAGGCTTCCAAAGTGCTGGGATTGCAAGCGTGAGCCACCATGCCCAGCCAACAATTCATTCTTGAATAAACATTTTATGCCTGATATGTATGAGTCACTCTACTAAATGCTAGAGCTACAGAGATCAACAAGATGTGATAACCTATCTTTATTTATTTATTTATTTTTGAGATGGAGTCTTGCTGTGTCACCTAGGCTGGAGTGCAGTGGTGGTATCTCAGCTCACTGCAACCTCCGTCTCCTGGGTTTAAGTGATTCTCTTGCCTCAGCCTCCCAAAGCACGCCATCATGCCTGGCTAATTTTTTGTAATTTTAGTAGAGACGGGGTTTTGCCATGTTGGCCAGACTGGTCTCGAACTCCTGACCTCAAGTGATCTGCCCGCCTTGGCCTCCCAAAGAGCTGGGATTACAGGCATGAGCCACCACGCCTGGCGTAACCTATCTTTAGACTGTAGGGTTACCTGACTGATAGGTTATCAGGTCACTACAGAAATCTTCTTACTGCTGGTGAACAGGTTCCAGTCAATAGTTTGAGTGGATCACCATCAAAGTAATCTAGGATAAGTAATGTCTCCAGGATAATGGTAATGTATAAATGTATAGAATATACCTAACATTACTTTTCAGGTATTTTATAATACAGTCTTTTGTTTCCTTTTTTCTTTCCCATATCACTGATAGATATACCTGAAGCATGTGGGTTATAGCCTATATGCTGATATGCCAAAGATAGTTTCTGAGGCATTTAGCTTTTTTTGGTTTTTGGTTTTTGGTTTTTTTTTTTTTTTTTTTTTTTTTAGATAGACAGGGTCTTTCTCTGTAGCCCAGGCTGGGGTACGTGGCACAATTAAAGTTCACTGCAGCCTCAATCTCCCCAGGCTCTGGCAGTCCTCCCACCTCAGCCTCCAAGTAGCTGGGACTATAGGCACATGCCATCATACCTGGCTAATTTTTTGTATTTTTTGTAGCGATGTGGTTTCACAATATTGCCCAGGCTAGTCTCAAACTCCTGGACTCAAGTGATTCACACACCTTGGCCTCCCAAAGTGCTGGGATTACAGGCATGAGCTACCATGCCTGGCCTACATTTAGCATTTCTAAATCAGCTTTGTTGCTTTGAAACAAGTAGGGCTATGGGTTTGTCTTTAAAATTTATTCATTTCACAAGGCCAGTATGGTATAGTGGAGTTAGAACAGTTGCATTCTAGTCCTCATGCTTTTATTTTTTTTAATTATTTAATTAATTAGATAGGGTCTTGCTCTGCTCTGTCACCCAGACTGGAGTGCAGTGTTGAACTCCTGGGCTCAAGTAATCCTCCCACCTCAGCCTCCTGAGTAGCTAGGACTATAGGTGCATACCACCATGCCCAGCTAATTTTTAAAATTTTTTGTAGAGATGGGGTCTTGATGTGTTGCCCAAGCTGGTTTGGAACTCCTGCGCTCCAGCAATCCTCTTGCCTTTGTTGCGGGATCTTTAGGGTGTTGCTTTTCTGGCCAGAAACCTTTCTGCCCAGTGGTGCCTTTGCCTGAGTTGTTGTCCTGCGTCGAGGTAAGCAGACAAGTAGAGGGTTAGCAAGACGAAGAGAAGCTTTATTGAGTGTTAGAACAGCTCAGAGGAGACCCACAGGGGGCAGCTCCTCTCTGTAGGCAGTTTGTCTTATCCCGTATTCAGCTCTCAGCAGAGAGGAGGCCCTGGAGTGGGTGGCTCCTCTCTGCAGGCAGGTCCTCCCTGTTGATTTCCCAGCTTTCAGCAGACAGCATAGCTCCTCTCTCCTCTTTGGTTGTCTGATCTTTTCTCCATCCTCTACCCTGCTCTGGCTGAGCCTGGGCCTTTTATGGACCTCAGAGGGGAGAAAGTGCTTCCTGATTGGTTCATGGACTGTGAGAAAAGGCAGCACAAATCCCCATCCAGTGGGTGGGACTAGCAGCCCGGTCCCCAGCCTTTAAGCCCTCCCCGTCCTGAAGGTGGGGACTTACAGGAACCTCCCTTCTACCCAGGAGCCTGTCTGTCTCTCTCAGCAGTCCATGGCACCAGGCTGCTCACACCAAGGTGCACCTAAAGGCCAGCACTGACCACCCTCAGTCCCTACTTGGCTTCCCCTCTTTTGCTTCTCCGTGCCCAAATTCTAGAGGGGGTCAAGGTGGCAGGGTGCTGCCCTGAGGGTGCACACACAGATCCGCCCCCGGACTGTAACAGCACCTGGACTTGCCCCAACCCCACTCTGAGATTGGAGTGGGTGCCAAGAGCAGAGAGAAGTGGGGATATGGGGGTGGTGGGGAGGCCTTCCTGGGCCCCCAAGGGTGCAGGCTGCAGAGACTATTAGGTCCTGCACCTGGGAGGGCAGCTGCAGCTGCACCCGGGAAGGCAGGGATCCTGCCTGCTCCCGGCCCCCACAAGACCACAGGGAGGCTCGGATCTGCAGCCACAACTTGGGCGGCTGCAAGCCCACCCAGGAGGGCAGGGCTTCTGCCTGCTCCGTGGAACAGGAGGCCCAGGTTAACAGCTGCAGTTTGTGTAGCTCCAGCAGCACCAGGGGAGCTCCTGCCCCAACTCAGAAGGGGAAGGGCTCCCGCTAGCTCCATGGATCATGCAGCCCTATCCATACCTCTCTGCTGCAGCCAGTTTGATGACAGCAGCAAGCCCTCTGGAGTTGCAGCTGCCAACACCTTGGCCTCTCAAAGTGCTGGAATTACAAGTGTGAGCCACCGTATCCAGCCTCATTCTTTTATTTACTTGGTGGTATGACTGTTCACAAGACAACCACTTGACCTCAGTTTTTAATTTATAAAATGGAGAGCATGATAAAACAACTACCTCCTTAATAGGCTTGTTGTAAATAAAATATTAAAAGCAGTTTATGTCCTCATCACATACACACAAATGGTAACTGTGTGATGAAGGATGTGTTAATGAATTTCATTGTGGTAATCCTCATGTAATATATACGTAAATCATTATATTGTACTCCTTAAGTATATACAAATTTTATCATTTATACCTCCATAAAATAGAAAAAAAAATTTAAAGAGCAGTTTGTAATACAGTAGTCCTCTGTTATCCACAGAGAATACATTCTGAGACCCCCCAGTGGATGCCTAAAATTGCAGACAGTACTGAACCCTATATATACCATGCTTTTCCCTATGCATATGTACCTGTGATGGAGTTTTTTACTTAGGCATAGTAAGAGATTAACAATAATAACTAATAATAAAATAGAACAATTACAACAACATACTATAATAAAAATTATAGGAGGCTGGGCGTGGTGGTTTATGCCTGTAATCCCAGCACACTGGGAGGCCGAAGCGGGTGGTCAGGAGTTTGAGAGCTGCCTGGCCAACATGGTGAAACTCCATCTCTACTAAAAATACAAAAATTAGCTGGGCGTGGTGGTGAGCATCTGTAACCCCAGCTACTGGGCTGGCTGAGGCAGTAGAATCGCTTGAACTTAAACCCAGGTGGCAGAGGCTGCAGTGAGCCGAGATCGCACCGCTGTACTCCAGCCTGGGCAACAGAGTGAGACTCTAACTCAAAAAAAAAAAAAAAAAAAAGTGCTGGCTGGGCATGGTGAGTCAGGCCTGTAATCCCAGCACTTTAGGAGGTTGAGATGGGCAGATCACCTGAAGCCAGGAGTTTGAGACCAGCTTGGCCAACATGGTGAAACCCTGTCTCTATTAAAAATACCAAAAAAAAAAAAAAAATTAGCCAGGTGTGGTGGCGGGCACCTGTAATCCCAGCTACCCAGGAGGCTGAGGCAGGAGAATCGCTTGAACCTAGGAGGCAGAGGTTGCAGTGAGCCAAGATCGCTCCATTGCACTCCAGCCTGGGCAACAAGAGTGAAACTCTGTCTCAAAAAAAAAAAAAAAAAAAAAAGTGCTATAGGCTGGGAGCGGTGACTCACACCTGTAATCCCAGAACTTTGGGAGGTCAAGGTGGGTGGATCACCTGAGGTCAGGATTTCTAGACCAGCCTGGCCAACAGTATGAAACCTTGGCTCTACTAAAAATACAAAAATTAGCTGGGTGTGGTGGCAGGTGCCTGTAATGCCAGCTACTTGGGAGGCTTAGGCAGGAGAATCACTTGAACCCAGGAGGTGGAGGTTGCATTGAGCCAAGATCACACCGTTGCACTCTAGCCTGGGCAACAGAATGAGACTCCATCTCAAAAAAAAAAAAAGGTGCTATGAATGACAGGACGATTTGAATAAAGGACAGCACTTTGAGAGGCCAAGGCAGGTGGATCACCTGAGGTCAGGAGTTTGAGACCAGCCTGACCAACATGTTGAAGCCTCGTCTCTATTAAAAATACAAAAATTTAGCTGGGCATGGTGTTGGGCACCTGTAATCCCAGCTACTCAGGAGGCTGACACAGGAGAATTGCCTGAACCCAGGAGGCAGAGGTTGCAGTAAGCTGAGATTGTGCCGCTGCACTCCAGCCTGGGTGCGACAGAGCAAGACTCCATCTCAAAAAAAAAAAAAAAAGAAAGAAAGAAAGAAAGAAAGAAAGAAAGAAAAAGGGACATAGGTGTTTGGGAGGATATTATTTTTGACTTTACCCTGAGTAACTGGAGAAATGGTGACAACAGTATAATGAATTTGAAAAGAAGGGTGGATTCAGCGGGAATAGATGTGTTCTGTTTTGGACATTGAGTTATAGATGCTAAGGAGGAAATTTAGATGGAAATACTAAATGAGGAGTTGAAGCTATCAGGATGAGAAATGTACATTTCTGGGGCAGCTGTATAGAGGAGAAAATGGAAGCTAATGACTCTAAGTTTAAAGTGAAGAGAAAGGCTGGGAAGAAAGAGCAGTAGCCACTGTGGGACTGATAATGAAGTAGACACATATAGGAATAATATTAGCCAGGAATCAGAAAGGAGAGATCTAGGACACAAATACAGGTGGCACATTTATATATTAATTCTTTTTATACATTTTTTGTTATGGTAAAACAAAATTTACAATTTTAATCATTTTTAAGCATACAGTTTAGTGGTATTAAGTGCCTTCATTTTATTGTGAGTGTACTTACCCATCTCTAGGATTTTTTTATTACCCCAAGCAGAAATTCTCTCTTTTTTTTTTTTTTTTTTTTTTTGTGAGATATAGTCTTGCTCTGTCGCCCAAGCTGGAGTGCAGTGGCGCAATTTTGTCTCACTGCACCTCCACCTCCTGGGTTCAAGTGATTCTCCTGCCTCAGCCTCCCGCGTAGCTGGGATTCCAGGCATGCCCCACCGTGGCCGGCTAATTTTTTTTGTATTTTTAGTAGAGACAAGGTTTCACCATGTTGGCCAGGCTGGTCTTGAATATCTGACCTCAGGTGATCTGCCCTCCTCAGCCTCCCAAAGTGCTGAGATTACAGGTGAGCCACTGCACCTGGCCCCCAAGCAGAAATGCTGTACCCCATAAACAATAACTCCCCATCTTCTCCCCCTTCCCCAGCCCCTAGTAACCACTATTCTATTTTCTGCCCTCTATGAGTTTGCTCTAGGTACCTCATATAAATGGAATTTTATCATCCTTTTATCTCTGGCATATATCTCATAGTGTAATGTTTTCATTGGTAATCAGTGTTGTAGCATGTATCAGAATTTCATTCTCTTTAAAAAAAATCAGTTTTATGTTAAATTGTAAAATGCACATAACCTTTATCATCATAACCATTTTCAAGTGTATAGTTTAGTAGTATTACATACATTCCCATTGTTGTGTAACCAATCTCCAGAACTCTTTTAATCTTGGAAAACTGGCACTCTGTGCCCATAAAACAACTTCCCATTTTCCCCTTCTCCCAGCCTCTGGCAACCACCATTCTACTTTCTATAAATTTGATTATTCTAGATATCTCTGATAAGTGGAATGATACAGGGTTTTTTTGTTTTGTAACTGGCTTATTTCAACTAGCATAATGTCCTCAAGCTTTATCTATGTTGTAGCATGTATCATAATTTCATTCCTTTTTATGGCAGAATAATATTCCATTGTATGTATATATCACATTTTGTGACATTTGGGTTTCCATCTTTTGGCAATTGTGAATATTGTTGCTATAAAAATTGGTTTACAAATATCTGTTTGTGTCCTTGCTTTCAGTTCTTTTACTTTTTTGGAGACAGGTCTCACTCAGTTGCCCAGGCTGCAGTGCAGTGATGTGATCATGGCTCACTGCAGCCTTGAACTCTTTGGCTCCAGCAGTCCTCCCTTCTCAGCCTCCCAAGTGACTGGGATTACAGGTGTGAGCCACCACACCTGGCCCTGCTTTCAGTTCTTTAGGGTATATACCCAGAAGTAAAATTGCTGGGTCATATGGTTATTCTGTGTTTAATTTTTTAAGGAACTCTCATACTGTTTTCATAGCAACTGTTCATTTTACATTCCCACCAGCAATGCACAAGGGTCTCAGTTTCTCCATATCATAGCCAACACTTGTTATTTCCTGATTTTGATACTATCCATCTGATGACTACGAAATGGTATCTCATCGTAATTTTAATTTGCATTTCCCTAATGATTAGGGATGTTGAGCACCTTTTCATATGCTTCCTGGCCATTTGTATATCTTCTTTGGAGAAGTGTCTATTCAAGTCCTTTGCCCATTTTTTAATTGAGTTGTTTCTTTTGTTGTTGTTGAGTTGTAGTTCTTTATATATTCTGGATATCAATCCCTTATCAGATAAATAATTTGCAAATCTTTTTTCCTATTCCGTTGGTTGCCTATTCACTATGTTGATTGTGCCCTTTGTTGCAAAAAAGTTTTTAATTTTGATGAAGTCTAATTTATCCACTTTTTTTGTTGCTTGTGCTTTTGGTGTCATATCTGAGAAATCATTGCCAGATTCAATGTCATGTGCCTCCCCCAACCCCCTCCCCTTTTTAAAAGAAAATAGTAGGGACAGGGTCTCACCCAGGCTGGAGTATAGTGATGCGATCACATAGCTCACTGTAACTTCAAACTCCTGCCCTCAAGGGATCCTCCCACCTCAGTGTCCATAGTAGCTAGTACTACAGGCATGCACCACCACACCTGGCTAATTTATTTTTTGTAGAGATAGAGATGAGGTCTTGCTGTGTTACTCTTCTGGTCTCAAAATTCTGGCCTCAAGCGATCCTCTTGCTTCAGCCTCCCAAGGTGCTGCGATTACAGGTGTGAGCCATTGGGCTCAGCTCCCTATGTTTTCTTTAAAGAGTTTTATAGTTATAGCTCTTAAGTTTAGGTCTTTGATTCATTTCGAGTTAATGTGTGTATATGGTATAAGAGAAGGCTTTAACTTTGCTCTTTGGGACAAAGAACAAAGCAGTGTTGGCTACAATATGGAGAAATTGGGACCCTTGTGCATTGCTGGTGGGAATGTAAAATCCAGTTGTCCCACCACTAATTGTTGAAAAAACTCTCCTTTCTTCATTGAATGGTCTTGGCACCCTTTTCAAAAATCATTTAACTATATATGCAAGAGGTTATTTCTTGGCTGTGTTCCATTCCATTGGTCTATATGTCTGTCTTTATGCCAGTGCCACACTGTTTACTGCAGCTTTGTAGTAAGTCATTTTATAAATCTTTAATTTCACAAATCATCCTTGAATATATTCTCCTTTATGGAAAAGTTAAAACATAACAGCTAAGGATAACTAACCCTATCTGACCACCATTCGAAGTCCCTATTGAAGGAAAGGGCTCAGTGGGAAAAGTTAAGAGCATGTGAGTCAGTGGAGCGCAGTGGTCTGAGAAGTAGCCTCTGGGGCCAGACTGCCTGGATTCATAGCTTGACTCTGCCACTTTTAGATATATGACTGTAGGTGAGTCATATGATCTCCTTGTGTTCAATTTCTTGGGTTGTTGTCAGGATCGAATGAGTTAATTACACATAAAACATGTAGAGCAATACTTATCAATTAATAGTACTTAACTATTATTGTGTAGTGTAAGTGCTTAATTATTGTAGTATACGACTAAACTATGTGGAGTTATGAAGAAGGCTGATAGGTGAGGGGATGCTCAATGGCCTTGATGTCCTCCGCAAAGTAAACATTGAAGTAATCTGATGATTCAGAGGAGAGTGCGAGGCGAGAGTCTTAAAAGTGTGTGAAGAAGGTTATAATTGACTTTTGGAGACTGTGGAATTACTAAAAGCCTAGTAAGATGATATTTGTAAGGTCCTATGAGGGCATTATCAGGTAGACATGCATGGCACTTGTTCGAAGTGTCTTCCTACAAGAATGTTCTGGCCTGGAAGCGAGATTGGAGACTTTGGAACTCCAGGGATGATAGTAAGGGTTGAAGATTGCCAATGGTGGATGAACAAGGGGTTGAGGAAGAATAGGTATGGTGAAGGCAGCAGAAAAGTCGACGATGATTCAAAGCCTGGCTAAAAAGCCAGATATCATTAGGTGGACTCAGTAAAGTAAGAGCAGTAATGTGATTGAAAGTTGCTGAGAAGGTAGAAAGTGGCTGGTTTAGAAAGTTTTGAGAGCTAGGCTGGGAGCAGTGGCTCATGCCTGTAATCCTAACACTTTGGGAGGCCGAGACAGGTGGATCACTGGAGATCAGGAGTTCGAGACCAGCCTGGCCAACATGGTGAAACCTCATCTCTACTAAAAATACAAAAATTAGCCGGGTTTGGTGGCAGGTGCCTGTAATCCCAGCTACTTGGGAGGCTGAGGCAGGGGAATCGCTTGAACCTGAGAGGTGGAGGTTGCAGATCACACCACTGCACTCCAGCCTGGGTGACAGAGCGAGACTCCATCTCAAAAAAAAAAAAAAAAAATTTTGAGAGCCAGGGGAGGTTTTAGTTAGTTTGAGGGCATGCCATGTTTGAGCTCTTGATAGTATAATAATAGATGATGATTGCAGTTGTTTTTATTTTTATTTTTTTATTTTGTTTTCTTAAATTCCCCTCACCTCCCCCCATCGCCCTTTTATTTTGAGACGGAGTTTTGCTCTTGTTGCCCAGGCTGGAGTGTGATGGTGTGATCTCGGCTCACTGCAACTTCCGCCTCCAGGGTTCAAGAGATTCTCCTGCCTCAACCTCCCAGGTGGGTAGGATTACAGGTGCCCACCACCACCCCCAGCTAATTTTTTGTATTTTTAGTAGAGATAGGGTTTCACCATGTTGGCCAGGCTGGTCTTGAACTCCTGATCTCAGGTGATCCACCTGCTTTGGCCTCCCAAAGTGCTGGGATTACAGGCGTGAGCCACTGTGCCCAGTCAAATTTCCTGTTTTAAGAATGAAGTATTTTTATGTTTTTTTTTTTTTTTTAATACCAGTTTGTTGAGAGCCTGATGTGGAGTTCTAGAGAAGCTTAGTGGAAGTATTGTGAAGTCATGCTCTCCAAAGTGTTGTCAGTGGACATTGTAAGAATGTGGAAAATACAATGGGTTTTAGTATTGAAGACAGTACAGAGACTAGAATGGAAAGGAAAAATGAGGGCCACGCAATAACAAGAGCTCCCATTTATTGACTACTTAGAGTATAGTAGGCACCATGTGCTAAGCAGTATACATCCATAATCACATTTCATTCTCATATCCACCCTGAAATATGACTGTTGTCTCCCTTTGAGGGGAGCCCATTGGGTCATGAGGTAAGGTGTGATACCCATGGTTACATAGTTAGAAGCAGCAGAGCCAGGGTTTAAACTAAGATCTACCTGACCCCAGAGCCTGTTTTTAGCAATTTTCCCAGGTAATTCTGATATACACTAAATTTTGAGCGTTATGTTCTATAACATAGTATTAAGTCCTATTTTATTTTTAATTTCATTGGTTTGTGGGAAAACAAAACCAAGATACAATCTGAAGAAGGCAGGATGGGTGTTGGGAGAATTGACAGTGACCTTCCTAAAACATAAAACAGTTTTGAGGACTTGCTGATAATGGGCAGTAGATCTATAGAAAAACAGTGAGTTGGGAATAGTCGGCATGGGGAAAAGGTTTCTAGGGCTTCCGAAAAAAAGAGCAATGTAAAATGAAGATTTAGGATCACTTTTACAAATATGTTAGTCTTCACATTTGCAGAATGTTGTAATTAATATAGTTAAGTCTCAGCTGGTATTAACTTAGCAAATTGAATTTAATGTTAATTTAAAAAATCCTTTTATTTTCTATTTCATTGTTGAAAACTTGTCTAAGTTATGTTGATCTGCTTTTATGAAATTAAGTACAGTACAGTGAACATAATTGAATCTTTCTCTGGTGATTGAAGATCTTTCATAGTCTCAGAAATATCATTCTGAATTGCATAATATAGACAGTATAGAAGCATGGACTTAAAATAGATTGACCCCAGGAAATATTCTGGAACAGGTTTTCCCAACCCGTGGGCCATGGATCAACACAGGTCCATGGCCTGTTAGGAACCGGGCCGCACAGTAGGAAGTAAGAGGTGGGCCAGGCCAGCGAGCATTAACACCTAAGCTCTGCCTCCTGTCAGATCAGTGGCAGCATTAGATTCTCATAGGAGGCAAACTCTTTTGTGAACTGCGCATGCGAGGGATCTAGGTTGCCGGTTCCTTGTGAGAATCTGAGAATCTAACTAATGCCTGATGATCTGAGGTGAAACAGTTTCATCCTGAAACCATATCCCCACCCAGATCCATGGAAAAAAATGTCTTCCACAAAACTGGTCCCCAGTATCAAAAAGGCTGGGGACCACTGCTCTGAAAGTTTTGTTTAGGTGGAAGAGTGGCATAGGGCTATGAGTATTTATTTGATTTTTGTTTTAAGAGACAGGGTCTTCTATATTGTCCAGGCTGATCTCAAACTCTTGAGCTCAAGTGTTCCCCCTGTCTTGGCCTCCCAAAGTGCATTTTGATGGTCTTTGAAAAATATTTGGACAATAGAGCCTTGACAGAAAATTTAAATAATTAAATAAAAAATGTTTTAAAATTGTCCTTTTATGGGCTCATTTTCTTAGATTGTAACTCTTATGCAGTCATTTTCTCTTTCTTTTTTTCCTTCTTTCTCTTTTTCTTTTTTTTTTTTTTTTTTTTTGTGGCAGTCTCAGTCTGTCTTCCAGGCTGGAGTGTAGTGGCGTGATCAGGGCTCACTGCAGGTCACAACCTCCTGGGCTCAGGCGATTCTTCCATCTCAGCCTCCCGAGTAGCTGGGACTACAGGCACATGCAACCATGCCAAGCTAATTTTTGTAGAGACAATTTCACCATGTTGCCCAGGCTGGTCTTAACTCCTGGGCTCAAGTGATCTGCCTGCCTCACCCTCCCAAAGTGCTAGGGTTACAGGTGTGAGCTACCATGCATGGCCATAAAGTCATTTTTGATTGATGGCCCATCCTATAAGAATATGCATAGCAGTAGGTTTTAGGTTACAAAAGGGATAGGGGGCTGGGCACGGTGGCTCATGCCTGTAATCCCAGCACTTTGGGAGGCCGAGGCAGGCAGATCCCTTGAGGTCAGGAGTTCGAGACCAGCCTGGCCAACATGGCAAAACCCCGTCTCTACTAAAAATACAAAAATTAGCCAGGCATGGTGGCATGCACCTGTAATCCCAGCTACTAAAGAGCCCGAGGAAGGAAAATCACTTGAACCTGGGAGGCAGAGATTGCAGTGAGCTGAGATCGTGCCGCTGCACTCCAGCATGGGCAACAGAGCGAGACTCTGTCTCAAAAAGGAAAAAAAAAAGAAAAGGAATAGGGATTTTTTTTTGTTACTGTTTTACCTCTTTGATGTTAAATGGAAAAAAAAAAAATAGGCCAGGCACATTGGCTCACGCCTGTAATCCCAGCACTTTGGGAGGCTGAGGTGGGCAGATCACCTGAGGTCAGGAATTTGAGACCAGCCTGGCCAACATGATGAAACCCCGTCTTTACTAAAAATACACAAATTAGCTGGGCATGGTGGTATGCACCTGTAATCTCAGCTACTTGGGAGGCTGAGGCAGGAGAATTGCTTGAACCCGGGAGGTGGAGGTTGCAGGGAGCCGAGATTGCGCCACTGCACTCCTGCCTGGGTGACAGAGTGAGACCCTGTCTCAAAATATAATAATAATAATAATAATAAACGGAAATAAATAGATACTTGTATAAAGCAGTGACCTCCTTGGAGATTGTCGTAACCTTAGTGATTTTTCATTCATTTCTTTACTTAAAAAATATTTATTGAGTACTTGCTACATGTTGGGAAGTGTGCTAGGCACTGGTGATACGATGGTGAACAAAACAGACTAGAATTTATATTCTTGTCAGGGATGCATCAAAACAACAAAAATTTTTTTCAAGTTAATAGATATTCTAGTTAGAGTTCTTGGTTGCAAATAATAGAAACTGATTCTAGTTTCCTCAAGCAGAAAAGGGATTTTTCTGGAGGGTACTGAGGAACTCAGAATTACAAGGAAGGCTGGAAAACAAAGTAAGGCCCAGCCAAAATACTATTCCAGGAACATTGAGCTCAGGATGCCACCACTTGCTGGCTAGACACTCAATGCCACCGTTACTGGCACCCTGCCATGGAACATGATCAGGCTTGCTGCTAGATAGACTGTGCTGCTCATGGATATTTGCTACCACCTAGTATATTCTCTACTGTGATGCAGCCACCATAAAAAGTCTGGACCAACCCTTTGCTTTTTGAGCTTCTTTAAGGTTGAAAATCCCAGGCAGGAATATCTAGTTGGTCACAAGGGCATGGAAAAGGGAATATCTGTCTCCCATTGGCCACCTCATGAGGAGGCAGGACTGCCTCTCTAACTTTAGATTTTACTGAAACAGTATGTTAGGCAGCCAAATTGTAAATGTCTGCCATAACAGACAAAATAATTTAGATTTTGGGCTGGGTGTGGTGGCTCACACTTGTAATCCCAACATTTTGGGAGTCTGAGGCAGAAGGATAGTTTGAGTCGACAAGTTTGAGACCAGCCTAGGCAACACAGTAAGCCCCCATCGCTACAAAAAAATAAAAATTAGCCAGGCATGGTGGTGTGCCCCTGTAGTCCTAGCTACTCCAGAGGCTGAGGTGGGAGGACTGTTTGAGTCTAGCAGTTCAAGGCTACAGTGAGCCATGATCATGCCTGGGCAATCCAGCCTGGGTGACAGAGCAAGACCCCATTTCTAATAATAATAATAATAATTTAGTAATTGCAAATAGTCCAAGTGTAATGATGGAAACAAAATGAGGTCTGAAATAGAGGCTAACAAAAGGAAATCTTTAAATGGAGAATAATAAGGGAAGATCTCCACAAGTGGGAGATATTTGGTTAAGAATCGGGTGATGAACTCTCTGTTTGCCTGGGACTAGAATGTTCTAGGATATGGGGCTTCCATTGCTAAAGCTGGGAAAGTCCCGGACAAGCTGGTATTAAGTTAGGGCCACTCTAATTGTGAAGGAATCATATATGACAAGAGTAGAGGCAGGAGCATTTCATGAAGAAGGAATGTTGCAGGTACAGAGGCCCCAGGTGGAAAAGGTCTTCACATGTTGGAGGGACTGAGAAGTCAGTGAATGAGAGGAGTGTTATGTGAGCTGGGAAAGAATAAGTAGTCAGGAGGTAGATCACGCAGGGTCTTTAGGCTATGGTGAGTGTTTGGATTCTATTCTAAGTACAATGAGTTGCTACTGAAGGGAGGGCTTTAGGCAGGGGAATAATATGGTCTGATTTGTTTTGTGAAGACCACTCTTGTTGATGGATGGGGAACAGATTAGAAAGGATTAAGAGTTGGAAGTCAACGGGTGGTTTGGCTTTCACCTGTAATCCTGTCAATTTGAGAGGCTGAGGCAGGAGAGTTGCTTGAGCTCAGTAGTTTGAGACCAGTCTAGGCAACATAGCAAAACCTCATCACTACTAAAAATAAAAAAATGTTAGTTGCATGTGGTAGTGCATGCCTGTAGTCCCAGCCACTTGGGAGGCAGAGACAGTAGGATTGCTTGAGCCCAGGAGGTCAAGGCTGCAGTGAGCCATGATCGTGCCACTGCATTCCAGCCTGGGCAACAAAGGGAGACCCTGCCTCAAAAAGGAGAAAAAAAAAAAAAGAGTTGGAAGCAGGTAAGAGTAGGAGCCATTGTGTTAGTCCTAGCTACAGTTGGTGGTAGCCTGAACTAAGGTGTTGACTATGGAGACAGAGAAATGGATGCATTCAAAATATATTTTGTCTGCCTGCCTCAGCAACATGTCTCTACAAAAAAAAAAAAAAAAAAAAAAAGCCAGGCATGGTGTGTATGCCTGTAGTCCCAGCTACTCAGGAGGCTGAGGTGGGAGGATGGCTTGAGCCCAGGGGTTTGAGGCTGCAGTGAACCACGATCACACCACTGCTCTCCAGCCTGGGCAACAGAGCAAGACCCTGTCTCAAAAAAATTAAAAAAGTAAAAAGATACATAGATATATATATTTTGGATAGAGAATCAACAGGACTTGAAGGGTTGGGTGCAGGCTGTGAAGGAAGGATGAGATCAAGGATGACTTTAGTCATATGCAGTTTGAAGTGTTTTGTTGTGAAGAGAAAACAGATGCTATCAGAAGAAAACTGCCTTCTTTTCTCACCAGATACAGCAATCAATCTCCTTTTATACCCATATAATCTGCAGTCGCTCTTGCCACAGAGCACGAAGTGTCCCTGCTCCTATCTAAAGCCCTTCCTTCACACTGTGTCCTATTCATTCATTCATTCATTTATTCACTAATGCCAGAGATACAGTAGTATCTGAGCTTACATTCTAGTTATGAGGAAACAGACAGACAAATACATTTGTAATATGGCAGATGGTAAAAATACTATGGTGAAAAAGCAAAGGGAGATTATAGGGAGTCCCTGGATTGGAGTAGGGCAGGGTGAGAGTTGTTATTTTTGATAGGTTGCATAGGTCAGAGGAGACTTATTTGAGAGTGACGTTTGAGCAGACATCTGAAAGAGCGAGGAAGCCAACAAGCAGATGTCAGGAGGAATGAGTCATTCCCAGCAGAAGGCAAAGCAAGTGCAATGCCCCTGAGGTGAGTATGCTTGGCGTGTTTATGGGACAGCAAGAAGGCCAGTGTGGCTGAAGCGGAGGGAGCAAGTGGAGAAGGGTAGAAAATGAGGGCAGAGAGGAGTTAGCAGAAGGACAGATCGTGTAGGGCCTTGTAGGCATTTGTAAAGACTGCAAAAACCGAGTCAGATGGAAGCATCTCCTCATGTGTACTACTGCAGTATTTCCCCACTCCTATATTACCAATTTTCCCTTCTACTAGAATAAGAGTTCTCAAATTTTTTGGTCTTAGAACTCCTTTGTAATCTTAAAAATTACTTACAACCCCTTGCCTTACACCTGAGCTTAGAGAAAAGCATTCAGCTTTTTATACATTGAGTATGATGTTAGCTATACATTTCTTGAGAAGCCCATCATCAGGTTGAGGAAGTTCCCTTCTATTTCCTAGTTTGCCAGGAGATTTTAGCAGGAACAGGTTTTTTGTTTTTGTTTTTGTTTTTAAAGAGACATGGTCTCACTCTCTTGCCCAGGCTGGAGTGCGTGGCACAATCACAGCTCACTGCATCCTCAAACTCCTGGGCTCAAGAGATCCTCTTGCCTATGCCTCCCCAAGTAGCTGGGACTACAGGCAAACACAGTCACCCCTGGCTAGTTCTTTTTTTTTTTTTTCCCCTATAGAGATGGGGATCTCACCATTTTGTCCAGGCTGGTCTTGAACTCCTGGGCTCAGGCAACCCCTCTGCCTCAGCCTCCCAAAGTGCTGGGATTACAGGCATAAGTTACCCTACCCAGCCCTTTTCTCTGTATCTATTGAGATAATCAAGTGAGTTTTTTTTTTAATCTGTTAATATGATGAATTACTTTTTTTTTTTGAGATGGAGTTTCGCTCTTGTTGCTCAGGCTGGAGTGCAATGGTGCAATCTCAGCTCACCACAACCTCCGCCTCCTGGGTTCAAGCGATTCTCCTGCCTCAGCCTCCCGAGTAGCTGGGATTACAGGCATGTGCCACCACGCCTTGCTAATTTTGTATTTTTAGTAGAGACGGGGTTTCTCTATGTTGGTTAGTCTGGTCTCAAACTCCCGACCTTAGGTGATCCACCTGCCTTGGCCTCCCAAAGTGCTGGGATTACAGGTATGAGCCACTGTGCCTGGCCTACGTTTTTGAATGTTAAACAACCTTGCAATCCTGTGATAACCTCACTTGGTTGTGACATATGATCCTTCTTATATGTTGTTGGATTTCATTGCTAACATTTTGTTGATAATTTTTACATCGGCCGAGCACGGTGGCTCATGCCTGTAATCCCAGCACTTTGGGAGGCTGAGGCAGGTGGATCACTCGAGGTCAGGAGATCGAGACCAGCCTGGCCAACATGGTGGAACCCCCGTCTCTACAAAAAAATACAAAAACTAGCCGGGCATGGTGGCACACACCTGTAGTACCAGCTACTCGAGAGGCTGAGGCAGGAGAATCGCTTGAATCAGGGAGGCAGAGGTTGCAGTGAGCTGAGATCGTGCCACTGCAGTCCATCCTGGGAGACAGAGCGAGACTCTGTCTCAATAAAAAGGCCGGGCACAGTGACTCACACCTGTAATTCCCAGCACTTTGGGAGGCCAAGGCAGGTGGATCACCTGAGGTCAGGAGCTCGAGGCCAGCTTGGCCTACATGGTGAGACCCCATCTGTACTAAAAATACAAAAATTAGCCAGGTGCAGTGGCACACACCTGTAATTCCAGCTACTTGGGATACTGAGGCAGGAGAAACGCTTGAACCCAGGAGGCAGAGGTTGCAGTGAGCTGAGATAGCACCACTGCACTCCAGCCTGGGTGACAGAGCGAGACTCCATCTGAAAAAAAAAAAAAAAATTTTTTTTTTTTTTTGTGTACCTCTATGTTCATGAGAGATATTGATCTTCAGTGTTTTAGCTTTTCATGTTAATGTTTTGGTATTGGTATCAGTGTAATGCTAGCATCATGAAATGATTTGCAAATAATTCCCTCTTTTTTTTTCAATTTTCTGGAAGAGTTTATATAGAATTGGTTTTATTTCTCTTTTAGATGTTTGGCACGATTCACCGGTGAAGCCACCTGGGCCTAGAGTTTTCTTTGTGGGAATGTTTTTAACAAATTCAACTTACTTTACAGATAGGAACTACTCAGTTTAACTGTTTCTTTTTGAGTGAGTTTGGTAGTTTGTGTCTTTGAAGGAATTTGTCCATTTTAATTAGGTTGTCAAATATAGTGGCATAAAGTTGTTAAAAATACTTCCTTATTAGCGTTTTAGTGTCTGTAGAATCCATAGTGATGTCTCTCATTCCTGATATTGGTTATATGTGTCCTCTGTCTTATTCCTGATAAGTCTGGGTAGAGATTTATCAATATTGATCTTTTTAAAAAATCATCTTTTGGTTTTATTGACTTTCTCCATTGTTTTTCTGTTTTCTATTCCATTGATTTTGCACTCTAATCTTTGGATACTTTGAGTTCAATTTGATCTTCATGTTTAGTTAAGGTTGAAGCTAAGGTCATTGATTTGAGACCTTTTTAAATAAGGGTATTTAGTACTTTAGCTGCATCTCACAAATTTTGATATGTTGCATTTTCAGTTTTATTCAGTTCAAAATACTTTCCAATTTCCTTTTTTGGTTTCTTTTTTGATGTAGGGGTTACTTAGAAGCTTGTTATTTAATTATTTGCAAATATTTGAGGACTTTTTGAGGACCTCATATTTGAGGACCTTTCTGTTATTGAATTCTAATTTAATTCGATTGTCAAGAATATATTTTATATGACTTAAATCCTTTTAGGTGCATTAAGATTGGTTTTTATGGTCCAGAGTATGACTCAGAACATCTTGGTAAATGTTTAGTGCAACTTAGAAAATGTATAGTCTCTATTCTTGAGTAGAATATTCTATGTATGTCAAGTAGGTCCAGTTTATTTATATTGTTGAACACATCTATATGCTTATTAGTTTTCTGTCTATTAATCTATCAATTTTTTTTTTTTGAGACAGAGTCTCACTCTGTTGCCCAGAATGGACTGCAGTAGCACAATCACGGCTCACTGCAGCCTCAACCTCCTGAACACAAACAATCCTCCTGCCTCAGCCTCCCAAGTAGCTGGGACTACAGGCATGCACCACTGTACCCAGCTAATTTTTGTATTTTTGTAGAGACAGCGTTTTACCATGTTGCCCAGGCTGGTCTTAGACTCCTGAGCTCAAGCAACCCACCCGTCTTAGCCTCACAACGTGCAGAGATGAGTAATCATATGGTTTTTGTCATTTATTTTATTGATCTGGTGGGATACGGTGGCTGATTTTCAGATGTTATATCAACCTTGCATTTCTGGGATACATCCTACCTGGTCATGGTTTCAGTCTTTTGTTTTGTTTTGTTAATTGGAGTTGGGGCGGTGCCTCACTATGTCGCCTTGAACTCCTGTGTGCTCCAGCAATCCTTCCACCTCCGCCTCCTGAGAAGCTAAGACTACCGGTGCACACCACTACACCTGGCTAGTTTCAGTAGTTTTTGTCTTGTTAGGAATTAGTCCATTTCATCTAAGTGGTCTCATTTGTTGGCACACAGTTATTCACTAATATTTCTTCATGATCCTTTTTATTTCTGTAAGGTTGGTAGTAATGTCCCACTTTCCATTCCTGATTTTGATAACTTGAGACTTTTTTTTAATTGTTCAGGCTAAAAGTTTGTCGATTTTTGCTGATCTTTTCAAAGAACCAACTTTTGGTTCTGTTGTTTTTCTATTCTCTTAAGTTCTGCTCTAATCTTTTTTATTTCCTTCCTTCTGCTTGCTTTGGATTTAGTTTCCTCTTAGGTGGGAGTTTAGGTAATTGATTTGAGATCTTCTTTTTTATTTTAGGCATTTATAGCTTTAAATTTTTTTCTAAGCATTACTTTAGCTGTATCCCATAAGCTTTGGTATGTTGTATCTTAGTTTTCATTCATCTCAAAGTATTTTCTGATTTTCCTATGATTTCTTCATTGACCCATTGGTTATTAACAAGTGTGTTATTTAATTTTCTTTTTCTTTTCTTTCTTTTTTTTTTTTTTTTTGAGACGGAGTCTTGCTCTGTCCCCCAGGCTGGAGGGCAGTGGTGTGATCTTGGCTCACTGCAACCTCTGCCCCCTGGGTTCAAGCAATTCTCCTGCCTCAGCCTCCCAAGTAGTTGAGATTACAGGCGTACCCTACCACGCCTGGCTAATTTTTGTATTTTTAGTAGAGATGGGGCTTCACTCTGTTGGCCAGGCTGGTCTCGAACTCCTGACCTTAAGTGGTCCTCCCGCCTCAGCCTCCCAGAGTGCTGGAATTACAGGCATGAGCCACTGTGCCTGGCCTTTTTTTTTTTTTTTTTTTTCCAGACAGAGTCTCCCTCTGTAACCTAGGCTGGAGTGCAGTGGTGCGATCTTGGCTCACTGCAACCTGTGCCTCCCAGGTTCAGGCAATTCTCCTGCCTCAGCCTCCCGAGTAGCTGGGACTACAGGCACCCGCCACCACACCCAGCTAATTTTTGTATTTTTAGTAGAGATGGGGTTTCACCATGATGGCCAGGCTGGTCTGGAACTCCTAACCCCAGGTGATCCGCCCGCCTCAGCCTCCCAAAGTGCTGGGATTACAGGTGTGAGCCACCACACCTGGCCTATTTAATTTTCATAAATTTGCTAATTTTCCAGATTTTTTCTGTTAACTGATTTCTAATTTTATTCCATTGTGGTCAGAGAACATATTTTGTGTGATTTCAATCCTTTTAAATTTATTGAGGCTTATTTTATTTTATTTTATTTTTATTTTATTTTATTTTTGAGATGGAGTCTCACTCTGTCACCAGGCTGGAGTGCAGTGGCACGACCTAAGCTCACTGCAACTTCCGCCTCCCAGGTTCAAGCGATTCTCCTGCCTCAGCCTCCTGAATAGCTGGGACTACAGGCATGTGCCACCACCCCCAGCTAATTTTTGTATTTTTAGTAGAGACAGGATTTCACCATGTTGGCCAGGATGGTCTCGATCTCTTGACCTTGTGATCTGCCCGCCTCAGCCTCCCAAAGTGCTAGGATTACAGGTTTGAGCCACTGCGCCTGGCGAGGCTTATTTTATGTTCAGGCATATTGTCTATTGTGAGAATGTGCCATGTGTACTGGAGAAGAATGTGTATTCTACGGTTGTTGGGTAGAGTGTTCTCTAGGTGTCTGTTAGGTCTGGTTGGTTTATAGTATTGTTTAAATTAGTTTTTGAGGTTTCTAAAAATGGTATCACTGGGTGTGGTGGCTCACATCTGTAATCCCAGCACTTTGGGAGGCTAAGGCAAGAGGACATTTGAGCCCCAGGAGTTCACAACCAGCCTGGGCAACAAAGAGAGACCTTGTCTCTACGAAAAAAAAAAAAAAAAATGCAAGGTGTGGTGGCTCAAGCCTGTAGTTCCAGCTACTTGGGAGGCTGAGGTGGAAGGATCACTTGAGCCTGGGATGTCGAGATTGCAGTGAGCTGTGATCATGCCACTGCACTCCAGCCTGGATGAGAGAGTGAGACCCTGTCTCAAGAAAAAAAAAAAAAGGTACCATACTAAATGTGGCTGTCTCACTGGCTGCCTTGTTATTCTCACCCAGGGCCATTGCATTTGTTGTTCCTTCATCCTAGAACTTTCTTCCCCAAGGCAATGCATGATTTTCTTCCTCATTTCAGTCTCTGTGCATATGTCTTATAAGGACCTTTCCTGACAGACTTCCCAACCCCTGTGTTTTTCTTTTCATCCTTCTTTGTTTTGATTTATGCCATTTATCACTATGTGAAAAAGTACAGAGTATATTTATTAGTCTACTTCTTTGTTTCTTTTACTCTTTTGTTCATTGCTATGTCACCTAGTAGGTACTCAAAACGTATCAAGCTTCCAAATGTGAATTTGGAAGTTCTGAAGTCAGAGCAGAGGACTTGACTAAAGATAGAAATTTGGAAATCATTAGCTTAGAGTGAAAATTTAAATTCACAGGTAGAAGAAATTACCTATGGCTAGAGGGAGGAGATAAAAGAGAAAAGGGCCAGGGCCTGGCCCTGATGAATCCAGCATCTATTAGAGGTTTGATAGGTAAGGAGGCCTAACAAAGAAAATTGAGAAGGAGCAGAGGAGAGGGCACAGAGGTAGAAGCATCATAGTTCTTCTAGTGTAGGGGCTGCCTGTACTAGAAATAAAGAACTAGGCCGGGCACAGTGGCTCATGCCTATAATCCTAGCACTTTGGGAGGCCGAGGTGGGCCGATCACTTGAGGTCAGGAGTTCGAGACCAGTGTGGCCAACACAGTTGAACCCTGTCTCTACTAAAAATACAAAATTAAAAAATAATAATAATGGCCAGGCGCGGTGGCTCACGCCTGTAATCCCAGCACTTTGGCAGGCCGAGGCAGGCGAATCACGAGGTCGGGAGATCAAGACCATCCTGGCTAACATGGTGAAACCCCGTCTCTACTAAAAATACAAAAAAATTAGCCTGGCGTGGTGGCGGATGCCTGTAGTCCCAGCTACTTGGGAGGCTGAGGCAGAAGAATGGCGTGAACCCGCGAGGCAGAGCTTGCAGTGAGCCGAGATCGTGCCACTGCACTCCACCCTGTGTGACAGAGCGAGACTGTGTCTAAAAAAAAAAAAAAAAAAAAAAAGTGGCCGGGCGTGGTGGCTCACGCCTGTAATCCCAGCACTTTGGGAGGCCGAGGCGGGCAGATCACGAGGTCAGGAGTTTGAGACCATCCTGGCTAACACGGTGAAACCCCGTCTCTACTAAAAATACAAAAAATTAGCTGTGTGCGGTGGCGGGCGCCTGTAGTCCCAGCTACTCTGGGGGCCGAGGCAGGAGAATGGCGTGAACCTGGGAGGCGGAGCTTGCAGGGAGCCGAGATCGCGCCACTGCATTCCGGCCTGGGTGAAAGAGCGAGACTCTGTCTCAAAAAAAAAAAAAAATAATTAATAATAATAAAATAAAAATACAAAATTAGCCAGGCATGATGGCGCATGTTTGTGATCCCAGCTACTCAGGAGGCTGAGACAGGAGAATCATTTGAACCTAGCAGGCAGAGGTTGCAGTGAGCTGAGATCACGCCATTTCGCTCTAAACTGGGCAACACAGCTAGACTCTGTCTCAAAAAAATAAAATACAAATACAAAAATTAGCCAGGGGTGGTGGTGCACGCCTGTAATCCCAACTACTTGAGAGGCTGAGGCAGGGGAATCGCTTGAACTCAGGAGGTAGAGGTTGCAGTGAGCTGAGATCGTGCCACTGCACTCCAGCCTGGGTTCCAGAGGGAGACTCCATCTCAAAAATAAATAAATAAATAAATAAAAATAACTAAAAGAGTAGGAGGTGCCATTAAAGCCATCAAAAATGGAGTAGCTAACTTAACGGAAGCCGACATGAGGTTCAGAAAGATAATGTGGCTAGAGAAGTGACTGTCAGATGCTGCAACATGAAGGCTGTTGATAGCCTTGACAAGAGCAGAAGAGTGGTGCAGACAGAAGCCGGGCTGGCTTATGTGTACTCAAGAGTGTGTAGGCCAGTTTATAAAATAATAATTATTCAATTCAGTTTATAAAATAATAATTATTTAATTAAGCCTTTTAATAGAATCTGCAGGTTGAATCTAGTAAGTTTTCCTCCCTTCTTTTTGGCTTTCTCAGTGTTTAAAAACTCCCATATTTGGAAACTCTCTGGTGATTCCTTAAAGATTGAAAATGGGTAGATGTTGAATGCTATCTAAGCCAGATGATCCTGGGATCTTCCCACACCAGCTTCTGGGAACTGGGAAACTTCTAACTAGCTAGACAGAACTAAAGTACCATCTTCATTATCTCTCCATGGCCTAGCACTTATATCCTTTGCAATCAGTTGACATTTATTTTCATGTAAGTGTATAGGAAAGAAGTAGCTTGCTCTTTCCTTTTTTTTTTTTTTCTTAAGAGAAGACAGGATCTTGCACTATCACCCAGGCTGGAATGCAGTGGCATGATCACAGCTCACTGCAGCCTCAACATCCTGGGCTCAATCGATCCTTCCACTTCAGCCTCCCAAGTAGCTGGGACTACAGGTGCACGCTACCATATCTGGCTAATTATTGTATTTTTTGTAGAGACAAGGTTTCACCATGTTGCCCAAGCTGGTTTTGAACTACTGGACTCAAGCGATTTGGACTCACCTTGGCCTCTCAAAGTGTTGGGATTACAGGTGTGAGCTACCATGCCTGGCCGCTGAAGTAGCTGTTTCTGTTTGCGAAAGTAGTTTTCTGCTATCATTTATTTTTGACATCTTGTCCTTGGACTATATGCAGATGTTAATCACCTTAATTATCACTATATTAGCTACCAGAAACCTAAAACATTGAAACAAGGGAATAGAGATTTGAGAAATAGACCTATGCATATATGTAACTGGTAATTCAGCCAAGATACAAAATAATCAAATGGAGAAAGTACAGTCTTTTTAACAAATTGTGCTGGAGCAATTGGAAATCCATACGTTAAAAGATAAAAGTACTTTAACCCATACCGTACATCATATATTAAAATTAACACAAAATGGATCATAGCTCCAAATCTAAAACCTTAAACCATAAAGCATCTGAAGAAAGGCCTGGCACAGTGGCTCATGCCTGTAATCCCAGCACTTTGGGAGGCCGAGGCTGGTGGATCACCTGAGGTCAGGAGTTCGAGATCAGCCTGACCAACATGGTGAAACCCCATCTCTACTAAAAATAGGAAAATTAGCTGAGCGGGGCCAGGCGCGGTGGCTCATGCCTGTAATCCCAGCACTTTGGAGGGCCGAGGCGGGCAGATCATGAGGTCAGAAGATCGAGACCATCCTGGCTAAGATGGTGAAACCCCATCTCTACTAAAAATACAAAAAATTAGCTGGGCATGGTGGCGGGCGCCTGTAGTCCCAGCTACTCAGGAGGCTGAGGGAGGAGAATGGCATGAACCCGGGAGGCAGAGCTTGCAGTGCGCTGAGGTCGCGCCACTGCACTCCAGCCTGGGTGACAGAGCAAGACTCTGTCTCAAAAAAAAAAAAAAAAAAAAAAATTAGCTGAGTGGTTGGGCACGGTGGCTCACACTTGTAATCCCAGAACTTTGGGAGGCTGAGGTGGATGGATCACGAGGTCAGGAGTTCGACACCAGCCTGACCAACACGGTGAAACCCCGTCTCTACTAAAAATACAAAAGTTAGCTGGGCATGGTGGCAGGCACCTGTAATCCCAGCTACTCGGGAGGCCGAGGCAGGAGAATTGCTGAAACCTGGGAGGTAGAGGTTGCAATGAGCCGAGATCGTGCCACTGCACTCTAGCCTGGGTGACAGAGCTAGACTCCATCTCAAAAAAAAAAAAAAAATTAGCCAAGCATGGTAGTCAGCACCTGTAATGCCAGCTACTCCAGAGGCTGAGGCAAGGAGAATCACTTGAACCTGGGAGGCGGAGGTTGCAATGAGCCGAGATCATGCCATTGCACCCCAGCCTGGGCGACAGAGTGAGACTCTGTCTCAAAAAAAAAAAAAAAAAAATCCAAAGAAAACGGAGACAATTTTTGTGACCTTGAGTTGGCAAAAATTTATTAGATACAATGCTTAAAAATGGATACAGACTGGGCGTGGTGGCTCATGCCTGTAAACCCAGCACTTTGGTAGGCCAAGGCGGATGGATCACTTAAGCCCGGGAGTTCGAGACCAGCCTGGACAACATGGTAAAACCCTCTCTCTATAAAAAATACAGAAATTGGCTGGGCATGGTGATGCGCATCTGTAGTCCCAGTTACTCAGGAGGCTGAGTTGGGAGGATCGCTTGAGCCTGAGAGGCAGAGGTTGCAGTGAGCTAAGATTGTGCCACTGCACTCCAACCAGAGTGACAGCGAGACCCTATCTCAAAAAAAAAAAAAAAAAGATAAGTTTCAATTAGCTAATTAATTCCAAACTCTTAGTAATATGGCTCTTAGCATAATTATTATGGTGTGTTCTAGAGAAGCCCCTTTTGAAATCCTCATCTAGCTTTCCCCTGCCTTCTCAGGGGAAAATTGAAGTTATATGAAGTCCTGTCTGTCATGGAGACCAGGCACCCTACTCCTCAGTGCCTCACCATATCTCCTTTCCTACCCTACCTTTGGTTGATCCATTCATGCATCACTGGCTTCGTGGCCTTGACTGTATCTCTTGGCTTCTTCCTTTTGGGCTTTGGCTTCTGCTACTGCCTAATTATTTCTCCATCTTCCAAGTTAGGCAACCAAGAGAGGGAACCTGATTGGCCTAGATTATTTTTGCTTATTCTAGACCACTAAATAGATGTGTTCAACCAGCAATATGGTCCAGTCATCAGTGTCTGGGGGGTAGGGTGGATGGGGACATAGGGCGATGTTTGGAAGGAGTCTAAGGGTACGTATAATGTGGACGGTACCATCAGCTGGTATCACGAACAAGAGGTAGGACCATGTGTGTGATAAACAACATAATATCCATAGCTGTCATAAAGCAAAATGTTGTTATTCTTATTTCGTTCTTCCAGAAACCATTGATCATCAAGCTGCCTTCCAGTTATGGCTCTCTTATTGTATAGCCCCCCTCCTAAATCAGTCCATAACAGGTAGTGCGATAAGTGTTTAGAGAAGGAGCTTTTGCCTGTTCTCTAGGTGAGAGGTAGAGATCTCAAAGTATGTGGCAACAGAGGATAGAATTGTGGATTAGTTGGAAGGTGTTATCAGAGGTCATTTGATAGACCCTCAACTCTGAATATAGCACCCAAACCATGCCTTTCAAATAAACAACAGTCTATCCTCTTATACTTTAATCTGTTCCTGTGTAAGCAATTCTCAAGGCTAGTTCTTCATGACGTTTGAGCCACTTTTTTTTCCCTGATGGGTTTCATAGTATCCATCCTATAATGGTCAGCATGCTATTTGATTTTAGTGTGTCCTTTTTTCTTGCATGATGCTTCTTTTGCTATTTTTCTTCTTGGCTTTTCATCTTTAGGTTTGTTGAGGTCCTTAAATCCTGATTGTCAATGTCCTAGGATCCCAGAGACAAAATGGACTTATGTTTTTTTTTTTTTTTTTTTTTTTGGTCACATAACTGGAGGGACTGAGCTTGTGTTTGCTTTCTGTTAGAAGAACTGGTGCATCTAAGACAGTCAGCTGCAGAATTTGGTTTGGCTAGTTAAGACGTCCATGGAGATGGAATATCATGCAGTCCAGGTAGAAAGATATTAACGGGCCTATGAAGACAGGTTGCCTACCCAAGGCTTCTCAAACTTGAGAAATCACCTGGGCATCTTGTTAAAATGCAGATTTTAATTCAGTAGGTTTGGGGTGTGGCCTAACATCTGGAAACCTGCATTTCAAAGAAGCTCCCAGGAGATGTTGTTGCTGCAGGTCTGCAGACACACTTGGAGGAGTAAGAACTAGGGGGTTTAATATTCCCAAACAGGTGAGCAGAAGTGGCCTATATCGCTCCCCGTCGATGCCAGAGAACTTGAACAGGCCAAGACTGAAGCAGGTGGAAAAATTCAAGGACAACACAATACCAGATAAAGTTAAAAAAAAGTATTTTTCTGGCCAAGGAAAGCTCAGGAAGGTAAGAACTTTTTAAGATGAAAATCTTGTTCATCTTCTATCTCATGTCTTTGCTTTTCTGGTATGAGGATTGTTTTATTATGCCTTTTTTGTCTTCTTCCTCTTTACTTTTACTTTTTCCTCTTTGTTCTTTCCATCTTTCTGTCTTTTCTACATCTGTATCCACGTGAAATATATATATATATATAAAATATTTATATAACATAGATACATAAAGTATATCTATATTGTACTTTTAGAAATGTTGTCATAGGCCGGGTGCAGTGGCTCACGCCTATAATCCTAGCACTTTGGGAGGCCGAGGCGGGCGGATTGCCTGAGCTCAGGAGTTCAAGACCAGACTGGGCAACACGGTGAAACCCCGTCTCTACTAAAATACAAGAAATCAGCTGGGCGTGGCAGCATGTGCCTGTAGTCCCGGCTACTCAGGAGGCTGAGGCAGGAGAATCGCTTGAACCCGGGAGGTGGAGGTTGCAGTGAGCCAAGATTGTGCCACTGCACTCCAGCCTGGGCAACAGAGCAAGACTCCGTCTCAAAAAAAAAAAAAAAAAGAGAAATGTTGTCATCATACCGTCTTCCCAACCCTTTTTCTTAAGATCTGAAAGAATACAAGGGAACTTTGGTATGGATATTTTACTGCTGTTTTACATGCAGTCTGACAGAAACAACATCATATAGCAGGTTGGTTTTGTGGAAAGCAACTTCTGAAAAACTTAGCCTTTGTCCTTTACCCTCCCCAACTTTAAAAAAATTAAATAGATGGGAGGATCACTTAAGGTCAGAAGTTCAAGACCAGCCTGGTCAATATAGCATGACCCCATCTCTAATAAAAAAAAATAAAATAAAAAATTAAAATTCTAAAATCTTTGGATATTTTATAAAATCAACTTATTTATTTATTTATTTATTTTCCCCTGAGATGGGGTCTCACTCTGTCACCCAGGCTGGATTGCAGTGGCATGGTCTTGACTCACTGCAGCCTCAATATTTATTTATTATTAAAAATAATAAATAAACAAATGGAGTCTCACTCTGTCTCCCAGACTGGAGTGCAGTGGTGCAATCGTAGCTCACTATAGCCTTGGCCTCCTGGGCTCAAGTGATCTCCCTACCTCAGCCTCCCATGTAGCTAGGATTACAGATGTGCGCCACCATGGCCCACTCCATCCACTGGTTTTTAAACCTTTAACATGAGGATTGGGTGTGGGGTGGGAATCTTGTCATCTTCAGGGCTTATGTTTAAAGAAGACAGTCTCTCTGTGTGACATTACTATCACTCAGATGCTGGAGGAAGATTCTAACCAGGGGCACCTGATTGGTGATTTTTCCAAGGTGAGTTTGGCTACACCCATCCTGTATTTCAGTGAGTCATTTTGGATCTGAATCTTCTCTGTTTGCCGAGAATGCCTGGTGTAAATATGCATCCTCACCAAGTACTCTTTGGTAACCTGACAGTGCTCTAGTGGTAGATCCAGGCCCTAAGCCTTTCCAGAGAGAAAGTATTTCTTATTCTTCTGGGAAGATCCAGAACAGGGGAAAGTATGAGACTTTTTACCTTTTTTCTGTTTAAAAACATATTTTAAAATTATGTAAATAATACTTGGTTGTTACAGAAAAAGTAGAAAATGAAGAAATTTATCCCAAACTTTATTAACCAGGGTAATATTGCTTAGTATATACTCTTTTTTTCCCCCCTACTGTCTGTGTAATTGCAGAAGGTACATATTCTTACAGATTTTTTTCTGTGTTTTCACAAACACATATACAAATACAGTTTTTGCTTTTCTACAAAAACAGTTTATATTGTTTTGTTATCTGTTGTTTTTCCTCTCATTTAATAATTATATCAGGGGCATCTTTTTTCATATTAATAAGCAGTTATGCTTCATTCTTTCTTTTTTTAAGATTCAAGGTCTTGATCTGTTGCCCAGGCTGGAGTACATTGGCATGATCATAGCTCACTTCAGCCTCGAGCTCCTGGCCTCAAGAAATCCTCTCTCTCCTTGGCTTCCCAAAGCACTGAGGTTACAGGCATGAGCCACCATGCCCAGCCCATTTCATTTTAATAGCTCCATATTATTTCTTTTTTTTTTTTTTTTGGCTGCTCATAATTTCTTCATAAATCCCTTCTTGTAAGATATTTGGTTTTACAATTTTTTCTTATGAATGATACCAAGATGAATATATTTGTAGAGAAATCTAAAACTTCGTACACATCCTTGATTTGTTCTTTAGGATCAGTTCTTAGAAATGGACTTGATGTATATGCACTTTATAGAGACACTGATTTTTTTGAAGGCCTCTGGGGTTTTAAGGGTCACTTGGAAAGAAGGACAAAATAAGGGTCTTTGATCTCAAACTTGGGTGTGGAATACTTGCTGTTATTTCAGCTCTTGTGTATTTCTAGGTATGTGCGCTGCCAACCGTGTCAGGGAAACACCAAGATCTGAAGTATGTCAACCCAGAAACAGTAAGCAGATTTCTGGAGATGGTAACTGGTTACATAAGCTACCATCTGGTCTCTTCTGTCCCTAAAATGCCCATTTCCATTTGTATTTCTTTCACTGTGTTCACTCACACAGGCTCCTTATTCAACTGAAGTTATATTGAAGGACTCATTTTTTTCCCCATTCTTCTCTCTCCTTCGTTTTTAGTTAAACAAATGATACATAGTTTTTGTAAAAGGGAAAAAGGGAGGGGTCAGGCATGGTGGCTCACGCCTGAAATCCTAGCATTTTGGGAGGCTGAGGCAGGCAGATCTCAGGCACTTGAGGCAGGGAATTCGAGACCACCCTGGCCAACATGGCGAAACCCCATCTCTAATAAAAATACAAAAAAATTAACCAGGCGTGGTAATGTGTGCCTATAATCCCAGCTACTTGGGAGGCTGAAGCACAAGAATTGCTTGAACCCCAGTTGGGGAGGTTGCAGTGAGCAGAGATCGTGCCACTGTACTCCAGCCTGGGCGACACAGCGAGACTGTCTCAAAAAATAATAATTACTTAAGAAAAAAGGGAGAAAGAAAGGAAAATAAAAAATCACACACAAGAAATGGTCTCAATTAAGGTCTCAATTAGGGTGACCATGCACCCTCGTTTACATTTTACAATCCCATTTTCATCTATTAGTGAGGGTAATTATTAATAGTGTTTGCTTTCATTCTCAAAAGTCTCCCAGTTTGTACAAAAATTATTTGGTCACCATACCCACAATCTCATCACCAGAGATAACCACTAGTCATATTTTCCTATGGCCTTCCAGATTTTATTTTATTTTTAGACATGGAGTTTCGCTCTTGTTGCCCAGGCTGGAGTGCAATGGCACAATCTCGGCTTGCTGCAACCTCTGCCTCCCGGAGGTCATTCTCCTGCCTCAGCCTCCCAAGTAGCTGGGATTACAGGTGCCAGCCATCACACCGACTAATTTTTGTATTTTTAGTAGAGACGGGGTTTTACTATGTTGGTCAGGCTGGTTTCAAACTCCTGTCCTCTGGTGATCCACCCTCCTCAGCCTCCCAAAGTGCTGGGATTACAGGTGTGAGCCACTGCGCCCAGCCCCAGATTTTATTCTAGCATATGTTTTATAGAAATGGGATCATGGGCCTAGCACAGCTCACACCTGTAATCCCAGCACTTTGAGAGGCCAAGGCAGGCGAATCACCTGAGGTTGGGAGTTCGAGACGAGTCTGACCAACATGGAGAAACCCCGTCTCTACTAAAAATATAAAATTAGCTGGGTGTGGTAGCGCATGCCTGTAATCCCAGCTACTCGGGAGGCTGAGGCAGGAGAATTGCTTGAACCCGGGAGGCAGAGGTTGCGGTGAGCCAAGATGGCACCATTGTACTCCAGCCTGGGCAACAAGGGCGAAATTCCATCTCAAAAAACAAAAAAAAAGGATCATGATGAACGTATAGTATTGCAATTTGCTTAGTGAGACATTATAGACATCTTTCTATATCAATAAGGTATCTATATTATCATTTTAATGGCTATATAATGCCGCTCTATTCTACTGACATGTACAATTTATTTTACCAAACCCCTATTATTGAATATTGAAGTTATTTCTAATATATTGATAATATAAAACAATGCTGAGATGAATATAATTGTGCCTACATCTTTGTGTACTTTTCCTGTTTACTTAAGATGTTAGAAATTGCTGAGTCAAAGTGTGATTACATTTATTTGTATATGTATTTACAAAGTTCCCTTCAGAAAGGCTGAACCAATTTGCACTCCTACAAGTAGCTTCAGTTTCTTCCTTCCTTTAGGTATCAACCTTTCCCTTCCATATCCTTTCCTGAAAGACTTACTTTCTTCCTTTTTGATGGTGGGTAGGGAACCATTTTGCATTTCTTCCTGCAATTTCAAGCTCTCTAGCTGCTGCCTCTGCCACTGCAGAAGTCCTTGGGCATCTCCTGAGTCCAGCCATGCCTATCCCCAGATGGGTAGCCTGAATATGGTTTTCCTTGGTATCTTGTCAGTGCCAGCTATTTTGGTTCTCTAAAAGGGCCACTTCCTGTTTCATTCTCTTTTGTGGAGTGGGGCTGAATCATTGCCACATATCAAATATGGGGTGACTTTGGAGGCTGGACATACAGTGGACAGAACAGGAGTATGCTTGTAAGGAACTGTGTCATTGACCCTTCTCTCCCTCAGAGTGGCAGTGAGCAGAATATTCAGTCATTGTTTCTGTCCAGGTGGCTGCCTTACTGTCGGGGAAGTTCCAGGGTCTGATTGAGAAGTTTTATGTCATTGATTGTCGCTATCCATATGAGTATCTGGGAGGACACATCCAGGTGAGACGACATTGTGGCCATTAGTAGGGGAGGGCTGGAGATAACTCTTTATTGAGAAGAGTCTGTGGACAAAGGGGTCTATGAACTCTAGAGTCAGGACAAAGATTACATATTTGAAGCACCTCAAGGCTGAGGTCCTCATTGTTTTAATTCTGTATACCTTAAGCAGGTTACTTTCCCTTTCCCTCCTAGATCTATCTCCCTCTTTTCTGTAGGAGCCAAGGGGTCCTACCTAGAAATAAAAACATTAATCCAAGGACTGAAGCACTTTGCAAACACTTACTATTCATGAACATTCCTCGCAGTGATCTCTATACTTCCAGTGGTTCAGGTCTATAAACATTTATTGACCATCTACAAGCTCTATGCCAGGCGTTCAGGGTATATACAGAGATATACTTAGACCCCTGCCCTAAAGGTGCTTATAGTCCAGCTTTTCTGGTCCACATTATCCCAGGTTGGCGTCTCAGTCATTTCTAAGTATTGGCACTGTCTATAAGCCCCTGAGGAAATACTTACTAAAATTCTTCTTCTACAGGGAGCCTTAAACTTATATAGTCAGGAAGAACTGTTTAACTTCTTTCTGAAGAAGCCCATCGTCCCTTTGGACACCCAGAAGAGAATAATCATCGTGTTCCACTGTGAATTCTCCTCAGAGAGGGGCCCCCGAATGTGAGTGTCTAAATGGGGTCTGGCGGGTGATGGAAATGGATTTTGAGTTGGACTTCCCACACCAGTTCAGACAGAGACTGACTGGATTCTACAGTTTGAAGAATGTTAGGGAGGTTGAAGGAAGACGTTTCTAAAATTGAAAAGTTTGAAACAATAAAGGAAAAGGGATTGAGAATGAGGCTGCAGTGGAGGAAAGGAGGAAGGGTGGTACTACTTGGACCTTTTTTTGCAAACACAGGGAGATTGGAAAGTCCTTTTTGAGGTTGGCAATAGTCTACTCCTCTCCCCCCTCCCCAGTGAATGGCCCCTGGGATCCTGACCTTGTTTCTTTCCACCCCACCCATCTCTGGGTTCTCTCTAAAGGTGCCGCTGTCTGCGTGAAGAGGACAGGTCTCTGAACCAGTATCCTGCATTGTACTACCCAGAGCTATATATCCTTAAAGGCGGCTACAGAGACTTCTTTCCAGAATATATGGTAAAGGGTGGGGCATGCGGGGAGCCAAACTTTAACAACTCAACTCCCAGGGCCTGCAAAGCCTTCAGAGAAGAAACTGCTGCTCCTCCTTAGCCACTGCCAGCAGCAGCATCTCTATTATCCTTCATAGGTAGAGTTCAGGAGTCTAGAGAATCCCTTACTCTGTTCCTTACCTTTCAGGAACTGTGTGAACCACAGAGCTACTGCCCTATGCATCATCAGGACCACAAGACTGAGTTGCTGAGGTGTCGAAGCCAGAGCAAAGTGCAGGAAGGGGAGCGGCAGCTGCGGGAGCAGATTGCCCTTCTGGTGAAGGACATGAGCCCATGATAACATTCCAGCCACTGGCTGCTAACAAGTCACCAAAAGACACTGCAGAAACCCTGAGCAGAAAGAGGCCTTCTGGATGGCCAAACCCAAGATTATTAAAAGATGTCTCTGCAAACCAACAGGCTACCAACTTGTATCCAGGCCTGGGAATGGATTAGGTTTCAGCAGAGCTGAAAGCTGGTGGCAGAGTCCTGGAGCTGGCTCTATAAGGCAGCCTTGAGTTGCATAGAGATTTGTATTGGTTCAGGGAACTCTGGCATTCCTTTTCCCAACTCCTCATGTCTTCTCACAAGCCAGCCAACTCTTTCTCTCTGGGCTTCGGGCTATGCAAGAGCGTTGTCTACCTTCTTTCTTTGTATTTTCCTTCTTTGTTTCCCCCTCTTTCTTTTTTAAAAATGGAAAAATAAACACTACAGAATGAGAGGTGTGATTGTGAGCCTAGCCTGCTCCTAGAAGATCTGTCTACAGAGGAGATCACCAAGTTAGACTACTTCAGACATACTATCTTTATTCATAGCTGAGGCCAACATGCTTTTCTCTAAACCAGTAATTCTTAGGCCGTGGCTCACACCTGTAATCCTGGCACTTTGGGAGGCCGAGGCGGGTGGATCACTTCAGGTCAGGAGTTCGAGGCCAACATGGTGAGACCCTATCTCTACTAAAAATACAAAAATTAGCCAGGCATGGTGGCGTGTGCCTGTAGTCCCAGCTACTCAGGAAGCTGATGCAGGAGAATCGCTTGAACTCAGGAGGTGAAGGTTGCAATGAGATCGTGCCACCGCACTCCAGCCTGGGCAACAGAGAGAGACTGTCTCAAAAAACAAATACCAAACAACCAGTAATTCTCAAAGTTTGGACCCTAGATCATCAACATCATCTGAACTTGTTTGAAATACAGATGTTCAGGCCTCACCCCAGACCTCTTAAATCAGAACTTGTGAGGTTAGGGCACAGAAATCTGGGTTTTAAAAATCTCCCTTTTCAGTTAATTCTAATACATGGTAAGGCTTAAGAACCAGTGCTCAGTAATCCCAGCACTTTGGGAGGCCAAGGCAGGCAGATCACTTGACGTCAGAAGTTCGAGACCAGCCTGACCAACATGGTGAAACCCCATCTCTACTAAAAAAAATACAAAAATTAACCAGGCATGGTGGCACACACCTGTAATCCCAGCTACTAGGGTGGCTGAGGCAGGAGAATTGCATGAACTCAGGAGGTGGAGGTTGCAGTGAGCCAAAATCCACTGCACTCTAGCCTGGGCAACAGAGTAAGACTCCATCTCAAAAAAAAAATGAACCAATGCTCTGGAATTAAGGTAAGCCTTTCAAACAGTTTTCTTCAGCAATGTCCTGGGCTTTCCTTTCCTAGATCATTCCATGGTATGCGTTACTAAAAGTGCACCACAGACTCAGCAGCATGTGGTATCTAGACATTCTCTAAGGCAAATGACAGATCTCAGCTGGGCTCAAAGGTTCCCTCTTGGCAGTGGCTCACACCTGTAATCCCAGCACTTTGGGAGGCTGAGGCTGGCGGAACACCTGAGGTCAGGAGTTCAAGACCACCCTGGCTAACATGGCAAAACCTCGTCTATACTAAAAATACAAAAATTAGCCAGGCATCGTGGTGGCTGCCTGTAATCCCAGCTATTCGGGAGACTGAGGCAGGATAATCACTTCAACTTGGGAGGCAGATGTTGCAGTGAACAAGATTTTTCACTGCACTCCGGCCTGGGTGTCAAAGCAAGACTCCATCTCAAAAAAAAAAAAAAAAAGTTCCCTATCTATAGCCTTAGGGGGGTTTTGACTTTTAAGTCTTTTCTCCACTCCATTTCACGTCTCACAAAGACAAGTTTTAGGATTTAGGATGGTTGGAAGTAGAGATTTGTGATATATGAAGATAGGAATAAAACAAAGCAAGATCCATTAGACTTCAGGAAGATTTTTTAACTGTACTCTTCTGCAGTATGCCAGGGTTTCCTTTCTTGGAGCTTTTTAATATGAATAGGCCTTTATCTGTAGTAAGGTGTGGCACTACTTGGTCTTGGGTGGCAGTAGAACTGACTGAACATTGTCATTCTCTGGTATTAACCTAGTAGGACTGATAGCCCAGGACGGAACAGGACGAAGCCCTCTACAGCCTAGGCTGAGACAGAACAGAGACAAACATACCCTCTTCCCAGGCTCTGGAACAGAGACACTTTTTTAAAGTGAGTGGGAGGGAAGGGGGGTTGTAGCCATAGGGCGGCCCATGCACGTGCCTGAGTGGTTGGACTGGCTTTTAATTTTTTTATTTGACAAGGTTTGCACATGCTCTTGCCCTAGAGTGTCACATGCATGCTTCACAGCAGAGGGCACTGCTGTTTTCTCCAAGCCATCCTGCTGAAGTCTGTAGCTTCCATTCCTAGCTACTGCCTGTCTGTCAAAAAGGAAGCTGTCTCTGTGGCCTTCTCCCTAATCCCTTGAACTCAAAGCCCAGAAGGTCTAGGGGAAAGAGAAAAGCTGCTGCTACGTTAGGTGGAGATGGCCAAAGGAAAGATGCTGCTCCTCTGCCCCACCCACACACGTGCCCCTATAGGAATTCCTAGTAGCCAGAAAAGAAAACTGCTTGAAGCACCTCTTCGAAGTGTGAGGAGAGGTCCTTAACTCACTGCCTACCCTAGTGGGTCATTTCCATTTCCTGATAATTCTCCCCAGAAGGCTAGAACCAAGTCCCAACATAGATAGAGATTGATGTACATGTGCCCACTAGTCAGTAGTCTTAAGTGGAAAATCTGAGTTGCAAAACAAAACACTAAGGCTTAATTATCTTCCTCATGGAAAATTGTATTTTCACCCAAGTCAACATTTTTTGGTATTTTTTATTTTATTTTATTTTATTTGAGACAGAGTCTTGCTCTGTCACCAGGCTGAAGTGCAGTGGCGCGATCTCAGCTCACTGCAACCTCCACCTCCCGGGTTCAAGCAATTCTCCTGCCTCAGCCTCCCGAGTAGCTGGGATTACAGGCATGCACCACCACGCCTGGCTAATTTTTGTATTTTTAGTAGAGACAGGGTTTCACCATGTTGGTCAGGCTAGTCTTGAACTCCTGACCTCGTGATCCACCCACATCGGCCTCCCAAAGTGCTGGGATTACAGGCGTGAGCCACCACGCCTGGCCTAATATAAGCCCACTGATTTCTTGTAATATCCTCTCATTGTATAGGGACTATATGATTTGATTCATGTTATTTTCAGGAATAACAATAGTAGCTAACATTTTTCAGGTGCTTACTGTATACAAGGCTATCTCTAAACTCATATATATATATATATATATATATATATATATATATATATATAAACTCCTATATAAATACACACTAATTTAATTTTCACAAGCCTGTGAAAGAGGTATTCATTATTATGAGCATTTCTTTATGAAGATAAAGAAATTGAGGAACAGAGGGATTAACTCTTTTTTATTTTATTTTATTTTTTTTTGAGACAGGGTCTCACTTGTTGCCCAGGCTGGAGTGCAGTGGTACAATCTCAGCTCACTGAAACTTCCACCTCCTAGGCTCAAGCAATCCTCTCACCTCAGCTTCCCAAGTAGCTGGGACTACAGGCATCTGCCACCACACCTGGATAATTTTTGTATTTTTTTCTTTTCTTTTTTTTTTTTTTTTTTTTTGAGACGGAGTCTCACTCTGTCGCCCAGGCTGGAGTGCAGTGGCGTGAACTCGGCTCACTGTAAGCTCCGCCTCCTGGGTTCACACCATTCTCCTGCCTCAGCCTCCCGAGTAGCTGGGACTACAGGCACCCACCACCATGCCCGGCTAATTTTTTTTTTATTTTTTAGTTAAGACGGGGTTTCACCATGTTAGCCAGGATGGTCTTGATCTCCTGACCTCATGATCCGCCCACCTCGGCCTCCCAAAGTGCTGGGATTACAGGCGTGAGCCACCGCGCCTGGCCTGCATTTTTTTTTCTAATTTGAATTTTTTTTTTTTTTTTGGAGACACAGTCTCGCTCTGTTAACAACCTGGAGTGTAGTGGCGCGATCTCGGCTCACTGCAACCTCTGCCTCCCAGGTTCAAGCGATTCTGCCTCAGCCTCCTGAGTAGCTGGGACTACTGGCATGTACCACCATGCCCGGCTAATTTTTTGTATCTTTAGTAGAGAAGGGGTTTCACCATGTTGGCCAGGCTGGTCTCGAACTCCTGGCCTCATGATCCATCGGCCTCAGCCTCCCAAAGTGCTGGGATTACAGTTGTGAGCCACCGCACCCAGCCCTCTCCCTTCTAACTTTCATGGAGGCAATCTGAGCTCTAGTCTTCAATTGGAGCCTCCCAAAGTGCTGAGATTACAGGCGTGAGCCACTGCACCTAGTCAAGTAATAAGATCTCAAAGCTAATTAATGGTGGAGTAGGGATTTGACCCAAGACAGTATGGCTCCAGAGCCTGTCCACTTCATGGATTTTGCTGTTACCAAACCTTCATCAAAGAACAGTGTGCCTGGCCAGGTGCAGTGACTCACATCTGTAATCCTAGCACTTTAAGAGGCCAAAGTGGGAGGATCCCTTGAGACCAGGAGTTTAAGACCAGCCTGGGCAACATAGCAAGACCCCATCTCTATAGAATAAAAATCAACTTAGCTGGGCATGGTGGTGCACACTTGTAGTCATAGCTACTGGGGAGGGTCAGGCAGGAGGATGGCTTCAGCCCAGGAGGTTGAGGTTGCATTGAACTATGATCCATCCACTATACTCTAGCCTGGATGACAGCAAGACCCTGTCTAAAAAAAAAAAACCACTGTGCCTTTCCAGAGTTGGCCCTGTATTGGGTGTTAAATCTATAAGAGCCTCAATGGTAAGCTCTTGAGAATTTAGGGCCATAAGGGTTGCTTTGGCTTGAGAGATAAGGATATGAGCAGGCACTAAAACCCCAGCCCAGAGACCTCAGTATGAGGCTATGTAGGGGGTGTGCTCGGCATTGGTGTCCTTGCACTGGTATTTATTCATCAGGAGGTAAAGAAATATTGAACAGAAATGTTTTGAGCTAAAAACTGCTTCTCGAGGCTGGGCGCTGTGGCTCATGCCTATAATCCCAACACTTTGGGAGCCTGAGGAGGGTGGATCACCTGAGGTCAAGAGTTTGAGAGGAGCCTGGCCAATGTGGTGAAACCCCATCTCTACTAAAAATACAAACAGGCCAGGCATGATGGCTCACACCTGTAATCCCAGCACTTTGGGAGGCCAAGGTGGGCAGATCACGAGGTCAGGAGATCGAGACCATCCTGGCCAACATGGTGAAACCCCGTCTTTATTAAAAATACCCAGCTACTCGGGAGGCTGAGGCAGGAGAAGTGCTTGAACCCAGGAAGTGGAGGTTGCAGTGAGCCAAGATTGGGCCACTGCACTCCAGCCTGGTGACGGAGACTCTGTCTCAAAAAAAAAAAAAAAAAAAATTAGCCAGGAGTAGTGGCAGGCACCTGTAATTCCAGCTACCAGGAGGCTGAGGCAGGAGAATCACTTGAACCTGGGAGGTGGAGGTTGCAGTGAGCTAAGATCACACCATTGCACTCCAGCCTGGGTGACAACAGCAAGACTCTGTATCAAAAACAAACAAAAACCTGCTTCTTGGGCTAGGTGCGGTGGCTTAAGCCTATAATCCCAGTACTTTGGGAGGCTGAGGTGGGAGGATTGCTTGAATCCAGGAGTTTGAGACCAGCCTGGGCAATATAGTCAGACCTCTGTCTCTACAGAAAATTTAAGAATTAGCCAGGTGCAGTGGTGCATGTCTGTAGTCCCAGCTACTCAGGAGGCTGAGGTGGGAGGATTGCTTGAACCCGGGAGGTGGAGGTTGCAGTGAGCTGAGATTGCACCACTGCACTCCAACCTAAGTGACAGAGGGAGACTCTGTCTCAAAAAATATACATAAATTTTTTTTTTGCAATTGCTTCTTGTCAATCTCAGCCCAGGACCTGGGTGACCTCTGCCATAGAGAAGGGAATGTATTAAGCCATTCTTCCTTTGCTATAAAGAAATACCCTGTAATCCTAACACTGGGAAACTGAGGCTGGAGGATCACTTGAGCCTAGGAGTTTGAGACCATCTGGGCAACATGGTGAAACCCTGTCTTTACGAAGAATTTTTTTTTTTTAAGATGGAGTTTCGCTGGGTGCGGTGGCTCACGCCTGTAATCCCAGCACTTTGGGAGGCCAAGGCGGGCGGCTCACCTGAGGTCAGGAGTTCGAGACCAGCCTGACCAATATGATGAAACCCCATCTCTACTAAAAATACAAAAATTAGCCGGGCATGGTGGCATGTGCCTGTAATCCCAGCTACCTGGGAGGCTGAGACAGGAGAATCACTTGAACCTGAGAGCTGGGAGGCGGAGGTTGCAGTGAGCCGAGATCGCGCCGTTGCACTCCAGCCTGGGCAACAAGAGCGAAACTCCGTCTCAAAAAAAAAAAATGGAGTTTTGCTCTTGTTGCCCAGGCTGGAGTGCAATGGCACAATCTTGGCTTACTGCAACCTCCGCCTCCCGGGTTCAAGTGATTCTCCTGTCTCAGCCTCCCAAGTAGCTGGGATTACAGGCGCCTGCCACCATGCCTGGCTAATTTTTTTGTATTTTTAATAGAGACAGGGTTTCACCATGTTGGTCAAGCTAGTCCCAAACTCCTGACCTCAGGTGATCCACCTGCCTTGGCTTCTCAAAGTGCTGGGATTACAGGCATGAGCCACTGCGTCTGGCCTTCTACGAATAATTTTTAAAAATTAGCCAGGTGTGGTGGTGTGCACCTGTAGTCCCACCTACTTGAGAGGCTGAAGTGGGAGGATCACTAGAGCATGTGAAGTTGAGGCTGTGGTGAGCCATGATTGCACCACTGTGCTCCAGCCTGGGCAGTAGAGTGAGACCCTGTCTCAAAAAAAAAAAAAAAAAAAGGAAGAAAGAAAAAGAAAAAAAATACCTGAGACTGGGTAATTTTTTTTTTTTTTGAGACAGAGTCTTGCTCTGTCACCCCTGCTGGAGTGCAGTGGCATGATCTCAGCTCACTGCAAGCTCTGCCTCCTGGGTTCATGCCATTCTCCTGCCTCAGCCTCCCGAGTAGCTGGGACTACAGGTGCCCGCCACCACGTCAGGCTAATTTTTTTTTTTCATTTTTAGTAGAGATGGGGTTTCACCGTGTTAGCCAGGATGGTCTCAATCTCCTGACCTCATGATCCGCCCATCTCGGCCTCCCAAAGTGCTGGGATTACAGGCGTGAGCCACCGCGCCCGGCTTTTTTTTTTTTTTGGAGACAGGGTCTCACTGTGTCACCCAGGCTATAGTGTGGTGGCATGATCTTGGCTCACTGCAACCTCTGCCTTAGCCTCCCAAGTAGCTGGGACTACAGGCCGACACCACCATGCCTGGCTGACCACCATGCTTGCCTGGGAGACTGAACAATTTATAAGGAAAAGAAGCTTAATTAGCTCATGGTTCTGCAGGCTTTATGGGAAGCATGGTGTTGGCATCTGCTCAGCTCCTGGGTAGGCCTCTGGAAGCTTACAATCATGTCAGAAGGTGAAGGAGAAGCAGACATGTCACATATCCAGAGCAGGAGCAAGAGAGGGAGGGAGTTATGGGAGGAGGTGCCACACACTTTTAAATGACTGGATCTCTTGTGAACTCAGTGACAGCTCACTTATCCCCAAGAGAATGGCCCAAGCCATTCATGAAGGATCCACCCCCATGATCCAGACACCTCCACCAGGCCCCACCTCCAACATTAGGGATTACATTTCATCATGAGATTTGGGTGGGGACAAATATCCAAACTATATTAAGGAGGAATATTTCCCTTTCTTTATCAGGAGTATAAAGTAGGAGGCATGGGGGATTCTCTCCCTGTTCTGTTCAGGCATAGGTTAAGGAAACACCAATTCCTTTAAACATATGCATCTGGAGTTGCCAATTCTGAGTATCACAGTTGTTAAAATATGACACAGTCCCTGCCCTCAAGAAATTGACAAGGTAGAAAAATAAAAAATGGCTCTTTTTGTTTCCATCCCTACAAGCACTCTGGTCTAGTAGTATATTCAGCAAAAGGAGCAAAAAGTGCCACTTCCAGCTCCAAATCAGCAGGTCGGGTGGTGGGGTCTGGCCAAGTTCACACACAGAATAATTAACTCCTGCATGCTACCTGGGATGATATTTATTCGATGCTTGCTATATGCCAGGTATAATGCTACACCTTTTTTTTTCTTTTCTTTTTTTTTTTTTGAGTCGGAGTCTCGCTCTACTGCCCAGGCTGGAGTGCAATAGCATGATCTTGGCTCACTGCAACCTCCGCCTCCTGGGTTCAAGCAATTCTTCTGCCCCACTGAGCCTCCCGAGTAGCTGGGAATACAGGCATGTGCCACCATGCCCGGCTAATCTTTGTAATTTTAGTAGAGATGGGGTTTCATCATATTGGCCAGGCTGGTCTTGAACTCCTGACCTCGTGATCCGCCCACCTTGGCCTCCCAAAGTGCTGGGATTACAGGCGTGAGCCACCGCGCCCAGCCTACACCTTCATTTAAATACTATACTCATTTAATCCTCACAATGTGAAATAGATACTATTATCCTTAATTTTACAGGTGAAGAAATGGAAGCACAGAAAAATTAAGTGACTTGCCCAAGGTCATCCAGCTAGTGTCGGCATTTGAATCTAGGCAGTCTGTAAAGCTTGTGGTCTTAACTATTTATTATACTGCTAACATCCTGGATTAGGATAGCAGCAGGAATTAAAGCTCAATGGAGAGAGAGAGGACTTGAGAGAAGGTAGAATCCATGTAATCTGACCATAAGAGGAGAAAATTGAGATTACAAGTGAAAGTGGAATAAGATACAGGGTCTTTGGGCATTTGAGTTGCAATCAGTGGATTGTAACACCCTCCCCGAGCAGGATTTGTGTCTTAATCATTTTGCACCTAGCATAAAGCTGGGCTCATAATCATTCTCAAAACACATTATTGAATTGAATGATGGATGAGTAACATCATCTCTGTAGAAAGGACTGGCTCATTTGTCATTGTCCACAAGGGGCAATGCTGCTTATCTAGCAGGTGTTGGCAGTCACAGAGGACATGGTTGGTGGAGAGGGTGTGCTGGAGGGCTGTCAATATTAGTCTTGGAGTCATATTTATTTGCAGAGCTTCTCCAATCCTCATTAAAGGCCCAATGATATGAGGCTCTCCACCCCTGTACCCAGACAGAAATATGCACCAGACACTTTATTTTCTCTCATGAAAAGGCTGGCCTGTTACAGGTGGGATTGGTCATTGCTCCCAGCCCGTCAGCTTGATACTGCATTCTTGGTCTATTCTGTGGGGACAGCCCTGGAATAGACACTGAGTATCTATCAGAGTAGGCACCCTGAGCAAACTTCCTTTCCCAAACCCTCTTCCTGCCCATAACATGATTTGGCTTGGGCTGGAGGAGGGGGAGGGCAGAGGAGACACCCCTTGACCACCTCACATCTTTGTTGGTTCATGGGTCTCAGCCCTTTCCTATCATCCCAAAGAGCCTGAAATTGTTACATTTTGCTTTATAAATTCCTTTCTTAAGTATTGTCAGTTTCAAAAAAAAAAACCCAAAAAACGATTGTCTGCCTGTAATAGCAGGTGTGAGAGAAAATGAGGTGCCTGGAGCATATTTCTCTCTGGCAATGGGGTAGAGGGCCTGACATCATGGGGCCTTTAATGGTAGCCCCCCAGCTTCATGTTCCCTCACCTTTCTGGAGAGGAGGGCTTGGGAAAGGCACATGGAGATAGGGTGGAGCTGGGGGAAAACAGGCCTTGTACAAAAGCTGAGTAGCCAGATGTTCACTTTTACAGCTCTTCTGTAAAACTGGCAGGGCAGATATAGATTAAAACGAAGGACAAACTCCATTTAAAGTGCATTACAGCTCAGGAACCAGCACCCCCTGGGCAGGAGAAGGGAGGGAAGGGCACAGAGGCCACATCAGTCTCCTTCCTTATCTAGGGCCACATGTCTCTCTCCTAGCTTTGCCAAGGGTGATTTACACCCCCAGCTGGAATGACTCTCTTTCTGGGCTGATTACATCGGCAAATGCCCCCCAGAGGCCACAGCAGGATGGCCATATTCAGAAGCAGCAGCCAATAAATCTCAGAGGTTTATATTGCGATTCTCAGTACTCCCTGCTGGCCCTCTGCCAGGCTGGCTGTGGAAGTAAGGAGGGGGTCAAGTTAGAGGGTTAGGGGATGAAACCCTCCACTTCCTTTCATCACCCTCTTCTCCTTCTCTCTTTCTATGCGCTGCTTAGTTCTCATTCTTCCAAGCCATTCTGCTTCTGGCTTTATCCTGGGATCTTGTGGGAATCAGGCCCAGGCCCAATAAATACCCTTATCCTTATGGGTAGACGTCCTGTGTTCTGGGCACAGATGTGTTTCTACCTAGTTGTTTAATCCTGATAGAGTAGCTTGCTCTCCGAAAGTCTCATCATGTGAAAAGGATGGGCTCCTAAATGGTCTCTCCAGGCACCTTCCTCAGTGAGCTTTGGTCCAAGGAAATCTCTGCTATTTAGTGGAGAGTTTAATCTTCCATCTTCCCTCACGACACCATCGGGGCTGAATTTTGGAATCTAATGCCCCAGGTCTGCTCCCCCAGCAAAGCCATTCCACCTGTCTGCGACCCATCTTTGCAGCATCTTGAGCTTAATAACCACCCAATCTTACCCTAGAAGACACTTAGGAGAGGAAAAAACGAGATCATAGATGTGCAAATTCTAAGAAAAATACTAGAAATGCAAGTGCCCTTGTGTTGGCTTGTTCAAGTTTTGTTACAAAATCTCTTTTGTGGTGGTGTCTGTTCTTTGATGTGTGGGTGAGTGGGATCCAGAAAGTGAGAAAGGGTGCTTTTCTTGGAGAAATATTTGGTTCTCCTAGATGGCGAGTTTCCAGCGGCAGCTTCCACAATGTCTTGCTAGTCGAACTTGTCAGACAGCAGGTGGGCCGCCTCGGAAAGAGCAACCTCTTCCGCACCAAGCCCGGCGGCTCCCGGGGCGCCGGCCCTCCCCCGCCCCCACCCCCGCGGTCCCTCGGACCAGCGCTGGAGGCGCGTGGTGTGGACGCGCGCTTCGGAGTTGGAGGGCGGCGCCCAGGACCCTGGTGGGAGAGTGTGTGCGTCGCGCTGGAGGGCGGGAGGCGGGGGCGGGAGGTGCCGGTCGAGGGAGCCCCGCTCTCAGAGCTCCAGGGGAGGAGCGAGGGGAGCGCGGAGCCCGGCGCCTACAGCTCGCCATGGTGCGCCCCCTGAACCCGCGACCGCTGCCGCCCGTAGTCCTGATGTTGCTGCTGCTGCTGCCGCCGTCGCCGCTGCCTCTCGCAGCCGGTGAGTGTCAGAGCGCGCACCGGCCGGGGGTACAGTGGGAGGGGGAGGTGAGGTGTAGGCGAGGCCCGGGGCACCTGTCCGGAGAGGGCGCAGCAGCCTCCCGGTGCATCCGAGCCGAACAAGGGGAACTGGAGCAGGAAGCCCAGGGTGCCTGCAAGGGGCTGGGGTCACACCTAACACAGTGTACGAACTGAGATAGACTGAGTGCCAGCAATGGCCTGGCCACCCAAGCATCTCCTCCTCGCCCCTTTTTCCCCCCTCTTCCCTCTTTTGAGGTAGGTCTACACAGTCACAGAACAACCCACAGCCAGGTCACTACCAAGACAGCGTCTCTAAGAGGCGGGGAGAATCAGATCAGAAACAGAGTGTCATTTGCTCCACGTGGGCTTTAACTCTTCCATCTGCTTTAAGGACTGAGGAAGAAACTAGGTACAGGTGAAGAAAAAGAAGTTCGTTAAAACTGACTTGTTTCATAACCTTCTACAATAGCAGGCCTTGCAAGCCGTCTAGCACAGTGGCTTGCCCCTTGGATAATAAATAATCCACAATAGATGTTTTGTAGATGTAGTTCAAGGCCTGGTTTTAGAACCAGGCCACTCCCCCAAGGAAGAACAGCCTGGGATCCGAGATCCCTGGAAGGCCCATGGCCTTCGTGAGTGGTATGGGTGTGTGGAATCTTATTATGCGGCTCCTGCCCAGAGACTGAATGGAGGGACTCCTGAGACAGAGAGACCACCACACTGCCCTGAGACCTCAGTCCACAACGCAGTGCTGTAGAAATGCTGCCTTGAGACAGATATGGAAGGAAGGAGGAAAAACCCTGGTCTGTCCACCTGCCAACATCAGTAAGTCAGGGCAGCAAGACATCACCAGTCTGATTTGACTGCCCAGGAAATTTCACTAATCCTAAAGGTTATGGCTGCATGTCAGGATCAGGGGAAAACATTAAACACCTTTCTCATTAAATGGTTTAATGAAGCAGTGTTGGTGACAGATCTATTTTCCACAGTAATACTTGACAGCAATGACATCTGGTTAAGTAGCCTCATTGAAAATCCATAAAACAGTCATCTAGGAGGTACCATGTAGAGCCAAGTGCTCTTCAAGAGCACAGACCAACAGAGGGCTTTGGGGGTGGAAAATATCATTGCTCAGGGCCTGCTAAAGCCAAGCATATAGGAGACCTCCGATTCATGGGGAAGTGGTGTCATGTACTGAAAATCATTCTGAAGTGGATAGGAGGCTGGAGTCCTGGGTTCTAGCCTTGACTCGGTCTTGACTTGCTACATCCCCTGGTGCACATTACTTTTCTTTGTTCATCCAACTATAAAATGGATACCTGGGTTGTGGGCCTCACTGATGAGAAACAAATGAGGATCTTGTGCCCTGAGGCATAGCCTGATCTGACCCATTCTGTAGCTACTCATTCTCTGATGAGCCAAGAAGCAGAAAACAAAGTTACAAAACCAGGTTGCTAACAAATCAATATGAAATAGACGTGGCAGTGGCTGTATAAATGAGGAGGTGGGGCAAGTAATAGAAAGTGGTATGGACTATAACAAGCTGGAAAAGGCATGACTTGTCAAAAGGGGGCAGTCATTACTCCACCCGTTACATGTGGGCCCGAGTGTTTCCATTTTTCAAGACAAATTGGAAATTAATAGTTTTATTTGAAATCTGATTTTTTTTTTGAGACAGGGTATCAATCTGTCACCCAGGCTGGAGTTCAGTGGTGTGATTCCAGTTCACTGCAGCCTCAACCTCCCATACTCAAGTAATCCTTCTGCCTCAGCCTCCCCAGTAGCTGGGACTGTAGTAGTGTGCCACCACACCTGGTTAATTTTTGTATTTTTTGTAGAGACGGGTTTTTGCCATCTCGGATGCCCAGGCTGATCTTGAATCCTGGGCTCAAACAGTCTGCCCACCTTGGCCTCCCAAAGTGCTGCAATTAAAGGTGTGCGCCACCGCACCCGGCCTAAAATCTGATTTTTAAATGTTGGCCACTAATTACAACTTTAAGAAAATACTGGCTGGGTGCAGTGGCTCACACCTGTAATCCCAGCACTTTGGGAGGCTGAGACGGGTAGATCACGAGGTCAGGAGATTGAGACCATCCTGGCTAACACAGTGAATCCCCGTCGCTACTAAAAAATAGAAAAAATTAGCCAGGCATGCTGGTGGGCGCCTGTAGTCCCAACTACCCGGGAGGCTGAGGCAGGAGAATGGCGTGAACCTGGGAGGTGGAGCTTGCAGTGAGCTGAGATCGCGCCACTGCACTCCAGCCTGGGTGACAGAGCGAGACTCCGTCTCAAAAAAAAAAAAAAGAAAAAGAAAATACTGTGAACGTGCAAAAAAAACCAACCAAACAAACAAATAAAACAACCAAACCACACACACACACACACACACACACACACACAAAAAAAAAAAAAAAAAAAAAACAGAAAAGAAAATACTGCCGGGAATGGTGGCTCACGCCTATAATCCCAGCATTTTGGGAGGCCAAGGTGGGTGGATTGCTTGAGCTCAAGAGTTCGAGACCAGCCCGGGCAACATGGTGAAAACCCATCTCTACAAAAAATACAAAATTAGCTGGGCGTGGTAGTGCATGCATGCAGTCCCAGCTACTTGGGAGGCTGAGGTGGGAGAATTCACCTGAGCCTGGGAGGTCGAGACTGTAGGCTGCAGTGAGTGGCGATTGTACCACTGCACTCCAGTCTGGGTGACAGAGATTAAAAGAAAGAAAAGAAAAGGAGAAAGGAGAAAGAAAAAGAAAGGAACGGAACTATGCTGACTAAAAAAGACACATTTGCACACTGGATCAAATTATGACCTTTGCCCTGGATCAAGTCCTGTGTTTCACAATCCAGGAAACACAGGTTCCACCTTGTTGAGATGAAATTTAACGTGGCCCCCAAGTTCTTTGTTGAGATGAATGCCCCTAAATCCATCACTGCTCAAACTTGGTAAAGTGTCAACTAAGAAATTGTTTTCTTTTGAAAATGTTTACAACTCAATAGTTAGTACAGTTAAATATTTATGGCCGGGCACAGTGGCTCATGCCTGTAATCCCAGCACTTTGTTGAGGCCGAGGCGGGCAGATCACCTGAGGTCGGGAGTTCAAGATCAGCCTGACCAACATCGAGAAATCGCATCTCTACTAAAAATACAAAATTAGCCAGGCATGGTGGGGCATACCTGTAATCCCAGCTAGTTGGGAGGCTGAGGCAGGAGAATCGCTTGAACCCGGGAGGCAGAGGTTGCAGTGAGCCGAGATCGCGCCACTGCACTCCAGCCTGGGTAACAAGAGCAAAACTCCACCTCAAAAAAAAAAAATTATTTTTAGTCCAGTTACAACAATAGAACTTGAATCTGCCACTTTTCTTTGTGTACTTACCACTTATTCAGTACCTACCGGAAGTAACATCGTAAACTTGTAGAAATTCCTCAATCTTTTTAAATCCATGTTCCCCTTTTGGTAAATATATAAAATCTCATACCTTCCTTAAATACTTTTTGAAATCTCAAAAGCTTTTTTTTTCATCTTGTACATGTAAAATTATCAAATATGCTTTTTGGAAATACATATTTCCTAGAGAAATTCTGATATACTTTTTCTTTTCCATAGGTTATTGGGGTACATACAGGTGGTGTTTGGTTACATAAGTAAGTTCTTTAGTGCTGATTTATGAGATTTTGGTGTACCCATCACCCAAGAAGTATATACTGCACCCTATTTGTAGTCTTTTATCCCTTCCCCTCCCCCACGCTTCCCCCCAAGTCCCCAAGTCCATTGTATCATTCTTATGCCTTTGTATCCTCATAGCTTAGCTCCCACATATCAGTGAGAATATACGATGTTTGGTTTTCCATTCCTGAGTTACTTCACTTAGAATAATAGTCTCCAATCTCATCTAGGTTGCTGCAAATGCTGTTAATTCATTCCTTTTTTTTTTTTTTTTGAGACGGAGTCTGGCTCTGTCGCCCGGGCTGGAGTGCAGTGGCGTGATCTCGGCTCACTGCAAGCTCCGCCTCCCGGGTTCGCGCCATTCTCCTGCCTCAGCCTCCGAGTAGCTGTACAGGTGCCTGCCAGCACACCTGGCTAACTTTTTTTTTTTTTTTTTTTTTGTATTTTTAGTGGAGACGGGGTTTCACTGTTTTAGCCAGGATGGTCTTGATCTCCTGACCTTGTGATCCGACTGTCTCAGCCTCTCAAAGTGCTGGGATTACCGGCGTGAGCCACCATGCCTGGCCAATTCATTCCTTTTTATGGCTGAGTAGTATTCTATTCTATCACAATTTCTGTTCCATTCGTTGATTGATGGGCATTTGGGTTGGTTCCATGATTCTGCAATTGCAAATTGTGCTGCTATAAACATGAGTGTGCAAGTATCTTTTTGGTATAATGACTTCTTTTCCTCTGGGTAGACACTCAGTAGTGGGACTGCTGGATCAAATGGTAGTTCTACTTTTTTTTTTTTTTTTTTTTGAGATGGAGTCTTGCTGTGTCACCACCAGGCTGGAGTGCAATGGCATGATCTCGGCTCACTGCAACCTCCGCCTCCCAGGTTCAAGCGATTCTCCTGCCTCAGCCTCCTCAGTAGCTGGGACTATAGGCACACGCCACCACGCCCAGCTAATTTTTTGTATTTGTAGTGGAGATGGGGTTTCACCATGTTGGCCAGGATGGTCTCAATCTCTTGACCTCATGATCTGCCTACCTCGGCTTCCCAAAGTGCTGGGATTACAGGTTTGAGCCACTGCGTCTGGCTTGTTGTTTTTTGTTTTTTTTTTTTTCAGACAGAGTTTCGCTCTTGTGCCCCAGGCTTCAGTGCAATGGCTTGATCTCGGCTCACTGAAACCTCCGCCTCCTGGGTTCAAGTGATTCTCCAGCCTCAGCCTCTCGAGTAGCTGGGATAACAGGTGCCCGCCTCCACACCTGGCTAATTTTTGTATTTTTAGTAGAGACGGGCTTTTGCAGTGTTGGCCAGGCTGGTCTTGAACTCCTGACCTCAGGTGATCTGCCCACCTCAGCCTCCCAAAGTGCTGGGATTACGGGGTGAGCCACCACGCCCAGACTACTTTTAGCTCTTTAAGGAATCTCCAGACTGTTTTCCTCAGTGGCTGTACTAGTTTACATTCCCACCAGCAGTGTAGAAGTGTTCCCTGATCACCGCATCCATGCCAACATCTACTGTTTTTTGATTTTTTGATTATGGCCATTCTTGAAGTAGTAAGTTGGTATCACATTGTGGTTTTGATTTGCATTTTACTGATCATGAGTGATGTTGAGCAATTTTTCATATGTTGGCTATTTGTGTATCTTCTTTTGAGAATTGTCTATTCATGTCCTTAGCCCACTTTTTGATGGGATTGTTTGTTTTTTTCTTTTTCTTTTTTTTTTTTTTTGAGATGGAGTCTTGCTCTGTCACCCAGGCTGGAGTGCAGTGGCATGATCTTGGCTCACTGCAAGCTCCGCCTCCCAGGTTCACACCATTCTCCTGCCTCAGCCTCCCGAGTAGCTGGGACTACAGGAGCTCACCACCATCCTGAGTAGCTGGGACTACAGGCGCTCGCCTCCACACCTGGCTAATTTTCTGTATTTTTAATAGAGATGGGGTTTCATCGTGTTAGTCAGGATGGTCTCAATCTCCTGACCTTGTGATCTGCCCACCTCGGCCTCCCAAAGTGCTGCAATTACGGGCATGAGCCACTGCGCCCAGCCAACTGTTTGTTTTTTTCTTGCTGATTTGTTTGAATTTGTTGTAGATTCTGAATATTAGTCCTTTGTCAGATGTATAGATAGTGAAAATTTTCTCCCACTCTGTGGGTTGTCTGTTTACTCTGCTGACTGTTCCTTTTGCTGTGCAAAAGCTCTTTAGTTTAATTAAGTACCAGCTATTTATCTTTTTTTTTTTTTTTTTGCATTTGCTTTTGGGTTTTGGTCATGAAATCTTTGCGTAAGTCAAGGTCTAGAAGGATTTTTCCAATGTTATCTTCTATAATTTTTATAGTTTCAGTTCTTAGATTTCTTTTTTTTTTTTTTTTTCAGATGGAGTCTCACCCTGCTGCCCAGGCTGGAGTGCAGTGGCACAGTCTCTGCTCACTGCATACTCTGCCTCCTGGGTTCAAGCGATTCTCCTGCCTCAGCCTCCTGAGTAGCTGGGATTACAGGCGCCCGCCATCACACCCAGCTAATTTTTGTATTTTCAGTAGAGACAGGGTTTCACCATGCTGATCAGGCTAGTCTCGAACTCCTGACCTCAGGTAATCCACCCGCCTTGGCCTCCCAAAGTGCTGAGATTACAGGCGTGGTGGCCAGATTTAAGTTCTTAATCCATCTTGAGTTGATTTTTGTATAAGGTGAGAGATGAGGACCCAGTTTCATTCTCCTACATGTGGGTAGCCAATTATCCCAGCACCGTTTGTTGAAAAGGCTGTTCTTTCCCCACTTTATGTTTTCGTTTGCTTTGTTGCCAAGATCAGTTGGCTGTACTGGGGCAAAACTAATCCCTGATGTTAGAGACAAAGATACTGCCTTTTCGATCCACCATCTGCAGTGGAGCCACCACCAAAATGCAGATTTTCATAACAACCTTTATGGAGAAAGCCATCAGTCTTGAGGTTGAACCCTTGGATACAAGGAAATGTAAAAGCCAACATCCAAGATAAGGAAGGAATTCCTTCTGACGAGTAAAGACTGATCTTTGCTGGCAAGCAACTGGAAGACGGATGTGCTTTGTCTGACTACAACATTCAAAAGGAGTCCACCCTTCTTGTGTTGAGACTTCGTGGTGGCCCTAAGAAAAGGAAGAAGTCTTAAACTACTCCCAAAAAGAATAGGCCAGGCACTGTAGCTCATGCCTGTAATCCCAGCACTTTGGGAGGCCAAGGCAGATGGATCGCATGAGGCCAGGAGTTCGAGACCAGCCTGGCCAACATGGTGAAACTACCTCTCTACTAAAATTACAAAACCCAGCTCGGTGTGGTGGCGCATGCCTGTAATCCCAGCTACTTGGGTGGCTGAGGCAGGTCAATCACTTGAACCCAGGAGGCGGAGATTGCAGAGAGCTGAGGTCATGCCACTGCACTCCAACCTGGGCAACAGAGCAAGACCTGGTCTCAAAAAAAAAAAAAAAAAAAAAGCATAAAAGAAAAAAGGTGAAGCTGGCTGTCCTAAAATACCATAAGGTGGATGAGAATAGCAAAAATAGTCACCTTCGTCAGGAGTACCCTTCAGATGAATGTGGTGCTGAAGTGTTTATGGCCAGCCACTCTGACAGACATTATTTTGGCAAACGTCTGACCTATTGCTTCAACAAACCAGAAGACAAGTAAAAGAAATGAAGACAGGCTGGGCGCAGTGGCTCACACTTGTAATCCTAGCACTTTGGAAGGCCAAGGTGGGTGGATCACTTGAGGTTAGGAGTTCAAGACCAGCCTGGGCAACATGGTGAAACCCTTTCTCTACTAAAAGTACAAAAATTAGCTGAGCATTGTGGCGGGTGCCTGTAGTCCCAGCTACTCGGGAGGCTGAGGCAGGAGAATCGCTTGAGCCCAGGAGGCAGAGGTTGCAAGGTTGCAGTGAGCTGAGATTGTATCACTGCACTCCAGCCTGACTCTGACTCAAAAAAAAAGAAAAGAAAAGAAAAGAAAAGAAAGAAAGAAAAAGAAATGAAGATACTGGTTTACTTGGGAGCACAGTGACTGGAAGAGGGCTTCAGGGTTACTGATAATGTTCTATTCCTTTATCTGGATTCTGGCTACACAAGTGTATTCAATTTGTGAAATTCATTGAGCTATACATTTTTGATTCATGTACTTTTCTGTGTTACACCTCAACAAAAACTTTATTTCCAAGGAAGATGTACAAATGGCTAACAAGCACATAAAAATATGCTCAACATCCTTAGTCATTAGGGAAATGCAAATGAAAGCCTCAATGAGATACCACTTCATGCTCACAAGGATGGTTATAATTTTTTTTAATGGAAAATAACAGGAGTTGGCAGTATGTATAGAAACTAGACTCCTTGTACATTGCTGATGGGAATGTAAAATGGTACAGCTGCTGTGAAAAACAATTTGGCGGTTCCTCAAAAAGTTAAACATAGAATTACCGTATGACCCAGCAATTCCATCCCTAGGTATGTATCCCAAAGAACAAAAAACAGGTGTTCAAACAAATACTTGTACATGAAATGTTCATCAAAGCGCTATTCACAATAACCAAAAGGTGGAAGCAACCCAAGTGTCCATTAACTGAAGAATGCATAAACAAAATGTAGCATATCGATATAATGAAATATTAGTCATCCATAAAGAACAATGAGGTACTGGCTGGGTGTGGTGGCTCATGCCTGTAATCCCAGCACTTCGGGAGGCCAAGGCAGGCAGATCATCTGAGGTCAGAAGTTCAAGACTAGTCTGGCCAACGTGATGAAAACCCATCTCTACTAAAAATACAAAAATTAACCAGATGTGGTGGCATGTGCCTGTAGTCCCAACTACTCAGGAGGCTGAGGTAGGTAGGATAGCTTGAACCCAGGAGGTCAAGGCTGCAGTGAGCTGTGATCGTGCCACTGCACTCCAGCCTGGGAGATAGAGCAAGACCCTATCTAAAAAAGAAAAAGGAGAAGAAGGAGAAGGAGAAGAGAAGGAGAAGGAAGAAAGAAGAGGGAAGAAGGAGAAGAGTTGATGGTGGCTTGATCTAAGGAGGTAGTGACACACATGGAGAAAAGTGGGCAGATTCCAGATGTGTTATGGAGTTGACAGGACTTGCTGAATTGAACACAGGCTGTGAAAGAAAGAGATGAATTAAGGCGCGGTGGCTCACGCCTGTAATCCCAGCACTTTGGGAGGCTAAGGTGGGCGGATTACCCGAGGTCAGGAGTTTGAGACCAGCCTGACCAATATGGAGAAACCCCGTCTCTACTAAAAATATAAAATTAGCTGGGCGTGTGATGGCGCACGCCTGTAATCCCAGCTACACGGGAGGCTGAGGCAGGAGAATCGCTTGAACCCGGGAGGCGGAGGTTGCGTTGAGCCAAGATCACGCCATTGCACTCCAACCTGGGTAACAAGAGCGAAACTCTGTCTCAAAAAAAAAAAAAAAAAAAAAAAAAAAGTTCTCCTAGATTTTTATCTTTGAACAGCTAGTGAGATGATGATGTTCTATTACCCCATGTTGAGCACCCTAAATCCTAGGATGCAGGGGCTTCCTTCCGGGCTGTGGAGGAATCTTGGTATTTCTGAGTAAGAGACAGGGTCAGGTTACCCTTTCTTTCCTTTTGGAATTAGCTCTCTACCCCAACCCCAGCCAGTTTCCACCTTCAGGTATTTTTAAATGATTTTTAATGGGAGACTCAAAGTTATTGCTGACTCCCATTTAGCACTCCCTTGTCCATTCTCAACTCTCTGGTTCTGATACTAGCCCTGCCCATGGCATGGCTCTGCCTGGGGACCCCTTCCTCTGTGCCTGTCAGGGTCATCAGGCTCGCCTTCAAACAACTATTCCCTTCACCTCCCTGAAGGCTGAGCAGCCTCTCTGCAAACCCCTATTTCTTGTTGGGCCTGGTCTGTTCTGTCCCGACTGTGGCAGCTGCAGACTATCCAGTCCTGCTGGGCTTCTCTCTCTCTCCACACTTATTCTTAAAGGCCTTTTGTGCTACCCTAAGACTTTCACAAAGTTTCATCAGGAATATCCCTCTCCCAACCTCATGACTTGGTATTCCCAGACAGCTATTCTAATCTTACGTAGCCTCACCTGGTATCTCCCTTTACAGGAGACCCCCTTCCCACAGAAAGCCGACTCATGAACAGCTGTCTCCAGGCCAGGAGGAAGTGCCAGGCTGATCCCACCTGCAGTGCTGCCTACCACCACCTGGATTCCTGCACCTCTAGCATAAGCACCCCACTGCCCTCAGAGGAGCCTTCGGTCCCTGCTGACTGCCTGGAGGCAGCACAGCAACTCAGGAACAGCTCTCTGATAGGCTGCATGTGCCACCGGCGCATGAAGAACCAGGTTGCCTGCTTGGACATCTATTGGACCGTTCACCGTGCCCGCAGCCTTGGTGAGGCTCCCATTATAGAGTGGACTAAGCTGGGGAAGATGGCTCTTGGGGGTTGTTTTTTAATCCTGCAGGATATGGGCCACATGGTAGAATCTGAGGAGGAGGATAATGAAGCTCTGCATTTGACATCAGGAAAGGTGGAGGGATAGTGCTGGGATCTCCTTGGGGCCCCATAACACTGCCCTCTCTTCTCCCTACTTCCCCCTTTCTTACCTGGCAACATGTCAGTTCCCACTTAGCAGAGCTGTGAACCAGGCTGAGGCCCAACCTGGGGAGTTCCTGGAACAGCGGGTATGGACAGGAGATGGGAGAAAAAAGTCTTAACCCATAAACAGGCTCCAAATACCAAGTTCAGAGAGATGGGGAGGTAACATCTTGGTCCAGCCTTTAACAGAAAGAATACTCATTAACCAGCCAGGAGATGTAAGAGAGAGAAGGCACAGAAAGAGCCAAAGAGGAGCTGCTTGTCACTCTTTCCATAGGCCCCTTATTAGTCAGCTTTTACCGGACTATGTTGCTGTAACAAAACAGTGACTTGCAAAACAAAGGTTTAATTCTTGCTCATGTTCTGTATTGGCTCTTTCATGGGCCTTCTTCATTCTGGGATCCAGGCTCAAGGTGCAGCCTCTGTCTGGGATGTTCCCTTCTCGTGGCAGAAGGAAATGAGCATTGGCAGAACCACATGATGATTTTTAAAGTTTCTGCTCAAATCTTATATACACTACGTCTGCTTACATTTCATTGAGAGAGCAAGTCACATGGCTAAGCCTGACATCACTGGATTGAGAATTATACTTCTTCCACAGGGAGATACCAAAAATCACATGGCAATAAGTGAGGATATACAATCTTACAGGGAAGGCAAAGAATGATTGGAAACAATAATACAATCTACCATTGTCAAAGTATTCATTTCTCTCCCTTCTGCAAGTAAAATATACCCACCTATTTTCCATGGAAGATGCCCTAAAAGCTCTGTTCAAACCTGACATCAAGCCGGGTGTGGTGGCTCACACCTGTAATCCTAGCACTTTGGGAGGCCAAGGCAGGCGGATCACTTGAGTTCAGGAGTTCAAGACCAGCCTGGCCAACATGGTGAAACCTCATCTCTACTAAAAATACAAAAAATTAGCTGGGCATGGTGGTGGGCACCTGTAATCCCAGGCTACTTGGGAAGCTGAGGCAGGAGAATCACTTGAACCCGGGAAGCAGAGGTTGCAGTGAGTCGAGATTGCGCCACTGCACTCTAGCCTGGGCGACAGAGCGAGACTCTGTCTCGAAAAAAACAAGCAAAAAGCAAACAAACAAACAAACAAACATGACATCAGGCTTCAAGTCTAGGATCTCATGATAGTTTCCAAATTGGGTCTGGATGTGGCTCCTCTTAATCTAAAAACTTATGAACTAAAAAGACAAGTCATCTGCTTCCTATACGTACTCAGCATATAATAACGGAACAGGGTCAGGATAACCACAACAAACATTCTCAGAAAGGGGAGGAATGGGCATCTAAGTGTGGTGGCTCACACCTGTAACTTCAGCAACTTGGGAGGCCAAGGCGGGAGTATCCCTAAAGCCCAGGAGTTCAAGACCAGCCTGGACAACATAGCGAGCTCCCATCACTACAAAAAAATAAATAAATTAGCTGAGTGTGGTGGTGCACACCTGTGGTCCCAGCTACTCGGGAGGCTGAGGTGGGAGGATCACTTGAGTCCAGGAGGTTGAGGCTGCAGTGAGCCATGATCACACCACTGCACTCCAGCCTGGGTGACAGAGCAAGACCCTGTCTCAAATAAATAAATGAATGAATGAATGGGAGACACACAGCAGACATTGATTCATAGCAATTCTGAAATCCTGCTAGACAAATGTTGTAAGGGTCCTCTTCCCTGGGAATAGGGATTGTTCTTTAATAAGGCCCTGTTTTTACTCCACGGGAGTAGTTGCCCTATCCATTGTTTTCCAGAGCTCTTGGCCCAGCCCTCTGGAAAGGTCCTTCCTCTTTCAGTTTTCTCTTTGGCCACATTTGAAAAGGGTATTAGGGACTACATTCTCCCTGAGGACTGAGCCGCATTCTCAGCCTGCTTCCTGCCTGAGAAATGTTGGGGCATTTTAAGTCTCAAATAGTCACAGTCTCTTTTAATCTACACTGGTAGCTCTTTGTAGTACAACTCTCTGAAAACATAATTGCTGCTTATATCTTTGATTTCTATCATCTCATGTGCCTGTGGCCTTTCCCACAATTCAAGACATGCCTCTTTTTCTACACCTAATTAGAAGCACCTAGCCCTTATCAGGCTTCTGTGGAAGAGCCACTACTTTAGTCTTTTTTCCCTGAGTACATTTGTCCAACTGGCAGGACTTATTGGGTACCATCTTAATCGACTGAGAGATATCCACAAACAGTGTGATAGCCACATACCTCATTTGGTCTTTTCCCCAAGGCTGAGTTGTAATCAACCTTATCACTCAAAGCATTTTTTTTTATGTTTTATCTTTTACCTTATGAATACAAGAAACAGTGGCATTTCTTCTTCTTCTTCTTTTTTTTTTTTTTTTTTTTTTTTGAGACAGAGTCTTCCTCTGTTGCCCTGGCTGGAGTGCAGTGGCGTGATATTGGCTCACTGCAACCTCTGCCTCCCGGGTTCAAGCGATTCTCCTGCCTCAGCCTCCTGAGTAGCTGGGATTACAGGCCCCTGCCACCATGCCTGGCTAATTTTTGTATTTTTAGTAGAGAGGGGGTTTCACCATGTTGGTCAGGCTGGTCTTGAACTCCTGACCTCGTGATCTGCCTGCCTCGGCCTCCCAAAATGCCGGGATTACAGGCATGAGCCACTGCGCCCAGCACAGTTGCATTTCTTAATCCTGGAAGTCCTGAAATTTCTAGATTATCTTTTCCTCCACATTTGGGAACTGGCCAATTCTTTTCTGAGCTTATATCTTGTAGTACCTTGCCAAATGCAGCCAATAGCAATCAAGACATACTAGTAAACTTCTGCTTCTCAGCTTCCCCTAACAGTACAAACTCATTCAGCATATAATCTTCCCAGTTATCACACACAACAATTTTACCAGATGCTTTGCCACTGCATAATGAAGACTGCCATCTTTCCAGCCCCCAGTAACAGCTTCCTTACCACCCATTGCCCAGTACCAAAGCCAATGACACACATTATATTATTTTATTACTGTAGCGCTCCACTTCTAGGTACCAATTGCATTTTATTTTTGCTGTTTTTTTTAGTTGGAGTCTCACTTGTCACCCAGGCTGGAGTGCAGTGGCACAGTCATAGCTCACTGCAGCCTCAACCTCCTGGGCTCAAGTGATCCTCCCACCTCAGCCTCTCGAGTAGCTGGGACTATATGTGTGTGCCACCGGACCCAGCTAAATTTTTTGTAGAGATGAAGTCCTGCTGTGTTCTCCAGGCTGGTCTCAAGTTCCTAGGTTCAAGGAATATTCCTGCCTCAGCCTCCCAGTTGCATTTTTTTTTTTTCAGATGGAGACTCACTGTCGCCCAGGCTGGAGTGCAGTGGCATGATCTTGGCTCACTGCAGCCTCCGCCTCCCGGGTTCAAGTGATTCTCCCACCTCAGCCTCCCAGGTAGCTGGGATTACAGGCATGCGCCACCATGCCCAACTAATTTTTGTATTTTTAGTAGAGATGGGGTTTCACCATGTTGGCCAGGCTGGTCTCGAACTCCTGACCTCAGGTGATCTACCCGCCTAGGCCTCCCAAAGTGCTAGGATTACAGGTGTGAGCCACCGTGCCCGGCACCCCATTGCATTTTTAGTAAGAATTTGCTAGGTTATGCTATTGCAACAACCAATTCCCAAATCTCTGGCTTTCAACAACAAAAATGTATTTCTTGCTCATGTTACACATCTGCTGGAGGCTTCTATGAGTTGGCCTTGTCTCTGTTCTACTTGTCTTCTTCACTGGAAGATCCAGGCTGGTAGAGGAGAAAGAGTAGCAGCAGAACCATGTGAAGATTCTTAAAGCTTCTGCTCAGATGTGATTTACATCACTTCAGCTCACAATCCACAGACCAGAGCAAGTCACCTGGCCAAGCCTGCCATCAGTGGGGTGAGGAAGTGTACGCCTCTCACAGGGGGTGTGAAAGTTACATGGCAACAGGTGGGGACGTATAATCCTCCCAAGGGGTGGGGAACAAATAATTGGAAACAATAATACAGTTTACCACACTCCTTGCTCCCTGTTTTCTACTCCTCATCCTAATCACTTCTCTTTCCGAACTTCCTCAGAGGCTTCTCCCTGAATCCTCTTGCCTCCCTACACTGTGTGCTGAGCACCATCGCGTAAGTGCGATGGTGCTCAGCATATTTATTTACCTCACTTATAGCATGGTGCTCAGCACACAGTGTGCTTAACAAATGGTAGCTCTTATTATTCTTATGGCTTATTGGTGGAGCCCAGCCTATACCTTACGGCCCTGCATTTTTCTCATCTTTGCACAGCTTGCAGCTGGTTAGGTAGAGGCTGTGCTTTTCCTTTTCTCCACAGGCCTTTGAGGTCTGAGCCAGCAGCTTCAGCCCCTCCAGCCTACCCCACCCTGGTCCTCAGCATTCTGGTGCTCCCCACCTTGTCTCTAGGTAACTATGAGCTGGATGTCTCCCCCTATGAAGACACAGTGACCAGCAAACCCTGGAAAATGAATCTCAGCAAACTGAACATGCTCAAACCAGGTGTGGAGGGCAACTAGGCTCGGGAACCAGAGGCTGGGGCTGGACCCTGGAGGAAGGGTGGCTGGGGAGGGGCAGAAGTTGGGGAGCTTATAAGGGAAATGTTTCTAGCCTACCAGGTGACTAAGGAAGACTGTGTCAGGCTGGAAGTGTGAGCTCTGGGGCATGATCTGGTCTCACAGGGGTCTCCAAAGGACAGCAGTTATTAGGGAGGCATTTGAAGAGAGCCCATTAGGGCTCCCTGTTTCCACAAGGCGAGCCCCTGCAAAGGGCGTGGTGGGAGTGGCAGCAGCCCCAGGAAAAATTGTGCTGAAATGCAGTATTTACTTGCATTCAAGGCAGCTGGGAAAGTAGCCTTTTTGTCCCTGAAGACTAGGAAATTGCTTGTTTTCAACCATTCTAATGGGATGGGCGAGGTATTGGGCAGGAAAAGAGAGTGTGACTCTGCACGGGGTGACTCAGGGTGGGGAGCCATCAGTCTGGCAAGGACTGTGTTGCATGTTTTTCAGGAAAGTGAGGCTATGAGTTAATTGAGGAAAAACATACACACATGCACTCTCTTTTTGAGAAAGATGTGAGCTTTATCATTAGAATTAGAATTTTGAGAAAAAGGCATAGAGTTTCATGCATGAAAAACTCTAAGTGACAAGATCAGCAAATAACCTGTTGCAATTACTTGATTGCTGTGGCTGCTGGAATATTCTGTTAATAGAAATATCACCATAATTTCCCAAGATTCAGAGTATGGGGAACAGAGTATACATGAATCAATTAATGAAAGATGGGCAGGTGACATTAAAATGGAACAGGATAGGTGCAGACGAAGCCAAAACCAAACCAGAAACCTAAAATAGAATTTGGATGCATCTGTTTTGGACAGTTCTGAAAGTGCTTTAGAATGTTGCAGGTACTCTAGGTTATCATTTCTACCATCAGATCTCACAGCATAGCACTGAGGAAAGAGGTATGGTTATTTAAGCTTTCTGGCTGCTTGAATTCTAGATAAATGGGTGTTCGATGCATATAGATGATGATAGTGATTATTCTTATTATTTTACGTAGTCAAGATGAGGAGTTGTGCCGGGCGCGGCGGTTCATGCCTGTAATCCCAGCACTTTGGGAGGCCGAGATGGGCGGATTACCTGAGGTCGGGAGTTCAAGACCAGCCTGGCTAACATGATGAAACCCCATTTCTACTAAAAATACAAAAAATTAGCCGGGCGTCGTGGCGCATGCGTGTAATCCCAGCTACTCGGGAGGCTGAGGCAGGAGAATTGCTTGAACCCAGGAGGCGGAGGTTGCAGTGAGCCGAGATCACGCCATTGCACTTCGGCTTGGCCAACAAGAGCAAAACTCCGTCTCAAAAAAAAAAAAAAAAAAAAAAAAAAAAAAAGAGGAGTAGGGTGGGGAAGGCTTCAAAACAGCAGGTAGAGTTTGTGGGGAGAGGGGAAGCCCTGGATTAGGAGTGGGTTTATTCATGACAGGCCTTCTTTTCCTCCTATATCCACTACCTTCTTGTCAAATCAGGGGTTTCCGGGGTTCCTGTGGAACCTGGGGTGCAGGCGTGCAGAGGGCCCAGCCGACTGACTCCGTGCCCTTTCCCCCCAGACTCAGACCTCTGCCTCAAGTTTGCCATGCTGTGTACTCTCAATGACAAGTGTGACCGGCTGCGCAAGGCCTACGGGGAGGCGTGCTCCGGGCCCCACTGCCAGCGCCACGTCTGCCTCAGGCAGCTGCTCACTTTCTTCGAGAAGGCCGCCGAGCCCCACGCGCAGGGCCTGCTACTGTGCCCATGTGCCCCCAACGACCGGGGCTGCGGGGAGCGCCGGCGCAACACCATCGCCCCCAACTGCGCGCTGCCGCCTGTGGCCCCCAACTGCCTGGAGCTGCGGCGCCTCTGCTTCTCCGACCCGCTTTGCAGGTGTGTAGTTTGGGAGGACAGGGTGGGCAGGGATGAGGCACACGCCACTCCTTCCTGGCCACGTTCCTGTGCTGAGCAGGGTCTGACCCTCCCAGGGAACCGTGGACCCACTGGCTGCTTCACGAAGTAGCTACCTTGGATATTTTGTGAAAGTCTTTTCTCAAAAAGAATATATGTCTTTTTTTTCTTTGCTGTAAAACCTCAGGAAATATAAAAATGTATTTTAAAAAATCATTAAAAATTCTATCACCTGAAGATAATCTATCATACTTTGGGAAGCATTTCCTTCCAGTCATTTTCTATCCAGATAACAAAAGTAGACATTCTGAGAATGTATTTGTGTCTTACTTTTTTTCTCTTACGGCACATGTCTCATGAGCATTTTTCTGTGGAGGTGGTGTGGAGTAGTGGTAAGACAGGATCTGAAGTCAGACGGGTTTGAATTTAAACCCTGGGTCTCTGCGATCTTGAGCACAGCACTTAACCTAAAAACTCCATCACTAAACCTAAGGTTCCGTTTAGTCCCCTGTAAAAACTGGGATAATAATGCAGACCTCATGGGATTCTGGTGAGAGTTAAATTACATAATTTATGTAGAGTGGTGTAGAGTACCGGTGAAGAGTAAGTGCTCAATAAATGGTAGTGCTTATTTTTTTACTTACTGTCCTTTAAGAACTTTTTTTTTTTTTTTTGAGACAGAGTCCCCTTCTGTCACCCAGGCTGGAGTGCAGTGACACGATCTTGGCTCACTGCAACCACTGTCTGCCAGGTTCAAGCGATTCTTCTGCCTCAGTCTCTCGAGTAGCTAGGACTACAGGCTTGTGCCACCATGCCCAGCTAATTTCTTTATTTTTGGTAGAGATGGGGTTTCACTATGTTGGCCAGGCTGGTCTCGAACTCCTGACCCTGTGATCCACCTGCTTTGGCCTCCCAAAGTGCTAGGATTACAGGTGTGAGCCACCACACCCAGCCAAGAACTTGATTTTTAAATGCCTGCATTATATTCCATGTATGGATGCCCTACACTTAATTTAACCATTCCTCTATTGCTAGATATTTAGGTTTTTGTTTTGTTTTTTTTTTTGTTTGTTTTTTTTTGTTTGTTTTTTTTGAGATGGAGTCTCTCTCTGTCATCCAGGCTGGAGTGCAGTGGCGCAGTCTCGGCTCACTGCAACCTCTGCCTCCCAGGTTCAAGTGATTCTCCTGCCTCAGCCTCCCAAGTAGCTGGGACTACAGGCATGTGCCACCAGGCCCGGCTAAATTTTTGTATTTTTAGTAGAGACGGGGTTTCACCGTGTTAGCCAGGATGATCTCCATCTCCTAACCTCGTGATCCGCCCGCCTCAGCCTCCCAAAGTGCTAGGATAACAGGCATAAGCCACCGTGCCCAGCGATTTTTTTTTTTTTTTAAGACGGAGTCTTGTTTTGTCACCCAGGCTGGAGTGCAGTGGTGCGATCTCGGCTCACTGCAGCCTCCGCCTCCTGGTTTCAAGGGATACTCCCCCCTCAGCCTCCCAAGTAGCTGGGATTACAGGCGCCTGCCACCACGCCCAGCTAATTTTTTTTGTATTTTCAGTAGAGATGGGATTTCGCTGTGTTGGCCAGGCTAGTCTCGAACTCCTGGCCTCAGTTGATCTGCCCACCTTGGCCTCCTAAAGTACTGGTATTACAGGTGTGAGCCACCGTGCCCAGCCAGATTGGTTTTTTTCTTCTTCTTCTTCTTCTTTTTTTTTTTTTTTTGAGACAGAGTCTTGCTCTGTTACCCAGGCTGGAGGGCAGTGTTGTGATCTCGGCTTACTGCAACCTCTATCTCCTGGGTTCAAGCGATTCTCCAGCCTCAGCCTCCTGAGTATGTTGGGACTATAAGTGCACACCACAGTGCCCAGCTAATTTTTGTATTTTTAGTAGAGATGGGGTTTTGCCATGTTGGCCAGGCCAGTGTTGAACTCCTGAGCTCAAGTGATCAGCCCACTTCAGCCTCCCAAAGTGCTGGGATTATAGGCATGAACCACCATGCTTGCCCAACTCTTACTCTTTAATCTTTGTGCACTAATGTAGTTATTACTTAGGATGTGCTGCTACTAGTACCATTGCCAGATCAAAGGACATGGGAGATTGGTAAGGTATTTGATAGATTTGATAAATATTCTCTTCAGGAAATTTGAAATTCTGATCTGGCTTTCCTGTGTCTTCTCAGGACAAAACACTTACAAAATTGAAGCTATCATTCATTCAAGTGACATTTGTTGACAATAACCTTGGTTTGCAACTTGGTTCTCCTACTTAGTTCTTTGTAACCTTCGGCAAGTTACTTAACTTCTGAGACTACCACTTTCCTCATCTGTAAACTATCTTATAGTCAGGGCTCTTAATAATCATAATACTAACATTTACTGAATAACTAAATACTTACTAGGGCTAGATACTGTTTTAAGTACTTAACATATATTAACTCATCTAAACCTCACAAGAACCCCAATAAGGTAAATCGATCCTTCTTTCCTTCCTTCCTTCCCTCCCTCCTTCCTTCCTTCTTTCCTTCCTCTCTCTTTCTCTTCTTCTCTCCTTACTTCTTTCCTTTCTTCCTTCCTCTCTTTTTCTCCTTCCTTCCTTCCTCTCTCTCTCCTTCCTTCCTTCTCTTCTCTTCTCTCTTTTCTCCTTCTCTTCTCTCTGTCTCTCTTTCTCTTTCTTTTTTTTTCTTTCTTTCGTTCTGAGACAGGGTCTTGCTGTGTTGCTCAGGGTAGTCTCCAACCCCTGAGCTCAACTGATTCTCCCACCTCAGCCTCCCAAGTAGCTGGGATTACAGGCGTGAGCCGCTATGCCTGGCTTATGCATTCTCTTACTTCATCCTCACAAAAATCCACGAGGTAGTGCTGCTGTCATCTCTATTTTATAGTTGAGGAAACTGAGGTTAAAGAAGCTATCTGAGATCTCATAAGTAGGGATCGTGGAGCCCAAACTCAGAGTGAAATGCTATGGGTTCCAAGGAATGGTACATTTAACTGTTACAGGGGCACACTTCACAGAGGAAAGGCTCTGGGCCAGGCTCTGAAGGCAGAGGAGGATTTGGCACGACAATGGGCATGCCAAGCTAAGGGGGAATGAGGGAGAAGGCTGCAGGCTGGACCCTCAAGAGTGACTTGAAATTTTTCTGGCCGAGTGCAGTGGCTCATACCTGTAATCCCAGCACTTTGAGAGGCCAAGGCAGGTGGATCACCTGAGGTCAGGAGTTTGAGACCAGCCTGGCCGACATGGTGAAACCCCGTCTCTACTAAAAATACAGAATTAGCCAGGTGTGGTGGCACGTGACTGTAGTCCCAGCTACTCGGGAGGCTGAGGCAGGAGAATTGTTTGAACCTGGGAGGCAGAGGTTGCAGTGAGCCAAGATTGAGCTACTGCACTCCAGCCTGGGCAAGAGAGAGTGAGACATCATCTCAAAAAAAAAAAAAAAAGAAAGACAGAAATTTCCCTTCTTCCAGATCACGCCTGGTGGATTTCCAGACCCACTGCCATCCCATGGACATCCTAGGAACTTGTGCAACAGAGCAGTCCAGATGTCTACGAGCATACCTGGGGCTGATTGGTGAGGCTGGGGGCATGTGTAGGGAACCCTATGTTGGCTAGGCCTGAGGGTAAGAATGCTCCGGAGATAAAGGATGTGATCCTGACATGGGTGGAAGAAGGTGGGAGCTAAAGTTAGGGTTAGCCTAGGCCTTGACTACCCTTTCCCTCTTCACAGGGACTGCCATGACCCCCAACTTTGTCAGCAATGTCAACACCAGTGTTGCCTTAAGCTGCACCTGCCGAGGCAGTGGCAACCTGCAGGAGGAGTGTGAAATGCTGGAAGGGTTCTTCTCCCACAACCCCTGCCTCAGTGAGTGTGCTGTACTTGCTCCCAGCCCCTGGGGCTGAGTCAGCTGGACTCAAGGGAAGGAAAAGGGTCGACTCTGTGGCCCAGGCTGGTTCCATCCATCTCCACCAAACAGAGCAGTTCCTAGCATAGGCTTTCATTGCCATAGCCCAGGCCTTTCTTCTGTCTCCCACTCCCTGAGAAACCTCCCACGCTGCCTGTTCAACCTGTCTGGAACCCAGGGACATCTCCAGCTCAAGAAACAAGCAGAATGAGAGAGTATCCCACTTCCACCTCCCACCCACTTGCTCCCCTATAGCCCAGGGTCCCTGTGGCATTCCCTTTCCTTCCTTGGGAGCCTGAGAAATCTCCTGCCCCCATACCCTTCCAATGAGCCTTCTCTCCTCTCTTCAGCGGAGGCCATTGCAGCTAAGATGCGTTTTCACAGCCAACTCTTCTCCCAGGACTGGCCACACCCTACCTTTGCTGTGATGGCACACCAGGTAGGGCCTCCTCTGTTACACCCCTCAGACCTTTACTGGGCCGGCTGGGGAAAACCCAAACTAGGCAGACAAAGGGATAGAGGCGAGGGGCTGACCTCCTCATTGCCCTGAATACTAGAGACCTCTAATGGATACCTCAGGGGAAGGGGAATACCTCTTGACTGAGGCTGAGGTAGTGAAAGGGCTAAAGAAAATCCCCTGAGCTAACTCCATTCCATTTCTTCCACAGAATGAAAACCCTGCTGTGAGGCCACAGCCCTGGGTGCCCTCTCTTTTCTCCTGCACGCTTCCCTTGATTCTGCTCCTGAGCCTATGGTAGCTGGACTTCCCCAGGGCCCTCTTCCCCTCCACCACACCCAGGTGGACTTGCAGCCCACAAGGGGTGAGGAAAGGACAGCAGCAGGAAGGAGGTGCAGTGCGCAGATGAGGGCACAGGAGAAGCTAAGGGTTATGACCTCCAGATCCTTACTGGTCCAGTCCTCATTCCCTCCACCCCATCTCCACTTCTGATTCATGCTGCCCCTCCTTGGTGGCCACAATTTAGCCATGTCATCTGGTGGTGACCAGCTCCACCAAGCCCCTTTCTGAGCCCTTCCTCTTGACTACCAGGATCACCAGAATCTAATAAGTTAGCCATTCTCTATTGCATTCCAGATTAGGGTTAGGGTAGGGAGGACTGGGTGTTCTGAGGCAGCCTAGAAAGTCATTCTCCTTTGTGAAGAAGGCTCCTGCCCCCTCGTCTCCTCCTCTGAGTGGAGGATGGAAAACTACTGCCTGCACTGCCCTGTCCCCGGATCCTGCCGAACATCTGGGCATCAGGAGCTGGAGCCTGTGGGCCTTGCTTTATTCCTATTATTGTCCTAAAGTCTCTCTGGGCTCTTGGATCATGATTAAACCTTTGACTTAAGACTTTGCTCTTTTTCCATTTTCTCAAATTTTGAGTATCTGTAGAACTAGGGTGTTATAGATGAAAGAACACAGGCCAGGTGATGAGACACAGCAACCCTACCACCATGTGCTATATGACTTCAGGTATGTCTCCTAGCCTCTCTGTGTTCTTGACTTGGAGTTGGAAGAAAAAATAGCTTATGTGAGGCTGTGGACCCGGGATCTGTCCCAGCTCCAGCCATTTCTCGGATACTGCCTGGGATCTGCCACAGCAGCTGAGATGGGGATCCTTAGTCAACCACACCATTTATTGAACACCTGCTTGGGTTATTGGCCTGCTCCAGATCATAATGGGAGCCAGAGGAAAAGAGAGAGTGGTTCTTTTTTTTTTTTTTTTTTGACTCGGAGTCTCTATCTGTCGCCCAGTCTGGAGTGCAATGGCACAATCTGCAACCTCTGCCTCCCAGGTTCAAGCGATTCTGCTGCCCCAGCCTCCCAAGCAGCTGGGACTACAGGCATGTGTCACCATGCCCAGCAAATTTTTGTATTTTTATTAGAGACGGGTTTCACCATATTGGCCAGGCTGGTCTTGAACTCCTGACTTCAGGTGATCTGCCCACCTCAGCCTGCCAAAGTGCTGGGATTACAGGTGTGAGCCACCATGCCTGGCCCAGAGATTGTTCTTGATCTCAGGGAATTTGTAATCCTATTGGGATAAGGACACACCCACCCATGCAAAGTATAATAGTTGGAAGAATGTATTTATAGAGCTCTGGACATCTGTCTATTAATTGATTCACTCACTCTTTCAATAAGCATCTGATGAATGCTGACTCTGCACGACACTGTTTTGTGTGCAAGAGATTCTGGCATAAAAGGACTCAGATCCTATGTTCAAACTTTTTACACACCAGAGCAGGGAAGCAGACAACAGTCCATAAGAGCAGTGCAGTATGACGAGTGATATATAATAATTACGATAATCCTTTTTTTTTTTTTTTTTTTTTGAGACAGAGTCTTGCTCTGTCACCCAGGCTGGAGTGCAGTGGCATGATCTTGGCTCACTGCAACCTCTGTCTCCCAGGTTCAAGAGATTCTCCTGCCTCAGCCTCCCAAGCAACTGGGATTACAGGCTCACGCCACCATGCCAGGCTAATTTTTTGTATTTTTAGTAGAGACGCAGTTTCATCATGTTGGCCAGGCTGGTTTGAACTCCTGACCTCAGGTGATCCACCTGCCTCAGCCTCCCAAAGTGCTGGGATTACAGGCATGAGCCACCGTGCCTGGCCCTAATTATGATGATCCTCGTTTATGGAGCCCATACTGTGTGCCAAGTACTACTGTGCATTAACCGTGTGCAAATACATGCATTCATTCATTTAATCCTCCAGCAACATTTGAGTTTGTTAATCACAAGCTATTAATATGTGACCTTGGGCTTAACCTCACTGGGCCTTACTATCCATATCTGTAACATGGAAAACCATGGCACCCACCTCATGAGGAATGAGATAATCCATGTAAAAGCATTGTGGCTGACACACAGTAAAAACTCACAAAAGTTAACAATTGTGTGTTTTTCTAGAGAATTTGGACATTACAGACAATTCTAAAGAAGAAAGAAAAATCTTTAAGCTTGCACTCGCAAGTGTCCAGACTGTTTCCTGCATGTCTGTGACCTTGAGAATCTATGGGCATGTGTAGTGTTACATAAGTGGGGTCACACACTGGATAGCAAAGTGCAAGACACAGACATCGTTCGGCATCCATGAGTAGAGTTGAGCTATATCATTCTATTTGTCAGCTGCATGACATGAACTTATATGAATGCATATTCATACATGCATAGTTTATTTAACCATCTGTGTTGATGGATATTTTGTTGTCTTCCCATTCTTCTCTGAGCCAAGTTTAAGACAGTGAGGGAGGTGACTGTGGGTAGGATGTACACAAAGCTGCCAGAGTGGTGGGTGGAATCCGTAAGTCTCTCTATATACATTCTTGTATCCCCGTAGCCTGCACAGCCCCAGGAAACGCTCAGCCAAGCTGCCTCCCTGAAAACTCCAGTGGGACACTGAGTTGACCTTCCTCCTTCCTTCTTCCCCTCCCAGGAAGATCTCTGAGCAGTCAAGGCCTCTCCATTTGCCCTGGCTCCGTTAACCTAGGGCTGGGGGTGTGAATGGTACAGTCATTTCTTTTTTTTTTTTTTTTTTTTTTTTTTTTTTTTTTTTTTTGAGACGGAGTTTCGCTCTGTCGCCCAGGCTGGAGTGCAGTGGCGCGATCTCGACTCACTGCAAGCTCCGCCTCCCGGGTTCACGCCATTCTCCTGCCTCAGCCTCCTGTGTAGCTGGGACTACAGGCACGCGCCACCATGCCCGGCTAATTTTTGTATTTTTAGTAGAGACGGGGTTTCACCGTGTTAGCCAGGATGGTCTCGATCTCCTGACCTCGTGATCCGCCCGTCTCGGCCTCCCAAAGTGCTGGGATTACAGGCGTGAGCCACTGCGCCCGGCCCAGTCATTTCTTGCTAAGTACTTGAATTAGACTAATAGGTCATGTTTGCTTTTCTCTGAAGAAGGTCCAAATTTCTGGTAAACAACCACACCACTCTTCCAGCCCAGGGCCCAGAGCCAAGACCCTGGGTCGGGGTGCAGTGGCTGAACTGAAGCTTTTAATGGTGTTATGGCTGTCTGGGATGGTTAATGCCATTAAACTAGCTTCTGGGCAACAATGTGGGAAGGACTTTCGGCAGCAGTGGTAAATGGAGAGTGCTAAATTACGGGTCTCTCCATGGTTGGGGTGGAGCAGACTATCTCCTAAACAACTATCTCCAAATTCACCCAATCATTCATTCACCCAACAAACCTTTAACAAGCACTTGTCTTGTCCCAGGTCTTAAGTATTTTTACAGGAGATAAGATCTGGGCCAGGCATGGTGGCTCATGCCTGTAATCCCAACACTTTGGGAGGCCAAGGCAGGTGGAACACTTAAAGTCAGGAGTTTGAGACCAGCCTGGTCAACAAGGTGAAACCCCGTCTCTATTAAAAATAGAAATATTAGGTGGGTGTGGTGGCGGACACCTGTAATCCCAGCTACTCAGGAGGCTGAGGCAGGGGAATCGCTTGAACCCGGGAGGCGGAGTTTACAGTGAGCCAAGATTGCTCCGTTGCATTCCAGCCTGGGCGACAGAGCGAGACTCCGTCTCAAAAAAAAAAAAAAAAAAGATCTGTCCCTGTCAAGTCATGAGCCATCGTTTTAATGAAGAAGCAGCCCGGGTCTGGCAACTGGACCCTAAGTTTGGGCTGTTGGGATTCTTCAGTTAGCCTGGCTGATTATCACACTCAGCTATTTAACCTCAGGAAACGTTCACATTTCTGAGCCACTATTTCCTCATCTAAAGTGGGGATGCCAATAGAACACATAACTTAACAAGTTGCAGTCTTTGTTTTGCTTTGTTTTTAGTAAAGCCAATTAATTTCAGCCAAAAGACTAATTGGCAGTATGAAATAATGCTGATATCAGTTGTAATAGTTTGGGTTGGCAATTTTTTGGCTTCCTATTTCTCTAAAAGCTTATAAGCATGAGTCATTTGTGCTTATTTTGATCTCCATTTATATTTAATTTAGATATTAGTAAAAATACTAACTCAGGTTTTTTTTGTTGTTTGTTGGTTTTTCTTTTTGAGACAGAGTTTCACTCTTGTTGCCCAGGCTGGAGTGCAATGGCATGATCTCGGCTCACTGCAACCTCTCCCTCCCGGGTTCAAGCAATTCTCCTGCTTCAGCCTCCCAAGCAGCTGGGACTACAGGCATGCGCCACCATGCCCAGCTAATTTTTGTATTCTTAGTAGAGATGAGGTTTCACCATATTGGCCAGGCTGGTCTCAAACTCGTGACCTTATGATCCACCCACTTCAGCCTCCCAAAGTGCTGGGATTACGGGCGTAAGCCCACTGCGCCCGACTTTTTTTTTTCTTTTTTGACAGTCTTACTGTGTTGCCCAGGTTAGAGTGCAGTGGTATGATCTTGGCTCACTGCAACCTCTGCCTCACAGGTTCAAATTATTCTCCTGCCTCAGCCTCCCAAGTAGCTGGGATTACAGGCACAGGCCACAACACCTGGCTGATTTTTTTGTATTTTTAGTAGAGACGGGGTTTCACCACGTTGGCCACGCTGGTCTCAAACTCCTGACCTCAGGTGATCTGCCCACCTTGGCCTCCCAAAGTGCTGAGATTACAGGCATGAGCCATCTTACCCAGCCAGGTTGTTTTGAAGACTGGAAATTATCATGACACTCAGCGTGGTGCCTGATACAGGATGGCCTTGGCCTCCCAAAGTGCTGAGATTACAGGCATGAGCCATCTTACCCAGCCAGGTTGTTTTGAAGACTGGAAATTATCATGACACTCAGTGTGGTGCCTGATACAGGATGGATACTCAGTAAATAGCAGCTATCATTATTATATACATCTGAGAGGGGACCTGTAGGTACCATGTATTCTGTTCTCTGCCCTGAAACAGTGGTGAGATGATAGGGCTGATTCCCTCTCCAATTGTGGGCTCAATTCTTGGTGACGCTGCCCCTGGGAGACTTTCTATTCAAGGTCTGAACTCCAGGCTAGAAGCTGCAGCTCTGGGTCTATTGTATAGGCCCTGAGGGACTTTGTACAAGTCGTGAAGGCAGACTGAGTCTTTTTTTTTTTTTTTTTTTTTTTTGAGATGGAGTCTCACTCTGTCACCCAGGCTGGAGTGCAGTGGTGCGATCTCGGCTCACTGCAACCTCCACCTCCCAGGTTCACGCCATTCTCCTGCCTCAGCCTCCCTAATAGCTGGGACTACAGGCACCCGCCACCATGCCCGGCTAATTTTTTGTATTTTTAGTAGAGATGGGGTTTCACCGTGTTAACCAGGATGGTCTTGATCTCCTGACCTCATGACCCACCCGCCTTGGCCTCCCAAAGTGCTGGGATTACAGGTGTAAGCCACCGTACCTGGCCTTTTTTTTTTTTTTTTTAATAGAGACAGGGTCTCACTGTCTAAAGCCAGATGGGATTGCCCAGGCTGGACTCGAACCCTGGGCCACCACACCTGGCTAATTGTTGTATTTTTAGTAGAGACGAGGTTTCGCCATGTTGCCCAGGCTGGTCTCGAACTTCTGGGCTTAGGCAAATTCACCTGCCTCAGCCTCCTGAAGTGCTGGGATTATAGGCGTGAGCCACCACGCCCAGCTGGGATCTCTTGTTCTTAGAAACTTCAGCCTCTTTTTAGCATCTCCACTTCTTTCTGGAGAAAGCCCTCTCATATCTAGAACCTGAGAGACCTGATTCAATAAAATTACACCTTCAGATATTGAGCTAGTTAAGGCCTTATCTGAGATACTGTGGGTGGGTGTGGAGGTGGAAGAGAGACAGAGACAATAATAATAATAGCTAACATGAGAGCTTAATGTGTACAAGGCACCATGCTAATGGCTTAATGAGCGTTATCTCATTTAATTTTCATAACTATCCTATTTTATTTTCCCGGTTTTACAGTGAGGCTTAGTGAGGCCAAGCAAGGTGATAGGGCTAACAAGCAGCTGATCCAGGAATGAAACTTCAATTTCCCTGACTCCTGAGCACAATCTCTGATCCACGTTGCATTTGTCCAATGTTAGGTGAGACCCCATATCCTAAATAACAACAGAAGCCAGGATAAGGGCTGTGGGGTCAGAGGGAGCTCTTTCAGACTGCAGGGATGGTTTCCTGGAAGAGAAGTTATTTGGATTAGGCCTTGAAGAATGAGTAGAGTTTATTAGGCAGAAATTGGGGGAGGGCACCTCAGAGATCAGAGTGAGCAAACACAGGGACTGGAAAGGGCAGTGTTGCAGGGAGAACAAGTAGTCGGCTGTGACTGAAGTTCTCTCTCTTTTTTTTTTTTTTTTGACATAGAGTCTCGCTCTGTCACCCAGGTTGGAGTGCAATGGCATGATCTCAGCTCACTGCAATCTCTGCCTCCTGGGTTCAAGTGATTCTCCTGCCTCAACCTCTGAAGTAGCTGGGACTACAGGCGTTTGCCATGACGCTGGCCAATTTTTGAATTTTTATTAGAGATGGGGTTTCACCATGTTGGCCAAGCTGGTCTCGAACTCCTGACCTCAAGTGATCCAACCAGCTTGGCCTCCCAAAGTGTTGAGATTACAGGCGTGAGCCACTGTACCCAGCCAGCTGTAACTGGAGTTCTGTGAGCGGAGGTACTCCCAGGTCTTCTTGTCATTCATCTTCCCACCCTGCTGTCCTGGGGGAGAGTTAACCTTTGAGTACACACCCAACTACAGGGCTGCTGGTGTGCAAGCCAGGCCCTGTGGAACAGGCAGAAGTCCCAGGGAGCTGGTGTGCAGAATTCTGGCTTGGCATGCTTGATGTCCCTGGCCATCCGTGGCCCCTTCACCCCTTAGTGACATCCCAGGGCAGAGGTCAGTCTGTGTGGGTGAGAGGATGAAGTGAGCCTGTGTCTGGGCTGGGAACAGTGACAAGCAGGATGTGAGAGCCCATCCCCCACAGAAGAATGCCTGCAAATAGCCCCTCCCTAGTGCTGACCCTGCTCCCAGTTGCTGTGGTCAGCTGAAGTGTTAGGGCATTTGTTTCTGGTCTTCCCAGACTTTGGTTGGCTTTTGGTTTCTTCCTGCTGAGCACCTACTGTTGGCTGAGTAGGGCAGAAGACAGGTTGGCACAGAGATGAAGACAAGTTTTGTCGTAGAGATGGATAAACAAATAATAGTGAGAGACATCATTATTTGAGTACTTGGTAGCTATAAAATACTGTGCTAAGAGCTTTACACGTGTATCCTTTCAAAAGATGAGCCTTCCAGCCTGGGCAACATAGTGAGACCTTGTCCCTGCAAAAAATACAAAAATTAGCCAGACGTGGTGGCCTGTGCCTGTGGTCCCAGCCACCCAGCTACTTGAGAGTTTGAGATGGGAGGATTGCTTGAGTCAGGGAGGTAGAGGCTGCAGTGAGCCCTGATTATGCCACTGGACTCTAGCCAGGGTGACAGAGTGAGATGCCATCTCAAAAAATTAAAAGCTGAGCCTCTTCACGGTCTTGTCTCCACATGGTATCAATCTGGCATCCATAATATTTGAAAAAAATATTTGAATAATGGTTGCACATTCTTTTGAAAAATATACACAGCAAAACTTAAAATCCTCTTTTCCTGAGGCCGGAGGATTGCATGAGGCTGGGAGTTTGACACCAGCCCAGGCAACATATTGAGACCCTGTCTCTACAAAAAAATTTAAAAATTAGCCAGGAGGCTGAATGTGGTGGCTCACGCCTATAATCCCAGCACTTTGGAGGCCAAGGTAGGTGGATCATGAGGTCAGGAGTTCGAGACTAGCCTGGCCAATATGGTGAAACCCCATCTCTACTTAAAAATACAAAAATTAGCCAGGCGTGGTGGTGCACACCTGTAGTCCCAGCTACTCAAGAGGCTGAGGCAGGAGAATCGCTTGAACCCGGGAGGTGGAGGTTGCAGTGAGCTGAGATGCACCACTGCACTCCAGCCTGGGCAACAGAGTGAGACTCCATCTCAAAAAAAAAAAAAAAAAAAAAAAAAAAACCAAAAACAAAGAACTAGCCAGGAATGGTGGTAGTAGTCCTAGCTACTTAGGAGGCTAGGTGGGAGGACAGCCTGAGCTCAAGAGTTTGAGGCTTCAGTGAGCCATGATGGGGCAACTGTATCTCAGCCTGGGCGACAGAGCAAGACTGTCTCAAAAACAACAACAACAACAACAACAAAACAAAACAAAAACAAAACAAAAAACACTTTTCCATCTGTCTCTATTGTATACACAAAGCAGCCCCTCATCACATCCCTTTCTTCCCTTCCAAGCTCCCCCAGAGGAGAAATTAAGGCCATGAATATATATAGATAACATTTTTTCTTTACTCATACCTAATCCAATTTAAACTTCTTCACAGCCCTGTGAAGGGAGGCACTATTGTTTCCATTTTAGTTGGAGAAACAGATGTTTAGAGGTTAAATCTTGACCAAGCTCACAAAGCTAATCATTGGCAGGTGGATTTGAAGCAGGTTCTGTGCCTACTGTGAAGTACTTATGTGATCCAGGGGCTCTGAGACCCCTGAGAAGGGGCCAAGTAATTCAGCATGGGGGGATCATTTAGGCTTCATGGAGGAAGAAATACTGGAGTCGGGCATCAAAGGATGAGGAAAAGCTCTCAATAGGCAGAGATGGGCGATATGTTTCTCAGGAAGGGTGGGAGGGAGGCCCAAGGGATAAGCATATCAGATAGTGGGATGTCAGAGAGGAGTGATCTCAGCACTACCCCACACAACGGGGTGAGCCTGACACTTAGGAGACTTGCCTCATTTCCCAACTTTGCCCCAGGGAGATTCTGCCTGTGCCCTTTTAACAGCCTCCATCACAAAGCCTCCTTGTGTCTTCTGAAAGAGACATTTTGACTCAGGCTGGCTCCCCTCCATAGGGGAAGAGAGGGAGGTCTGTGGTGAAGGAGCCCAGCAATGAACTCCCCAACAAAATACCATATGCTCAATTCCTCAGGAATTACATGTCAAGATTGTCTTAGGGAATGCAGCCCTCTAGCTGGTCAAAGAAAGCATATTGTAGTCTAAAGGACACAATGGAAAGCAGATCCAGCTTGATCTGCATTTGAGTCTCAGCAAAACCATCAGCTGGGTGAATTCAGGCAAGCTGCTTAATCTTGCTGAGCTTCAGTCTTTGGATCTAAAAAATGATGAGCCTTTTTGCTAAAGAGTGGTGCCTCATGGGTTTGTCAGAGAGGAAGAGGAAATGGCTGGCTGGGGGATATATTAATCTAATATTTTCTTCAGTGCTGGGTGTTAGGGACTTGTCAAATCTGGATTTCTCGGGTAGGAAGTAGACAGTATGTGAGCTCAGGAACTTGGGTGGAAAGGTGACTCCCAGCAAGCAAAGGGAAAAAGAAGAGGTGGTGGGTGAAGCATGGAGAGAGAGTTTCCAGTCCTGAAGTCTTAGTACCATGAGGGAACAATTCCATGAACCTCTTTGAGCCTCAGTTTCTTCACCTTCAAATGCCAATTCAGCTTCATGAATAGTGGCAGGACACTTGAATTGCTATTTCATCTATTTTATTTATTTATTGAGACAGAGTCTCACTCAGTTGCCCAGGCTGGAGTGCAGTGGCGCTATCTCAGCTCACTGCAACCTCCGCCACCCAGGTTCAAGTGATTCTAGTGCTTCCCCCTCCCAAGTAGCTGGGATTACAGGCAGACGCTACCAGGCCCAGTTAATTTTTGTATTTTTAGTAGAAACGGGGTTTTGCCATGTTGGCCGGGCTGGCCTCAAATTCCTGGCCTCAGGTGGTCCACTGGCCTCGGCCTCCCAAAGTGCTGGGATTACAGGTGTGAGCCACTGTGCCTGGCAAAGTGTTTGTATTTTACAAATGAAATTGAGGTTAAGTCCTGACCTGGTTCCAGCATATAGCGCGCGTGTGTGTGTGTGTGTGTGTGTGTGTGTGTGTGTGTAAGAGATAAATGATCCTTTAAATTACACAAAATTTGGGACTCCTGTGTTTGAATTGGCAAGAGACCAAGCCCACTGCCTCTGCTTTCTCTGCTGCCCAAGTAATTAGAAAACCTGGCCACTTGACTGAACTGGCCATCCAGAAAAAGGGAGGCAAAGGAGAATAAACACAAATTAGTATTTCCGTAAATTAGCCTGACATACTAAAATTTATTGAGTGCTCATTATCTGCCAGGTACTCTGCTAAGCACTTTGCATGTAATAGCTTTAGTAGGGTCTAAATTACACGTTGGAGGGTAGCCTAGGGCTTAACAGTACAAACTTGGAGTCCCAGGCTGCTTAGGAGGGTGGGAGTCCCGCCTCCCCCAGTAGCTTGCTGCACATTCGTGGTTATTGCCGAAGTCCCTCCACCTCTCCAAGCCCCAATTTCCACTCTCTGCCTCTTGGGTCGTTGTAATGAAACAGTAAGCTACAGTATGTTAAGTGGCAAAGAGGTAAACAACAACAATATAAATAACGGCAAATGTTTATTGAGCTGATATGGATGGCAGGGGCATCCCGATCCTGAAACACTATCCTCTCCCCTCCACCACGGCAGCCGGACCCTGAGTTGAGTCCAGGCGGAGCCGCTGCGCCCCAGCCCCGCACCGGCGCGGGCGGAACTGCGTGGGGGAAGCTGTGGGCGGCGTGCGGCGGAGGCGCGCCGCCTAATGCAGTTGTCAGTTAATTAGGGGAGAAGGTTATGTCATTAACGGCAGGATCGATGCAAAGGGAATTAAGAGGCTCGGGCAGCGCCTCCGCGCGCACTCTGCGCGGGCCGAACTCCACAAAAATTCGATACGCATTAGCCGACTATCAGCGGCCGCCCGGGGCACGGGGCTGGCCGAGCGCCGGAGCTGGGCCCAGGGCGGGAGTCCGGTGCCGGACGGGCGCCCCTGCCTGGGCAGCCCTGGAGTCCTTGCTGGGCGAGGTCCCGGCTTGACTGCGGGAGGCCCTCGGAGGCGCGAGCATCGCGGCCTGGCTTAGGGTAGGCCAGGGGCGCGATGCCGACGGCTGGGTTAACGTTTAAACATTCCAAAGAGTCCCTGGTGCTGTTCCCAGCGCTCTCGGCCCAGGCTGTACAACACGCTCAGCCAGCTCATGCTGCAGGTCCAGCCGAAGTCACAGGGAAGCCGCCCTGACCTCCCTAGACCAGGCCAGACCACCGTGTCACCCACCCTCACAGCACTTCATGGCATTTATCACAGTGACACTATAAAGTGATCTATAGAAGGTTCTCTACAGTATCTTTATCCCGTCCAGACTGTAAACCCCAGAAGAGCGGGACTTAGTGGATCTGCCTTGTGTACCTGCACCCAAAGTGCCTGGAAGATGCAAGTGCTCAGTACATATCTGCCCAAGGAATGAATCCCCTTAGCAGCCCAGGGAGTTGGTAGGGTGGGGAAACTGAGACTCAGAGAAATGACTTGCCCAAGATCACACTGATCTCCCAGCTTCCCATGCTTTTTCCTTGCACAGATTAATGTGTCTGAACCTTGGTTTTCCCATCTAGGGGAAAGTTAGTTGTAGCTGCCTCCATACTAGGTGCCAGGAACTGTGCTAACATTTTACTTACATTTACTCATTTAATTCTCACAACAACCCTGTGAGATAGAAATCGTGTTATAAAGGAGGAACTTGAAACTAGCAAGAGCTGGGCTCATCATTTGTCTGTTTGCCTTCAGATCCATTGCTCTCCTTCTAATACTCTGTGTCACATGTGGGCTACCCCTACACTCCATCCCCATCCCATCCCCAGGCAGGCTGCATTTCCCAGGCTCCCTTGTCAGCTGGCTTTTGGCTGGGTTTGGACAACGGGAGCCACAGGCACAGACTGAGGGTGGGAGGACAGGAGAAGCTAGGAGACCCACAGCCTTGGCAGCTTCTGGCTCCATCTCCTTCATCTGGCCCCACACTAGGGATGGTAGTGGTTTCCTGTTCTTGCTAATCTCTGGGTTGCCCCCGTTTCCCCTGTTTGGCTTCTCAGTTCTTCCATCACTTACATAGCCACAGTATTAAATTCTCACTGTTTGAAATAGTTAGTGAGTTCATTTTCCTGATTACCCAAAGAGTCATGATTTGTATCCAGATCTGTCTGACCACAAAATCTACATGCTTAAAGTTTCTCATGCTTAAAGTTTATCTCAGAGGACAGTAGGACAAAGCAGTAAAAAAAATGATAACCACGAACCACGCTGCCCAGAAAACTCTTCCTAGGTAGCTTCTGTAGGAGAAATTCATTTTAAATATAATGGCTCACCCATAAAGCCTATTTATAATTTATTATGTTTTTAAAGTTCTACTTTCCATAGCTAAAATATTGTTTACACCTGTAAATGAAGGTAATCATAGCATCTACCTGGTAGAGATGCTATGAAGACAAAATCAGCTAATCTATGCCAAACACCTGCATGAGGTAGCTGTTCACTGACAATTCCTTCCCTGATTCCTTTAAAACCTGGGGAAATTTTATTGCCTTCAGTCTTCTCAGCTCGAGAATCCTGGAGCGTGGAGGATGGCAGCTCTGCCTTTCATTTCTTTTTTTTTTTTTTTTTTAGATGGACTTTTGCTCTTGTTGCCCAGGCTGGAGTGCAATGGCGCGATCTCGGCTCACCGCAACCTCCGCCTCCCAGGTTCAAGCGATTCTCCTGCCTCAGCCTCCCGAGTAGCTGGGATTACAGGCATGCACCACCATGCCTGGCTAATTTTTTTTTTATTTTATTTTTAGTAGAGACCGGGTTTCTCCATGTTGGTCAGGCTGGTCTCGAACTCCTGACCTCAGGTGATCCACCCACCTGGGCCTCCCAAAGTTCTGGGATTACAGGCATGAGCCACCGCACCCAGCCTCTGCCTTTCATTTCTAAGTGTTCTCCTTATTGCATTGTAGATTCACCTTGCTCATTGGACCCATGAATGGGAAGTAGTAATCAGATGGCCAGCCTGACAGCTGCAATACACAGAAGATGTGTGCAATGAATGTTAGATCTGACTGAATGCTCCCAAATCAACTGGACTGCCCCCAGAGACTTGGCTGGCAATGAATGAGAGTGTGAGGTGCTTTTGACACATGCATTCAAGGCCTGATTTGAGCAAAGATGTCTGCTTGACAGTCCCGAGGGCAATTTTCTCCTGATTGATTTGCAACTTTCCATCTTAATGGAAAATAAGCCAAGCGTAAAGGAGGTAGTTTTCTCCCTGAACCAGAAATCCTTGCTTTGCTTTCCTTTCTGAACTTGGGGGTTACCATTTCTTATTACCTGAAAAGGGGTTACAGAGACCAAAGTTTGCTGGGAGAAGGTGCAAAGGTGGAGGAGTTACGGATAGGAGCTCAACTCACACAATCCCCAATGACTTGGGAGAACCTGAAGACTAGAGAATCTGTGGAGGTCAAGAAACTGTCCTTGATGAATGAACAACTGCAGATAACAGATTAGGTCTTTAGCTATCACAGCCTAGAGTCTGGGGCTGGGAGTCCCACCTGTGCCCTGGGACAAGGTTTTTCATTTGAGCCTACCCTGCTGCAGGTTGCTGTGGGCTCATATGAGTCACTGATGTCAATGCAATTTAAAGAAGTTTGTAGACCACACAAATATATTTGACATTATGGTTTTAAACTAGTTTGGCAGCTCTTTACCACAATAGTATAAGCCTCCTACCCCTAGAGCTTAATAGCACAGGGTTTGGAGCAAACAGACCCAGGTTCCAATCTCAGCTCACTGCTGACTACTTCTTACTTAACCTTTCTGAACCTGAGGTTCATCAGCGGCCGCCCGGGGCCGCTGATGTAAGTCGTCTGTAAGGCAGGAATAATAGTACCTACTTGGAAGAGTTGTTGTGAAGATTAAATTAGACACTAGAGTAGGAGTTTAAGAAATAGCAATCATTATTGAAATTGTTGGCCAGGCGCAGTAGCTCACACCTGTAATCCCAGCACTTTGGGAGGCTGAGGTGGGCAGATCACCTGAGGTCAGGAGTTCGAGACCAGCCTGGCCAACATGGCGAAACCCCGTCTCTACCAAAAATACAAAAATTAGCCAAGCATGGTGGTGGGTGCCTGTAAACCCAGCTACTCTGGAGGCTGAGGCAGGACAATCGCTTGAATCAGGGAAGCAGAGGTTGTGGTGAGCCAAGACTGCACCACCGCACTCCAGCCTGGGCGACAGAGCAAGACTCTGTCTCAAAAAAAAAAAAAAAAATTAACCAGGTGTGGTGGCACATGCCTGTAATCCCAGCTACTTGGGAGGCTGAGGCAGGAGAATCACTTGAACCTGGGAGGCGGAGGTTGCAGTGAGCTGAGATTGTGTCACTGACTCCAGCCTGGGTTGCAGAGTGAGACTCTGTCTCAAAAAAACAATAATAATAATAAAATAGTTCACAAATTTATCTGCCAACTAATATTTTGGAACAAAATAGGCAATCTAGTCAACTAGGTCATTATATTCTCAGAAACCTCTGGTATAATGCTTTGGTTTGTCACCCAGGGTCCACTTCTCCAGGAACCGTTCTCATTTGTTGTCCCTGCCAAAAAGTTAGACCTGGGGAGCCATGTTTGTAATATATGACCCTGACTTCTTGGCCACTATTGATTGGACCAAGGGTGAATACTTAACCTAAGCTGGACAAACAATATTCCTCTCCTGGGAGCTGAACCAGTCAACTGTGGTGAGTCACATAGACTCCAGAACTAATACTGCCATTTTGGTGCACACAGTTGATGGACAAGGTGAGGAAACTGATATGGAAAGGTGCAGAGAGAAATGCAAGTGAGAGACCATCTAGCTTTGACCTCTCTGAAGATACAGAAATGGTCCTGTTCCTGATTATTTTTCAGTTCTAAGAGGCCTAACTATGCTAATTTCCTGTCCTTGGAGTCTATGTAGTCTGCATCCAGCCACTAGTGTCCACCTTTTCCTGTGCTAGCATGAGTGCCTTTGCAAGCAAAAGAGACAAGACTAGAATAGGGGCAGTGGTTTGACCCTTTATGTGGTTAAAAAAAAATGCTGCTGCTTCTTCTTCTTCTTTTTTTTTTTGAGACAGAATTTCGCTCTTGTTGCCCAGGCTGGAGTGCAATGACACGATCTCGGCTCACCACAACCTCCTGCCTCCTGGGTTCAAGCAATTCTCCCGCCTCAGCCTCCCAAGTAGCTGGGATTACAGGCATGCACGACCACGCCTGGTTAATTTTGTATTTTTAGTAGAGATGGGGTTTCTCCATGTTGGTCAGGCTGGTCTCGAACTCCCAACCTCAGGTGATCTGCCCGCCTCAGCCTCCCAAAGTGCTGGGATTACAGGTGTGAGCCACTGTGCCTAGCAAAAAAATGCTTCTTAAATTTTTTTTTTCTTTTTTTTGGCCAGGTGCAGTGGCTCACATTTGTAATCCTAGCACTTTGGGAGGCCAAGGCGGGTGGATCACCTGAGGCCAGGAATTTGAGACTAGCCCGGCCAAGAAACCCTGTCTCTACTAAAAGTACAAAAAAATTAGCCAGGTGTGGTGGCGGGTGCCTGTAATCCCAGCTACTTGGGAGGCTGAGGCACGAGAACCGCTTGAACCCAGGAGGCAGAGGCTGCAGTGAGCTGAGATCATGCCACTGCACTCCAGCCTGGGTGACAGAGTGAGACTCCATCTCAAAAACAAAAAACAAAACCAACTTTTTTGTTTGTTTGTTTGAGTCAGGGTCTCACTATATTTAATAGCCCAGACTGTTCTCAAACCTGAGCTCCTGCCTCTGCCTCCCAAGTAGTTGGGATTACAGGTGTGCACCACTGCACCAGACCTAAAAATGCTTCTTAAATAACTCAGTTGGTCTTCTTTGAAATGAGCTTATATACCGAAAACATCCCTTACTTCAGTAAATTGATAAATTGATGAGACCAATTATTAAGCAAAGTGTTGAACAAAAACTAGTTGAGAAACCTTTTTCATTTCATGTTTTCCTGGATAATTTGTCATTATAATGGAAGTCCCAAAGTGTTTGATTTGTAACAGCACCTGGAAGTTCTCAAAAAGTTGCATTACATGGTCATGTAATTTCTAAAATGATGCTGAGGACCTAGGGATGGATGGGGTTGGAAGATTTATGCTGAAATTACTCCAAATTTAAAAACAAACAGCCAAGCACAGTGGCTCATGCCTCTAATCCCAGCACTTTAGGAGTCCAAGGTGGGTGGATCACCTGAGCCCAGGAGTTGGAGACCAGCTTGGATCTTGGACAACATGGCGAAACCCTTTCTCTACCCAAAATACAAAATATTAGCCAGGTGTGATGGCATGTGCCTGTAGTCCCAGCTGCCCAGGAGGCTGAGGTGGGAGGATCACCAGAGCCTGGGGAGGATGAGACTGCAGTGAGCTATGATCATGCCACTGCACTCCAGCCTCGACGACAGAGTGAAACTGTCTCAAAAATAAAATAAAAAATAAAAACAAGCTGGTCAGGTGCAGTGGTTCATGCCTATAATCCCAGCACTTTGGGAGGCCGAGGCGGGCAGATTATTTGAGGTCAGGAGTTTGAGACCAGCCTGGCCAACATGGTGAAACCCCATCTCTACTAAAAAATACAAAAAATTAGCCTGGCATGGTGGTGTGCACCTATAATCCCAGCTACTCGGGAGGCTGAGGCAGGAGAATCACTTGAACCCGAGAGGCAGAGGTTACAGTGAGCCAAGATTGTGCCACTGCACTCCAGCCTAGGCAACAGAGTGAGGCTCCATCTCAACAAACAAACAAACTAGGGACAAGGGGGAAAAAGCTATCTCTCTGAGAGTCTATGATTGTAAATCTCAATTTTTTTATCATGCGGTTGATCTGAGTATTAAATAAAATAGTGCGTGTAAAGTTCTTTGCCCAGCACCTGGATGTAGTCTGTAAATGTTTTATTAGTTACTATGACCAGGAAAATGTGACAAAGTTTGCTGCTGAAGCTGAATATTTATTTATTTATTTTTGAGACAGAGTCTCGCTCTGTCACCCAGGCTGGAGTGCAGTGGTGCGATCTCAGCTCACTGCAAGCTCCGCCTCCCGGGTTCACGCCATTCTCCTGCCTCAGCCTCCCGAGTAGCTGGGACTACAGGTGCCTGCCACCACGCCCAGCTAATTTTTTCTATTTTTTCATAGAGACAGGGTTTCACCGTGTTCGCCAGGATGGTCTCGATCTCCTGACCTCGTGATCCGCCTGCCTCGGCCTCCCAAAGTGCTGGGATTACAGGCTTGAGCCACCACGCCCAGCTGAAGCTGAATGTTTTTTAAATGCTCAAATTTAAATTAAAGTAAATGCTCTGACATTGACTTGACTAGCTTCTTGAGGATAGAGACTGTGTCTTGGCCACTTATGGTTTTCTTAAAGCTTAGTGCCATTGTAAATTATCAACAAATAATTTTTTGAATAAATGTTGAGCTCTCAATATGTTTATCACAGGACTTAAAAGCATTTTGAAAGCTTTGGAAAGGCTGGACATGATAGATGCCTGTAATCCCAGCACTTTGAGAGGCCAAAGAAGGTAGATTGCTTGAGCCCAGGAGTTCAAGACCAGCCTGGTCAACACAGCAAGACCCTGTCTTTACAAAAAAAAACACCTTTTTTAAATTAGCCAGGCATAGTAGTGCATGCCCAGAGTCCCAGCTACTTGTAAGGCTGAGGTGAGAGGATTGCCTGGGCCCAGGAGTTCAAGGTTGCAGTGAACTATGATCATGCCAGTGCTCTCCAGCTTTGGCAATAGAGCACGACCCCATCTCTAACAAAACAAAACAAAATAAAACAAAACAGAAAAACCCAGAAAGTGATGGAAAGTAAAATGGTAATTTTTTGAGAAGGATGGAGTGGAGGGGTTCATGGACATAGAAACTCAACATGGCCACAGGAAGAAATATCTTTGGATTCTAAATTTTTTTTGTTTTTGAGATGGAGTCTCACTCTGTCCCCAAGGCTGGAGTGCAGTGGCACTATCTTGGCTCACTGCAGCCTCCGTTGGCTCACTGCAGCCTCCGCCTCCTGGGCTCAAACAAATACTCCCACCTCAGCCTCCTGAGTAGCTAGGATTACAGGTGCCTGCCACCATGCCTGGATATTTGTGTGTGTGTGTGTGTGTGTGTGTGTGTGTGTATTTTTTTAGTAGAGATGGGGTTTCACAAAGTTAGCCAGGCTGGTCTTGGACTCCTGACCTCAAGTGATCCATCCTCACTGACCTCCCACAGTGCTGAGATTATAGGCATGAACAACCACACCTGGCCTGAATTCTAATTTTTTTAAAGTTTAATATTATGAGCTTAGTCAGGAAGCCCTGAAGTATTATGGGTTGAATTGTGTCCCCCCAAAAAATTCATATATGGAAGTATTAATACCCAGTACTTCAGAATGTGACCTTATTTGGAAATAGTCATTGCAGATGTAATTAGTTAAGATGGGCTGGGCACAGTGGCTCATGCCTATAATCCCAGCACTTTGGGAGGCTGAGGCGGGAGAATCACTTGAGTCCAGGAGATTGAGACCAGTCTGGGTAACATGGTGAAACCCTGTCTCTACAAAACATGAAAAATTAGCTGGGCATTGCTGGTCGTGGTGGCTCACGCCTGTAATCCCAGCACTTTGGGAGACCGAGGTGGGCAGATCACGAGGTTAAGGGATCAAGATCATCCTGGCCAAGATGGTGAAACCCCATCTCTACTAAAAATACAACAATTAGCTGGGTGTGGTGGTGCGTGCCTGTAATCCCAGCTACCTAGGAGGCTGAGGCAGGAGAATCGCTTGAACAGAGGAGGCAGAGGTTGCAGTGAGCTGAGATCGCACCACTGCACTCCAGCCTGGCGACAGAGCGAGACTCTGTCTCAAAAAAAAAAAAAAAAAAAAAAAAAAAAAAAAAAAAAAAGAAAAGAAAAGAAAAGAAAAAAGAAAAAAAAAAAGAAAAGAAAAATTTAGCTGGGCATGGTGGCATGTGCTTGTAGTCCCAGCTACTTGGAAGGCTGAGGATGGCTTGAGTTGGGGGAGGCAGCAGTTGCAGTGAGCTGAGATTGCACCACTGCACTCCAGCCTGGGTGACAGAGCCAGAATCTGCCTCAAAAACAGAAACCCAATAATAGTAATTAGTTAAGATGAGGTTCATACTGGAGTAGGGTAGACTGCTAATTCAATAAAACTGGCATCCTTATAAAAAAAAAAAGGAGGGGGAGAATGGGACACACACACACACACACACACACACAGAATGTTATGTGAAGATTAAGGCAGATGTCATGGTGGTGCTTCTATAAGCCAAGGATTGCCAGCAAACTGTGAGAAGCAAGGGGAGAGGCATGGAACAGATTCTCCCTCACAGCCCTCAGAAGGAAGCAACCGTGTTGCCACCTTGATTTTGGTCTTCCAGCCTCCAGAACTGTGAGACAATAAATTTCTGCTGTTTCGCCACCTAGTTTGTTGTACTGTCATGGCAGCCTTAGCAAACTAATACATGAAACAAACAAATCTAAAAATGCTCTCCTTCTGGCTCTCCCAGTGGTCATTCATGCCCAAGCCCAGATATTCACATCTATAAGTGCTTGCATCCAACCATTTCTATTTTAACAGCTCCCACCAATTATCCTTCCAAGAGTGGGTAGAACAATGTGGAAAGCCCTTCACCTATCAGTTCCAACAAGCACAGTAGCTTTAAGTCCAATCGACTACAACCATGTAATTAAAAATAATTCCTGCTTATGTCTGAAGAACTTTAAATAAAGTTTGGAATTATTTAGCTGTTTCACCCTAACTTTATTTATTTATTTATATTTTATTTTATTTTATTTTATTTTTTGAGATGGAGTCTTGCTCTGTCGCCCAGGCTGGAGTGCAGTGGCACATCTCGGCTCACTGCAAGCTCCGCCTCCCGGGTTCACGCCATTCTCCTGCCTCAGCCTCCCGAGTAGCTGGGACTACAGGTGCCCACCACCATGCCCGGCTAATTTTTTGTATATTTAGTAGAGACAGGGTTTCACCGTGTTAGCCAGGATGGTCTCGATCTCCTAACCTCATGATCCTCCCACCTTGGCATCCCAAAGTGCTGGGATTACAGGCGTGAGCCACTGTGCCTGGCCATTTATTTTTTTTATATGGAGTCTTACTCTGTCACCCAGGCTAGAGTACAGTGGCATGATCTTGGCTCATTGCAACCTCCACTTTCCAGGCTCACGTGATTCTCCCACCTCAGCCTCGTGAGAAGCTGAGATTACAGGTGTGTGCTACCACGCCCAGCTAATTTTTGTATTTTTAGTAGAGACAGGGTTTTACCATGTTGGCTAGGCTGGTCTTGAACTCCTGACCTCAAGTGATGCCCCCAGCCTCAGCCTCCCAAAGGGCTGGGATTATGGGCATGAGCCACCACAACTGGTCATTAGTGTTATTTTAATATGTAATAGTAATTGCGATACATTGGTTATTATGGGTCAGGGACTTTACTAAACACTTTTTTCTTTTTTTGACAGAGTTTCACTCTTGTTGCCCAAGCTGGAGTGCAATGGTGCAATCTCAGCTTACTGCAACCTCTGCCTCCCGGGTTCAAGCAATTCTCTTGCCTCAGCCTCCCGAGTAGCTGGGATTACAGGCATGTGTCACCACGCCCGGCTAATTTTGTATTTTTTTAGTAGAGACAGGGTTTCTCCACGTTGGTCAGGCTGGTCTCGAACTCCTGCTCTTGTTGCCCAAGCTGGAGTGCAATGGTGCGAGCTCAGCTTACTGTAACCTCTGCCTCCTGGGTTCAAGCGATTCTCTTGCCTCAGCCTCCCAAGTAGCTGGGATTACAGGCATGTGTCACCACACCCGGCTAATTTTGCATTTTTTTAGTAGAGACGGGGTTTCTCCATGTTGGTCAGGCTGGTCTCAAACTCCCGACCTCAGGTGATCCACCCGCCTCGGCCTCCCAAAGTGCTGAGATTACAGGCGTGAGCCATCTCACCGGCTGCTAAGCACTTCACACACATCATTTCTTTAATCAACCCTATGAGATAAGAACTGTTATTATTTAAATTTCATAGATGAAGAAACTGAGACTCAGAGAATTAGCTTGTGTATAAAGGCACAGCTAGTTGATAATGGAGATCCTAGTCTGCCTGAGCCCAGAGTCCATGTTCTTTGTTACTAAGCTCTTCTGCCTCCTGAGAGGGTACTGCGCCTAATGCAGAGAAAGCTCATGGAATATTAGATTCCTCCCCTTGTCTGACTTAGTCTTGTTGTAATTGACATAAAAGCTCCTGTACATTCTGCCTGCATTTTCCAGCTCAAGATGAAAGAAAAGTGACTGGCACATAGTAAGTGCTCAGTAAGTGTTAGCTGTTATTACTATTAATATTGCATTGTATATGTTCCTGTCTGGCAAGGGATGTGAATTCCCAGACTATTGCTAACAGTGGGTACTTAGAATGAACAAGACCAGTGGGGTAGGAGCCTGCAAAGAAAAGTTGATCTAGGAAAAAATGAGAAGTAAGGGAGGAGAGGTTTGGGCTGGGGGAGGGGGAATGAGAAAGAGAAAGCAATTGGCAGAAGGCCAGACTCCACTTTGCCTTTGGTGTGGCTGCCCCTGGGAATTGGGAGGAGTGGGGTGGATGGCCCCTCTACTCCTAATTGGTCAGGTCACCTTGCTTTATCCTTTATTTCCTCCCTTTTGGGGTGATGGGGTGGCTGCAGCTTGTGGTTACATAAAGCTTTCTGGAATTCTTCCAGGAAGAAGGGAAGCGTGTGAGGTCCTGGCAAACAAAGATTCAGGAGTTGAGCAGTGTGTGAGCCATAGCAATTGTGTACCGGCAATCAGCACCACGGTAAGGCTGGAGGGCAGTGGAAAGAGGCCGGCTTAGGTATAAATTCCGGCTCTCCCACTTTAGCGATTGCGTGACCTTGGCCAGGTAACTTACCTATCTGAGTCTGATTTCCTCTTTTGTAATAAGATTGATAAATGGCACATGCTCTACAGGCATTTTGTCAGATAATGCATTTAAGTGCTTAGCATAATGCCTAATAAATAATAGCCATTATTATTGTTATTATTTTAAGTGTTATTAGGGTTTGATGTCCTCTCTGCCTGAATGTGTGGAATCCCTAGGCTCCTCCTCCCGCTTCTGTTACCTTAGTCCTGAAAATTTGAGTCAAATGCCCCTTGATATTTTCACTTTATTCTAGACCTTCCAGTGGGGTCATGCTTTCTGGGACCTCTGGGAAATCCCAGGACAGTGGAAAGCATCCTTCCATGACTCTGGGATGATCCTTTTTTTCCACAGCCTAGGAAGGGCTGATAAAAGCCTTATCTGAGTGACATTCCATTATGGGATTAAATCAGACTTGCTCTAGGGCCTTCTGGCTGCCACCCCAGGCTGGATGCTGGCAGCTTCTGGTTATTGCCTTTGGCCCAATCTGAGGTCATCACACTTCTTTGGGCCCAAGGGGCCTTCAGAGGCAGGAGCTGGGGAGAGGCTCTGGCAGTCACTGGGATTAGTTTCAATTAGCAAGCTCTGACTAAGCATGGAAGTCCACAGCCAGGCACACACTAGGTACCATAAGAAGGCCCAGATATCTACCCAGTCAGCTCCTATCTGAGGCAGCAAATGACAGGCTCCATGAAGGCAGTCCACAGGGATGTGAAAGATCAGTAAATAGAGAGTTAATGGGGCAAAGGAATAACTGTGTGGTTAATTTCAGGGTAGCTGCTGAATTTCTCTGAGCCTCAGTTTCTTCATCTATGAGCTTGGAACATTAACATTTATTACAAAGTGTTAATTTAAATGAAAATGTGCTGGCTAAAACAACAAAGTTTTAGAGATAAACCTGGCTTGACCACCTACTGGCTTTGTGCCATTGCTGATAACTCTTTTTTTTTTTTTTCCTGAGACAGAGTCTCGCTCTGTCGCCCAGGCTGGAGTGCAGTGGCACAATCTCGGCTCACTGTAACCTCCGTCTCCCGGGTTCAAGTGATTCTCCTGCCTCAGCCTCCTGAGTAGCTGGGATTACAGGTGCACGTCAGCGAGCCCAGCTAATTTTTGTATTTTTAGTAGAGGCGAGGTTTCACCGTGTTGGCCAGGCTGGTCTTGAACTTCTGGCCTCAAGTGATCTGCCCCCCACTTGGCCTCCCAAAGTGTTGAGATTATAGGCATGAGCCACCGCATCTGGCCTGTTGTTAACTTCTCAAATCCTCAGTTTCCTGATGTATGAAAAGGAGGAAATAATATTTCCCTCCCTCCCGGTGTTGTTGTAAGGGTTAGAGAAACCAGGCATGTAAAGCAGTTAGTGCTTACCTGCACGTGCACGCACATTCCTAACGTTGCTTAATAAATGGGAACTCCAGCTACTTGGGATGCTGAGGCTGGAGGCTTGCTTGAGCCCAGGAATCAGAGGCTGCAGTGAGCTTTGATTGCGCCTCTGCACTCCAGCCTGGATGACAAAGTGAGCCTCTGTCTCTAAAAAATAAAAAAAAAATGGGAACTCATGATTTTTCTTCTTAGGGCAGTATGGATGAGGTGGTCATCTGCCATTGACTGACTCCTCAGGAAGGTCAGGAAGCCACGGTCAGTATGATATTACCATTGTGGAGATGTGTTTATAGGACCTGGGTCAGCCCGGGATCAGGCTCAGCTTGGAGGGCAGAACAGGAGGGAGGGAAAAAGAGGGGCCTGGACGTAGTAGCTCACGTCTGTAATCCCAGAACTTTGGGAGGCTGAAGCAGGCAGATCACTTGAGGTCAGGAGTTCAAGACCAGCCTGGCCAATGTGGTGAAACCCTGTCTCTACTAAAAATACAAAAATTAGCCAGGTGTGCTGTCGGGCGCCTGTAATCCCAGCTACTTGGGAGGCTGAGGCAGGAGAATCACTTGAACCCAGGAGATGGAGGTTGCAGTGAGCTGAGATGGTGCCATTGCACTCCAGCCTGGGCAACCGGAGAGAAACTCCATCTCAAAAAAACAAAAACAAAAAAAAAACCTGCCTAATAAACTTTTACAATTCATTTATACATTTTTCCCCTATATTTTAGGCTGCATTTTTTTTTTAATTTGAACTCTTTCACTTTACCAACACTGGCTTACAAGGGCTTCCTTTTGGCTGAGTGTGGTGGCTCATGCCTGTAGTCCCAGCACTTTGGAAGGCCAAGGCGATGGCTCACCTGAGGCCAGGAGTTTGAGACCAGCCTGGGCAACATGGTGAAACCCCATCTCTATTAAAAATACAAAAAATAGCTGGGCGCCTGTAATTCCAGCTACTTGGGTGGCTGAGGCATGAGAATCACTTGAACCCAAGAGGCAGAGGCTGCAGTGAGCCAAGATCGTGCCACTGCACTCCAGTCTGGGCCACAGAGCAAGATTCTGTCTCAAAACAAACAAACAAACAAGCAAACACACACACACACACACACACACACAAAATAAAAGAGCTTTTATCTTTTTTTTTTGGTCAAGGTGTAAGATACATACAGTAAGATGTGAAAAGTACAGTGATCTTACATGTATACTTCAATTTTTTTTTACATATATGCACAACCATATAATCACCCAAAGCAAGATATATAACATTTTCCTTTTTTTTTTTTTTTTTTGAAGAGACAGGGTCAAGGCCAGCCGTGGTGGCTCACGCCTGTAATCCCAGCACTTTGGGAGGCTGAGGTGGGTGGATCACCTGAGGTCAGGAGTTGGAGACCAGCCTGGCCAACATGGTGAAACTCTGTCTCTACTAAAAGTACAAAAAATTAGCTGGGCGTGGCGGCGCACACCTGTAATCCCAGCTACTCAGGAGGCTGAGGCAGGAGAATTGCTTGAACCCAGGAGGCGGAGGTTGCAGTGAGCCAAGATCGCACCATTGCACTCCAGCCTGGGCAACAAGAGCGAAACTTTGTCTCAAAAACAAAATAAAGATACAGTCTTCCTCTGTCACCCAGGCTGGAGGGCAATAGCTCAATCACAGCTCACTGCAACCTCAAACTTCTGGGATCAAGTGATCCTCCCGCCTCAGCTTCCTGAGTAGATGGGACTACAGGCATGTGCTACCATGCCCAGCTAATTTTTAAAATTTTTGTAGAGACTGGGTCTCTCTATGTTGCCCAGGTGGTTTCAAACTCCTGGCCTCAAGTGATAGTTTTTTTTTTTTTTTTGACACAGAGTCTCGCTCTCTTGCCCAGGCTAGAGTGCAATGGCACCATCTCGGCTCACTGTAACCTCTGCCTCCCAGGTTCAAGTGATTCTCCTGCCTCAGCCTCCCAAGTAGCCGGGATTACAGGCATGCACCACCGCACCTGGCTAATTTTTGTATTTTTAGTGGAGACAGGGTTTCACCATGTTGGCCAGGCTGGTCTTGAATTCCTGACCTCAAGTGATCCGTCTGCCTCAGCCTCCCAAAGTGCTGGGATTACAAGCGTGAGCCACCGCGCCTGGCCAAGTGACACTTTTACCTCATCTTCCCAAAGCTTTGGGATTACGGGTGTGAGCCGCTGTGCTCTGACAAGATATAGAACATTTCTGACAGTTTACTCTTAACCCAGTTTTATTACTAATAATACTATTTTTTTAACATTGACTGAGTTCCTGGTATTAGGCTAAATGCTTTATGTTCATGATATCATTTGATATTTGCAACAAAATAGTGTGATTATCTCCATTTTACAGATGAAGAAATGGAGACTTTGAGAATTTAAATGGCTTGTGAAAGGTCACACAAAGAAGCAGGTGCCAGCCTGGTGCTCAAACCCAGGTCTACTGGACTCCAAGTCCCATGTGCCTAATCATTGCTATAGCAGTGGGCAACCACTGGAACCACTTCAAAGTAACCTATTACTTCCTCTATTTTGTTTTATTTTGTTTATTTTCTCAGGAACCTCTAGGTTCTCCTTTAAAACTTGGAAGTAACAATCTCCACTCTCAGCATACTCCCTCCCATGAGCTCAGTGCATAATTTGTGCCCCCTGAGAAAGATGACAGAGGACTTTCTAACAGCCTGTTGCTTCTGGGGGCCACAGTGTAATCACCCAGTTCTTCTTGCCTGCTGCATAGATGAAACCAATTCACTGCATAGATGAAACCAATTCACTGAAACAGTGGTATTGCAGTAGAGAAAGAATTTAATGGTCACAGGGCTAGCCAAGTGGTAGGAAGGGAGTTTATTACTCAAATCAGCCCGCTTGAAATTTGGAGGCTAAAATCTTGCTTGCTTGCTTGCTTGCTTTCTTGCTTTTTTTTTTTTTTTTTTTTTTTTTTTTGAGACGGAGTTTCACTTTTGTTGCCCAGGGTGGAGTGCAATGGCACGATCTCACCTCACTGCAACCTCTGCCTCCTGGGTTTAAGCAATTCTCGTGACTCAGCCTCCTGAGTAGCTGGTATTACATGTACCCACCACCATGCCTGGCTAATTTTTGGTATTTTTAGTAGAAATGGGGTTTCACCATGTTGGCCAAGCTGGTCTCAAACTCCTGACCTCAGGTGATCCACCTGCCTTGGCCTCCCAAAGTGCTGGGATTACAGGTATGATCCACTGCACCTGGCTGAGGCTAGAATTTTTCAAGGATAGTTTGGCAGGCAGGGGGCTAGGGAATGGGGAATGCTGATTGGTTGGGGATGAAATGATACGGGTGTGGAAAACAGTCCTTGTGCACTGAGTCTGCTCTGGATGGGGGCCATGGGACTAATTGAGTCGTGAGTCACAGGTCCAAGTGGAATCAGTTGGTCACCAGAATGCAAAAGTCTGAAAAACATCTCAAAAGACCAATCTTAGGTTCTACAATAGCAACATTATCTATAGGGGCAATTAGGAAAGTTATACATTTTCAGTCCACCTCTGACTCCTGAGCAGTAAACAATGACTAGTTATCATTTAACTAAGCACAGATCTTAGTAGAATTTAGGCTGCTCTCATAATCCTAATCTTGTGGTCTTTTTTAGTTTTACAAGGTGGTTTCAGTCCCAAACAAGGAGAGGGTAGTTCTGGGAAAGCACTATTATCATCCTTGCTTTAAGGTTAAACTATACTTCCCATAGTTACCTTGGCCTATGCCCAGGAATAAACAACGGCAGCTTGGATGTTAGAAGCTAGATGGAGTCAGTTAGTTCAGATTTCTTCCACTGTCTTAAGTTTTCTACGTCAGATTTCTCTCACTGTCATAATTTTTGCAAAAGCAATTTTAACAGTGGCCACTCCTTGTGTGCCCTCCCTGAGAAAACAGCACAGCTTTCTTACTTCCTCAGGTCCACAAGTGTAGAAAGTGCAGCTCAGACCCAAGAATGCTCTTTACCTGGAGCCCAGGAGTTCAAGACTAGCCTGGAAAACATAGTGAGACCCTGTCTCCTCAAAAAATTATCTGGGCTTGGTGGCACACGCCTGTAGTCCCAGCTACTCCAAAGGCTGAGGTAGGAGAACTACTTGAGTCCAGGAGATCAAGGTTTCAGTGAGCCAAGATCACACTACTGCACTCCAGGCTGGGCAACAGAGTGAGATCTTATCTTAAATAAATAAATAAATATTTTTAAAAAGAGACAATTTTTTTTTCTGGAGATGGAATTTCACTCCTGTTGCCCAGGCTGGAGTGCAATGGCGTGATCTCGGCTCACTGCAATCCCTGCCTTCCTGGGTTCAAGCTATTCTCCTGCCTCAGCCTCCCAAGTAGCTGGGATTACAGGCATGCTCCACCACGCCCGGCTAATTTTGTATTTTTAGTAGAGACAGGGTTTCTCCATGTTGGTCAGGCTGGTCTCAAACTCCCAACCTCAGGTGATCCACCTGCCTCGGCCTCTCAAAGTGCTGGGATTACAGGCGTGAGCCACCACGCCCAGCTAAAAAGAGATAAACTTTTAAAAATGTAAACATCTCCCTCTTAGGTATCAGCTAGCAGCAGGATCCTCGTCCCCGGTGGAATAAGGATGGAGCTAAGGCAGTCAGCTCAGCTGGGGTCCAGGCTGCCCTCCTTCCTCAGCTTCTGGAACAGAGGGATGGCCTGGGTGCAGGGTTATGTGATTGTTCTGGGGAAATGAGCATTCTGGCCTGCTTGATGGGAAGCCTGCTGAGATCAGGCTCAGCCTATTGCCCTGCAGGGGAGCTCCCACTGGATCATCTTCCCCAGACAGACGAAGAGGCCGAGCAACACAGTGATGTCAGCCCCATCAATTCTCCCTCTTTCTAAAGGTTCTCAGCAGTAACCTTGGAGGTGAGGCATCCTTAGGGGAACTTTACTGAGTAATAGGGATAAAGGACACTGGGAAGGGGGGTTACCAAAGCTGGGCTACACAAGGCTGAGAGCCCCCGATGAGCAGAGCTGGCAGTGAGGCCTCCCATTACATCCTAGGGCCATTACCTTGGGGAGATGGAATTGGACAAGCCTGCCTTTCCATTATGCAAAGAAAGGGCTTTTCAAGTAAATTTCCATTTAAGTATGAGCTTAGATCAGTGAAGATGGGGTCATAATAGCTTTGATGGTCATCACAACTATTAAAAATACATTTTTTCCTCGTGCTCAGCCTGCTTTGTCATCTTCATATTGTTCATCCCCAAAAGACTGTAACTCAACCTTTTCCTAGCTTCTAGGAGACAGGTTAATGTCCACAGGTATTTTCAACTCTTTAATTTTTCAACATACATAGTAGATGAAATTTACATGCTTGACACGGCCCATGGATGTATCCAGAATGTGATAAAAAAACAAAAACTAAAAGTCAGTTTGGGAATGGAGGTGGGTGATGGGTTAAGTACAGCACACCGCTCATTGGTCATTGTCTATACTGCTGGGCTCTCTTCTCTTCAGACCATCTGGTGTTGCCTGATTAGGTCCTCAGATACATATAGTTCCCTGCTTAGGTCCTCAGATACATATAGTTCTTAACCTGCTGTCTCTGCTGCCTGAATGCTCTTCCCCTATGCTCTACCGGGCTGACTCTAGGTCTATCTCCAGGTCTTAGCTGGACTAATTTCTTCAAGGAAGCCTCCTCTGATCCACTCCTCTAGCCCTAGACCAGGTTAGGGCCTTGTATTGGTTGTCTATCATTGCATAATAACCCCCAACCATGTATTTGCTCATTTTTCTGCAATTCTGACTGGGTTCAGTCTTGCCTGGGGTCACTTCTGCAGCTGCAGTCAGTTGTCAGGTTGACTGGGTGCTGGCTGTTCCTGCATAGCCTCACTCATCTATCTGAAGCCTCAGCCGGAATGGTGGGAACCACTGGGACAGCTGGAATATCTGGGACAGCTAAGAGGCTAACCTGGTTCCTTCAGGGCAGCAAGAGGGCAAGAGTTAAAGTTGCAAGGTCCCTTGAAACTGAGGCTCAGAAGTCACATAACATCCCTTTCACTGCTTTCTATTGGTTAAAGCAAGTCACAGGGCTAACACAGATTCAAAGGCAGGGACACAGACTCACCGCTTGATGCAAAGTCATATTGTAAAGGGGCACATATCCAGGGATGGAGGACTTATGGCCATCTTTGCCCACAGCCTGGCACAGGCCTCCTATCATAGCTTCTTAAGCTTTTCCTTCACTGCACTTATGGTAACTGTTGTTACATAATTCTTTGTATGATTGTTTATCATCTTTCTCCCCCACTAGAAAAAAATGTCTGAGTGCAGGAATTGACTGTTTCATTCAACAGTCTATTCCCAGAGCTTGGCACATAGTAACAACTAGATAAATTGTAGTTAAATGAATACATGGACAGCACCCACCTCCTTCCTACCCACTGCCACCTCCAACAAATAATTAACCAGCTCAAAATATCAATAATGCCTAAGTCAAGAAACCTTGCTGGGAACTGACTGTTCTTTCAGTTCTCATCGGGCTTAGATTTAGTAAGTTCTTTAGCCTCTCTCTACTTTGGTCTCTGGTGTCTGGTCCCACATCGCTCTTGAGCAAACACCTTTTCCGGTCAAGCCCTTTGAAGAGCGGGGAGGGAGGGAATGGTTCCATCTGTCGGACAAAGCCGGGATCACAGAAGAAAAAGGCAATTGAGTTTTTTCCAGGAAGGACTTTAGGTGAGGATCAGCCTTGACCAGACTACAGCCCCCAAGGAACGCTGGAGAACATTCAGTGGGGCAGCACGCGACTGGATAAAGTTGTTCGCGACGTTGTCATGTGTGACAAACTTGGGAGTGGTATTTAGAAGCTTGAAGTGCTTTCTTTCTTATTCTTTTTTTTTTTTTTTTTTTTTTTTTTGAGACGGAGTCTCGCTCTGTCACCAGGCTAGAGTGCTGTGGTGCGATCTCAGCTCACTGCAACCTCCAACTCCCTGGTTCAAGGGATTCTCCTGCCTCAGCCTCCAGAGTAGCTGGGATTATAGGCATGTGCCACCACGCCCAGCTAATTTTTGTATTTTTAGTGCAGATGGGGTTTCACCATGTTGGCCAGGATGGTCTCGGTTTCCTGATCTCATGATCCACCAGCCTCGGCCTCCCAAAGTGTTGGGATTACAGGCATGAGCCACCACGCCCAGCCCCTTCTTATTCTTTATTATTTTGAGATAGAGTCTCAATCAGTCAGCCAGGCTGGTGTGCAGTGGTGCAATTTCAGCTCACTGCAGCCTTGACCTCTTGGGCTCAAGAGATTCTCCTGCCTCAGCCTTTTGAGTAGCTAGGATTATAGGAGCATGCCACCACACCTGGCTAAGTTTTGTATTTTTTTATAGAGATAGGGTTTTGCCATGTTGTCCAGGCTGGTCATGAACTCTTGAGTTCAAGCAGTCCACCCACCTTGGCCTCCCAAGGTAGGAGTCATGGTGCCTGGCCGACAGTGACTTCTTAATTCTTCATTACATCACTGCCTTTTGATGTATTTATTGTTTTTTATTAAATTTTTTTAATTAAAAAAAATTTTAATCTATTTATTTAGGGACTGGGTTATGAGACTGGCCAATCTTTGTGTTTTTGGTAGAGACAGGGTTTCGCCATGTTGCCCAGGCTGGTCTCAAACTCCTGGGCTCAAGTGATCCACTTGCCTAGACATCCCAAAGTGCTAGGATTACAGGCATGAGCCGTAGTGCCCAGCCTGTATTTATTATTAATAAACCAAAAACAAGGAAGTCACTCTCTCCCTTCTAACTTTTTTTTTTTTTGAGGCAGAGTCTCACCGTATCGCCCAGGCTGGAGTGCAATGGCACAATCTCAGCTCACTGCAACCTCTGCCTCCCGGGTTCAAGCAATTCTTCTGCCTCGGCCTCCCGAGTAGCTGGGATTACAGGCACCTGCCACCATGCCTGGCTAATCTTTTGTATCTTTAGTAGAGACAGAGTTTCACCATGTTGGCCAGGCTGGTCTCAAACTCCTGAACTCATGATCTGCCCGCCTCACCTCCCAAAGTGCTGGGATTACAGGTGTGAGCCACCACGCCCAGCCCTCTCCCTTCTAACTTTCATGGAGGCAGTCTGAGCTCTAGTCCTCACTTGGAGCTTGTCAGAGGTAGAAGGAATCCTGGAAGTCATCTTGCTTAGCTCTGCCATTTTACAAGGAGAAAAGTAAGGCCCAGTGAGGAGAGGGAGTGGGAGATTTTTGCAGGTGTATTTAGATCGTGACAGGTTTCAGCTCTTGTGGATTCCAATCCTGGGCTGCTTCTAGGTGGTTTACTTACCTCTAAATGGATGGGTGACCCATAAACCATGATGTCTGTTTCCTTATAGAAATCGTACCTAACTAGGCCTGGCGCGGTGGCTCACGCCTGTAATCCCAGGACTTTGGGAGGCCGAGGCGGGTGGATCACGAGGTCAGGAGATCGAGACCATCCTGGCTAGCACGGTGAAACCCCGTCTCTACTAAAAATACAAAAAATTAGCCGGGCGAGGTGGCGGGCGCCTGTAGTCCCAGCTACTTGGGAGGCTGAGGCAGGAGAATGGCGTGAACCCCGGGGGGCGGAGCCTGCAGTGAGCCGAGATCGCGCCACTGCACTCCAGCCTGGGCGACAGCGAGAGTCCGTCTCAAAAAAAAAAAAAAAAAAAAAGAAATAGTACCTACTAAGTGTACATATCTCCAATTGTCATAGCAACTCTATAAAATAGGTACTGAATTTTTTTTTTTTTTTTTTGTGAGACAAGGTCTCACTCTGTCGCCCGGGCTGGAGTGCAGTGGTGTGATCTTGGCTCACTGCAGCCTCTTGACTTCCCAGGCTCAAGGAATCCTCCCACCTCAGCCTCCTGAGTAGCTGGGACTACAGGAGTGCACCACCATGCCCAGCTAACTTTTGAATTTTTTGTAGAGACAGGGTTTTATCATGTTGCCCAAGCTGGTCTCAAACTCCTGGACTCAAGCGATCCTCCTGGCTTGGCTTCCCAAAGTGCTGAGATTACAGGTGTGAGACACCATACCTGCCTGAATTATTGCTCTTTGAAAAAGAACATAATGTCTATGGCCATACCACCCTGAATGCGCCCAATCTTGTCTGAAAAAGGGCATAATGCCTACTTCACAAGATTTAACAATATAACATTTGAAAATGATCTATAAATAGCAAAACACATAAATAAGAACTTTTTTTAACATTATGAAAACACAGTGAAAGAATATGGGCTGTAGTTGAACAGAACTTGAGGTCACCTCAGTTAAGTTGCCTGAGTCTGTTTTCTACTCTCTAAAATAGGGGCAACGATAACCTGCCTTGCAGGCTTGTCAAGAGGATTGGTGCTCAGATACATAAAGTCCTAACAGGGAGTTAGTGTTCAAGAACAGCTTACATGTATCCAGTGCTTACTATCTGTTAAAAATTGTTCAAAATACATTACATGGATTATCTCATTCAATTCTCACCTCACCTGAATAACAGGAATTATTGTTATGGTCCTCATTTTATCAATGAATAACCTGAACATATTAGGTTGATGCAAAAGTAGTCATGGTTTTTGCCATTAAATGTGATGGCAGGCTGGGTGCGGTAGCTCACACCTATAATCCCAACACTTTGGGAGGCCAAGGCAGGCAGATCACCTGAGGTCAGGAGTTCGAGACCAGCCTGGCCAACATGGTAAAACCCCATCTCTACTAAAAGTACAAAAATTAGCCGGGTGTGGTGGTGGGCGCCTGTAATCCCAGCTACTCAGGAGGCTGAGGCAGGAGAAGCTTGAACCCAGGAGGCGGAGGCTGCAGTGAGCAGAGATCACACCACTGTACTCCAGCCTGGTCAACAAGAGTGAGACTCCATCTCAAACGAAAAAAAAAAGTGATGGCAAAAACCGCAATTACTTTTGCACCAACCTAATACAATAAATGACTTTGCCAAGGTCACAAGCTGATAATGGTGGAGTTAGAGTTTGCCTTTAGGTGGTGTGGCTCAGAGCCCACATTCTCTAGCTCTGCACTCTGTTCTTTCCCAATAAAGAACTCTTACTTGTTGGGAGTAGGCCCCCCAAAATCTGGCCATAAACTGGCCCCAAAACTGGCCATAAACAAAATCTCTGCAGCATTGTAACATGTTCATAATGGCCCTAACGCCCACGCTGGAAGGTTGTGGGTTTACTGGAATGAGGGCAAGGAACACCTAGCCCGCCCAGGGTGGAAAACCGCTTAAAGGCATTCTTAAGCCACAAACAATAGCATGAGCGATCTGTGCCTTAAGGACATGCTCCTGCTGCAGTTAACTAGCCCAACCTATTCCTTTAATTCGGCCCATCCCTTCGTTTCCCATAAGGGATACTTTTAGTTAATTTAATATCTATAGAAACAATCCTAATAACTGGTTTGCTGTTAATAAATACATGGGTAAATCTCTGTTCGGGGCTTTCAGCTCTGAAGGCTGTGAGACCCCTGATTTCCCACTTCACACCTTTATGTTTCTGTGTGTGTGTCTTTAATTCCTCTAGCACCACTGGGTTAGGGTCTCCCCAACCAAGCTGGTCTTGGCATTACTAATATCACCATTGTATCTCTACAAAGAGAGAAGAAAGGCAAAAAGATAACTAATGTCAGCTTGGAAATGAAAAACCTTTGAATTAGGCAGAGATTGGTGGTGCTGGAGGGTCAAGGAAGTAGAGTTCAAGGGTTTACAAAGGAGTTGAGGAGTCTACATCATTAAAGTTGGTAATTATGGCTTTAACTTTTTTTTTTTTTTGAGATAAAGCCTCTCTCTATTGCCCAAGCTGGAGTACAGTGGTGCGATCTCAGATCACTGCAACCTCCGCCTCCCAGGTTCAAGCGATTCTCCTGCCTCAGCCTTCCGAGTAGCTGGGACTACAGGTGTGTACCACCACACCCAGCTAATTTTTGTATTTTTAGTAGAGATGGGGTTTCATCATGTTGGCCAGGATGGACTTGATCTCTTGACCTTGTGATCCACCTGCCTCGGCCTCCCAAAGTGCTGGGATTACAGGCGTGAGCCACTGTGCCCGGCCAGCTTTCACTTTTTAAACGTTTAATACATAAGATAATTATTTAAATATTTTCCTCCTGAAAAAAGGGACAGTTTAAATCTTGAGGGAATGAGTCTGTGATGCAGTTCCTGATGATTAGACAAGCATGAAACAGTTTATTACTCAGCTGAACACGGGAGGTCTCTGTGGTAATTTTGACTTGATTTTCTTTCTTTTTTTTTTTTTTTGAGACGGAGTCTCGATCCGTTGCCCAGGCTGGAGTGCAGTGGCACGATTTGGCTCACTGCAAGCTCTGCCTCCTGGGTTCACGCCATTCTCCGGCCTCAGCCTCCCCAGTAGCTGGGACTACAGACGCCTGCCACCAATGCCTGGCTAATTTTTTGTATTTTTAGTAGAGATGGGGTTTCACCGTGTTAGCCAGGATGGTCTCGATCTCCCGACCTCGTGATCCACCCGCCTCGGCCTCCCAAAGTGCTGGGATTACAGGCGTGAGCCACCGCGACCAGCCTGACTTGATTTTCTAAGTCACATACATATTAAAAATTTATTATTAGTGGCAGGCTTGGTGGCTCACACCAACTTGGTGAAAACCTGTCTCTATTAAAAAAATACAAAAACTAGCTGGGTGTGATGGCTCACGCCTGTAATCCCAGCTACTCAGGAGGCAGGAGAATCACTTGAACTGGGGAGGCAGAGGTTGCAGTGAGCCGAAATTGTGCCATTGCACTCCAGCATGGGCAACAAGAGTGAAACTCTGTCTCGAAAAAAAAATTATTAGTAGCATTATTGACTAGTACTCCAGTATATCAATGTATCACCGATTATCCTAAGATTTACCCATTAAAAGATATTTGGGGGCTGGGCACAGTGGCTCACACCTGTAAACCCAGCACTTTGGGAGGCCGAGGCAGGTAGATCACTTGAGGTCAGGCAGTTCAAGACCAGCCTGACCAACATGGTGAAACCCCCATCTCTACTAAAAATACCAAATTAGCCAGGCATAGTGGCACATGCCTGTAATCCCAGCTACTCGGGAGGCTGAAGCAGGAGAATCACTTGAACCTGGGAGGTGGAGGTTGCAGTGAGCCGAGATTGCACCATTGCACTCCAGCCTGGGCAACAAGAGCGAAACTCTGTCTCAAAAAAAAAAAAAAATTTGGGTTGTTTTACAATTATTGGTGATTATGAATAAAGCTACTATAAATATTTGCCAAAAAAAAATTACCTGCAATGGATAATGGCTAAAGACCCCAAGCATAAGAAACCCTGATGTTGAAATACTACATAAGGAGGAGCTTGCAAATAAGAATCCTGTAAATTTTCCTTAAAGTACTCTTCAACATATCTGTGAGTTGCATTTATTTAATCAAAAATCTTATCTAGCAGGGCAAGAAATCTTAGGGAACCACAGAAAACAATGGTACCAACAGAAAATATTGTCAGGGGCTGGAGGGAGAGGAGAATGGAAAGTGACTGGTAACAGATATGGTGTTTCTTTCTCAGGTGATGAAAATGTTCTCGAATAGGATAGTGGTTGATAATTGCGTAATTATGTTAATATACTAAAAACCATTGAATTGTATATATCAAAAGGGTGAACTTGGCCAGGCCAGTGGCTCACACTTGTAATCCCAGCTACTCTAGAGGCTGAGGCAGAAGGATCACCTGAGGCCAGATGTTCCAGACAAGCATGGGCAACATAGTGAGACCCTCATCTCTAAAGTAAAGAAAATTAGCCAGGCTTGTTTGTACCTGCCTGTAATCCCAGCTACTTGAGATGCTGAGGCAGGAGGATCTCATGAGTCTAGAGTGACAGAGTGCTTGTTCTATTCAGTTGAGTATTATATGCTTTAAATATTATGGTTTTTTGTTTTGTTTTATTTTGAGACAGAGTCCTGCTCTGTTGCCCAGGCTGGAGTGCAGTGGCACGATCTCAGCTCACTGCAAGCTCTATTTCCTGGGCTGAAGCAATTCTGCCTCAGCCTCCTGAGTAGCTGGGATTACAGGCACACCACCATGCCCAGCTAATTTTTGTATTTTTGGTAGAGATGGGGTTTCTCCACGTTGGCCAGACAGGTCTCGAACTCCTGACCTCAGGTGATCTGCCTGCCTCAGGCTCCCAAAGTGCTGGGATTACAGGCATTAGCCACTGTGCCCGGCCAATTTATGGTACATTCATATAATGGATTATCATGCAGTTATTAAGTATCACGATTTAGAAGAATATTAACTTGGGAAAATACTTAGAGTGAATTATCAAATGACAAATGTGGGCAGCACTGCAGTATGAAGCTATGTACACAGATGGATGGAGAAACACAGAAACCAGTGATTTCCTTTGGGTGGGAGTTAGTGTTCTACATATTTTTCTTTCTTAAAAAAATTAATTAATTAATTAATTATGTTTGAGACAGAGTCTCACTCTTGTCCAGGCTAGAGTACAGTGGCACGATCTTGGCTTACTGCAACCTCTACCTCCTGGGTTCAAGCGATTCTCCTGCCTCAGCCTTCGGAGTAGCTGGGACTACAGGTGCATAATACCACACCCAGCTAATTTTTGTAGTTTTAGTAGAGATGGGGTTTCACCACGTTTGTCAGGCTGGTCTCCATCTCCTGACCTCAGGTGATCCATCCATCTAGGCCTTGTTGGTATTACAGGCGTGAGCCACTGCGCTTGGCCCATATTTTTCTTTTCTTTTTTTTTTTTTGAGACCGAGTCTCGCTCTGTTGCCCAGGCTGGAGTGCAGTGGCGTGATCTTGGCTCACTGCAAGCTCCGCCTCCCGGCTTCACATGTTCTCCTGCCTCAGCCTCCCGGGTAGCTGGGACTACGGCACCCGCCACTAAGCCTGGCTTTTTTGTATTTTTAGTACAGACGGGGTTTCACTGTGTCAGCCAGGATGGTCTCGATCTCCTGACCTCGTGATCCACCCGCCTCTGCCTCCCAAAGTGCTGGGATTACACGCGTGAGCCACCACGCCCACCTCCCATATTTTTCTTTATAGTTAATGTATTCTTCAAGTTTTTGCCATTGACATTACTTCTTTTTTTTTTTTTGAGATAGGGTCTCTGCATCCAGGCTGGAGAGTGCAGTGGTGCAATCATAGCTCACTGCAACCTCAAACTCCTGGACTCAAGTGATCCTCCCACCTCAGCCTCCCGAGTAGCTGGGATGACAGGCATGCACCACCATGCCTGGATATATATTTTTTTAATTTTTAATTTTTATAGTAGTAGTGATAGGGAGGTCTTGGTATGTTGCCCAGGCTGGTCTTCAACAGCTGGGCTCAAATGATCTTCCCGCCTCAGCCTCCCAAAGCACTGGGAATATAGGCCCGCAAATTGATTTTTTTAAAGGGTAAAATGGGCTGGGCATGGTGGCTTATGCTTGTAATCCCAGAACTTTGGGAGGGCAAGGCGAGAGGATCATTTAAGCCCAGGAGTTTGAGACCAGCCTGGGCAACATAGGGAGATTCTGTCCCTACGAAAATTACAAAAAAAAAAAAAATTAGCTGGGTGTCGTGACACACACCTGTGGTCCCAGCTACTTGGGAGGCTGAGGCGGCAGGATCACTGGAGCCCAGGAGTTTGAGGATGCAGTGAGCCTTGATCGGGCCGCGGCCACTCCAGCCTGGATGACAGAACGAGACCTTCTTTCTTTTTTTTTTTTTTGAGACAGAGTCTCGTTCTGTCGCCCAGGCTGGAGTGCAGTGGCGCGATCTCTGCTCACTGCAAGCTCCGCCTCCCAGGTTCACGCCATTCTGTCTCAGCTTCCAGAGTAGCTGGGACTACAGGTGCCTGCCACCACGCCCGGCTAATTTTTTTTTTTTTTGTATTTTTAGTAGAGACAGGGGTTTCACCGTGTTAGCCAAGATGGTCTTGATCTCCTGACCTCGTGATCCGCCCGCCTTCGCCTCGCAAAGTGCTGGGATTACCGGCGTGAGCCACCGCGCCCGGCCGAGACCCTTTCTTAAAATAAATAAAATAATAAAATAACAATTTAAAAATAGATAACTTCTATATAACACCCAGTGAATGACAAAATGGTTTCAAAAAAAATTCCCGAGGGGTTGGTAAGATAGTATACTACTATGAAAGGATAAAAACCAAAAAACGCCGAAAATGTTCATGTAATGTTTAAGAACATTGGGCTTTGGAGTAAAATCTGGTTTATAGTCTAGACTCTCTCCTTGGAAGAGTGATAGAACTTCTCTGAGCTTCCGTTTTTTCTTTTTTTTCTTTTCTGGTTTTGTTTTTTTTTTTTTTTTTTTTTGACGGAGTCTCGCTCTGTCGCCCAGGCTGGAGTGCAATGGCACGATCTCGGCTCATTGCAACCTCCGCCTCCCAGGTTCAAGCGATTCTCCTGCCTCAGCCTGCCGAGTAGCTGGGACTACAGACACGTGCCACCACGCCCGGCTAATTTTTATGTATTTTTAGTAGAGACGGGGTTTCACCGTGTTGGCCAGGATGGTCTCGATCTCCTGACCTCGTGATCCGCCCGCCTCGGCCTCCCACAGTGTTGGATTACAGGCTTGAGCCACCGCGCCTGGCCGAGCTTCCGTTTTTCTTTCTATAAAATTGGGATGATACGAATATCATAGTGCTGTTTTTAGGATTAAACCAGATTATAGTTGTAAAAGAGCAGAACCTGTTGTAGGATAAACCCTCAATAAATGTGAAATGTTAACAATTATTGTTAAATAAATGTTACAGAACAATGCTCTCACCCCCACCTCCCCGGGCTACCCGGGGTAAGAAAGGGTAGACAAAGAGGAAAAATCCTCCACATGGGGCGATACATCCTCCTATTTTAAGGAAGAATCCAGAGGCTACCATGCATCTTTCCTAGCATATACATCACTTTGTCATTATCTGGTACAGAGTCGGCCCTGAAACTACACCCTTTCTATTTTTCATCCAATCACATCACCCGTGAAAGGCACTCTCCCTTCTCCACCCTTTCTTGCCCCTACTCCCACCCCTAGCTTCCCAGTTTACTTTTCCCAGTCACTCATTCCCCTCTTCCCCGCCCCGCCCAGAGGTCGTGGCTTCTCCCTCGCCCCGCCTATTTTCTAATTTTCCCGCCTCAGTAGCTCTTGGCCATTTGGGGATGTAGTTGTTTCTTTTCCCCCGCCTCTTCGTGACGTTTCAGAAATAAGACCTATGATTGGTTTTTCCGGAGCAAGAGCCGGCCAATGACAGGCAGATATTTTTGGTGCAGATGGGCAGCCAGTATTATCGCCGATGATTGGCTGGAGTGGCCCGAGTCGGGAAAATGGCTGCGAGTACCTCCATGGTCCCGGTGGCTGTGACGGCGGCAGTGGCGCCTGTCCTGTCCATAAACAGCGATTTCTCAGATTTGCGGGAAATTAAAAAGCAACTGCTGCTTATTGCGGGCCTTACCCGGGAGCGGGGCCTACTACACAGTAGCAAATGGTGAGATGTTGGAGTGGGAAGGGACGGGGCTTGGATCCTTGGCCTTGGGGGGCTTGTCGAGCTGATCTAGTTTGTGTGGGTGTTCCAGGTCGGCGGAGTTGGCTTTCTCTCTCCCTGCATTGCCTCTGGCCGAGCTGCAACCGCCTCCGCCTATTACAGAGGTAAGGACATGTTTACAGTGAGCGCTCCCCATCAACCCAGGGGTGTGCCTCAAGAGCCACTGAGTGCCCTGTCACTGGAGGAGAGCAAACTGCTTAGCAGAAATGTTTGTAGAGGGAATTCAGGCATTCAAAGAGCTGAGTGTTTTAAATGATTTTATCCATTTAGTTTTCTTGAGCTTTGAAAGACTTGGTGGTGCTCTTATTTAAAGCTGGGGAGAATTAGTAAACAATTACTGCTTATGATTTCAGCCTTTTAGGGCTTATAGCCAAACCTAGACATAAGAGTGCCTCATAATAGTAAATATTATTATAAGGAATTATTATAAGGATATCTCATAATAAATACCCAAAAGGATGAGAAGAATCAAAAGTTTTGGTCTGGCGCGGTGGCTCACGCCTGTAATCCCAACACTTTAGGAGGCCGAGGTGGGCGGATCACGAGGTTAGGAGTTCGAGACCAGCTTGGCCAACACGGTGAAACCCCGTCTCTAGTAAAAATACAAAATTAGCCGGACATGGTGGCGCGCGCCTGTAATCCCAGTTACTCGGGAGGCTGAGACAGGAGAATCGCTTAAACCCGGGAGGCGAAGGTTGCAGTGAGCTGAGATCGCGCCATTGCACTCCAGCCCGAGGGCAGAGCGGGACACTGTCTCAAAATAAATAATAAATAAATAAAGTTTTTACAATACCTACACTGTTGTCTGATCAGCATAGCAAATAATGGTTAAGTTTGGGTGCTGGATTGAGACGACTCTGGGTTCAAATGACCTTTGGCAACTTAACCTTCTGAGCCAGTTTCCTCATCTGTGCAGTGACGATAGTAATAGTATCTACTCAATGGGGATATTGAGAGAAGTCAATGAGATAATAATATAGACCGCTTAGAAGTGTGCCTGGTGCTTGCATCTATATTTCGGTCAAGTTCTTTATTAGCAGCACCAATGTGGGCAAATGATTTCTAAGTGACAGCCTTCTCATCTATAGATAATGTTAATAATTGCTGCATTTTCAAGAAGATTAAATAAAGCAATAAGGGTAAAGCATACGGTATACTCTTAGGTAAATTTTTTGAGTCAATGCAGTTTATATTTGTCTCATTAGCTTTTACTCTTGTGCCCACTTTCATAATGCCTAGGCCCATCGTTGGTCCTGAATAGGATAAATAATTGTTTTTGTTGTTTAAATTTTAGATTCAGGGGTTACTTGTGCAGATTTGCTACATGGATATATTGTGTGATTCTGAGGTTGGGCTTCAGTTGAACCCATCATCCAAATAGTGAACATAATACCTGATAGACAGTTTTATTTTATTTTACTTTTTTTTTTTTTTGAGACGGAGTCTTGCTCTTGTTGCCCAGGCTGGAGTGCAATGGCATGATGGCTCACTGCAACCTCTGCCTCCCGGGTTCAAGCAATTCTCCTGCCTCAACCTCCCGAGTAGCTCGGATTACAGGCACCCGTCACCACGCCTGGGTAACTTTTTGTATTTTTAGTAGGGACAGGGTTTCACCCTGTTTACCAGGCTGGTCTGGAACTCCTGACTTCAGGTGATCCACCTACCTTGGCCTCTCAAAGTGCTGGGACCTGGCCAGATAGTTTTCACCCTTTGCTTTCCTCCTTCCCCACTCTTGGAGTCCCTGGTGTCTGTTGTTCCCATCTTTAAGTCCGTGTGTACCCAGTGATCAGCTTCCACTTGTAAGTGAGAACATGCTGTATTTGGGTTTCTATTTCTGTGTTAATTCACTTTGGATAATGGCCTCTAGCTGCATCCATGTTACTGCAAAGGACATGATTTTGTTCTTTTTTATGGCTGTGTCGTATTCCATGGTGTATATGTACCACATTTTCTTTAGTGCACCATTGATGGGCACCTAGATTGATTCCATGTCTTTGCCATTGTGAATAGTGCTGTGGTAAACATGCGAGTGCAGATGTTTTTTTGGTAGAATAATTTATTTTCCTTTGGGTATATACCCAGTAATGGGATTGCTGAGTCAAATGGTAATTCTGTTTTTAGTTCTTTGAAAAATCTGTGAACTCTGTTAGTTCAGAGGCTGAACTAACTTAACAGTTCCATCAACAGTGTATAAGTGTTCCCTAAATAGGATAAATAACTATTGAATGAGTAAATAAAGCATATTTATTGAGAAGTAGAGCCTCAGTAAATATCACCCTCTCCTGAGGGTTTGTATTATATACAGGGATTTTACAGACATTGCAGAAACCTGACCATTATTGAATTATTGTAAAGTATTAGCTATTGGTTTGTTGAATAGCTTTCAGTTTGCTGTGAGAATGATTGATTCAGCAGCCTCTTTACCAATTTGTTGTGTACTTAGTGTTTTCAGGTCTTCTCTAGGGACTATCTCTGAAAAACCCCAGAGTAATGTTTTGATCTAAAGTGTAAACTAGAGTAAACCTTAAAACTGTGATTTATTTACTTTATTTTGTTTATTTATTTTTTTGAGATGGAATGTTGCTCTGTCACCCAGGCTGGAATGCAGTAGTTTGATCTCGGCTCACTGCAGCCTCTGCCTCCCAGGTTCAAGGGATTCTCCTTCCTCAGCCTCCTGAGTAGCTGGGACTACAGGCGTGTGCCACCACACCCAGCTAATTTTTTGTATTTTTAGTAGAGATGGGGTTTCACCGTGTTGGCCAGGCTGGTTTGAATTCCTGAACTCAGCTGATCCACCCACCGAGGCATCCCAGGGTGCTGGGGTTACAGGTGTGAGCCACCGTGCCTGGCCAAAACTGTGAATTTTTTTTTTTTTTTTTGAGACGGAGTCTTGCACTGTTACCCAGGCTGGAGTGCAGTGGCTCAATCTCGGCTCACCGCAACCTCCACCTCCCAGGTTCAAGCAATTCTCCTGTCCCAGCCTCCTGAGTAGCTGGGATTACAGGTGCATGCCACAACACCTGGCTAATTTTTTTGTATTTTTAGTAGAGAGGAGGTTTCACCATGTTGGCCAGGCTGGTCTCGAACTCCTGACCTCAAGTGATCCACCCCTCTCAGCCTCCCAAAGTGCTGTGCTGGGATTACATGCATGATTCACTGCTCTCAGCCATAACTGTGATATTTAAAGTTATTAAAATGCAAGAGTATTATGCTTGCTCAATCTACGTAGTAGATGTTTGTTATAGCTTACTCTCAATTTTTTTTTTTTTTTGAGACGGAGTTTTGCTGTATTACCCAGGCTAGGGTGCAATGGCCCAATATCGGCTCACTGCAACCTCTGGCTCCTGGGTTTCAGTGATTCTCCTGCCTCAGCCTCCCGAATAGCCGGGATTACCGAATGTGCCACCACGCCTGGCTAATTTTTGTATTTTTAACAGAGACGAGGTTTCACCATGTTGGCCAGGCTGGCCTCAAACTGCTGACCTTAGGTGATCCACCCACCTCAGCCTCCCAAAGTGCTAGGATTACAGGTGTGAGCCACCACACCCGGCTTGCTTACTCTCAGTGTTTTATAAACATTACCAAAGAAGCATGTCATATAAGGCCTTAAACTCGTTATCCTTTGTCTTGGACTTAAAGCTTTTCTTTTCTTTTCTTTTCTTTTTTTTTTTTTGAGTCTCACTCTGTTGCCCAGGCTGGAGTGCAATGGCATGATCTCCACTTACTGCAACCTCCACCTCCCAGGTTCAAGTGATTCTCCTTCCTCAGCCTCCCAAGTAGCTGGGATTACAGGTGCTCACCACCACACCTGGCTAATTTTTTGTATTTTTAGTAGAGATGGGGTTTCACCATGTTGGCTAGGCTGGTCTTGAACTCTTGACCTCAGGTGATCCACCTGTCTTAGCCTCCCAAAGTGCTGGGATTACAGGCATGAGCCACCACACCTGGCCCTGAAGCTTAGCTTTTCTGAATATAAGATGTGACTAGGACCAATTGTGGCTTCTTGGTTTAAAAACTCAACCTGGCTGAGCATGGTGGCCCATGCCTGTAATCCCAGCACTTTGGGAGGACTGCTTGAGGCCGGGAGTTCCAGACCAGCCTAAGCAACATAGTGAAACTATATCTGTACTAGAAATACATGGTGGTGCGGTGGCACGCACCTGTGGACCCAGTGACTTCAGAGGCTGAGGTGGGAGGAGGATCACTTGAGCCCAGGAGGCTGAGGTTGGAGTGATTTGAGATTGCGCCACTACACTGCAGCCCAGGAGACAGAGTGAGATCCTGTCTCAAAACGAAACAAAACTCAGCCAAATGCTAAATGCCTCTAAATTACATGTAATTTTCAGTAGAACATTCCAGATTCTTCCCATAAGCAAGAATGAAACAGAAAAATTTAAGATTATATAATCCAAATAGTAAAACTTTCTGAATTATAAGGATATATCGACTGTTACGAATATATTTTATGCTGGGCCTATAGTATGCATGTATACATAGTCTTGTATAATCTGAATGCTTTTCATTATAATCCATTTTGTTTTCCTGATGATGCCTTTCTTGATTTTTTTGTCCCATTCAGCAATAACAAGTATTTCTTACTCAAAAAGGCATAATGCAGGTGAAAGAGTTAGGGGGAAAGAAATAAACAAGTGGTGAGTTGATATGAGAAGGGCCTCCAGAATCCTAAATCAAATGGTCGTATTTAGGACATGTTGATCTAATGAAGAAAGCACTGAATATGTTTTGGTTCCAGTTTTGTTCTGGTGATATTTGGGGCAAGAAAGATGAGGAAAATACAGTTATTCAAATTTTAATTAACTCATCCTTAGAATTTGGAGGATTGGGCCGGTGGTGGCTCGTGCCTGTAATCCCAGCACTCTGCTGTGAGTTCAAGGCGGGTGGATCGCTTGAGGTCAGGAGTTCAAGACCAGCCTGGTGAAACTCCGTCTCTACTAAAATACAAAAATTAGCCAGGCATGGTGGCGGGCACCTGTAATCCCAGCTGCTAGGGAGGCCGAGGCAGGAGAATTGCTTGAACCTAGAAGGTGGAGGTTACAGTCAGCCAATATCACACCACTGCATTCCATCCTAGGCGACAGAGCGAGGCTCTGTCTCAAAAAAAAAAAAGAATTTGGGGGATTGAATTTTTGTTTTTTGTTTTTTTTTTGAGACAGAGTCTTGCTACGTCACCAGATTGAAGTGATGTGGCGCGATCTTGGCTCACTGCAGCAAGGCTCAGCCTCCCGAGTAGCTGGGACCCCCGGCACATAGTACCATGCCCAACTATTTTTTTGTATTTTTAGTAGAGGCAGGGTCTTGCCACGTTGCCCAGGCCGGTCCTGAACTCCTGAGTTCAAGCCATCCTCTTGCCCTGGTCTCCCACAGTGCTGGGATTACAGCCACTGCGCTCAGCCAAGGATTGTATGTTTTTAACTTAAATGTGACATTATCTAATTTTTTTTTAACATAGAGAATTACAGCTGTGTTCTGTGCCTTCAGCAATACTAAATTATGACAAAACTTTATTGAAGTACAAAAAATATAAGTAATTGCACGTACATTGCATTTATGTAGGACTGTAAAAGACAGGAGAAGGAATAGAATGCCAGTATTAATGCTGGATATTTTATGTGACTCACATTTTCCTCAAGTCAAATCTGTAAGGTCAGTATTATTGGCTTCATTTTACAGATGAAGAAATGGATGCTAAGAGAAGCTAAGTAACCTCCCTACCAATGTCCTGAAACCAGGAAATCAAAAAGTCAGAATTTGAATCTAGGTCCTTAACACTAAAGCCTATTCAACTTTCTACTACATTTATAGAAACAATACACATTTATGAGTGTTCGTTTAGTTTTTTAAAGTTTTCTTTTTTCTCCATTTTTTTATTTTGAAAAAATTAGAAAGAAAAACTTGGCCGGGTGCGGTCGCTCATACCTGTAATTCCAGCACTTTGGGAAGCCGAGGCAGGCAGATCACTTGAGGCCCTGAGTTTGAGACCAGCCTGGCCAACATGGCGAAACCCCATCACTACTAAAAATACAAAAATTAGCTGGAAGTGGTGGCGCACACCTGTAATCCCAGCTACTCTGGCAGCTGAGGCACAATAATCGCTTGAACCTGGGAGGCAGAGGTTGCAGTGAGCTGAGATTGCGCCACTGCACTCCAGCCTGGGTGACAGAGTGAGGCTCTGTCTCAAAAAAAAAAAAAAAAAAAGAGTTCTATGGGCTTACTTGGTAATAAAATAAATATATAAAATTATATATATATGCATCTACATATTCTAGGTTTTTAGGAGGAAGAAAACAATCCTTTTTCTTTTACATCTTGAAATTAACGAATATACTTTTTAGATTTGAAGTTTTGTTGTCCTATTCCCAACCACTTACATAAGCTTGTTTCTTTTTTAGGAAGATGCCCAGGATATGGATGCCTATACCCTGGCCAAGGCCTACTTTGACGTTAAAGAGTATGATCGGGCAGCACATTTCCTGCATGGCTGCAATAGCAAGAAAGCCTATTTTCTGTATATGTATTCCAGATATCTGGTGAGGGCCATTTTAAAATGTCATTCTGCCTTTAGTGAAACATCCATATTTAGAACCAATGGAAAAGTTAAATCTTTTAAATAGCTTAGCAGTGGGCCACTGAATGAATGTACTTTATACATAGCAATAATAAAAAAAAGATATCATAAATAAAGTTAAAAAGGATGGTAGAGAAGAAAATATTCTTAGGAATGACTAACAGGATAAGTAACAACCTGATTATTTATTTACTTTAGGTTATATAAGGTTCTTCATGCCTGTGAATTAATATTATTGTGTAAGAATTAAGTTAAAAAGCCTGGGCTGACTTTTAAATTTATAAATTCATTTATCATGTTTATAGTATATTTATTGTTTTTCTTTCATGGCTATTAAAAAGTATGACTGTAAAGGACAATGCAAGTAAACCAACTTAATACTGTATTGAATAATAAGTACAATTTATTATTTTACTTTGAAACATTATGAATTTACTTTCCTACTTTTTCTTAGTTGTTATCTATATAAATTGATTAAAAAAACATTTTATGTACTTCTCATTTCCTAGTACAGGTTGAGTATCCCTTATTTGAAGTGCTTGGGACCAAAAGTGTTTCAGATTTCAGATTTTTTTCAGATTTTGGTATATTTGCATTATACTTACTGGTTGAAATAAAAAATGCTGCAGTGAGTGTCATTGGTGCTTTGAGTGTCATTGGTGCTGAAAAAGTTTTGGGTTTTGGAGCAATGCAGATTTCAGATCTTATGATTTAGGTTGATCAACTATTAGCATAGCTTGTATTTGTCAAGCGTGGTAAATTCTTGCAGTTATGGACTATGTTTAAGTCATCTTTGTTTTTTTTTTTTTTTTCCAATTTACCATTTTAACATTTTTAAAGTGTACAGTTCAGTGGTATTAAATGCATTCATAATGTGCAACCATCACCACCACCCATCTCTAGAACATTTTTTATCTTGTAAAACTAAAATTCTATACCCATTAAACAATAACTCTCCATTTTTCCCTTTCCCCAAGGTGGACCCCTTGGCAACCACTATTCTATTTTCTGTTTCTATGATCTGGACTACTCTAAGTACCTTACATAAGTGGAATCATGCAGTATTAGTCTCTTTGTGACTGGCTTATTTCACTTACCATAATGCTGTCAAGTTTCATCCATGTTGTAGCATATATAAGAATTTCCTTTTTTAAAGTTTAATAATATTCCATTGTATTTATATACCACAGTTTGCTTATCTCCATGAGTTTAAGAAAGATATTTTGAAATTATGGGATTTAAAAAGTTAATCTTTCACATACAATCTATACCTGTGTAGAAGCACTAATTTGGATGAGTTATGGTAGAATAGAACCAGCATTTGCTGAAGTTTGGGATAAAATAAAGTTCCTTAAGGCAAATATATAAAATATAAAAGGAAGCCCGGGCGGCATGGTGAAACCCCGTCTCTACAAAAAATACAATAATTAGCCAGGTGTGGTGGTGTGTGCCTGTGGCCCCAGCTACTTGGGAGGCTGAGATAGGAGGATCGCTTGAGCCCAGGTGGTGGAGGTTACAGTGAGCCAAGATTGTACCACTATACTCCAGCCTGGGCAACAGAGCAAGACCCTGTCACCAAAAAAAAAAAGAAAGAAAGAAAAAGTCCGGGCGCGGTAGCTCACGCCTGTAATCCCAGCACTTTGGGAGGCAGAGGCGGGCGGATCACGAGGTCAGGAGATCAAGACCACGGTGAAACCCCGTCTCTACTAAAAATACAAAAAATTAGCTGGGCGCAGTGGCGAGCGCCTGTAGTCCCAGCTACTCGGGAGGCTGAGGCAGGAGAATGGCGTGAACCCGGAAGGTGGAGCTTGCAGTGAGCCGAGATCATACCACTATACTCCAGCCTGGGCGGCAGAGTGAGACTCCGTCTCCAAAAAAAGAAAAAAGAGAGTCTGAATGTTTACTTTGCTTTTTAACCTTTTATTTGAAAATGATTCCAAATTGACAAGTTGCGAGAATAAGAATAGTACAAAGAATACTTATGTACTTTTTTTTTTTTTTTTTGAAATGGAGTCTTTCTCTGTCACCCAGGCTGGAGTGCAGTGGTGCGATCTCAACTCACTGCAACCTCTGCCTCCCGGGTTCAAGCCTTTCTCTTACCTCAGCCTCCCAAGTAGCTGGGACTACAGGTGCATGCCAGCATGTCCAGTTAATTTTTGTAATTTTAGTAGAGATGGGGTTTCATCATATTGGTCAGGCTGGTCTCGAACTCCTGACCTCAGGTGATCCACCTGCCTTGGCCTCCCAAAGTGCTGGGATTACAGGCGTGAGCCACTGTGCCTGGCACTTCTGTACTCTTTATAGTTTTGCCTATTGTGAACATTAATCCTATTTGCTTTATCATTTCTCTCTACTTTATCTCTACACAACGTGTGCATACACATGGAATTGTTTTACTCTGAACCATTTGAGAATAAGTTGCAGATATCATCATTCTTTACCCCAAATGCTTTAATTTGTTCTCTTTAGAATAAGGACATTTTCTTAAATAACCACAACATAGTTATCAACTTTAGTAAATTTCACACCATATTGTTAAATATGGCATTTGATACTATATTCAATCTATTATTGAATTCCAATTTTTTTTTTATTTGAGATGGAGTCTAGCTCTGTCACCCAGGCTGGAGTGCAGTGTTGTGATCTCAGCTCACTGCAACCTCCGCCTCCCAGGTTCAAGCGATTCTCTAGCCTCAGCCTCCTGGGTAGCTGGGATTACAGGTGCTCACTACCATGCCCGGCTAATTTTTGTATTTTTTAGTAGGGACGGGGTTTCGCCACGTTGACCAGGCTGCTCTGGAACTCCTGACCTCAGGTGATTGGCGTGCCTCGGCCTCCCAAAGTGCTAGGATTACAGGTGTGAGCCACTGCACCCGGCCGAATTCCAATCTTGTCAATTGAGCCAGCAGTGTCTTCTATAGCATTTCCCCCTCAGTACAATCTAGAATCAGTTGTCATGTCTCTTTAATCTCCGCTAATCTGAAACAGCCTTATTTGTCTTTTATGACATTGACTTTTTTTGAAATTTATAAATCTTCCCTCCCTGTTTCTTTTTCTTTCTTTCTTTTTTTTAATCAATAGAGTATTTTTTAGAGCAGTTTTAGATTCACAGCAAAATTGAGCAGAAAGTACAGGAGTTCCCATATACCTCCTTCTCCCCTCTCACAGAGGTTCTGTCACCATCAGTATCCTGCACCAGTGTGATATATTTGTTGTAATCAATGAACCAGTATTGACACATATCAACAAAAGTCCACAGTTTACATTAGGGTTCACCCTGTGTTGTACATTCTGTGGGTTTGACTTCTTTTCCCTTTCCATTTCCCCTTCCTTTCCTTTCCCTCTCTCCTCCTTTTTTCACATATTCTTGGTATGTGAATCTTTCCCTTTTGTTAATAGAACATTCTTCATTTTGGATATGTCTGATGTTTTTTCACAGGGCATCGCATCTAGTGTTACACAATGCCTTTAAGCCCCTCACTGCTAATGTTAATTTTGATCATTTGATGAAGATGTTATCCATTTTCTCCACTGTGTAGTTACTGTTATTTCCCTTGCAACTCATCAACAGTCTGTGCGGATAACATTTTAAGACCATGCAGATATCTTGCTCCTCATACAAATTTTTCTCTAAATTTAGTATTCATTGTTAATTTTTATCTGAAGCAATCTTTACTATAATGTTTCAAAATGATGATTATCTACTCTAGCATTTTGTCTACATTTACTACTCAACGCTTGGCATTCTACTTTAAGAAAGAGCCTTCCCTCCCTTTCCCCATTTATTTATCTATTTAGTATCAGTATGAACTCATGGATTCCTATATTTTTAATTGTACATAATTCATTACTTAATTATTTTGGTGCTCAGATAACTCCAGATTTGGCCAGGGAGGCCCTGAAGAGTTATTTGAAATTAGTGACCAGCTGGGCACAGTGGCTCACGCCTGTAATCCCAACACTTTGGGAGGCCAAGGTGGGCAAATCACTTGAGGTCTGGAGTTCGAGACCAGCCTGACCAGCATGATGAAACCTCGTCGCAACTAAAAATACAAAAATTAGCCAGGCGTGGTGGCGGGTGCCTGTAATCCTAGCTACTCGGGAGGCTGAGGCTGGAGAATCACTTGAACCTGGGAGGCAGAGGTTGCAGTGAGCTGAGACCACGCTACTGCACTCCAGCCTGGGCAACAAAGCAAAGTGAGACTGTCTCAAATAAATAAATAAATAAATAATGACCAAAAGTCGATGCCATTTTGGTTGAACTTGGCCCTTTAGGTAGGATCAGGATGCTAGTTTTAAAGTATGTTTTAGAATAAACTGAAAAAAGACCTATTTGTTGATTTTCTCTTACAGTCTGGAGAAAAAAAGAAGGACGATGAAACAGTTGATAGCTTAGGTACGAATTTTTTTCTTTTACCTTTTGACCTAAAAAGCAGGGTTGCAAACTTAAATGCCTCCAACAGCCAGGCAGGTAATATGAATGGTCTGAGGATAACCATTACAAATTGGAAAGCACCTGGCTTATCTCAGCTACCTTGTACCCAGCTATAGCTGAGGGCTGTCTTGGGGGAATCTGGGGTTGGTATTGTGATGGCTTTCTTCCCTTGGCCCTACCCTGTTCCCTGCAACCTGAAGCTAGAAATTTAGAGTTTTATTTGAGGTTTTTGATTTTTAAACATTCATAACGAATTCAAATAAAAACTGTGTGGGTCTAACAGAATGACTGTAAACCCATTAGTAGTTGCAATTTCTGGAATACAGTAAATGGGTTGTGTAAGATATCATTGGTACCTTGTGTTTGCTAGAGGTTTCAGGTGTAACTTTCGTTGATGCTAAAGAGAATATCTATGCATATGAAAATGAGCTGGGTACAGTGGCTCACACCTATAATCCCAGCACTTTGGGAGTCTGAGGCGGAAGGATCACTTGAGCCCAGGAGTTTGAGACCAGCCTAGGGAACATAGCGAGACCCTGTCTCTAGAAAAATAAATAAATAAATAAAATAAGAAAATGAAAACCAGCATCCTAACCTTAGAACAGAGACTCTGTTTCTTTCCTAGGCCCCCTGGAAAAAGGACAAGTGAAAAATGAGGCGCTTAGAGAATTGAGAGTGGAGCTCAGCAAAAAACACCAAGCTCGAGAACTTGATGGATTTGGACTTTATCTGTAAGTGTTACAGTAATTTGGAACTTTCTGTAACATATTCTCCTGAGTAGAAAGCAGCTATTAAATAGCATTAACTTCTGTGATTGTTTCTTTTTTTTCCCAGGTATGGTGTGGTGCTTCGAAAACTGGACTTGGTTAAAGAGGCCATTGATGTGTTTGTGGAAGCTACTCATGTTTTGCCCTTGCATTGGGGAGCCTGGTTAGAACTCTGTAACCTGATCACAGACAAAGAGATGGTAAATTGTGATGAGCTATGTGAAAAACCCTCTGCTTCAAGCCTTTTGTAATTCTGTAGTAATATAGGGGTGGGGAAAGTTTTGGCAGGGCTTTGGTTATAGTTCTCCCTTTGCTGCGCCTCTGGTGTCTTTTCGCTGTTTTGGAAGTAAGTCTTTGTTTGAAAGACTGATGACTAGCTCTTTTTCAGTAGTTGCTGTTGGATTTGTATCCAGTTATACTAGAATATTTTTTTCATATTCATGTTTTCACATTTCAGTTCTATTGTGACTTGTTTTTGTTTTTGTTTGAGACGGAGTCTTGCTCTTTCATCTAGGCTGGAGTGCAGTGGTGCGATCTTGGCTCACGGCAACCTCTGCCTCCCAGGTTCAAGCAATTCTTCTGCCTCAGCCTCCCAAGTAGCTGGGACTACAGGCACGCACAACCATCCCCAGCTAATTTTTGTATTTTTAGTAGAGATGGGGTTTCACCATGTCGGCCAGGCTGGCTTCGAACTCCTGACCTCAGGTGATCCTCCTGCCTCAATCTCCCAAAGTGCTGGGATTACAGGCATGAACCACCACGCCCAGCCTATGTTACTTATTTTATAGACTGAATATTGTTGTAGTTTGTCCCCTAATCCCAAAGATGCTATAGGAAAGGTTTCTCTGCTGTCAAGAATTGTATTAAAACATTATGGCCAGGCACGGTGGCTCATGCCTGTAATCCTAGCACTTTGGGAAGCCAAGGTGGGTGGATCACCTGAGGTCAGGAGTTCAAGACCAGCCTGGTCAACGTGGTGAAACCATGTCTCTACTGAAAATATAAAAATTAACCAGGTGTGGTTGTGGATGCCTGTAATCCCAGCTACTCGGGAGGCTGAGGCAAGAGAATCACTTGAACTTGAGGGGCAGAGGTTGCAGTGAGCCCTGATGGTGCTATTTCACTCTAGCCTGGGCGAAAGAGCGAAACTCTGTCTCAAACAAACAAACAAACAAACAAACAAAAAATTGTTCAGGCCTCTTCTGAGCTGTCATGGATTCTGTAAAGATTCAGAAATTTGCTTATTAAAGAAATAATGTATACTAAGTTGTTCTTAAACTCCAGTCATTTTATTAGCCATTAGTAGAGGATATTGTCTATAGTGTTTATTTTGCTGTTCTTCAGTAGTTAATGGAAGCAACAATACACTTCCTTTTTTTGGCCTTAAAGTCTTGTTGATTTCCCCCAGTAGTGATTTATGTCACTAAATCTGTATCTGAAATCTTATCTTGGTTTACTTTTATTCACCTATGTGTAACTGCCTACTAGACTTTCATTGAAGGTTTGTTAAACAATCTCTGGATTCAAAATAGCAAAACCAAATTCCTTGTCTTGCCTACTAAATTATTTCTCCCAACTTGATAGACTTTTACTAGCATCGCTATTAACGACATCCAGTCTTGACACATTAGAGTCATACTTGTGTCTTCCTTTTCTCTTATCTGCCTTTATCTAGTCTGTCATGAGACATAACCATAGTTACTTTCTTGTATACATCTCTTTCTCTTGGTTTCCTTTATCATCTCAGTTGTCATCTCAAATTTGGATTACTTATAAGTAATGGGTACTTTCTATCTAGGGTTCCCATTTTTATACTTCCATTTCCAAGTCATCTCTATACTGTTTCCAAACTATTTCTTTCTCTTTTTTGTTTGTGGAGATGAGGTTTCACTCTCTTGTCAGGGCTGGTGTCAAACTCCTGGCCTCAAGGGATCCTTTCCCATAGCCTCCCAAAGTGCTGGGGTTGCAGGCTTGAGCCATTCCACCTGGCCTGTTTCCAAACTTATTCTTAAAGCTCCCATGTCATCATGTCATTCTCTTACTGAATATTTGCAGTGGTTCCCTATTGTATCCCATTATCTGTTGTACCCTAGGATGCGCTCTACCAGTTCAGTTTGATTTTTCTGCTACTTCCCAGTACATAGCCTCCCCGCAAACCAAGCTAGTTTCTTTGTCCTACTCACTCACAATCATCATGACTGTTTTGCCTCTCCTTATGCTATTACCCGTGTCTAGACTATTGTCTTCTTTCTCTTCCTCTCCCCTTTTGTATTCAAATCCTACCCATTCTCTAAGACTCACCTCAAATCCTGTCTTTTCTTTGGAGCCTTTCCCAACTAGGCTGTTCCTCCCTATTATGCTTGTAAGTCATATTCAGTTAATTGGACTGTCCTGTTTTCATTACTAGGTGTTCTAATAAAATTTTAGTGATAAATTCCTTTAGATAATAAAGATAGTTCCTGGATGTTTGTTTGAGAGAGAGGTCAAGTTATATTAAGTGTGTCCCTCTCTCTCCTGCTGCCAGCTGAAGTTCCTGTCTTTGCCAGACACCTGGATGAAAGAGTTTTTTCTGGCTCATATATACACAGAGTTGCAGTTGATAGAGGAGGCCCTGCAAAAGTATCAGAATCTCATTGATGTGGGCTTCTCTAAGAGCTCGTATATTGTTTCCCAAATTGCAGTTGCCTATCACAATATCAGAGGTGAGTGAATAAAGACAATGAAATACTATCAGACCCTGACAGGTGCATTGTGCTGTTTTCTGAACTATCTTCTTTCTGCAGATATTGACAAAGCCCTCTCCATTTTTAATGAGCTAAGGAAACAAGACCCTTACAGGATTGAAAATATGGACACATTCTCCAACCTTCTTTATGTCAGGGTGAGCTGCTTCCCTTGCTTGGATTTGATTAAGCTCTTTTGTGCACTAATCTGGGTTGGATTGTCACCCACTTGTATTAGCTACAGGAAAAATAATTTAGGGAGTTCTTTTTTCATGCTTATATTGTCTTTTTCTTTTATCCCAGAGCATGAAATCGGAGTTGAGTTATCTGGCTCATAACCTCTGTGAGATTGATAAATATCGTGTAGAAACGTGCTGTGTAATTGGTAAGAATTAACTACATTTTTTCTTTTAAGATTTATATTTATTATAAGTAACACATGTGAAAATAACCACAATTAGCTAGGGATGGTGGTGCGTGCCTTTAGTTTCCTCTACTCAGGAGACTGAGGCGGGAGGATCGCTTGAGAGCCCAGATGTCAGGGCAGCAGTCAGCTGTGATCATGTCACTGCACTCCAGGGCTGGGCAACAGAGTGAGAGCCCATCTCTTAAACAAACAAACAAACAAACCAACAAGCAAACAAAAACTCAATAATACAAAAGTGCCAAAGGTAACAAATACATACCATAGAATGTGAAAGCTCACTGATTAATCCTACTCTGAAGATTGTTTGGTGAACATGATTCCAGGATATTTTTCTGTGCAAATAGTAAAAATGTATGTGTAGGGGCTGGGCGCGGTGGCTCATGCCTGTAATCCCAGCACTTTGGGATGCCAGGGCAGGCAGATCATGAGGTGAGGTATTCGAGACCAGCCTGGCCAATATGGTGGAATCCCATCTCTACTAAAAATCCAAAAATTAGCCGGGTGTGGTGGCATGTGCCTGTAGTCCCAGCTGCTTGGGAAGTTGAGGCAGAAGAATCACATGAACCCGGGAGGTGGAGGTTGCAGTGAGCCAAGATCGTGCCACTACACTCCAGCCTGGGCGATAGAGTGAGACTCCGTCTCAAAAAAAAAAAAAAAAAAATAAATATGTATTACATGTTACGTCTATATTGTTTGCTTGCCAAAACTGTATCATTATACATAGTGCTATCTAACTTCCTTTTTTTTAACTTAATGATATATCTTTGCCATCTTTTCATGTTAGTACATTTAAACTTGTATTATTTTTGATGACTAGCATTTTATAGATGTACTTTTTTTTTTTTTTTTTTTGGTGACAGAGTCTCGCTCTGTCGTCCAGGCTGGAGTGCAGTGGCGCCATTGGCTCACTGAAAGCTCTGCCTCCCGGGTTTACACCATTCTCCTGCCTCAGCCTCCCGAGTAGCTGGGACTACAGGTGCCTGCCACCACGCCCGGCTAATTTTTTGTATTTTTAGTAGAGACTGGGTTTCTACTACTACAACGATTCTTTTTTTTTAAACATATTTTTAACAGTTCTTTTTAAAACAGAGACAGTTAAAATCAAAGGAAGCCAGGCATAATTACTAGCTTCAGTAGTCTTAGTGACTTGGGAGGTTGAGGCAGGAGATGGCCTCAGCCCAGGGTTCGAGTCCAGCCTGGGCAACCCCATCTGGCTTTAGACAGTGAGACCCTGTCTCTATTTAAAAAAAAAAAAAAAAAAAAAAAGGAAAAAAAAAGGCCAGGCGCGGTGGCTCACACCTGTAATCCCAGCACTTTGGGAGGCCAAGGCAGGTGGATCACGAGGTCAGGAGATCGAGACCATCCTGGCTAACATGGTGAAACCCCATCTCTACAAAAAATACAAAAAATTAGCTGGGCGTGGTGGCGGGCGCCTGTAGTCCAAGCTACTCGGGAGGCTGAGGCAGGAGAATGGTGTGAACCCTGGAGGCGGAGGTTGCAGTGAGCCGAGATCGTGCCACTGCACTCCAGCCTAGGCGACGGAGTGAGACTCCATCTCAAAAAAAAAGGCCGGGCACGGGGGCTCACAGCGCCTGTAATCCCAGCACTTTGGGAGGCCAAGGCGGGTGGATCATAAGGTCAGGAGTTCGAGACCAGCCTGGCCAACATGGAAACCCTGTTTCTACTAAAAATACAAAAATTAGCTAGGCGTGGTGGCAGGCACCTGTAATCCCAGCTACTTGGGAGGCTGAGGCAGGAGAATTGCTTGAACCCAGGAGGCCGAGGTTGCAGTGAGCCAAGATCATGCCACTGTGCTCCAGCCTGGGCAACAGTGAGACTCCATCTCAAAAAAAAAAAAAAATCAATATATATGAGAAGAATAATTATTAAGAAGCTTCTTTTTTCTTTCTTTTAATAATCATTCGAGGTGAACTCCTTAATGAATTGTGTTTTTTTTCCTTAATATATCCATAATGCCCAGTAAAATTTCTGCATACAGTCAATAAATGTTTGTTGAATTCAGCCCACCTACCTTAAAAATCAGAGCGGGGAACATTAGATATGACAAAAAATAATACGCTAGCTTTCATATTATAGCCAGTTCAGAGGAAGTGAAAAGGAGAAAGAAGGATGGAGAGAAGAAAAGGAAACTGAGGACCTGAGAGAATGAGACAATCTTAAGAGTAGAGTGATGGCAAGAATCTCCTACTTGTTTAGTCCTGGCTTCTTTTGCTTTTATGTCTTGATGTGACTTGCTCCCTTCTGTACCTGTCAGTCACAGTCTCTACTTGAGCGGCAGCATTTTATTTTATATATATATGTATATAATATATATTATATATATGTATATATATACACATATATAAAATATATGTATATATACACATATATAATATATGTATATATATACATATATATTATATGTATATATATACATATATATTATATGTATATATGCATATATATTATATGTATATATGCATATATAAAATATATGTATATAATATATATTATATATGTATATATATTTATATTTATATATAAATATATCATATATAATATATATTATATATAATATATTATATATAAATATATTATATATAATTATATTATATATAAATATATATAATTTATATATATTTATATATATATATTTTTTACATATATGTATACTGCAGTATAGCATAGTTAAGCTTTGGACTCTGAGCCAGATTGCCCAATTTTAAATTCTGGTTTAGATACTAACTAGCTGTGTAATCTTGGACAAGTTACCTAACCTTCTGTGCTTTAGTTCCTTCATCTGTAAAAGGAGAATAATAAAATGTGAGCCACTGCGCCTGGCCCATAAAGGAGATTTTTTAAAGTGCAGGGTTTCTTTTGCTTGCTGTACCTTTCCCCCTTTAAGTTACTTGTGTTAACATGTTCTCATGCCACATTAAAAGGAATATGTATATATACATATGCAAGGTTTAATGGGCTGCTTGCTTTACAAAAATAGGATATTATATACATACTCTGCATTTTGGTTTTCTCATTCAACAGTATTTCATGAAAATCCTTCTTAGTCTTGGTGTAGCTCTTCATTCTTTTTAAAAAAAATATAGCTTAGGCCAGTGCAGGGGCTCAGCACTTTGGGAGGCTGAGGCAGGAGGATTACTTGAGCCCAGGAGTTCAAGACCAGCCTGGGCGGGTGGATCACCTGAGCTCAGGAGTTCGAGACCAGCCTGGCCAACATGGTGAAACCCTGTCACTACTAAAAATATGAAAATTAGCCGGGCATGGTGGCGGATACCTGTAATCCCAGCTACTCAGGAGACTGAGGCAGGAGAATCGCTAGAATCCGGGAGGCGGAGGGTGCAGTGAGCCAAGGTCGTACCATTGCACTCCAGCCTGGGCGACAAGAGCGAAACTCTGTCTCAAAAAAAAAAAAAAAAAAAAGACACCAAAAAAACACATAGTTTTATTGAGGTATAATTTGCATACCATAAAATGTTAAGTCTACATTTCAATGAGTTTTTGTAAATTTATGCAGTTGTAACCATTACCATAATCCAGTTTAGAATACTCCATCACCCCAAAAAGTTCCCTCGTGTGTATTTGCAGTCAGTCCCATTCCCATCCCCCAGCAACCACTGCTTTGCTTCTTTATAGTTTTGCCTGTTCCAGGAATTTCATATAAATAGATTCTTGCAATATTTAGTCTTATTGTCTGGCTTCTTTCAGTTAGCTTTTTTTTGAGACACGGTCTCTCTCTGTCACCAGGCTGGAGTGCAGTGGCGTGAATTCCTGGGCTCAAGCTTTCTCCTGCCTCAGCCTCTGGAGTAGCTGGGACTACAGGCATATATCACCACACCTGGATACTTTTTATTTTTAGAGACAGGGTCTCACTATGTTGCCCATGCTGGTCTCGAACTCCTGACCTTAAGTGATCCTCCCACCTCAGCCTCCCATCCATTAGCATGCTTTTGAGGTTCATCCATATTGTAGCATGTATCAGTAGTTCCTTTTATTGCTGAGTAGTATTCCATGTTTGGATATGCCACATTTTGTTTATTCACCAGTTGATATAAGACAGATGGCTCTTATACTTTCTTCAGCTGAAATCTTTCACTTCCACTTTTTAAGACCAATGAGAATAGAACTGCTTTGATTCTTGTGTGAGACGGAAACTTAGAGCGCTACCTTTTTTTTTTTTTTGGAGACGGAGTTTTGCTTTTGTTGCCCAGGCTGGAGTGCAATGGCGCGATCTTGGCTCACCGCAACCTCTGCCTCCTGGGTTCAAGCGATTCTCCTGCCTTAGCCTCCTGAGGAGCTGGGATTACAGGCATGTGCCACCATGCCCAGCTAATTTTGTATTTTTAGTAGAGACCGAGTTTCTTCCTATTGGTCAGACTGGTCTCGAACTCCTGACCTCAGGTGATCCGCCCGCCTTAGCCTCCCAAAGTGGTGGGATTACAGGCGTGATCCACCACTCCTGGTCAGAATGCTACCTTTTTAACCCTTGAGGTACCTGTTTTTTTTTTTTGAGACAGAATCATACCTCTTTTTTTCCTTTTTTTTTAAGATGTTGTTTTGCTCTATTACCCAAGCTGGAGTGCAGTGGCACGATCTCAGCTCATTGCAACCTCTGCCTCCCAGGTTCAAGCGATTCTCCTGCCTCAGCTTCCTGAGTAGCTGGGACTACAGATGTGCGCCACTATGCCCGGCTAATTTTTGTATTTTTAGTAGAGACAGGGTTTTGCCATGTTGGCCAGGCTGGTCTGAAACTTCTGACCTCAGGTGATCTGTCCACCTTGGCCTCCCAAAGTGCTGGGATTACAGGCGTGAGTCACCATGCCCAGCCTGGGTACCTCTTTAGAAACCTAGGCTCCAAGGAATATAGTTTGAAAACCACCGATGTAAAGCATAATCTAAGAAAATGTATATATAGGCCAGATGTGGTGGCTCATGCCTTTGATTCCAGCACTTTGGGAGGCTGAGGCAGGAAGATCGCTTGAGCTCAGGAGTTTGTGACCACCCTGGCAACATAGGGAGACTGTCTCCACAAAAAAATTTAAAAATTACCCCGGCTTGGTGGCATGTGCCTGTGCTCCCAGCTACTTGAAAGCCTTATGTGGGAGGATTGCTTGAGCTCAGGAGGTTGAGGCTGCAGTGAGCTGTGATTACACTACTGCTTTCCAGCCTGTGTGACAAAGCAAGACTTTGTCTCAGAAAAAAAGAAAGAAAGAGACTGTGTATATAAATGCTGTATCCAGGTGATATTAAAAGGAATAAAAACTTGCAGTGTTTAAGAATACTTTTTTTTTTAACCGGAATGTGTGACAGATGAAATATATTTCCCAAGGGAATATTTCCCTTTTGTACAATTTGGGTGTTTTGCCAGGACTTTAGAGGGAATGGGTTATGGTTTCACGCCCATTTGGTGGAATGCTATCTATTTTAATGGACTTTTATTTTTACCTTTCTGATTATTCATTTTTTTGTTTGATTTTTAATCAGGCAATTATTACAGTTTACGTTCTCAGCATGAGAAAGCAGCCTTATATTTCCAGAGAGCCCTGAAATTAAATCCTCGGTATCTTGGTGCCTGGACACTAATGGGACATGAGTACATGGAGATGAAGAACACGTCTGCTGCTATCCAGGCTTATAGGTGATTATCTATAGGTGGTGAGGTAGAGCAGATTGCTGTGGTTAGGAGCCTCTAAGCCTGCAAGTTGCCAACCTTGATTCTGCCTTCTTAACAACCTGTCTTTTCCATTTCTTAGACATGCCATTGAGGTCAACAAACGGGACTACAGAGCTTGGTATGGCCTCGGGCAGACCTATGAAATCCTTAAGATGCCATTTTACTGCCTTTATTATTATAGACGGGCCCACCAGCTTCGGTAAGCCTGGTCACTTGACAATGCGTCTGATATGGGAAGGGCTAATAACTTTTTTTTCCTCTTTTGATAGCTATTGACAAATCACAGTGGATGGTTTTGGCTCTTGGGGATCTGAGGTTAAAGTTGCTGAAGGCTGTTTGGTTATTTTCATTTAGTATATTTCACTAATGGGTTAATAGTATAATTATGAACACAAAGTAATCTATTATATGGAGCATCAGGTTAAAGACCAGTTGTTGCATAGATTTGAAATAGTGGTGTACTGGTTCCTCAAAAGAGAACTTCAGTTTCTGTAAAGTCTTTGCTCAGACTGCCTGTTCTTCTTTCTCAGACCCAATGATTCTCGCATGCTGGTTGCTTTAGGAGAATGTTACGAGAAACTCAATCAACTAGTGGAAGCCAAAAAGGTACCTTAAATTGGGTCCTGAAGAATTTGAGTGGAAATCTGCTGTTTAGATGAAGGTTGGGCTATCTGTGCTCTAATTTTTCCCTTATTCTGATCTAGGTGCATAGGAAAGTCTGAATATTTATAGATACATAGTCTGAAAGCAAAGCTGGGCCAAGGTCATCAGTGGGAATGTCAGTGTGTAGCCTAGACCTATCAGAACTAGTAAAAATGTCTTGCATTCTATAAATCTGAACTTCTGGGAGGCTTGCAGGGTCTTAACCTTCATATGATTTAGTTGTGACACATGGGACAATGGTCAAAATGACCAGTTTATTTTTTTGACAGTGTTATTGGAGAGCTTACGCCGTGGGAGATGTGGAGAAAATGGCTCTGGTGAAACTGGCAAAGTGAGTGAAAGGAGTGAAATGCTATTGATATTTCTGTTGGCTTCTCTGGGATGGTGGGTCCTGCATGGTCTAGAGCCTCCCATACACCCATCATTCTACATAGGTGTAGGGATGTAGCAGGGTGTGTGAATGCTGGTTTGTGAATGTAGCCATCTTGTTCCTAGAGAATGCCACTTCTGGCCAGGTGCAGTGGCTCATGCCTGTAATTCTAGCACTTTGGGCGGCTGAGGGAGGTGGATGACCTGAGGTCAGGAGTTCAAGACCTGGGAGGTGGAGGTTGCAGTGAGCCGAGATCGCGCCATTGCACTCCAGCCTGGGCAACAAGAGCAAAACTCCATCTCAAAATAAAAAAAATAAAAAGAGAATGCTACTTCTCTTGAAGGAGGGCCGTTGCTTTCCTATTAAAGCAAGAGATCAAGATTGATTTGAAGAAAGGATAACATTTTTGTGTCAAACTACTTTCAGTATTAATTTCCTGCTAAGGGCCAGAAAAATTAGGAATAACTCAAATAGTAGGCAAAGAGGTTCTTAAATGTAAAGAGGTTCCTGTCTGGATTCTTAGGAAAAAAATTGAGTTGCTTGGTATCTTTTTTTTTTTTTTTGTAATTTATAGATAGGATCTTGCTGTGATGACCAGGTTGGTCTTGAAGTCATTGGTCTCAGCCAGATTAGAGAGTAGCTAGGATTATGGCCCTATGCCACCATGCCTGGCCACTTGTTATCTTTTTTTTTTGAGACGGAGTCTTGCTCTGTCACGGAGGCTAGAGTGCAACCTCTGCCTCCTGGGTTCAAATGATTCTCCTGCCTCAGTCTCCCGAGTAGCTGGCATTACAGGCGCTTGCCACCACACCTGGCTAATTTTTGTATTTTTTAGTAGAGACAGAGTTTTGCCATGTTGGCCAGGCTGGTCTTGAACTCCTGATCTCTGATGACCCACCCGCCTTGGCCTCCCAAAGTGCTGGGATTACAGGTGTGAGCCACAGTGCCCAGCTTTTTTTTTTTTTTTTCTTTTTTTGGAGTCAGAGTCTCATTCTGTGGCCCAGGCTGGAGTGTAGTGGTATGATCTTGGCTCACTGCAACCTCCACCTTCCAAGTTAAAGCAATTCTCCTGCTCCAGCTTCCTGAGTAGGTGGGATTACAGGCATGTGTCACAACGCCCGGCTAATTTTTCTACTTTTAGTAGAGATGAGGTTTCACCTTGTTGGCCATGCTGGTCTCAAACTCCTGACCTCAAGTGATCTGCCCTCCTTGGCCTCCCAAAGTGCTGGGATTACAGGCATGAGCCACTTTACTCTGGGTATTACTAGATAATTTTTGCAAGGATGGTTTATCTAGCTTAGATATTAATATTTACTGACTCTCCTTCCATCATTAGCAGAGTAATGATTCTAAGCTTTGATAACAGTAACTATCACATCTAATACTATTCTAGTTCCAAGAGTGTCATTTATGTCAAAATTGATACTTACCTATGTATTGTTTTTTTTGGTCTTATGTACTTTTACTTTTTTTATCACTAAGTTGCTTTGGGATATCATTGGTATTTAAAGATCAGTTTCTTTTGTAGGCTTCATGAACAGTTGACTGAGTCAGAACAGGCTGCCCAGTGTTACATCAAATATATCCAAGATATCTATTCCTGTGGGGTATGTATCATACCATGAGAATTGTACTGCTGATATTATTACTGTCACCTCAGTAATTTTGCTTTCCCTTTCTAGGAAATAGTAGAACACTTGGAGGAAAGCACTGCCTTTCGCTATCTGGCCCAGTACTATTTTAAGTGCAAACTGTGGGATGAAGCTTCAACTTGTGCACAAAAGTGTTGTGCATTTAATGATGTGAGTATCAGTTCTTTAATAAAAGGTTTGAATTTTAGGCTAGAACATAAGATATTTAAGTGGAAAGCCTACCTTGGCCAGGCAAGCGGCTCACACCTATAATCCCAACACTTTGGGAGGCTGAGGCAGGAGGATCGCTTGTGTCCAGGAGTTCAAGACCAGCCTGGACAAAAAAGGGAGAGCTTGTCTCTACAAAAATTAAATTTTGCCAGGTTTGGTGGTGCATGCCTGTGGTCCCAGCTACTCAGGAGGCTGAGGTGAGAGGATCACTTGATCCTCTGCAGTGAGGTCGAGGCTGCAGTGAGCCTTGATCACACCACTGCACTGTAGCCTGGGTGACACAGTGAGACTCCATCTCAAAAAAAAAAAACAAGCAAGCCTCCCGCCTCCTTGATCTGTGGAACTTGTTTAACAGCATCTTAATAACTTGTTTTCGAGACTAGCTTTGGACATGTTTTGAAACATTTCCCTGACTTTGTTGCAGACCCGGGAAGAAGGTAAGGCCTTACTCCGGCAAATCCTACAGCTTCGGAACCAAGGCGAGACTCCTACCACCGAGGTGCCTGCTCCCTTTTTCCTACCTGCTTCACTCTCTGCTAACAATACCCCCACACGCAGAGTTTCTCCACTCAACTTGTCTTCTGTCACGCCATAGTTGGCTACTCTCAAGCCAGCACATTGTTAGACCCATCTTAATTAAGCCTTACCTCCATGTAAAGAACAGCACGTCTGTTCCAAGGACCTCAGCTCTTCTTGTTTCTACAGATGGCAACAGCTCCATAGGGACAGCTTGTATAATTACCTTCAGAGGCCAACTGACAGAATCCTGGCAGGAACAGACATTATCTTGCCAGTTAGAAGTACTTCTGTCTCACTTATGTCCAAAGAGTGGCTATAGATCTTGGCCTTCTTCCCTGAATGCTTTTTTTTTTTGGCCCCCAAGAAAGTCCCTTTTATAGCACTTTAGCACAGGCAATGCTACAGGAACAAAGTTTCAATGCTGCTGAGAGTGAAAGAAAGGAGGAAAGTCTGCCACTCTACCCTGAGCTGGCAGTAGGGCACTGAGTACCCTAGGAAGAAGTCAGAGCAATGGATACAAATGACCTTGCTCTTGGATTTGCTGAGCATGATCCCTATTCTGATGTCAGAGATTAGGTTTAAATGGAATAGAGCTATCCATTTGTTCTTACTCTCTAGGGAGACAATCTTCCAAAACAGTTTTGGGGGGGTCTTCTAAAGCTTTCAAATTGGAAGTAACTTTATTCAACTAGAGTTGAATAAAAGAAGGGCAAAAATAATCTCACAGAGCTTGGAACTGCTGATAGCCCTTACTGAGGGCAAAAGATGGCTATATTGTTAGCTATACTCCTACCAAAGCAAGCAAGGAGATAGGATTATAGATAATTTCACGGACATTTGGAAATAACATTGGTGATTATACAGACAAGAATAAACTCACTTCAAGCTGGTCTGTTTTAATAAATTTTCAACGTAATTGTCTATTTTTTTCCCTCCCATCTGCAACAGAATACATTTTTTTCAGCCTTTATCTAGATGAGGTAAAGGGAATCATTCTTATGGTGCTCTTGGAGAGTTTCAGGCCTGTGCATGTGTGTACAGCAGGAGGTAATATGCTATAATGTCTGCTGTAATATATTTGCACAGTAGATGCTATGGATCATTCTGAGCTCAGGGTCCAGACTTTATTCTTATTCCCAGAATTTTGTGTTACGTTTTTACCTCCTAACATATGACACTTCATCTTATATTAAGGAAGGTTTAGAATATCTAATACGACTTGAATTCATTTGTTACTAAGCCTTCTCAGGCAAGCTGTATACTAGTTACTGGTCTCCACTGCCATGCCTTTTCAAGGTTCCCATGGTCCAGAATGATGTTTGATTCTTAATTTTTCTGTCCCTTTTATAATTTGTTTTAATGATTTTGCTACATTTGGAATTCAATAAAAAATGTGAACAATAATATCTTTAATATAACTGTTTTTGTGTGCATAGAAATCATATAAGTAAATAAAAAAAAACAACAACATGAGATTACATAGGTGGTTATAATACAAAAGTGAGAAAAAAGCTAGTGTCTGAGTATTGCATCCTGGATATAATTCCTGATATATGGTAAAGCATAAAAGAGACCTATTTCTTCAGGAGAGTAGCTGACCCACCTCAGGGCCATGACTGCTCTTCTCTTTCCCCACAGCCTTAGTACTTTTTGCCAAAAGGCCCAGATTTGAGTAAAGGGGAACGCCGTGAGCGTAGGATCCGGGCATAAGGGCTGCAGTCTGTTGAGCTTTGGCAGGTTGGTGTTCGGGGAAGTAAATTTCGAAGGAATGGTTTCTTCCCTGGTGGTTGTTGGTTTGGTTGCTGATTTTCCTGGTTGGTACCAAGGCGCTTTTTGGCAGAAACCTGGCCTTGGAGTTTCAACACAGTATGATACTGCTCAGCAATACATGCTGCCTTCTTCCGAAGGTCCAGTTTCACTAGCACCATGTTGTTCTGCAGTTCAGCCAGAGTCTGGTCCTAAGGAAGATCAATAAAGTTATAGAAAACACTTTTGTCTGGTATATTAGAGAAACGAGAGGGCTAAGGGTAATACATACCATCCATTACTAGTTACTAACAACTGTTTCTTCAAAGATTAAAACTCTTTAAGGTCGGAGCTTATAACTGAATAAGGGGACATTTTCTGAGAACAAAACATAAGCAGTGCTGAATAGGACATCTTCTAACACATAAGGTAGTATGAGCTTGAGTAAATTTAATTTCTAAGTGCCTCAGTCTCTAAATGTCAAATTAAATGTTGAGTTTAGTTTAAGATACACAATTTTAACATTTTAATCTCTTTGGAATCAGGATGCATCTTACTGATGAGAAATTGTTACTTTTTTCTTAGTAGTACATAAAATAATGGTTTCTTATAATCAGTAGCATCTTAGATGAAATATGACAGTAACTACCTCCCTAAGGTGGTTGTGACAGAAAATGCCTATAAATTACTTAGCACAGTGCCTGGTACTTAGTAAATGCTTAACAAAGAATAGTTATTTTTATTTTGCAAATATACTGCTCTCACTATAAATTCAGCCTAAAAATCTTTACCTTTTTCTTCTGGTCCTCTTTCCTTTCTCACATATACACTGGAGTGGGCTGGTAGGACAGAAGTGGGTATATAGTTTGCCCTAACCTGTTTGATTAAGATGTCATCACAAGTGGTCAAGGCTTGACGAAGTTTTCCTGCCCCAGTGCTGTGGCAACAAGCTCTCTCTGCTGATTGGAGAGACTCACCAAGTTTCTGAAGCTCTGTCCGCAACAGCCTTATATTCTGAAAAAGGGGAAGTAGGAATCATATTGTGGCCAAGAGCAACCAGGATAATGATCTGGAGGGGTCAGGTAGCCATTTGAAGAGAAGTAAAATTAGAAAGGCTAGTCAGCTGAGTGAAATAGCCACTCTCCAGAACTGTGCACAAAAAACATCTTGTCTTCACATGAACCAGTGATAGAGTGTTGGATGTGGGAAATTGCCTTAGGTAAGAGTTTGGTAAACAGAGAATGGTGGTAATTACCTTCTGGCCCTCTTCTAACTTCTTGTCCACATCAATGGTGAAGGGCTTGGCTGAGGGTGGTGGTTCTAACATTTTCTGATACTTATGCAACTCTGAGGGAAGGAAACAGGAAACTTAAAATATGTGGGGTTTTTTTAGCCTTGGACTAACCTCTTTAACTGAGGTAACAGTAGCTTGCAGCAAATATAAAAAGTGAGGCTATGTGTATCCTAGATTGAAATGTCAGGGGGATGTAGCTTGCAGTTTAGGAAATTATGTTAGAGCAGGAGTTAGAAGGCCTGGGTTTAAGTAACAGCTCTTCCCTGAACCACTGTTATGTTTCCTGCCTGTCTCTTTCCTCACCTTCAGTGGTAGAGTTTAGCTCTGCTTTGCACTGCTGTAATTTAGCTTTAACCTCCTGAAGCTGCTGGGTGGAGGCAGAAGCTGCCAACCTTTGTGACCGCCGTAGGGCCAATTCAGACCCTGATTGCTGATGGGCCACTGACTGTTGTCTGGCTTCCTGCAAGAGAGCTTCTAGCTCTTCAATCTTTTCATCCCGCTCCTAAGAGGGAAGCAGAGAGCACAATTCTTTGCAGAGCCAGAAAAATATTGCTAAGACAGATGACTGAACAAACAAAGCACTTGTGACACTGATCCCTTGAAAACCTGTTGTTAGCACTTAATACGATTTCCTGGCCAACTAAACCCTTAATCAATTCACCAAACATAGATTGAACCCAAAGCACTATGGGGAATAGAGAAAAGGGAGTTATATATTCCTGCCCTTACTGGAGTAGTTTATAAAATCTCTTTACTTCAGGCAAGCTAGTGATGGAAATCTGAGCAGCTAATTGGAGCTGGCTCAGGGCAACTCACCTGAATCTCTTCTTGGTAAAAACTTGTCAGTGACTCCTTGAGGATATTTAGTTTTTCTTCATACATTTCCTCCAATAGTTCCTTTTGGGTGTCCAAATGTTCACTGTCAGAAACAGAGGAGAAAAGAGAGGTAAGTGAAGGTTCTGAGGAGTGAACTTGGGGAACAGATCTTGAGGCACAACTCCACCTAACTCCTTACTTCCCACCCTCTGTCTCAGGTGACAGAGCAAGAGGGGTCACTCAGCTAGTACCTGCACCACTGTTCCCGCTGTTGCATCTGTTCTACCATCTCATTGCAAATTTCATCTCGGAGATGCATCTCCAGCTGTAGCTTTTCCTGTCGTTCCTTCAAAAGCAGTGTCTTCATGGCTTCCACAACTTGTAGGAGCTCCTAGGAGAGACACACATGTCAGAGGTCATCAGATGCTCATGCCCTCAGAAGGCACAAGCCCACCTGGAAGGCACCATGGAAAAATGTGTAGCTACTAAGCTGCTACACTAAAGCTTTCTTGTATTCTCACCTCTTTGCCATACATGGAGATGTCAGCTTCATTTTCAATATCATCATCAAGGCCTGTGTCTGCCTTAGCCCCTTTCTCTAAGCTGGGGGATACCTGAAGACTATGTTCCTTGATGAACGAGTGCAGGGATGGGAATCCCAGTTGCATAGGTGGGGCATGCACAAGCTAGAGGGAAAAAAAATATCTTACTTGACTCCATAAGTAGTCCCTAGGAGCTTTCTTAGAGTTACCAGTTCCAAGTGCGCACACCCATCACACCTCTAGCTTCTCACCTGGCTAGCAATGGCTGAGAACTTGGCCACATGAAGAGTTTCATCATAGGTAGATGCACAGGGATTCACATTGACAATCATGCAGGAACGGCCTCGGCCTGTGAAGAAACCTTGGAACACTCGAGTCAACTTGCTGTCACGGAAGGGAACCAGGTTCTGCTTTGACCTGGCAGAGAATCAGAGATAATAGAGCTGTGAGCAGAACACCAGCCCTTTGGGTATCCTAGCACCATCCCCAGTGGTGTCCAGGAAGTCTCTTAGCAAATTGCAGAGCCCAGGAATTATAGTCAAAAGCTCACCGGTTCTGCTGGTTTTGACGAAGGGCAGCAATACAGCGGCCCAGGGTGTGTAGAGAGGTGTTAATGTTTCCTGCTTCCTTCAACCGTTCACCACTCTTCTGATCTTTGCAGCGCTCTGAGCCAGCCAGATCACAGAGTGACAGCCTAGAATGATGCACAGGATCTGACATAAGGGCCTCACATGTTATGAGCCTTCTGGCCCTTTGTATAATTCTGGAGAGGGGACGGCCCACTAAGAATCTCTGTACCCAAAGAAGGAGAACACATAGTTCCCCTGAGGACCTCCTCCATGCTTTCCCAACTATCATTTATGGCCAAGAAGCCCAAATTTCTAAATGGATAAACTTACTCGCTGATCTTGGGGACTATATCTCCTTCCCCCTGAAGGTGTAGGATCCTGATTGAGAAGATGCTGTGACTGGAAGTTAAGAAAAACAAAAAGTCATTGCACATTTTCCATGACCAGGCAGAGGACTAATGTTTCCTGGAACACAGTGAAGAGTTTATTCTTACAATCTACTCACCTGCGGCTGGAGTTCTGGTTGAGGTGGGTGCTGGCAAAGCTCTGGTTCTTACGACCCACTTTTAGGAGCTTCCAGGCCTCCTCAGCATCTTGCACATGAATCCAGTTGAGATCTGGGGCCAAAGGAGAGGGGTGTAAGATGGGAACATCCAACTCTTTTGCCAGTCTCTCCCCAGTTGCCCTCCAGGGTTCATGCCAGCTTTCCCCATGTTCCTTTACCTTTCACATAGGGATTGCCATTTTGATCCTCGCATAGCCGCAAAGTCTGCCTCTTGCGCTGTTGGCTAGGCGGTTCTAATAGGTCATAAAGCAGTTCGTTGTAGATCTCAAAGAATGAGATCCAGATGGAGAAGCGAATGTTTGCCGGGACAGGTAGTGGGGCAGTGTCTGGCTGTGCCCATCGATGACTTGTTTCTGGAGAAGAAGCCAATGTATAGGGCATCAACCTAGAGCAGTTCACCTCTCTTTTGGCCTGCAGGGGCCTTGGAAGGCAGACCTTAGATTGCAACCTCTGGTCTGTACTCCTGGCAGCTATTAGGAACAGGGAGTGAGTTCCTACTATTTTTTGGCAGAGCCCAGTCACGGTACATACCATCCAGCTGGCTACTGCTGGTACACTGACTGATAGAAGAGAGCCCAGCAATGCCACTGTCGAAGCTGGTGCTGGTACCTATCCGACTTTCGATGTAGACACTCCTCTTCAAGGAAGTGGACAGCTCCTCCTGGAGGGGCACAGGGAGAAGGTAAGCACAAAACTTCCCCGAGATTTGTACCCCCTACCCCCACTGCCATGGATACCAATGCTTTACCTCTTGGAGGCCTCCATTTAGCAGGGACAGCTTCTTCATTTCCTCCTGTCGGATCTGCTTGCTGTCTAGCCAGATTACCTCATTGGAGAGCAAGGGCTTCAGATCAGGTGTTGGATGAAGTTGGCCTTGGAGGCTATTGAAGATCAGCGCCAGGGACCGGGGGAGAATCCCTCCATCCTTGATGGTACCTGGAGGCATATGAAAGATGGACAGCTGAGGCAAGTGCCCTTCTCCCCCTAACTCAGAGTCTCAAAAGGTAAAAACAACACCATTACCAGCCAATCAGGAATCCCGTGAAGGCTTACTACTCACCTTGAATCGTGTGGGTTTTCCCTGAGTTAGTGACTCCATATGTATAGATGAGCCAGTTCTGCCCTTTGAGTACATCCTTTACCATCTCCTTCACAGTTAGGTTGAAGAAGGATGCCTGTCCCACTTCTGGCCCAAAGATCTAGAGAGAGACCCAGTTTTTTAGAGGCCTCTCCTTCATCTCCCACTTGCCTCCTGTGCAGAGCCAGCAGATATATTCCTTCCTGAGTGGTTGGCTCTGGAGACCACTCAAGCAGCTTCTTCCTGCAATGCTGCTGGCTGTTCCCTAAACACTGAGGACTCAAGCACTCTCTGCTAGTCCATCTTTCCACCAAATCAACAAACACTTAAGGAATGCTATGCCCTAGGCCTGATGCTGCACACACAATGGGGCAATATAATGGCCCACAAGTATGGGCTTTGGAGATACATGGATCTAGACTCAGGTCCTAACTCTACTAGTGACTAGCTACATGGCTTCAGCAATATTACATTCATTGAGCCACACTATCCTTGTGAGGAAAATAAGGAAATAATGATAATAACAATAGAATTTTTCAGAACTGATATACATATGTTACTTGACACATTGACTAACACATAACTAGGGCCCTCAAAATTGTAGGTGTGCATATACAAGGAACTCACAGTCAGGAAGAGAAGCTTTCCCTCTAAAGAGGGAATAAAGTTGCCCTTACATGTTGGTCTTTTGTTCACAAACCAGTACCCTCCATACCTGGGAAAAGGTGAACCTGTGTGTGGCTTGGCCAATTCCCCGTTCATTGCTCTTCAGGGCAAAAGAGTCCTTGGGTGCTTGTAGAACAAGGGTCTCCACATTCTCAATACGGACACAACCCTGAGAAGGGAGAAAATACAGTTGTCACAGAAGGCATTCCTGGGAATCTTTTGTACTGCATCATTTCACCTTGAATCCTCCCTTCTCAGACACTTACCTGATCTTCCTGTCGTTCCAACTCTGAAGGTAACAAGGGCCTAACCCTCAAGTATACTTTCACCTTCTCCATACTGTCCTCAGATGGAACCTGTGGCAGAATCCCAGCCCAGAACCACAGATTAATTTCAGCAGTTACCTCTGAGCAAATGGGCAAACAGTAGTTTCTAGGAACTATGATAACACTACCCCATTTCACCTCAAATGTCTCTGTGCAGCTACTCTTTGGTTCCACAATCATTCCAACCCACATGGACATTTTTACTACTTTGTCACCCTTCCCTGTCTCGTCATTATCCTGCAAATGTGGCTTGCCACACCGATGATCTGAGTTCGAATTTATTGACTGGTATGAAAATTAGTATGTGATATTAAAGCAAAGCAGAGGCAAACACTTGAATTTGAGTCCCAATTCCATGACTTAGTAACTATGAGACCTTGAATTATGAGTTCTTGAAATTCTTGGCCTCAGTTTCCTCATCTGCAGAATGGGGTTAATAATAGCACCTATGTCATTCATTCAACAGATACTTAGAGGCTGGGTGCAGGGGCTCACGCCTATAATCCCGGCACTTTGGGAGGCCAAAGAGGGTGGATCACCTGAGGTCAGGAGTTCCAGACCAGTCTGGCCAACACAGCAAAACCCCATCTCTACTAAAAATACAAAAATTAGCTGGGCTTGGTGGTAGGTGCCTGTAATTCCAGCTACTCAGGAGGCTGAGGCAGGGAGAACTGCTTGAACCCGGGAGGCGGAGGTTGCAGTGAGCAGAGATTGTGCCACTGCACACCAGCCTGGGGGACAGAGCGAGACTCCATCTCGAAAACAAAAAAACCCAAAAAACAAAAAAAACCCAGATATTTAGAGTGTCTACTATGGCCTAGGAACCGAGAAGCTCTGATAGTCCATAGTGAGAGACATCATCAAGGACCATGCTCTCATGGAACTTTATAAGTCTCTAAGAGAAACTCTATAAGAGCACAAAATCTGACAATGTATGTTAATGTTTAGCATAGGACCTAGTACAGTGTTTCTCAACCAGGGTCATTTCCACTCCAAGGGCCATTTAGCAATGCCTGAAGTGCCTGAAGACATTTTTTGATTGTCACAAATGGGAAGGCACTACTGACATCTAGTGGGTAAATGCCAAGAATGCTATTAAACATCTTGAAATGTACAGGACAGATCCCTACAAGAACTGTCTAGCCCCAAATGTCAATAATGCTGTAACTGAGAAACCCTGGCCTAGCAGGAAACCTACAACAAATTGAAGCTATGGTGATACTATTAAAACCTGAACATACATTCCACTTACATAATGCCTATATGACCTTGTGCAAATTATTTAGCACAACTGGGCCTCAAGGCAAAGAGAGATAACTATTATTCCCTGAAAGATTAACTAAGAGCATGCATTTGAGGCTATTTCATTAATGCAATGCAAATTATAGTTCTTCTGGACACACAACTCAATTTTTTTTTTACTTGTCATGCCCTTAATTTTTTTTTCTTTTTTTCTTTTCATAGCCATTTTGTCCTAAATGCCCTTAATTTTGAATTGATCTCAGACCTTTAGGATTGCTAGTCTTTGACCTCATACTACCCTGTATGGACAATTATTGGCCTGAGGATATCACTTTCCGCCCCAGCCACTCCCCAGTTCCTTTACCTGCTGCTTGTCCTCTAGGGAGGTAGAGACGACAGAGCAGTCTGATAGCAGGTTCTTGCGTACCACAGACCCCAAATCTGCAGCTGTGGACTCAAACATGGGAGAAACTACGACATCGTCATCGGACAGCAAGCCCGCTGGCGGAGAAAGGATCCCTTGCGACATGACGGCAGGGGCAGCCTAGGTCTAAAAAGAGACCAAAAAGTGGGCAGGGAGAAGAACCTTTAGGGACAGAAGGGGCCGCGAATTTTAGGTAATAAGTCCCTTGCCCCAGGACACCGTGTCCCGCTTCCTACTTCTTTTCCCCTCCAATTATCGGCAAAGGGGAAGGGAATGAGAGAAGTTCACTTAATGAACAATTGAGAGAAGTTTGAGGCGGCATTTCTGAACGCGAACAGAAGTCCACAGACATCTGGCTCCAAAAGCAGAAGGCTACGCCTAAAGTAGGGCACCTCGCCCGCCGGTGCTGTGGAGGTGGTGTCAGGATCCCTCGGCTCCTTCTCTAACCTCACCCCAAGGACCACCGTGAGAACAGAGATGCAGCATTAAGAGAAAAACAGATGGCTGCAGCTCCGATTTCTTAAAGCCTATTCCGCGCGGGCAAGAGCTGGTAACCCGGGCTCCAGCACAGCCGCACACTCACCCGAAGACGTGCCACTTGCTCCTCCTGGGATACTGGCTTACTCACACCTAGTCGCCGAAGCTGGACTTTCGCAGCCGCAGAGCACAACTCCGCCCACGAGGTGCAGCTTTGTTACAGATACAATATTTTAAATTACGCGCTGCGTTCGTTCGGCCAATCAGATAGGGAAGCCTGCAGCTACCAATCCGCGTAAGGAAAGGGGGCGGGCCTGACTGGAATTCCAGTCGTTCGCTTCTGCTTGACCTCTGAGTTCTAATGTGGGTCCGGGTTACCAACTGTCGTGGATTCGCACTTATTTTGCCTGGGATTCTTCCAACTTAACCTTTTTCCTTGAACCTTAGACATTTCTTACCTAAGAGCCTAAAGGAAATCTTGAGGCTTCAGCAGCCAACTCCTGTCCTTCCTTAGCAACAATCTTAACAGGAGTGCACAGGGTAACTGGTTTAGGGTGCTTGCTTTGTCTTAAGGGGAAAAACGACATTTCCCAGGAGGCACCGCGAACCAACGCCGGTACACTATTTCCCAGAATTCCAGGGTTTCGGCCCTTCCAGACCGTCTCTCCTCAGGGTTGGAGACTTCGGGGCCAAGATGGCGACGGGAACGGGCAGTGAGTATCTGAGCAGGTTTTGCGTGAAAGGCCTTTGTAGATCCGAGGCTAGGCACCATATTTTTGTTACACGCTTAGGGAGTGGGAGAAGTGGGTTGCTTGAGAGCCCAGGGTTTTCAGAGACCTGCGCTCTACAGCATCGTGAAGACCAACGTTTGGGGGCCCAGAAATCTGGGGTCTTGTTTCTCAGGGAGAGAGCGGAGGTGTGAGAGAAGCAGCTTAGTGAATCCTAGTGTGTTAGGAACTCTGCGGGTTAACCGTAAAAGCACTCTAGAAACTTGGGCGTGCAGACGAAAAGATGTTATGAGCCAGACGGAGTAACCGGCACCTCAAAGAGCCATTCATTTTTTTGTCTGACGTTTGTGAGGCAGTGGAAGTGGGGTCTTTTAACCATGAGCTTTTCTTGCCACTCAGGAAATTGCATCTCGGGGATTTCAGCCATTTTTCTTTTTTTGGACTGAAAAGCTCTTTTACCCCCGACATTTGGAGTAGAGGATCTGAGAGAAGTAAACAAGTTTATGCTAAGAGGGAGGCGGGGTAGTAGGAGGGGCTGGCCGCTCGGGTTCCTGGGAAATAAGCCCTGAATAAGTTCAAACTGGAATAAAGTCCAGTATTCTTAAAACTGGGCTTTTAGGGAGAACTGCCTAATCTGACATTCCCTGTTTCTTAATAAAGCGGAGCTTCAAGCCATGGCGTTTTAAGAAATAAAATGTTAATAATTCACATGCAACGAATAGGTACCCCGGTCACTGGTGATATTTCACTTGGAGAGGTGAAAATCAAGATTTGGTTATAGTAGCTCACTTTGTCCTAACAAGTTGGGATGTTTTGTATTAGGCTTTTAGTCCTCTTTTTGGGGATTTTGGAGCTTAGCACTACAGTCTCAGTGGTTGTTTCCAAGGCTTTTTTTTTTTTCTCCCTTTCCCAGAACACAAGCTGCTAAGCACTGGCCCCACAGAGCCATGGTCCATCCGAGAGAAGCTATGTTTAGCATCTTCTGTCATGAGAAGTGGCGATCAAAATTGGTAAGGTATCTAGGATGTCAGCTTTTCTGGGTCTTAGAAATTGTTAGATACTCTTTCACATCGGTAGATTTCTATAGTTAATCATATTAAGCTGTAAGTAGACTTTCTTTTCTTTTTCTTCTTTTTTTGAGACTGAGTCTCCTTCTGTTGCCCAGGCTGGAGTGCAGTGGTGCGGACACGCCCAGCTAATTTTTGTATTTTTTAGTAGAGACAGAGTTTCGCCATGTTGGCCAGGCTGGTCTCGAACTCCTGACCTCAGGTGATCCCCCCACCTCGGCCTGCCAGAGTGCTGGGATTACAGGTGTGAGCCACTGCGCCTGGCCATGCCTGGCTAATTTTGTATTTTTAGTAGAGACGGGGTTTCACCATGTTGGCCACGATGGTCTCAATCTCCTGACCTCATGATCTGTCCGCCTCGGCCTCCCAAAGTGCTGGGATTACAGGCGTGAGCCACTGCCAGGCCTATTTTTTTTTTTTTTTTTTTGAGACAAGATTGCACTCTGTGGCCCAGGCTGGAGGGCAGTGGTGTGATCTTGGCTCACTGCAACCTCCATATCTCAGGCTCAAATGATCCTCCACCTCAGCCTCTTGAGTAGCTGGGACTACAGGTGCACACCACCATGCCCAGCTAATTTTTTTTATTTTTTTGTAGAGATGGGGGTTTCATCATGTTTCCTAGGCTGGTCTCGAACTCCTGCGTTCGAGCGATCCGCCCAACCTACTGGGATTACAGGTGTGAGCCACCAGGCCAGCTGTATTTCTTTTTTTAAACAGCTTTATTGAGATATAATTCACATACTATAAAATTAACCTACTTAAAATGTACAATATAATGGTTTTTAGTATATTCACAGTTGTGCAACCATCACCACAATCTAATTTTAGAACATTTTATTCTAAGAAAAACCCCTTACTCCTTAACTGTCAGTCCATGTTGTCCCCTCCTCACCACCCCCAAGCAAGCACTCATCTACTTTCTATTAATTAATTAATTAATTTGAGACAGAGTCTCACTGTCACACAGGCTGGAGTGTAGTAGTTAGATCTTGGCTCACTGCAACCTCCGCCTCCCAGGTTCAAGCGATTATCGTGCCTTAGCCTCCCAAGTAGCTGGGATTACAGCCATGCGCCACGAGTGGCCTGGCTAATTTTTGTATTTTTAGTAGAGATGAGGTTTTGTCCAGGCTGGTCTTGAAGTAATGCACCAGTCCTGGCCTCCAAAAGTGCTGGGATTACAAGTGTGAGCCACCATACCCAGCCAACTCTCTTGTCTCTGTAGATTTGCCTATTCTGGATATTTCATACAAATGGAATGATACGTGCTCTTCTGGACTTTTTTTTGTTTTTTTTAATCACTTGACATAACACTTTTTAAGGTTCATTCTTATGTAGCATGTATCAATACTTAATTCCTTTTTTAGCTGAATAATAATCTGTTGTATGAATATACCAAGTTTTATTTATCCATCACTTGATAGACAATTGGGTTGTTTCCACTTTTTGGCCATTATGAATAATGCTGATGATGTGCACATTCGTGTACAAGGTTGTGGACAATGTTTTTAATTCTCTTGAGTTTTTTATTCAAGGAGTGAAATTGCTGGGTTATGTAGTAACTTTATTATGTTTGACTTTTTTTTTTTTTTTTTTTTTTTTTTGCAGACAGGGTCTCACTGTCACCCAGGCTGGAGTGCAGTAGTGCGATCGTGGTTCACTGCAACCTCTGCCTCCTGGGCTCAAGTGATCCTCCGGCCTCAGCCTCCTGAGTAGCCGGGACTACAGGCACATGCCATCACCCCTGGCTAATTTTTGTATTTTTTGGTAGGGATGGGGTTTTGCCATGTTGCCCAGGCTGAACTTTTTTTTTTTTTTTAATTTAAATATTTATGTTTTTGTAGAGACGAGGTCCCACTATGTTCCCCAGGCTGGTCTCCAACTCTTGGCCTCAAGTGATCCTCCCAGTTTAGCATCCTGAGTAGTTGGGAATACAGACCCTTGCCACCATGCTTGACTAATTTTTTGTGTTTTTTGTCACTTGTTGCCCAGGCTGGTCTTGAACTCCTGGGCTCAAGTGATCCTCCCACCTTAGCCTCCTAAAGTGCTAGGATTATAGGCGTGAGCCATCACTCCCAGCCTAGAACTATCATCATTTTACCTTTCTCGGTATCAGCCCCTCACCCCCTTTCTTTTGAATCATCCATTATGAATTTAACTCTCTTGCCACATTTATAAACAATTCAGTACTTTGCTGATTGTCATGCTTCCTAGCATTTTTTTTGTTTGTTTTTTAAATCTAATTTTTGAAGTAATATGTGGCCACCATAAAAACAAAAACACTATATAGAAAGCAATAGCAACAAAGAAATGGGTTAAAAACTTAAGTTTAAGGCCGGGCGCAGTGGCTCACGCCTGTAATCCCAGCACTTTGGGAGGCCGAGGTGGGCGGATCACAAGGTCAGGAGATTGAGACCATCCTGGCTAACACGGTGAAACCCCGTCTCTACTAAAAATACAAAAATCAGGTGTGGCGGCGTGCGCCTGTAGTCCCAGCTACTCAGGAGGCTGAGGCAGGAGAATGGTGTGAACCCAGGAGGCGGGGCTTGCAGTGATTTGAGATCGTGCCACTGCACTCCAGCCTGGGCAACAGAGCAAGACGCCATCTCAAAAAAAAAAAAAAAAAACTTGAGTTTATTTTTTGTCACACATACAGGAAGTCTAGGCAGTCCACAGCTCTCATAGCAACTTCACAGTGACATTAGAGGCTCAGGATATTCTCTTTCTGTTCCACCTTCCTCAGTGCATAGTTTATCTTCTGGTTATCTTATGGTTCACGGTGGCTGCTTGACCTTCAGCTATCACATCCTTGTTCCATGCAACAAGAAGGAAGGGGGTTGGTAAGAAAAGTCACATCTCTTCCCTTTTAACAACTTTTTTGTGATATAATTGATGTGCAGTAAACTGCACCTTTTTTTTTTTTTTGAGATGGAGTCTCTGTTGCGCAGGCTGGAGTGCAGTGGTGCAATCTTGGCTCACTGGAACCTCTGCTTCCCAGGTTCAAGTGATTCTCCCACCTCAGCCTCCCGTGTAGCTGGGACTACAGGCCTTTGCCACCATGCCTGGCTAATTTTTGTATTTTTTGGTAGAGATAGGGTTTTACCATGTTGGCCAGGCTGGTCTTGAACTCCTGACCTCAGATGATCCACCTGCCTCGGCCTCCCAAAGTGCCGGGATTACAGGCATGAGCTACGACACCCGGCCAGTGCACACATTTAGAGCATAAGACATGGTATTTTTGAAATATATATACATTTGTGAAACTATCCACAATTAAGGTAATTATTATAGTATCCATTAACAGATGAATGGGTAAAGAAAAAATATATATGTATACACACACACACACACACACACACAATGGAATACTGTTGAGCCATAAAAAAGAATTAAATCCTCCATTTGTGATTCCATGGTTGAGCCTGGAGGATAGTATGTAAAGTGAAATAAGCCAGACACATAAAGAAATACCATATGATCTCAGTTATATGTGGAATCTAGGAAAAATTATAGACCTCACAGAACTAGAGAATAGAATGGGGCTGGGTGCAATGGCTCACATCTATAATCCCAGAACTTTGGGAGGCCAAGGCAGGAGGTTGCTTGAGATCATGAATTGGAGACCAGTCTGGGCAATATGACAAAACTATAAAAAAACACAAAAATACTAGCCAGGTCTGGTGGTGTGTGCCTATAGTTCCAGCTACTCGGGAGGCTGAGGTGTGAGGATGGCTTGAGCCAGGGAGGCAACATAAGAGAAACTGTTCCCTACAAAAAAGAAAATTAGCCAGGCATGATGGTGCATCTGTGATTTCAGCTACTTGGGTGGGGCTGCAGTGGGAGGTTGCCTAAGCCTCAGAGGTGGAAGCAACAGCAAGCCATGATTGTGCCACTGCACTGAAGTCTGGGTGACAAAGTGAGATACTGTCTAAACAAAAACAATGTGTGTTTTGTATGTGTGTGTGTGTGTGTGTATACACATCACATATATTTGTATATGTATATAAATTGAGCTCATTTTTAAACAAAACAGGTAAACTGGTTTGAAATAGAATCTAATCTGTATATTTCCTCACATTTTTATTAGATAAATAGTGTTAAGAATCTTTTTTTTTTTTTGAGATGGAGTCTCACTGTGTCACCCAGGTTGGAATGCAGTGGCACGATCTCGGCTCACTGCAACCTCCACCTCCTGGATTTAAGTGATTGTCCTGGCTCAGCCTCCCGAGTAGCTGGGATTAAAGGTGCACGCCACCATGCCTGGCTAATTTTTGTATTTTTAGTAGAGGTGGGGTTTCACCACATTGGCCAGGCTGGTCTCAAACTCCTCATCTCAAGCAGTCTGCCCTCCTCGACCTCCCGAAGTGTTGGGATTACAGGCGTGAGTCACCACGCCCAGCCATAGAAAAATAGTATAAGAATACTTGAGTAAAAGTTTTAAATTTTATTATTTTATCAGCAGATACTAAGTCATAAGATTCAAAATTATATGCAGTGTCTTCCTCCCGTTACTATCCCCCGTCTACTAGTGTTAGCAGTTTCTTGTGTCTCTCCAGCAAAATTTTATGTGAGCAAATATTTTCTTTTTCCCCTTCATCCCCCTCATTTTCTAACACAAATGATTATATACTATATATGCTGTTCTTTTTTTTTTGAATGGCGGAGGGGGTGGTCTTACTCTGTCACCCAGGCTGGAGTGCAGTGGCGCGATTTGGGCTCACTGCAGCCTCTTGACTTCCTGGGCTCAAGGGATCCTCCTACCTCAGCTGCCCAAGTAGCTGGGACCACAGGCCGCAGGTACGCACCACCATACCTTGTCGATTTTTTTTTTTTTTTTTTTTTTTTTTTTTTGTAGGGATGGGATCTCCTCGGGTGGCTTGAACTCCTGGGCTTGAGCTGTCCTCCCACCTCTGCCTCCCAGAGTGCTGGGATTACAGGCACGGTCCATTGCACACCTCGCATTCATTGGCTTTTTTTTTTTTTTTTTTTTTTTTTGAGATGGAGTCTCACTCTGTCCCCAGGCTGGAGTGCGGTGGTGAGATCTCGGCCCACTGTGACCTCCGCCTCCTGTGTTCAAGAGATTCTCCTGCCTCAGCCTCCCGAGTAGCTGGGACTACAGGTGCATGCCACCATGCCCAACTAATTTTTGTATTTTTAGTAGAGACGGGGTTTCACCATGTTGGCCAGGTTGGTATTGATCTCCTGACCTTGTGATCCACCCGTCTTGGCCTCCCAAAGTGCTGGGATTACAGGCGTGAGCCACCGCGCCTGGCCATTCGCATCTTTTTTATTCCAAAGTTTGAACTCCAAGCCTTGCACTCTCAGCATACCTCTCCTATTGTTTTCTGCTTGGTGTGTAATAAAGCTTTCCTCATTTTGTAGGGTATCAGTTAGCAGAGCAATCAAGCCCTTTGCAGAACCTGGCCGCCCTCCAGACTGGTTCTCTCAAAAAGTAAGTTCCCAAGCAAGGGCTCTTTTAGAGCAGTCTTTGGGTTGTAAAGTAGGTTCTCTACCAGGCCCTGACTTTTAGTTACAAAGCTTTTATACCATGATGTGGGAAAATAGTTGAGAATACCTTTTTCTTTTTCCTACTGTTTGCTAATCCATCCATGTATGATCATATTAGACCTTTCTTATTGGTGTTGCATAACAGTTAAGAGCCCAAGCTTGGGAATTAGATCTGGGTTCATTATTACTCCATCTAAAAACTTTGGGCCATGATCCTCTGTTTTTTCATTTGTAAAATAGAGATAAAAGAGTTGCTTCAGGATTGTTGTGAAGCTAATTGAAGTAATACATGTAAAACATTTAACACAGTGCCTTGCATGTAGTAACTACTTGGTAGATATTAGCTATAAATATTGGCAGTTAGGTTGCCTTTCCGCAAATGCACAAACTCCAGTCCATAAGACTGTCTTTTTCTGTGTCTTGTTTTGATTATTTTGAACTGATTTGATTATAAAGTTACTTGCCCTCCTAGTAAACCACTCCCGTCTTACATATAGTTCTCTTCTCTAAATCTTACTCTAATCTCTTGAAACTTTGAAAGGTCATTTCTTTCCAGCCTTGCTCATCACATTTTCACTTTTTTTTTTTTTTTTAATAGCATTGTGCTTCCCAGTACTCGGAGCTTTTAGAGACCACTGAGACACCAAAGTGAGTACAAAGCCAGGTACTTCAGCCATATTTCTTTAGTGGAGAGTATTTACTGAGGAATTCTGGTTTATACTTAGTTATGATACTGGATGATTAAAAAATAGCAGAAGTTATCTATGATTAAGTGGTAAAAGCAAGTAGGAGAGGGGATAAATGTTATGTTATTTGAATATGAATTTTTTTTTTTCAATTTTCCACAGACGGAAACGAGGTGAAAAGGGAGAAGTGGTGGAAACTGTTGAAGATGTTATTGTTCGGAAATTGACTGCTGAGCGAGTTGAAGAACTAAAGAAAGTGATAAAGGAAACCCAGGAGAGATATAGGTACTTATCAGAGAGAATGCCAAAAAATTGAGAAAGACATAAGGGACTGTCTTCTGGTACTGGTCAGAACTTTTAAAATAGCAGATTAAAAAACCCAGTCTACCTACCTCTCTTTCTTCCTATAGACGGCTAAAGAGAGATGCAGAACTAATTCAAGCTGGACACATGGACAGCAGACTGGATGAGCTTTGCAATGACATTGCAACGTGGGTTATATTATATTGTTCTTCTGTGCTTCTTTCTTTTTACCCTCTTTTCCCCTCAAGTAATCTGGCTTATTTCCTCCAATTGCCGTCCCTTTAGACTTGAGACAGATTCTGGAAGGGGAAAGCTGCAAAGTGGTTTGGTGGCTGGGAGGGGGGAGTGAGTCCTAGAAGGTAATATAATGGGACATTTCAGTATGAAAACATAACTTAGTTCTAACTTAAGAGTGGCTATAGTTTGCCTGGGTGAAGAACTGGGAGTTAGGCAGTATACCCCAATTCACTGTTTTGCTGGTTAGAATTCCTGTTTAGGCCTTTCTTCCAGAAAGTGCTGGCCTGGCAAAAAAAATTACTTTGTAAGGGTTCTGTGAACTCTGGGGAGGAGCCAGAGCTGTCTAGCATCTAACCCTTAATTCCCTGTTTAGGAAAAAGAAATTGGAAGAAGAGGAGGCTGAAGTAAAGAGGAAGGCTACAGATGCTGCATACCAGGGTAAGCTGAACCTAGTATGCCTCTTTAGCAATTGATTGCACAGTACTGCATGCTAATGACAGTTGGACTGTTTTGTAACATAGAATACATTGATTTAAATTTACTTGCAGTTTTCTCTTCTACCAGAATAAAAACATCCCTTAATGTCTTAAGAAGAAACTCCTAGAACATGCGTTGTGCTCAGATCTCACTAGACCTTAAATTAACTTCAGGACACAAAGGCTTGATGAGATATTGAACATAATGTTTTAGAAGTCAAGGGCCTGTGAAAAGATTGAGAATAGCTCAGTCATTAGATGAGGAGAAATTTAAGCATTTACAACTCTAGGAATACATGCTGTGCGCCAGTGAGGTCTTTCCCTGTTTTTGTTTTTTGTTTTTCCCCCAGGCGGAGTTTTGCTCTTGCTGCACAGGCTGGAGTGCAGTGGCGCGATCTTGGGTCACTGCAACCTCCGCCTCGCGGGTTCAAGTGATTCTCCTGCCTCAGCCTCCCGAGTAGCTGGCATTACAGGCGGCTGCCACCACACCTAGCTAATTTTTGTATTTTTAGTAGAGATGGGGTTTCGCAGGCTGGTCTCAAACTCCTGACCTCAGGTGATCCACCTGCCTTGGCCTCCCAAAGTGCTGGGATTACAGCCGTGAGCCACTGCACCTGGCCTTCCTGTTCTTAAAAGCAGAATATTAGTAAGTTGCTAAAGAGAATATTAAAGGATGTTTAAACTACTTTCCCACTCCAAGGACCTTTGGGATAATTAAGTAGTTTGAGATTGTTAAAGGAGTTTCTTAGTGTGAGAATTGCCCTTAGGAAAAATTAGGCTAAAAAGTTATCCATCTCTAGAAGTGTTAAAGCTTTCTAATCCAAACTTATTATGCTGCTTTAGTAATGCAACATACCTATTTGTCCTTTATTGTATAATAGCAGACTAGTGTCAAGTTTCATTTATTTAATCTTGAAGATTTGGACATTGTTCTCTTTTATGTTCTAGCTCGTCAAGCAGTAAAAACACCCCCCCGGAGGTTACCCACTGTGATGGTTCGCTCTCCTATAGATTCTGCCTCCCCAGGAGGTGATTATCCACTTGGGGACTTGACTCCAACCACTATGGAAGAGGCTACCTCTGGGGTGAGTATATTTCCATCTGTGGGAATTGATCAGTGAAGGGGCAATAAGCCGGCAGAGCTGAGCGATGAGGAAACCACTTTTGGCCTAGAGGCAACTTCCTCTCTTGATCTGAATGCTAAAGACTTAATTTACCATGTTCTGTGCTCTGAGATAAGAACGGACCTAAAAGCATTGAGGCTTTTGACCTTTTTGAGAGATAGGTAAAAAACTATTTTAAGAAATTGTTTCATACTAGTCTTATGAAATTCCTGCTGAAATAAGGGACAAAATCCTTGTAAATGTAATATTGGTAGTGGGTAAGGAGTTCATAAAAGGCAGGTTGGGTGGGATGGTTGAGTCACTGTGGGTTTGAGTGGATGAAAGAGAAGATTGTGGGGAAGAAAAGTATGGCTAAGAGCAGGAGGGATAGAGGGTTTCTGGGCAATTCCACTCAGGACTAATAAAATAATAGTTAGACACACTAACCCATACAGATTAGTAGGGAACCTTCCATAGTTTGAGAAGTCAGATAAAGGTTCTCTGTTGTCTCTTAGGTAACCCCCGGGACTTTGCCGAGTACCCCAGTCACCTCGTTTCCTGGGATTCCTGACACCCTTCCTCCAGGCTCTGCACCCTTAGAAGCCCCCATGACCCCAGTAACAGATGATTCACCCCAGAAAAAGATGCTTGGACAGAAAGCAACTCCACCCCCCTCCCCTCTGCTGTCAGAGCTCTTGAAGAAGGGCAGCCTCCTGCCTACTAGCCCCAGACTGGTATGGAGACTTCTGTGGGTGTTTGAGAGCTGTGGTGATTTAGTACTTGGAAGGGAGTGCCTGGGACCTAAAATGTGACATGGGGAATAAAAGTTCAAAAGAGGAAAAGATCTCCTAATTAAATGTTAATTTTTTAAAAATACAGTAAGTTGATAGTACCCATGGGTCCTGAGGTATCTGAATCACAATTATTTTGGTTCTCTTCTCCAGAGAACTCTTGTCAAATAAGTTTTGAACATTATAGTTTAGAGTTTCCCTTGGGTCTTAAATTATTCTCTGTGGATATTAGCTATTAGTTTTCATGAAGTTTGATCAACTGCTGGAGCTTTGTTGGGAAATGGTAGTGAAGGAAAGCTTGAGTGTAGCCTTCACCTCTATTCTTCCCTGGTAGGTCAATGAGAGTGAAATGGCTGTGGCTTCTGGCCACCTGAACAGTACAGGTGTCCTCCTGGAGGTAGGCGGGGTCCTTCCCATGATACATGGTGGGGAGATACAGCAAACACCCAATACTGTTGCAGCCTCCCCTGCTGCATCAGGTAAGTTACCACTTTTCCTTTATCAACCTCAAAGGTGTTGAACTTGACATTGACTGACCTCAGTTTCACTGTTACTAAGCAGTTGTCAGTGCTAGATTTAAAGCCCAACTTTTTCTAACTTTTTTTTGGAGCTACTTTACCTGGTAAACAATGTAGTCTCCATATTATAAAGCCATCTATCTTCAAGATAGTGATAGCCCTGATTGACCACAGCATGGATATTGAGAGTAATATTGAACTGCTTTCTTAGGGCTTGCAAAATCAAGGTGCTAGAGATACCTAAGATTATAGAATAGTGGAATAAGATTTGGAACCAGAGAATTGGGCTTGAATCTCAGGCCTGCCACACATTGGTTTTGTGACCTTGGATAGGTAACTTAGCTTTTGAGCCTCAGTTTCCTTTTTTATTGTAACATATATACTTCACAAGGATGTGATGAGAATTTAATGAGGTAGAAAGTATAAAGCAGGGAAATAAAAAAAGCTCCATAGAATACCATACAAACCTTATTGGTATTTGAATGGTGTTGAACTTGGGTGGTTTACAATATGCTGAACTTCAGCAGAAGCGACAGATTTATTCATACCAGTTTTTCGTTTCTTGGTGATTAATTTTCCTCTGAGGAAAAATTACCACCCTTTGTTGTTGTTGTTGTTGTTTTTTTTGAGACAGAGCCTTGCTCTGTCGCCCAAGCTGGAGTGTGGTGGCACAATCTTGGCTCACTGCAATCTCCACCTCCTGCGTTCAAGCAGTTCTCCTGCCTCAGCCTCCTGAATAGCTGGGATTACAGCACCCACCACCACGCCTAGCTAATTTTTTTTTTTTTTTTTTTTTTTTTTTTGTATTTTTAGTAGAGGCAGGGTTTCGCTATGTTGCCCAGGCTGGTCTCAAACTCTTGACCTCAAGTGACCCACCTGCCTCGGCCTCCCAAAGTGCTAGCATTACAGGCGTGAGCCACTGCACCTAGCCTTACCACCCATTTTTTATATATGTTGTGTGTTCTAGTGCTTTGGTTCATTCCTAACTTGGAGGAAGATCTTAAGTAAGGTTAGAGTAAGGATATAGATGATGAACTTATTCAATGCAGGAGTTGCTCTCATCCTTTGAGACCATAAGAATTTTCTTAGTTGAGTCTTCAAGTAGCTATTGCTTCTTATTTATGTGCTTTCTTCTTACTTCATTTTGTGTACCTCTTTATATGTTAGGTGCTCCCACTCTTTCCCGGCTTTTAGAAGCTGGTCCTACACAGTTCACCACACCTCTTGCTTCCTTCACTACTGTTGCCAGTGAGCCTCCAGTTAAACTTGTGCCACCCCCTGTAGAGTCTGTGTCCCAAGCTACCATTGTCATGATGCCTGCGCTGCCAGCACCATCCTCTGCTCCGGCTGTCTCCACTACTGAAAGTGTAGCTCCAGGTGCGTCCCTGAGCAGCCACTAGATCTAAAATTTCATTTTGAGCTTTAGTTAGAGAAAAATGACCAAGAGCATCAGCTCCGATTCAGATGCTTCTTCTCTGTTCTACATAGACATGTGCCATCTTTATCCTTAGAAATAAATATCCTTAGAAATAGATGTGAGAAGAGGTGGGTGGGCATTTATGTATTGCAGGAAGAGGCTAAGTATACAGATATGAGCAGGCTTGAAAATATGTTCTCACCTTTCTAGATAAAACTGGGGAGAAGAAAACATAGGCACATGTTGATGACTCTTTCTGACCTTAAGTGTTTGGATATTTGACATCTGTCTGTAGCGCTTATGTGATCTCAAGGTGGTCGCTTTGTACCCAATAAGCTTCTGAGATGCTTTTCTCTTTCTGTTACTCAGTGAGTCAACCCGACAACTGTGTTCCCATGGAGGCTGTGGGGGATCCACATACTGTGACTGTTTCCATGGACAGCAGTGAAATATCCATGATCATCAATTCTATCAAAGAAGAGTGTTTTCGATCAGGGGTAGCAGAGGCTCCTGTTGGATCAAAGGCTCCCAGCATAGATGGGAAGGAAGAATTAGATCTGGCTGAGAAGATGGATATTGCTGTGTCTTACACAGGTGAAGAGCTGGATTTTGAGACTGTTGGAGACATCATTGCCATCATTGAGGACAAGGTAACTATTCAGCGAAGCCCCAGAGAATCTCATGGGTCCTACATAGGCTTCTCTTTTCAGCCTCACTTTGGTGCTGCTGCTGCTTTTTTTTTTTTTTTTTTGGAGACAGAGTCTTGCTCTTTCATCCAGGCTGAAGTGCAGTGGCACGATCTTGGCTTACTGTTACCTCTGCCTCCCAGCCTCAAGTAATTCTTGTGCCTCAGCCTCCTGAGTAGCTGGGACTACAGGCACATGCCACCACGCCTCACTAATTTTTTGTATTTTTAGTAGAGATGAGTTTTACCATGTTGGCCAGGCTGGTCTCAAACTCCTGGCCTCAAGTGATCCACCCACCTCGGCCTCCCAAAGTGCTGAGATTACAGGCATGAGCCACCATACTCGGCTGCTTTGCTTCTTACAGTAAGAATTACTTAAACAACTCTCCTACTTCTGCCCATCTCCATCTTTGTAGCCCTTTGGTGCTAACATACTAGTCATCTCCTCAGGTCTACCCATGTTACTGGTTTGCACAGGACAGGTGCCTCTTCATTGTTTGCCTCCACTACATGGAAAAAATGGAGCGAAAAGCTGCAGATTCAAGCCATCACATTTGGTGCTAACAAAAATTGAAGGACTTGGGCTTCTTTCTGTGACCTCAATAGTCTTGTGTTTTGTGGGACAGGTAGATGATCATCCTGAAGTGCTGGATGTGGCAGCAGTGGAAGCAGCACTGTCATTTTGTGAAGAAAATGATGATCCTCAGTCCCTGCCTGGCCCCTGGGAGCATCCTATCCAGCAGGAGCGGGACAAGCCAGTACCTCTCCCTGCACCAGAAATGACGGTCAAGCAAGAGAGACTGGACTTTGAGGAAACGGAAAACAAGGGAATACATGAACTGGTGGACATCAGGGAGCCCAGTGCAGAGATCAAGGTGGAACCTGCAGAACCAGAGCCAGTCATTTCAGGAGCCGAAATAGTAGCTGGAGTTGTTCCAGCCACAAGTATGGAGCCACCAGAACTCAGGAGTCAGGACTTAGATGAGGAACTGGGAAGTACTGCAGCTGGAGAGATTGTTGAAGCAGATGTTGCCATTGGGAAAGGCGATGAGACTCCACTTACAAATGTGAAGACAGAGGTACTTAAGAAAGATCGGGGCTGGGGAGATGGAGGTTTATACCTTAGATAAGAAGTGACAGCTTAGGCTTTTTGGTTTTCCAGTTGCATTCCTGAGTTCTGACATGTTTGATGTGTCCAAAGCCCATAGGCTGTGATTAGTGTTATATATACTTATTCCTGTTAAGGTGACCATTGGAGTCACATTACATGAGTAGGACTTAGAATTTCTTCTATGGTCTCATTATCACTGAAGAATAAAGTTGTGTGAGCTATAGCGATTTATCAGTACTTAGGGTGTTTTTTCTTTTCTGGTTTTCAGGCATCCCCTGAAAGCATGTTGTCTCCATCACATGGCTCAAATCCCATTGAAGATCCTTTAGAGGCAGAGACTCAGCACAAGTTTGAAATGTCAGGTAAATAAAGTCCTCTTTCACTGACTTGAAATCATTTGCTTTGGCTTCTGAGGGGTTGTGGGTTGTGGGCAAGTAGAGGAGGTAGAACAGGTCAGCATGTAAAGGAGAGCTGCAGGGGATTATGGTCCATAGGAAGGGGAAGGCTAAGGTGGAAAAATCTTCAGGTAGTCTTTCTCTCCTCTGCAGACTCATTGAAAGAAGAATCAGGGACTATTTTTGGAAGCCAGATAAAGGTATTTCAGACTTTTCTTTATTCCTCTTGCCATGTGATTAGATTTCCCTATAGCACTACTTTTTAATGAATTTCAGTAAAGTCACATCTTTATTCTCTGATAAGAGACTGGTATGGAGTTGCATGGGGAAAAGCTGCAGTAGACAGGCATAATGGGAGTACTATAGCAACAGGTGCCTCCCATATGAAACAGCATGTGAATATCACACAGTCCTTAAGAAGGCTTGATACACTTAGAGTGATTTGTAGTGAATAAGGATACCTGAGCCAAGGAGAACATACAGGAATCAAGTTTATTAATTAGACTATCCAAAGAGAATCATCCAGAGTTTTCTTTTTAGAATTATTAAAGCAGCAGTAACAGAGGCTTAAAGAATGTGATGTGAGCTTGCTCCATCAAATGAGACACAAAATAAAAATTATTTTTGATAACTTTGTACCCAGGGTCAGAGTTACTCTCGAGCAAGGGGAAAGAAGGAACGCCTCTTAGCTTAGTCTTAAGTAAGTAGCTTTTTTTTTTCTTTCTTTTTAAAAGATCCTGGGTATTATTCTTTGTCCAGGTTCTAAATTACTTAACGCAGTGTCTGTAAGTAGATGGTAGTATAAGTGATAGACAGCTGAGTCAGGAAACAGCGTGAGGTCATTTCTAGAACTAATTCTAACCCAAAAGACAGATCATGTTTAATGATGCTTTGCTGGATAGCTTTGCTTGCATTTGTTAACTGGAGCATACTGTATCTAAGGATGCCCCAGGTGAGGATGAGGAGGAAGATGGTGTCAGTGAAGCGGCCAGCCTAGAGGAGCCTAAGGAAGAGGATCAAGGAGAAGGCTACTTGTCAGAAATGGATAATGAACCTCCTGTGAGCGAGAGTGATGATGGCTTCAGCATACACAATGCTACACTGCAGTCACACACACTGGCAGACTCCATCCCCAGCAGCCCTGCTTCTTCACAGTTGTGAGTATCTGAGATTCTTTCTTTGAGGCCAAGGCAGTGAAGGTGAGGAGAGGATCTTTTCCTTCCTTCCTTCCTTCCTGTCTTTTCTCTTTTCTTTTCTTTTCCCTTTCCTTTCCTTTCCTTTCCTTCTCTTTTTTCTTGTTCTCACTCACCCATGCTGGAGGGCAGTGGTGCGATCTCAGCTCACTGCAACCTCCACTTCTCAGGCCCAAGCAATCCTTCCACCTCAGCCTCCTTAGTAGCTGGGACTACCAGCCTGTGCCACCACACCCTGCTAATTAAAAAAAATTTTTTTAGTAGAAACCAAGTTTTGCTACATTGCCCAGGCTGGTCTCAAACTCCTGAGCTCAAGCGTTCCACCTGCCTCGGCCTCCCAAAGTGCTGAGATTACAGGCGTGAGACACCATGCCTGGCCTTTTTCTTTATTTTTAAATTTTTATTTTAAAAAAATTTTTTTAAGGGACAGGATCTATGTGGTCCAGTCTGGTCTTGAACTCCTGACCTCAAGCAGTCTTCTTGCCTTGACCTCCCAAAGCAGTAGAATTAGAGGCATGAGCCACCATGCCTGGCCTGATCTTTTCTTTAGTGTTTCCCTTTTTTGACCTGGAATAAACAGCTGACAAGAAATAATTAGGGCTGGGCATAGTGGCTCACACCTGTAATCCCAGCACTTTGGGAGGCTAAGGCAGGAGGATCGCTGGAACCCAGGAGTTCGAGACCAGCCTGGGCAACACAGTGAGACCCTATCTCTACAAAAAAATTAAAAAATTAGCTGGGCATGGTGGTATGCACCTATAGTCCCAGCTACTTGGGAGGCTGAGGTGAGAGGATTGAGTCTGGGAGGTTGAGGGTGCAATGAACATGATCATGCCACTGCACTCCAGCCTGGGGGACAGAGTGAGACCCTGTCTCAAAAAGAAAAGAGAATTATAATTTTTATTTTTTAACTTGTGCCTAGTGGAATTGCTGTATCTCTGTTTCAGCTCTGTCTGTAGTGAGGATCAGGAAGCTATTCAGGCACAGAAAATTTGGAAGAAAGCCATCATGCTTGTATGGAGAGCTGCAGCTAATCATAGGTGAGTGGGCTTTACCAGTCAGTAGGTTCATTTTCTCCTACTCTTCATTGTTGGTGACTGGAAAAAAGTCTGAGTAGGCTTCTGTGGAACTGCTGGTATTAGTTCTTACTACCTTTAGTTACTTAGAGTAAGTTCCCTCCCTGCACTTCTGGAGAATGTCAGTAATTGCACCTTATTCCTTTTGGACAGGTATGCCAATGTCTTCCTGCAGCCTGTTACAGATGACATAGCACCTGGCTACCACAGCATTGTGCAGAGGTGAGCCATGGTCCACCCAGCATGGTAACTTGCCTGAATTATAAATTGTCCAGTCTTAGTGAAGTTTTGCTTTCGATAGAAAGTTTAAAGCAAGTAAGTTTATGGTTTTGCTATAAGGGGCACTGAGTGCTAAACTGATAATTCCAGTGGCTAGATCACCACTGATAGTCTAAAAGAATAAATCTCCACCAGGAGCGGTGGCTCACGCCTGTAATCTTTGGGGGTGCTGAGGTGGGTGAATCACTTGAGCCCAGGAATTCAAGACTAGCCTGGGCAACATGGCGAAACCCCCTCTCTACAGAAAATACAAGACTTAGCCAGGTGTGGTGTCGCGCATTTGTAGTCCCAACTACCTGGGAGGCTGAGGTGGGAAGGATTGCTTGAGCCTGGAAGTTCGAGGCTGCAGTGAACCAAGGATTGCTTGAGCCTGGAAGTTCGAGGCTGCAGTGAACCATGATTGTGCCACTGCACTACAGCCTGAGTGACAGATCCAGGCCCTGTCTCCAAAAAAAACCTAAATAAACTCCCTTTATTACCTTTCTCAATGCTTATTATATAGATTGTTTCTTGGGTTAAGTGCATGTTTTGGGATAAGGGGTTAGCATTTAAGTCCTGGCAGCTGGGAGTTAAGGTATATATGAGAAAGTCTATATGATAATGTATTCATAGATCTAGGTGCGTCCTCTTTCCATCCCCACTGCTACTTACCCCTGTTCTTTTTTTTTAGGCCTATGGATTTGTCAACTATTAAGAAAAACATAGAAAATGGACTGATCCGAAGCACAGCTGAATTTCAGCGTGACATTATGCTGATGTTTCAGAATGCTGTAATGTACAATAGCTCAGACCATGATGTCTATCACATGGCAGTGGAGATGCAGCGAGATGTCTTGGAACAGATCCAGGTACTTTGAGGATCCTTTGTGTTTCAGCAAGGATGAAATTAAAATACTTCAAGGGGAGGATTCATATTGATGCCAAGAAGGGTTGCTGTGGCTTTTACGTGGATAGCTGTCAGGGACACAATTGAAAACATAATATTTTGTTCTTACTTTTATTTTCTTTGGTGTGGTGAAAGAGTTGTGATACAATATTCTACCTTTCTTGGGCAATTATTTGCAGTTTCATAAAGTTTTTAAATAAAATTTTTTAAAAATGGTGAATGTATATTTTTTAATTACATTAAGTACCTGGTACATAGTAGGTGATCAGCAAATAAGAGTTTCTCCTTTCCTTTTCCCTGCTTTTATCCTATGATTGTGTTACCAGGTACTTTTTGGGGTGTTGAACTTGGAAGAATATTGCAAATCTTTGCACGATTTGTCAAATTACTTAAATTGCTGAATGATCTTTGGTTCATTCTAGTTTTATTATTTTTCTCATTCCTGGAGGATAGAGATTTTGATCCTATGTTATAGCAAAAAAAAGTTAGGGCTGCTTGATTCTTTAGCATCCCTATTGCAACTAGAATTAAAACTTAATATGCTAAACTTCCAATCAGTCAAAATATATTTGAGCCAGAAGAGTACTATACAAAGTTCTATTTACAGTGCTTAAAGTGTACTTAATTTGTCCCTACTAAATCAGGTCTCCATGGCCTACCCTGTTTCTTCTCCCTACAGCAATTCTTGGCCACGCAGTTGATTATGCAAACATCCGAGTCTGGGATCAGTGCTAAAAGTCTTCGAGGGAGAGATTCTACCCGCAAACAGGATGCTTCAGAGAAGGTGAGGCGATCAGGAAGGAACCTGTGTGCCAGTGTTCCAGTAGTAGAAGTCTGAAGCATCCAAGGACCCTTATGTTACTACTTGGTATTGGGCTTCTAGATTCCAATGATATACAGACACATAGATCTTAGAATGATGGTGGTTTGCACCCATCTAAACGTTGAATAAGCCTATTGTAACCGAAAGGCCCAGTCACATGGGAGAAATCATGAGTAGGGGAATTATTAATTCCTCTGGGAGAGTGCTCTCAAGGCGGGGGAAATGGCTTAGCCTGCAGCAGTTGGGGACCATCAGTTTCTGTGCTAGAGGCGTAATGGACAGATTGCTTTTGGATCTCTTTCCTCTTGTTCTTGAGTTTTAAAATTTTGTCCTTGTGTGTGTGGTGCTTGTGTCTCTGTCCTGAGGTTTGGGGTGCTTGTGGCTGAGAGTTTCTGTGGAACCTGATCAGTGTTTGTTTGTCCTCTAACAGGACAGTGTCCCAATGGGCTCTCCTGCCTTCCTTCTCTCTCTCTTTGTAAGTATTGAATGGCTGCAAGGGGTGGTGTTGCCACAAAGATTCTCAGCTCTTAATGGGGGTGGGTGGCAGAGGGAAATCCAACATGCAGACTGTGGCAGTGTCTTGAACTTCTGTTTATTCAGGTCATTGAATAAGAAACTCTTTTCTTCTGCATTCCTGTCTTTCTGCATGTGTGTGTGTGTGTGGGCTGGGTAGGGACTGTTTTTGAGATCACTGGGCTGAAATGTATTCTAGGGGTGAAGGATCTAGGATGTACCTGCTCGTCATTTCCTGACTTCACCTTTTACCAATTCTTTTCTTAACAAATTTAAAATTGGTCAGAGCAGGAGCTGCTAGCTGGCTTTTTAACAGTGTTTCTCATAATGGCAGTACTCAGCAAATAGTTTTTCTCTTGTCTCCTAAAATTAAGTTGCAAGACTAATGTAACAAACAGTAAAATTTAAGCTAAAGAACTCAGTATAGGCTGGGTGTGGTGGTTTACGTCTATAATTCCAACACTTTGGGAGGCTGAGGTGGAAGGATTGCTTGAGCCCAGGAGTTTGAGACCAGCCTGGGCAACGTAGGGAGACCCTGTCTCTACAAAATTTAAAAACGGCAACAACAACAAAAAACCCTACTAGCTGTGCAGCGGAGTGGTGCGCACCTGTGGTCCCTAACTACAAGCTACTCAGAAGGCAAGGTAGGAGCATCACTGGGGCCCAGGAGGTCAAGGCTGCACTGTTCATACCATTGCACTCCAGCCTGGGTGACAGAGCGAGACCTTGTCTCAAAAGAAAAAAAAAAACAATCTCAGTAATAATGACCACTGTGGCTGGGTGTGGTGGCTCACACCTGTAGTCCCAGCACTTTGGGAGGCTGAGGTGGGCAGATCACCTGAGGTCGGGAGTTCGAGACCAGCCTGACCAACATGTAAAAACCCCGTCTCTACTAAAAAAAAAAAAAAAAATTAGCCGGGTGTGGTGGCATACGCCTGTAATCCCAGCTACTCGGGAGGCTAAGGCAGGAGAATCGCTTGAACCCAGGAGGCGGAGGTTGCCGTGAGCTGAGATTGCACCATTGCACTCCAGCCTGGGCAACAAGAGTGAAACTCTGTCTCAAACAAAAAAAAGAAAAAAAAAAGTGACCACTGCATCAATAGTGGCTGCTGGAATTACAGATAAGCTTAGGAGAGCTAGCCTAAAGACTTTTATTACTTTCCTCCATAAATTAACTGGCTCTGACTCTGTGTTGTTCATTATGGGACAGTGAGGTATGATGTAATGGAAGGGCATCAGGCTAGAAAACTACATGGTCTTAAGGTCATTGGATAATCTCTTGGGGCATTGTTTTCCTTGGTGTGTGATAAAGCTAATATAATGAGGTACTTGTCCAGCCTACCTCACAGGGATGTTGTGAGGATAAAATGAGATAATAGATATGAAACTGGCTTGGAAAAAAAAGAAAAGCATTATACACATGCAAGGTTACCACCTTTTTATTTTCACTGTTGCCTCATGGGCAACTTATGTTCATGGACTCTAAAAATTTTAGAGTCCTTGCATATTAGAAATGTAAAAATGGCCTGGCCCAGCAAAGGTTTCAGTAATTCATCTTGCCTACAGGCTGTACCACAGACAGAACATTATAATCTCCGTTCTTTCTTATTGGCCTACAACAGTGACTCTGGATCCCCCAAGCAAAGCATTTGGCTGGCTATTGCAAGGCTGGTTAATAGGATCTTTTATCTATTGAAGACAGCAAAATATTGCACAAGAGGAAGGAGCTGGGCTGCAGGGAGAGAGCAGCAGATGGAAAGAAGCCTTCTAATTGTCCTGATCTCATGGAAAACCACTGTCAGGAGGTGCTAGGGAACTAGTGCCAGGGTCAGTCTGCAGGAAAGGCCTTTCTTATAGGGACCAACAGTTGGACAGGTATGTTAGTCAAGAACCTCACTACCCATTGCCCATTCTGACTCTCCTACCTTTCTTTTACTCTCCTGCTCCTTTGCACATGATTTGGGCCTGGGTGGGATGACTAATAGTTATTCTGTGGGACCCTAGGTGAATTCCAAGGACCTCTGTAGTGGGCATGAGCAAGATATTCCATCCTACATTTCCTCTCACAAACTACCAGGTGTTCTTTAGCCACTCTGTGGGAAGACAGAAATATGCCCCTCATCCCTCTGGATTTTTCTGCTGATTCTCTTCCCTCTCCCCCAAGAAACCAAATCCCCAACTTTTCTGTTGCACCGTCTCTTGTCTCCTGACCAACTCATGCTCCCTTTCTTTCTCTGCCTGTCATCTAGGATGGAGGAACCAGGGGACGCCGCTGTGCCATTGAAGCAGATATGAAGATGAAAAAGTGAAGCCTCAGAGTTACCCTCTTTGAGCCGAACCTAAAATAAAAGTAAACAAGATAGAGCTTGGGCTTGCGGGCCCAGTTCCAGAGGTGGAAGTTACAGAAGAGGAGGTACCTGGGCCACACGACATGAGCTGGAAAATCTCTCTTAGAGAGTTGGAGTAGCACAATTGCCTGTTTTAGGGCAGAAACCATGGGCTATGTTAATGTCCTAATGTGTAGCTAGCAGATCGTAGCTAGTTTGTATTGTCTTGTCAATTGTACAGACTTTTTAAAAAAAACAACCACCAGTGAAATGTGTGTGTATACAATAAACTGAAAAAAAAAACTAGCCTTTGGCTTGTTCTGTGTGTGTGTGTGTGTGTGTGTGTGTGTGTGTGTGTGTGTGTATTTGAAACTTGTTTCTTCTGCATAACTATTTCATTTGTAGGAATGAGATTGTTACAGGGGAAAAGTCTTATGAACTGCTTGCTGTAGTGTGAGAAGGTAAGCAACCAGAATTGAGTTTATAGTTAATATACCTTAAGGTGTTGCATTGCGCAGGAAAGACTTCCTTACTCAGATTTTCTTGAATGTTTGGGAAAAGTAAGGTTTTTAGAATTCTGTTCATGGCATTGCTTAAAGAAGATTAGAGCATGGACATAGGTAGCATTGACCCTTACCTCAGGAACATTTGTCTCACTTAATGCTATCTTTGCAGATGGTATTTCTAGGATAGTGTGTTACCATTTTTTTCCTGTTTTTATGGTTAAAGACTCTGTATAAAGAGTTCTTGGCGGCCGGGCGTGGTGGCTCATGCCTGTAATCCCAGCACTTTGGGAAGCCAAGGCTGGCAGATCACGAGGTCAGGAGTTCGAGACCAGCCTGGCCAATATGGTGAAACTCTGTCTCTACAAAAAATACAAAAATTAGCTGGGCGTGGTGGCGCATGTCTGTAGTCCCAGCTATTTGAGAGGCTGAGGCAGAAGAAGCACTTGAACCCGGGAGGCGGAGGTTGCAGTGAGCTGAGATCGCGTCACTGCACTCCAGCCTGGGCAACAGAGCAAGATTCCATCTCAAAAAAAAAAAAATAGCCCAACACTTTGGGAGGCTGAGGTGGGAGGGTTGCTTGAGCCTAGGAGTTTGAGACCAGCCTGGACAACAAAGTGAGACCCTTTCTCAAAAAAAAAAAAATTAGCCCAGCATGGTGGTGTGCACCTGTAGTCCCAGCTACTCGGGAAGCTGTGGCTGGAGGATCTCTTGAGCCACGGAATTCAAAGTTGGCAATGACCTATAATTGCATCACTGCACTCCAGCCTGGGTGAAAGAGCAAGACCCTTTCTCAAATAAATATAGTTCTTAACATTGCTGTTTGAAGGCTAAGCCCAGTTTTAAGAATTACTGAATTTGGCCAGACACGGTGGCTCACACTTGTAATCCCAGCACTTTGCGAGGCCAAGACAGGAAGATCACTTGAGCCCAGGAGATCAAGACCAGTCTAGGCAACATAGCAAGACCTTGTCTCTACAAATAATAAATTAGCCAGGTGTGGTGGCACGCACCTGTGGTCCCAGCTACATTGGAGGCTGAGGTGGGAGGATCACAACCCTGGCCGGTTGAGGCTGCAGTGAGCTGAGATCATGCCACTGCACTCCAGCCTGGGCAACAGAGAAAAAACACCCCTAAATTTAAAATCTCAGTTCAATTCCAACTTCTGTTAATAACTTTTTTTTTTTTAAGTGATGAGTGACTGCTCCTGGCCAACTAAACTTTTTTTTTTTTTTTAAATTCGGAGTTTCACTCTCGTTGCCCAGGCTGGAGTGCAATGGCGCAATCTCGGCTCACTGCAACCTCCGCCTCCCAGGTGCAAGCGATTCTCCTGCCTTAGCCTCCCGAGTAGCTGGGATCACAGGCATGCACCACCAAGCCCGGCTAATTTTGTGGTTTCTTTAGTAGAGGTGGGGTTTCTCCATGTTGGTCAGGCTGGTCTCAAACTCCTGACCTCAGGTGATCCACCCGCTTCGGCCTCCCAAAGTGCTAGGATTACAGACATAAGCCACCACGCCCTGCCAACATTTTTAAAACTCAATAGTGAAATGAAATAGTGCCGGGCACCGTGGCTCACACCTGTAATCCCAGCACTTTGGGAGGCCAAGGTGGGCGGATCACTTGAGGTCAGTAGTTCAAGACCATCCTGGCCAACATGGTGAAACCTCATCTCTACTAAAAATACAAAAAATTGGCCAGGCATGGTGGTGGGCGCCTGTAATCCCAGTTACGCGGGAGGCTGAGGCAGGAGAAGTGCTTGAGCCTGGGAGGCAGAGGTTGCAGTGATCCGAGATCAAGCCACTGCACTCCAACCTGGCGACAGAGCAAGACTCCATCTCAAAAAAAAAAAAAAAAAAGTTATGAACTTTTTATTATAAACATGGCTATGATGAAAAAATATTAGATGAATATCACTTTATAACTAAATATTTAGACAATATGTCACACTGGAGCCTGGTCTAATAGTCAAAGTCTTCTTGAGAAGG